>NC_000012.12:25834650-26459650 GCF_000001405.40 Homo sapiens | reverse complement strand
GAAACCCACAGAAAATTGAGGGAATGTGATATAAAAGCAAGAGAGGAGAGAGATTCACAAAAGAGGGTGGGGCCAAAGGCCCTCAAGAACTCAATAAACGAGGTGCAGCTGTAAACCAGACCCATGGCTTTGGCCCCCAGCAGGTCACCAGCAGCCTTCCAAGAACAATCTATTGATGGAGGGGAAGTAAGAGACACAAACTGGACTGCAGTGAACAGAGAACGCTGTGGGATTTACTACCTGCAAAGCAGACACACGCCAGAATGCACAGTAGAGTCAGAATAGCAATGACTCAAAGCAGCTCAGCCATCTCTATCTTAAGCAGAATGAGGGCAAAATATCAGTTCTAAAACCTGGAGAAGAGGGGAGAATGAGAGAAACACTGGTGGCATTACAGCACAGATTGTCTTGCTGTCACTGAGCAAGTGTGTTATTTGTTCCCTAAATATATGCAATTGCTCTTCAGCAGAAGTGTGTGTACATTTAAAATGTCCACCCTCCTAGATTTCCTGAGGCTCCTCATATTTGTATGTGTTTCCCCTTAGCACAGCAGCATTGCCTAAAAGCAGTACCAGGAAAGGACTGATAGGAAATATTCACAGGGTCCAGTTTGCAAAAGCAGCTCTTTATCTACCAGACTAGGAATTTAGCTTGTGTTGTGCCCACTCTGTGCGGTGCTTTGTAGTTCTCATCGGGGAAGGCCCGCTATGGGATCACAGCAACTGTGCTAATTAAATGTCAGTGGGGTCGGGAGCTGTGGCGAGGCCTTCACGCTCAGCTCACCAAGACCCAAGCAAGAAGGAGAGGCACATCAGCCTTCCTGAAGCTCATTAGGTAGGAAGTACTCGGATTCAGACAGCTTCAGTGTTCAGATCCTAAATGGATGCTGCAAGTGGGCTCACAAATGAGCTCCAAAAGGAATAAACAAACTCATGTCTTTGTAGTTTTAACAGAAAACAATTTTTATTTGGGCAAGTTTTCCTTGAAAATGTTCCCCTCCGTCACCCCTCATTTTATTAACTGTATCATTGATTCTAGAAGTGTCTCGTGTTTATCTTGTTTTTATCGTTGATGACGCCCTCGTGTTTAACATTGACACAAAGTAAGGGAGAACAAAGTAATAAACACACATATCAAGAAAATATCAGTGCTTTGGGTGCAGGTGGTGACAGGCAGCCAGGCCCTTTCTGGCTTCCCCTGGAAGGCCCTGGTATTTTCCTTTCTTGATTGTTCCGATCTGAGTGTGCTATGTTGCAGGGAAACTGAGTCTTGATGTCGTCAGCAGCCTCTCCTTAAAATAACTCAGAGCCCCTTTTCTCCATGAGTGGCACAGTTCTCTAAGCGGCTACCAACTAGAAGTGGCATTCACCTGGGCCCCCGTACCGCCCTCACCTGGACAGCCTGGCAGAGCTGCTCACTCCTCTCCACTCATACTGCCAGTTTCTTCCTGCTGCCATCTTCATTTTGTGCCTGGACAGCTGCAGTAGCCTCCTGTCTCCATCTCTGGTTAAGTCCCTTTTCAATTCACTTTCCACAGGGAAGCTAAAATGATTAATTATACTGAAAGGTCAGCTGATCCTGTCTGTCTCCTCACCAAACATTTCCATAGCTTCTGATAAAGCAGTATGTACGTGCTCACCAACATGCTCAGGTGACCCTTAGTGAGCATGCTCCTGGTTACTCTTATTTTTTTCTGTTATTTTAGTTCATATTTATTGAGCACAATACGTACTTACTTTGTATCGGTGCTGTGTCTCATCTAAATATCACAGTAACTCTCTGAGGTAAATATTCATAAAGTACCCTTAGGAGCCTCACTTGCAGAAGGAGAAAGTGAAGCTTAGAGAAGCTAAGTGATTTGCCTGTGGCTGTTCAGTTAACAAGGAGGATATAATGCAGTTGAACCCAGGTCTGTCCAGAGTCCGTGATGCTAACCACTGTACAGTCCCACCCTCTAGCCACGTCTGTGACTGCCCTCTTCATTGCACCGTATGTTACAGAATCTGCCCACATCCTTCAATACCACCTGGTCCAAACCAGCACCATCTTTCACCTGGATTATTTGCAGTAGGCTTCTGACTCTTCGTGCTTCTGTTCATCCACGCGTTCTGTAGAGTGTTCTCTAACACAGTAGCAACAATGAACCCTTAAAAATATAACACAGATTATGTCACCTCTCTGCTCAACACCTTCTAATACTTCCAGTTTCACAGCAAAAGTCAACTCTCCTGTTGGCTTCACAAGTCTCCCAATATGACCTGGCCTTCTTCCCCATCTCCCCTCTCTCTGGCCACTTTCGTCTTTACTTATTCTGCTCAAGCCACACTGGCCTCCTGGCTGTGCCTTGGAGTCAAGAACCTACTTTGTGTCTATAAGTTTCTGTTTCATAATCCTGCTTTGTATCTAAAAGTTTCTGTTAAAATGGTCTCTAACCATTTGATTTAAAATGGCAACCTCCATCCCCCAGTGCTCATTGCTTCCGTCCTCCGCTTTATTTTCTCCTTAGCACTTGCACATTTTGATAGATGATATATTTGTTTATGTCTCCTCCACCAACAGAAAGTCAGCTCTAGGAGGGCAGGAGCTTTGGTCTGTTTTGTTCACTATTATAACCCCAAAGCCTAGAGCATTATTTGGTATACATCAGAGGTTCATTAACAATTATAGAATTGTTACTAGAGGCTGGGATGGTGGCTCGCACCTGTAATCCCAGCACTTTGGGAGGCCGAGGCAGGCAGATCATGATGTCAGGAGTTTGAGACCAGCCTGGCCAACAAGGTGAAACCCTGTCTCTAGTAAAAAATACAAAAATTAGCCGGGCGTGATGGCAAGTGCCTGTAATCCCAGCTACTCGAGAGGCTGAGGCAAGAGAATCGCTTGAACCCGGGTGGTGGAGGTTGCAGTGAGCGGAGATCATGCCATTGCACTCCAGCCTGGGTGACAGAGTGAGACTCTGTCTTAAAAGAAAAAAAATTGTTACTAGAAAGGGGTCCTGATCCAGACCCCATTAGAGGGTTCTTGGACCTCATGCAAGAAAGAATTTGGGGCAAGTCCATAGAGTAAAGTGGAAGCAAGTTTATTAAGAAAGTAATGGAATAAAGAATGGCTACTCCATAAACAGAGCAGCACCGAGGGCAGCTGGTTGGCTGTTTTTATGGTTATTTCTTGATTATATGCTAAACAAAGGGTGGATTATTTGTGAGTTTTCTAGAAAAGGGCTGGGCAATTCCTGGAAGTGAAGGTTCCTCCCCTTTTTAGACCACATAGGGTAAGTTCCTGACATTGCCCTGGCATGTGTAAACTGTCATGGCGCTGCTAGGAGTGTCTTTAAGCATGCCAATGCAATATAATTAGTGTATAATGAGCAGTAAGGACAACCAGAGGTCACTTTCATTGCCATCTTGGTTTTGGTGGGTTTTGGCCAGCTTCTTTACTGCAGCCTGTTTTATCAGCAAGGTCTTTGTGACCTGTACCTTGTGCCAACCTCCTATCTCATCCTGTGACTAAGAATGCCTAATCTCCTGGGAATGTAGCCCAGTAGATCTCAGTCTCATTTTATCCAGCCCCCGTTTAAGATGGAGTTACTCTGGTTCAAATGCCTCTGAAAGAATGAACATACAAGGCATATATTAATTATTGTATTTAGCTCATGATGGCTTAGGTCATAGGAGAATTCTGTCTTAGTATTGAATAAGAGAAGTGGGTCTTTATGTTATGTTAATATTGCATATAAAGCACTTCATGTATCTGAAACTATTAATAACATTGTTTTACTTATAGATAATTCATGACCTCATTATATAATCCCCAAGACACTTACATTGCAGGCAGTAACTTTGTTCATATACCTATATGTTTATGTTCAATACCTTGATCTTTAAATGGCTTCTTTACCAGTAGGTTATATATTTCTTAAGAAAGGACAATAAGTTTTTCCAAATGAGTTTTTCTTTAAATTTTCTCTTTCTTCCCTTCCTCTCCTTACTTTTCATGCCCTCTCTTTGTCTTTTCATTTGCAACCTGGGTTATTTAACTTCTGAATGACTAGATAACATTTAAAAGGGTGTTGGATGTCACAGAATGAACAAGTAACAAAATATATCTGCTCAAAGTTCTTTGTCTCTTTTCAGTTTAATTCAACAGATCTGAATCCCTACTTAGACTTGAAATTCACCTTGCCACCTCATTTCCTTCTTTATTAGGTTTGCCTTTGAAACACAGTTCATTTGAGCAGTAATTCTCTCACTTTTAAGAACCACTCTATCTCACAAAAGCTGACCTTTTTTTTTTTTTTTTTTTTTTTTTTAGCAGCTGTTGATTAGACAGTTAAACAGAGAGACAGCAATGGCATATTTCTTAGTCTGATGTAACTCAGAAATAGAAAGCTGAAGAAACCTGAAGTTGAAATGCTTTCAAGCAATCGAGCTTAAAGTTCCTGAAAATTATCTCGTAGTGCTTCTTCTCAACTCTTCATATTCCACCCCCGATTTTACATCTGGCTAATTTGCGCACTTCAGATTGGATTCCTGAGCACACACTGGCAGTGTGAGAACTGTTGCGGAACTCATCATTATAATTTCAAGCCTCTAATTAACCCACTTTAAAGTGGCTTTGTCAAGACTATGAGAAACAGAAAAGCAATTGACTCATTCTTGGAATAGGTATATCATAGAGAAAAGTAGAATAGTAAGATTGTGCTCTTCACTCAGCCTCATTGGTTCAGGAACTTAAGGAGCATTAGGAGCACAGATCCTGCAGTAATTCTCTTTGGTATATTATTGCAGATGTTGTTATTTCACAGTTAGGTAAATTAGACATAAAAAGGTCAAACGACTTGAACGTGCTACCATAAAAGGTCAGTGATAAAGCCAGAAGTCATTTCTCAGTGTCCATCATAAGCCACCCCCACCCCCGCAGCAATTACTTTGAGAACAAGAGCTCTCTAAGTTTTCCCAGTCAACCACAGGTACTATTTTAACATGGTCCAACATCTCAAAAAGATGACTTTCTTCACCTTTTGATGTTTGCCTTAAAAAAAAAATCACCAGAAACAGTGAAAGAATCAGAATGCTTTTAAAAGAAAAGTGTTGCTATCATTCCCATTTTTCTTGTTGTATATAAATGATTAGGAATTAAAACATTTCTGGCCCGGCATGGTGGCTTACGCCTGTAATCCCAGCACTTTGGGAGGCCGAGGTGGGCAGATCACAAGGTCAAGAGATCTCGAGACCATCCTGGCCAATATGGTGAAACCCCATCTCTACTAAAAATACAAAAAATTAGCTGGTCATGGTGGTGCGTGCTTGTAGTCTCAGCTACTCAGGAGGCTGAGGCAGGAGACTCACTTGAACCCGGGAGGCAGAGGTTGCCATCAGCTGAGATTGCGCCACTGCACTCCACCTTGGTGACAGAGCAAGACTCTGTCTCAAAAAACAAACAAACAAGCAAACAAACAAAAAACACCACATTTCTCATATTTACATATAATATTGTAATTCATCATTTTCTAAAAACTCAATTTATTTCAGAAAATTAAACACATATGCCATTAAAATTGAACTAATAAATAAGCAAAAAATACTGTATGCCATCCATCCATCCATCCGTCCATCCATCCATCCATCCATCCATTCACCCATCCATCTATCCATCCAAAAAATATTTATTAAGCAACTCTTGTGTGCCAGACACTGTTCTAGATGATGAATACAACAGTAAACAAAACAAAATCCCTGTCCTTCTGGAAACTACATTCTAGATGGAGGACATATTAAAATCAAGTGAAGAATATTTCATACTCGCATATTATCTGAATTATCATGGAGAAAGATTCTTCTGTTCTGCTAGTTTTTCCCAAACCACACTTGAAATATGTGGGAGGGGACGTGGATGGGAAATATCCAGCAAATTCATTTCTGGATGCTGGAAGAAGCAACTCAAGTAATATTACCTGGTCATCTCTGGATCTGAGGAAAACATATTATTTCTTGTGTGGGAATAGTGAGACCCAGAAATTTCAAAGACTTGCGTTTAGTTACATCAAAAAGAAATAAGGTCAAAGAGATGTCTGTTTTCCATCAGTTCTATATAACGAAAGCAAAAACTCCTAGTGTACATCATTTCAGGGTTTCCCAGAAATCAGTTTCTATGTTTTTCTTATTAATGTCTATCTGTGTTTTAGATAACCCCACTACACATGTAGAATTAGTTTCTTTTCTTGCTTCCTCACCCTGAAATGTTTTAACTCTTTTGACTAGGACACTACAATAATGATTACTTTAGAATATTTTTGGTGAAATACTGATTTCAGATAAGATGATCTACATAGATAGTATTTAGTTTCATTTCATTTTAGTCGCTCAGAAAATATTGATGTATATTCTTACATGGATAGCAAAACCAATTAAGATTATACCTCAGTAAATTTCACATGAAAAATACAAAATAGCAAGCATTTTCCGTTAAAGTAATGAATTCTTTATAAAATCTTAAGTATCTTCTGAAGTATTGAAGTAGAAGTAGGAGAAGGTATAACCTGTTTTAGTTGAAAATGGAACTAAAGAATCAATTTGTCTTAAATAATTGTAGGGAAAAAGCTTGTTTTAGAAGATAATTTTTTATCTCTTTTCATGAAAATAAACATATAAATTAATTCATAAACTAATATATTTGTTATATATTACATATAATTATACAAACCTCCTGGGATTAAAGTAGTTTTTACTCTTTTAGTACATGTCTTAGTCTATTTTCTGTTGCTGTAAGAGAGTACCCGAGACTGGGTAATTAATAAAGACAAGAGATTTATCTAGTGGCTGGGAAGTCCAAGATTAGGCATCTGCATTTGGTCGCCTTCTGGTGAGGGCATCGTGCTGCATCATCACATGGTGGAGAAAGGAAAAGGAAGCAGGCGTGTGCTACCATGGCAAAGCCCGAAGCAGCCTTCCTGCATAACAACCTGCTCTCAAGATACCAAATCCGGTTCCTTGAGAGTGAGAATGCACTCACTTCCTCTGAAAATTAACCCAGTCCCCTCAGGAGCAGCATTAATCCCTCTTAATGACCTAATCACTTCCCAAAGGCCCTACCTCCCAACACCACCACACTGGGGACAAAATTTCCAACACATGCATTATGGGTGACACACTCCATGCAAAGCAGTATAGAAATTCATGAGCCTAGAAATTAGAAGCTATGAGTGACAAATAACCAATTGTTTAAAATTAAGTGGAGCATATTTTATATTTCTGATCCTAATCTCATTTTTTTGAAAATGTGTTCAGTAAATGTACTGTTATTAAGAGTATCTACATGTTAACATTTCTCTTGTATGCTTTTAAAGGAAAAAAAAATTCTTTAAAAACACTTCATTCTTTTATGTTTAATTTTGGTTTAAAAAAAAAAACTGGTGGATTTTCAGAAGGGAATCCAAATTGCTTATGGTGATAACATCTACTATCTATTAGAACAGTGGTTTACAAATGTTGGCAGGATTGAAATCACTTGGAGGGCTTGTTAAAACAGATGGTGGGGTGCAGGGGGAGAGGGGTGTACTCCTTCATAGTTTCTGATTTGGGAGGCTTGAGGTCGGGCCAGAGAACTTGCATTTCTAACATGCTTCCAGGCGATGCTATATAGCTGTCCCAGAAACCCCATTTTGAGAAGCATTCTATTAGGATGAGTGTTAGCAGTCTGTAGGAAAGTTAGCTTCATCAATCGTCACAACACTTTGCAATGCTTGATGATAAAATCGTAGTACAAAGATAGCATGCTTACTAAAAACTGCCCTAAGTCATTTTAAAGTGCATTTTTTGTGGGCTGTTTTCTTCCTTTTTTTCTCTCCTGCTTTGCCCTGCTTCAAGGGTTGAGCTGTCATGAATCATTTGTTTATTATAATCAGTAGGGTCTTTTATCAATTTTACTATAGTTTAAGACAGACCCTAATGAGTAGGAGTCTAGATCATTTGAAATTAGGAGAAGTTTGTTTCATTTTTTAATTCTGGCAAATTTCTTGTTATTTTGTACCTATCTTTGTCTTAGTTTGGCTACCATTATAAAGGAAATAATAAACTGATCTCTAAGAACCATAGTGGATTTTTAAAAAGATAATAGATAAATATAACTTACAATATTTTTAGAACTCCTTGGGTGAAGTTTGTATAGTGCAGAGTGATGCTGGTGGCATTCTAGGGTCGCTCCTTCAGTACTGCTGGGGAGGGAAGGCATCAGTTCCTTACTTTCCGTGTGTGTGTGTGTGTGTGTGTGTGTGTGTGTGTGTGTGTGTGATATGAGAGAAAGCTGTCTTGAGATCTCATGATTTCCCTTAGGTCTGTGGTCCTTTGGTCTGGTTGTCCATGAATCCTCCAGAGCTGTCTTGCAGGGTACTCAAGAGTCTGTGTTGTCTCTTCCCCAGGTTTGTCTGTATTCTTTGGAATGATCACCCCTGTTCTCCTTTCTGTCCACTGCCACATTTTCCTCTTGGTTGTGCTTTCTTTAAGGCTTTCTCTTTAGATTCTCAAAAACCTATTTTGAAAGTTCAGAAACATGAACATTGCTTCTTTCTTTTTCCATTCCAGTTATATACCAAAATCTGCTCAAGATAATATGGACAACTCTGTTTGACTAGGGAACAAGGGTGTCTTGGAAAGAAAGAAGGACAAGAATTAACTTTCCAAGAAACACAGATTTGTTAGCTTTTCTAACTAATCCATTCCACTGTACTATTTGGTGGGGTATAAGGGCTTTCATCTGCTTCCCATGGCCCATCTCATACTCTTTCCCATTTTCCCTCCTGACTTTCCCCTCCCCCTCCACTCTAAGGTTCTCAACCCCTCTGGAAACAACTATCTCCTCTTTGAGAAAAGAGTGCGTACAGCCCTTCACGTGTCTTCTGGATTGTTTAGCTTGAGACTTATGCTGGATATTCCTGGTGGTTCTGGCTGCCTCAGTTCTGCTGACTAAAGTGGGGAAAATGTGCTTCTCCCTACTAGGAATTCCTGAAGCTGATCTTCTTCTAAAGTGGTCTAAGTACCAAATATTCACCTGCCGTAGTGAGTATTTTCTGGCTGAGACCACACAGTTGAGTCTCATGTGGGAAAGCCTTTTCTTCTTTCTCACAGGACTCTGACCCTACTAACAGGGTAGTAATTCTGGCATCAGTATTCGGGAAGACCAGTTATTTCTTCTTTGGTCTGTGTTCTTATGAAGGACCTCACAGTACTGCAAGGAACCCTGGACAGATGGCACCATGCCCAAATGGATCCTGTCTTATCCCCAAATTCCTTTTTTAAGAGAAGGGAAGAAAGAGATGAATAGAATCTGAGTTTATCTTGCCACAGTCAAGAGAAAAGTTCCTTGGTGGATTTGTGTTAACTTCCTAGGGCTGCCATAACAAATGTCCACAACTTGGAAGTTCACAATGACAGACATTTCTTGTCCCACGGTTCTGGAAGCCGAAAGTCCTAAGCCAAGGTGTTGGCAGGGCCATGCTCTCTCTGAAGGCCCTCGAGGAGGATCCTTCCTTGCCTCTTTTCAGTGTCTGGTGTTTGTCAGCAGTTCTTGGCATATGTTGGCTTATATCACCCAGTCTCTCCTGTGTCATTACATGGCATTCTCCTTGTCTGTCTGATTGTGCCCGTATTTCCCTGTTCTTGTACGGACTCTAGTCATAGGATTAAGGCCCACCCTAATCCAGTGTGACCTCATTTAACTTCATCACATCTGCAAATTCCTGTTTCTGAATAAGATCACATTCATAGGTACCAGGAGATAAGATTTGAACATGTATATCTTTTTGGCTTGATTTGGACACAATTCAGCCCACCACAGTATTCTGTATTTGAACTCCTCACACTGGCATTTAGTGTGGCTCCCAATTACCTTCTAGTCCTCTTCTCATTGCACATCCTCCATGGCTTGGCTCATGGGATCCCTCTCTCTATGCAGAATCACTTCCTCATGCCATCCTTTCTTCCTCCTTTCTACCTGGACATTTCATCCATTCTTTAAAACCTTTATCAGATGCACTTCTTACATGGTTCCTTTCCTAGTGCCACCAAATCTAATGTGATTCCTTGTAATTCTGCCCTCATTTTTCCTTGTATTAATTACATGTCTATCATTGTTTTAATTCCTCCAACTAGAAAGTAGGTTGCTTGAAAGAAGAAAATAAGTCTTGCTCATCTCTATCATCCCACAGTAGCTAAAACCGTGCTTTGCACTTTGCAGGGTCACAGAATCAGAGAAAAAAGTAGATGTTTTGAAAATAGGAGGCTTCCATATTTTGCACATTAGAATACGTAAAGCCTTAGTTTTTGCCCCCTTCTGCTGATTTCTCTCTGCTTCAAATAGGAGTAGTGTTTGACATGAAGGCATTGTATTGTAATACAATTGCCTAAATATACAAGGCAGTTATTCTGACTTCAGGCTCCAGCTCACTTTGCGATCTTGGGAAAGCCAATTGCTATGTCACAGTTTTACCAATTAATAAAATTGGAACTCACATTAAAAAAATACAGATGAAAAGTACTAGGGAATAATTATTATTGAATGTCATTGAAATATAGTTTCTTGATTTTTTTTTCTCCATCCTTACTTGGACTCAAACTGAAATGAAGATTAAAATCCTAGTGATAAGAAGATAAATGTGAAATGGATAATAAAGGGTGCCACTAAAAATGAAAAGCCCAACTCTGTCATCTTTATTCCCTAATCTTGGTTTCAAAAAATGCATGGTGTTGCTCAAAGACCCTGCTGCAGGTTATATATGTTTATGTATAAGGTTTGCACTTATGTGCTGTCTATATTTTATGAATATATACATATACATGTTCTTATTCCTATTTAGTGATGCATCTGTATTTAAATTACAAGTGTGTCATGATTGATAATGATATGCATGATTTTCCTTTTGTCTTCAACATATAATGAATCTCTTGGTAGTCTTTCCTGTGGGGATGTCTTTATTCTTTCTTAAGACTGACTATCCACCAATGCTTTGGATCCCCTCCTCACTAATCTGTATGCTTGCACTGTATCTACCCATGTATTCATTGCATTGTTATGAGACTTTAATATTATGATATGTAATAAATTATCTCAGGCCTAGTTTTTCTATTTGCAATAATGACCTAATAAGTGTTCCTTGTTGCTAAAATTCTTTTGAAACTGCATACTAACTGGGTAGGCATCATTTGCACACCATATATAAAACAATTGCTGCTATTTTGGCTCATATTGTTGTGGAATACAAGTATTTCTAAGACCCAGAGATTTCCCCCCCATGGCATTTCCCCCTTTTAACATTCAATGCAGTTGCCCAAATTCAGACTCTCATTATCATTAATATTGATTGTTGGTTAGTTTTCTGGAACACGTTTGTATAGTGACATCAGCTGATTTCAAGTCCTGTTGGGAGCATCTTTGTCAATAGTAAAGTTGGATATCGTAAGACGGCTGTCCTTGAATATCTTCATTAGCAGTTTTTCAGTTTTTAATTAGTATCTAAATTAGATTTCTTATTGTTACAACTCACCACAGATGTGCCATACTTGTGCAGAAACTTACCAGGTATTTTTACCTTTGGTTTCCAAAGCACATAATACTAAATGGTGTGATTGCTGCTTTGGATGCTGGGTTTTTTTTTTTTTAAAAAAAAGTCATGTAAAAGGGTACATGGCATATAAAACTGTGGAGTAGATAAATGTGGCTAGAGTCCATCACTAAGACAATCGAATATCTTTGGTTGGCAGTGCATTCATTCTATAGAATATTTTAAATCAGATTGCATTTATAGGGGACTAAACCCTTTAAAAACTATTAAGTATATGTTAATTGGTCTCTAAGACATTGTATTGTGCTTTTAGTAAACTGTTAATTTGGACCAGGAAAGCACTGTATTGATATCAGTCATTTTTATGCATTTCACAATCATTGAGATATTCCTTAATCCTTTTGCATTTTGTCTATATAATAGGAATGCTATCCTTGCTTTATCATCCAGTGTTCCTTTCAACATTGACTGGGTACCCAATAAAAGTGAAACTCACATTAAAAAAACACAGATGAAAAATACGAAGAAATAATTATTATTGAATGTCATCAAAGCATATTTCTTGATTTTTTTTTTTACTCTGTCCTTACTTGGACCCATACTGAAGTGAACATTAAAATCTCAGCGGTAAAAAGATAAATGTGAAATGGATAATAAAGGATGCCACTAAAAATGGTTATTTCCTTCCTCCTAATAGCTTACAATCTATCAGAATACATATGAGTACATAAATAACTATCAAACAAGAAAAAATATTAAAATATTTTCTTTCTACAAATACTGGAATTTGTACCATCATCTGATTTCTAATCAGATTTATTTGCCCTTCTTCTTTACAGAGGATGAAACAGAGAGATAATTCATTGAGGCTTAAGAGTTGTTGTCCACTTAAACGCATAAATATATGTTATTAACTAGCCCATTTCTTCATTGATTTCAACAAATATTTATTGAGTCTATTTTATGTATCAAATTCTGTTTTTAGTGCTGAGAACAAAGAGATGAGTAAGACCAGGCCCTTTATTTGAGGATGTCACAGACCACTGGAGAGAAATAATAGTTACTCAGATACAATATGAGAAATTTCGTAATATAGATATGTGCAGGGCACTATCAGAACACAGAACAGGGAGGAGAAAATAAGCCTCATGAGTCAAGACCCTCTATTACAAAGAATATGAAAGATTTCCAGGTAGAAAAAAACAGTGAAGTTATCTCTGTTTTGTTTTTATTGTTCTTTTTCAATTATATATTTCAAATTTTCAAAGATATGTATAGATGGCTTATCTAATCATGAATGAAAATATTGTTCTAATACTTTGAACATGTGAAGGGAGGCCTAGGTGGGTGTTTTTTTTTTTTTTTTTGAGTCCCTTTTAGAATGCCTCTTCTCTGCAGTAAAACTAGACAAATGCAGAATCATGTCATTAAGTCAATGGGAGGGAGAAAGGCCTGCAAATGTTTCTGTGTTTCTGTTAAGCTGTATATATTAACTGAAAATGATTTGTATAGGTTTGTTCACTATTAATTATGTCACATTAAATAACATTATTGGTTTCTTAAAATAACTGTAGCAATTTTTGACCCTATAAAGTGATCATAAAGAAGTAAAAGCTTTTTAATAAATAAACTTAGGAGAAATTATTCAAATTACTGTCTCACCTTGGGAGACTATCAGTTATGTAAGATTTAAAGAGTTCCAGTATTTAAGTATCTCTTTTGTGTGTGTTGTTGACCTTACCCAACAAAACTACGTATCTCATTATTTACAACTCTCTACTCCATGCGTATACCCATACAGCTGAATACTGCTGGAGAAAAACACACAAATATGGTTCCTGGCCTCCCTTTGACCATAACATAAGGGAGACCCTTAAGGCTTCCTGGCAGTACTACTATATTTCCCAAGTCCGTGTACTTTCCCTAGCTATTTTATAGCTGCTTTTCATCAGTTATCCAACACCTCCTCTCTCGTCCTCATTATCAGCTTCCTACTTCACTGAGAAAAAAAGTAACCAGAAAAGAACTTGTCAGTGTTCCCATCATCACAACCACCCAACCTCCTGAATCTGTGCCCATATTCCCTGCTGTCTCTAAGGGTGAATTTTTTCCTATCTAAGGCAAACCCCTCTACAAATGTTCTAGATCATTCCACTCTCACCTAGTCAAGATGTTGCTCTAGTGAATAGTCCCTTTCAAAACCAAACAAACACTATGTTCTATTTTCCGTATTTAAAAAATCCACCTTTATCCCTGCCCTTTTGTCTAGCTGCCATCTATTTCTTGGGTCTCCCTTACACCTGCAGTCCTCAAGAGCTGCCTCTACTCACACTCCTTGTTTATACTTCCTCACCTCCCATTCTTTTTTAAACTCACTACAATTAAGCTTTGGTATCCACCACTTCCTAAAACGGCTGCTGTGAAGCTTTTTGGTAATTTCTGAGTTGCTAAACCAAATGACATTTCTCTGTCCTCATTTGATTGGACTTACCTGCTACATTTGATGCAGATAATCAATCCCTCCTTCTTGAAATTATTTCTTCACTTGGCTGCAAGACACCTGGCTGCGTGGGGTTTTGTTCCTACCTTTCTTAACCAACTTTCTCAGTCTAATTTGCTGATGTCTTTTCTCTTCCTAACCTATAT
Organism: Homo sapiens; assembly: GCF_000001405.40. NCBI lineage: Eukaryota > Metazoa > Chordata > Mammalia > Primates > Hominidae > Homo > Homo sapiens. The sequence goes on along the minus strand of NC_000012.12, from coordinate 26,445,453 downwards.
TGGAGTTCCATGGAGCTCTTTTCTCTGTTTAAGCTCACTTTTAGGTGATCTCACTAAGGCTCATGATTTTAAATATCAGTCATATACTGACGACCCCTCCATGCACAGCTCCAGCACTGACCTCTGCCCAGAATTCCTGACAGACAAATCCAACAGCCCGCTCCTCGTCTAAAGCTTCATATGTCCAAAACCAAAGTCCTGATTTTATCCTGCTAAATGTACTCCTCCTACATTTTTTCTTAGTAAATGACGTTTCTAAACTATTAGTCGCTCAGGTCAATAACTTTGGAATCATCCTTAATTCTCTTTCTTTCATGCCCCAGATCCAGTCAGCAAACAAATCATGCCAGTTTTGCCTTCAAGAACTGGCCACTTCTTAAAACATGCTAAGGTACCTAAAGATTACAGTAATTTTATGCTTTCAAACTGATTGAGATTTTTAGAAACCCCTGTAAGTCACAACAAGTTTCATGACTGTGGTTTGTAATAAAAATGTGTATAATTCAAATTTAGTTAAAAAAATGTAAATAGAAAATAGGAAATAGTTTTCTTGAGTGATTGATTAGTGACCCAGAAAACCAATTCTGAAATAACAGTTTTCAAAATGATTTGCTCTAGAGCAGCATCAATGTAATGAACATTTAACTTACCAAATTATCACTTATAAGGATAATGTTCATTTGGTCTTCTAGTTTCTGAATTATTTAAAATTCATCTCCATGATTATAATAATAATTGGTATTAAGATCTCATGAATAATAGGAAAACTTATTGCTCCGTAATGTCGATAAAATACTGGCTCTACCATTTTCTAGCTATGTTATCACAAACAAGTTCCTTACACTCTCTGTGCTTCAGTTTCCTCATCTGTCAATGGCAATAATAAGAGTGCTTACCACTGGATTTCTTAGTAGATTCAAATAAGATCATGTACTTGAAGTGCTTAGAATTAGTGCCTGGCATGGAGTTGGAGGCAGGCATTGTGCTGGGAGTGAAAGAGTTCTGTGGTAGAGTCTCTGTTAGTAGAAGCCCTCAGGGAATTTAAGCATTAATAAGATATTTGATAAGTGAAAGATATTGCAAGGTTTCAGGAATTGCTCGAGACAACCATAAAAGAGACATCTGAAGGCAACATGTATTACTAATCTACAAAGTGAGAGAACTAGCCAACACATGCTGTAGACATTCAAATGGGAGAGAAAGATCACTTCCACTACAAGCAGTTTAAAATAATTTATGGTGAAATTTTTGCTTTTTTAAATGCCTGATTTCAATGACAATAAAATCAAGATCTATACCCAGAAAGCACTCATTTTGGCTTACAAACATGAAGCAACATAGGACTTTATACCAACTACTAATGTAGAGCTTAGATTACATGCTATAAGAGAAACTCTTCTGAAATACAGATACCTATTTATGTGTGTATAGGAAAAACACACATTTATATTGTTCCCACCACTCACTGATTTATTGCACTGTTGATCACTTTGTTTTTATTTGCATGTAGTTTAAATTTACTATAGACAGTGTCAATTATGTATCACTGGGAACATTTCTTCTTCCTGGTACAATCGTACATTTATTGAAGACATAAATTTAATCAACAAATATTAATGGCTGATCATTGTGATTTCATTATCTCTGCCTTTCAAATACAGACATGCTTTCCTGAAGTGTAACTAATTGTCCTTAACCCTAGGACTCTGAAGCTATGTGTACAAGTAGACAAAGATATTGCAAAGTTTGACCCTAGGAAAGGGGAAAAGAAGACCTAAAACCTTTATTTTTTCCCTACTCTAGTTGGCCCGCCACAATAAACTGTTGCAGCAGATGCTCAAACCAGGATCGGATCCAGATGAAGGAGATGAAGCCTTAAAGTATTATGCCAACCACACTGCACAGATTGAGGTAACCATCTATTATTTATTGAAAGAGACCAACTGTGAAAAGTTATGCTTACTTCCTATTTTAGACCATTTTCATATTTTTTTCTAGAGCAATGATGCAGAAGTGAGTGGTTTAAACTGAAAAATGTATAGTAAAAGGATGAGTGAGGAGTGATTTATAGGAAACTGAGGTGTACATCTTTCAAAGTTGTCTTTTTTTACTAAAACTATATGTAAAATTTTTTTTTGTAATTAATAGATGTTTTTTAACTGTAGAAGCAATCAATCATTGCAGAGCAATAGCGTTTGAGAGATGGGATTATTATAATAGAAGCCATCATTCAGGAAAAGGTTTCTTTTTTAAAATTGTGGAAAGCTTATTAAAATAGAGATCTCCAGCAATTCACAAGTGGAGTAAACATGAAAGAAACTAATACAGTTTTCATATTGATAGCATAGCCTTGGAAAGGTTTAACAGTTTCCATTTTCAGTATGCAGCACTTGACCCCTCCACCACCCTCATAAATGAGACATTATTTAATGGTTGGTGGCAGTCCAGGAGGTGTGGGTCAAAATGGACTTACCATTATGTGTTCTGAGACCCATCTGGCTGTCATTTACTAGCTATGGTATCATTTTGACACTGGCTGGCAGAGCTAATCAGGCAGAAGTGAGCAGAGTAGTTGACGCTTGTCACTCCTATAATTTACATTTATACATTCATTCATTTTGGCAGATATTTTTTACTTTTCAGCAGAGTGCATGATGGGCATCACTGTATTCACTCTCAAGATATATAACCCCTACACTGTATTGTTTACTATTGTCAAACCTTTGTGTCACAGAAACGGATACCTTGCTCACATTTGTAAACATTAATAGTACCATAGCTTTGGTGTTGGACTTGACTTAGTGGAACCCATGAGCTGGACTAGCAGCAAAAACATTTCTATACAAATAGAAATAGGTCATCAAACCATGAAGGTCTTGAGGAAGATCCCAGAAGTCAAAGTACAAAGCTAGGAGATCAGAAGAGACCAGGGAATAGCAAATAGAGTGAGCAGGCCATGGGAGAAGTTTGGTTAATGCGGGTGAGAGATGGGAGCTGTTGTTTGATGTTGTTTTATTGATTCCAGTAGTGAGGAGAGATTTAGCTATAAATACACACATTCAGTACATGTTTACTGAGCACTTACTCTCTACCAATTCACACATATAGAAGATAATTCTATGTTATAAGTATATAAACAAAGGGCCAAGGAAATGTAGAGAAAATAATAATTAGTGGTGCCTGAGCGATTTCAGGATAGATTTCACTGAGAAGGTTGCCTTTAAGAATGTATTAAAGATTGAGTACGAGTTTCTCCTTCAGGATGGGGATTTCAGAAAGGAGAAAGTAAGTGAAGGGAAGGTATTAAAAAACATGGGAAGGAGATGACTATTTTCAAAAGATCAATCTGGTTGCCGTTTGGAGACAGGACTGGAAAAGAGAGTGGGATAGAAAACACATAGAACAGATAGGAAGATATTATAATGGCAAAAGTGAGAGGTGATATCGAAGATGGCTGGACTGGAAAATACATAGATACATAGATGCAGATACATACATACATATAGATCTCTATATAGTTATATATATATTATAAATACACACATATACATATACATACTGACAGGGCTTTGAAGTTGAAGTTGAATTGCACATGTTAGGAAAATGGTGTGGAAAAGGATGTCCTCTGGGCTACTGGTTTGAATAAATGAGCAGAAGTTGGTGCCATGTATGAGAATGCTAGGAGAGAGTGAAGTTTGGCAGCTAAAAGGTAGAAGAAGATTATTTGTTCATTATTGGATAGATTGAATTTGAGGTGACTTTGAGTCATCCATGGAGTTGGATATACAAGTCCAGGTTTCAAAGGAGTGGTCCAGGCTGATGAACTCGTTGATCAGCTCTTGCACTCATCTGAAGCCAGCTCACATGACCTACTCAGAGAGTCCTTCCTCCCTTCTCCAGGCTTTCATTAATTTCATCTCACTGTGTATGCTTCCACAGCAGTTTGGTTATTCTGTTAGTTTAATATTTATCACATTGGAATATTGTTAGCTTCATATATGTCACTTCTCCTTTACTTGAGGCAGGGACTGGTCTTGGTCATCTTTGTATTTCCAAAACTGAACCCTGTGCCTTGAACATAACCACAACAATTCATGTTATTGAGAATAATAGTTTGTCTGCAAGTTATAGACTTAAAGACCCTGGGAAATAGGAAGAGCCTTGTGTCTAATCACCCATCTAAGAAGGAATTGCCCTCTAATGATCTGCTTCTGCTTTAAATTCTTCCTGCGATAGAGTTCTCACTACATCAGGAAGAAACTGATCCGATTTTGAATGTCTAGTAATTAGAAACTTTTTTTAAAATGAAGAGTTAACATTAGCCCATTTTAATGTTTACATTCAGAACATTTTTTTCTCCCTCAACATGATAGCTTGACTCTAACATCTGAAGAGCCATCATGATTACTAAACTACAAGCTCTTACCTGTTGGGGTTCATGTTGTTTTTTTCTCCAACATGCCTCACCTAAAGACTGAATAAGCATTTGTTGAATAAACGTATTGAAAAATTATCCATCTCTGGCTTTTTGCGGTTAACACACCTCCATTTCCTTCAGTAATCCCTCCAGTTTGTCCATGCTGCTTGTAAAATGTGACAACCATAATCAAACATAACATTTCATAAAAGGACTGAAGAGCTTGGCTTATAATAATCTAGACATGATTTCTTTGATGCACCCTGAGATTTTTTAAAAATATTTGACACTATTGAATCAAGTAAACCTTTTTTCCCTATATGGTTGCCTGTCATATCAAATATGTCCAATTATTTTGTACAATTGATTTTTGTAACCTATATGCAAGAATTTTTATTTACCCTACTAAATTTCATGTAGTTTGCTTTATGACAGTATTCTAGTATGTAATTGAATATATCACATATCATTTAGGATACCTTCAGTTACAAGATTAATAGAATACCACAGTGACAATTGTTTAAACAGTAAAATTTTATCTTATGGGAAGTCTGGAGTACCAGTAGTTCTGTAATTGATTCAGTGATTCAGTGATGTCTTAAAATATGCAGACTCTTCACATCTTTATACTAGGTTCCTTATCATGCTGACACTATCTCACCTCATGGTTGCAAAATGGCTGCTAGCATTCTAAGCATCATGCCCTTAGACCCTTTTGTTCTAAGCAAGAAGAAAGAGGGTACAGGCAAACCAAAACAACAACAACAACAAAAAACTTTTGTTTTCGTGTATTTGGTTGTTGTTGTTGTTGTTGTTGTTTTGTGTGTCTCTTATGGCTCTCTGCCTTTACCAAGAAGCAAAATCTCTCCTGGAAGCCCTTTCAGGATATTTCTCTTTATGCCTCACTTTCCAGAGGTACAGTCCATGACCACCACCACACCAGTCAGTGGCAAAGGGAAGCAGAATTACTCGTTTGGGTTAAGCCAATCCTTATTCATTCCTGAGAACTGGGCACTGTACATAAATATGAACCTTGAAATTTAGGCTACATAAGCCCTTGTTACATAGTAAAGCTGTATGAAAATATTCAGCCTTTTTTTAGTCTAAAGTTAAACAGTCACAAATAACAAATAAGGGAGGCTAAAAATGATGAGTATTTAAATGTGGGTATATGTTTACATGGATGTTGTAGCTACAAAAATATGTTTTACCATGAATAAGAGAACATTTTAATGATATAAAGCGCTTTTCTCTGTAGAGTTCAGACACATAATGCTGAATATGTCATTTGTTACCTGGCAGCCCCTTTTAGGATGAAGAGGCTAAGAACAAGATACAAATAACATAAGCGCTATGTTTAAGGCTACCCAGCCAATCACTTTCTAATTAAGACTGTCTTAGTTTTAGGATGTACTTCACAAAAATAAAAATGGGTGGCAGAAGTGTAATGCTAACCCAGAAAGAATAAAAGGTTTTAGTTTTTGTTATTTTAAGCAAAGTATAGTGTTCATGATATATTAGTCAATTAATTTCTCTTTTTTAAAGAGAAAAATACAAAGTAGTATAGTAAAAAGGGTTCTTTCAGATACTTCAAGTTGGCACATTTTTTCACAACTGAATTCATAAAACATTCTCAGTAAACTCATGTTAAAAACAAAAGCAAGTCTAAGACTGAGGTGTCCGAAAGGCTAAAAACAATGCAAATTAATGTTTTCAGATTGTCCGGCATGATAGGACCATGGAACAAATAGTTTTTCCTGTCCCCAATATATGTGAATACCTCACTCGAGAATCCAAGTGCCGTGTGTTCAATACAACTGAAAGGGATGAACAAGGAAGTAAAGTGAATGACTTTTTCCAGCAAACAGAAGATCTCTACAATGAAATGAAGTGGCAGAAGAAAATCAGGAGTAAGTACAGTAAACTGAAATGGTTAGTTTTGTGCATAGTGGTAGATAATTTGGTACTTTGGGACACATGATGCAGCTCATTTAAATTGTTTTTTTAATTTCTTGCTGGTCTGATATTACTGAAATCACTTGCAGTCTTAAGAGTGTCCGCTTAGTCTACCACTGGAGCCGAGACACCCGCAGCTTAAGGAAAACAGAAAGCCCTAACTAATTACATCGACTCTTCATGATGATCCTATTTTTAAATAAATGTTATGAAATGCAGGGTTGAAGCTGTACATTTCAAATGTTGAACAGCCACAGGTTTGAAGTCCGTGAATGGGCCCTGACTGGCCTATCAGTGAATAGGATTGAGAGACATCAGCTCCTGCGCACTCTTCCTCTGTTGTCCTGTGATTGAGGGGATTGTTTCGTGTTTTGCTGAGAGTAATTCTTTCTTTGAACATATCTTTACCTCCCCAAATCAAACAAGTTATACATATGATAACACTTGTATTTAAACAGAGCAATGTTATAATATTCCAGTTAAAAATCAGCTTAGTACAGTTCCCATGACCTATCTCTTAGGTCCCACGTCTATTAGGAAACACTGACTTTTAAAATTTAAAATTTTAGAATTTTTAAATAAACTTTATTTTCCAAAATAAGGGATCTCATGAGTTTTTCACGAAAGTCAATGGGGGAAACTCTTGAGTAGGTCTTTTTCAGTCTCTTGGAGTTTTCTAGACAAACAGGATATGTTCTCAATACTTCTATTCAACAGTATTTCATTATGGTAGTTTTCAGCAACTTTAGTGGGTATGATTTATGAATTTGAGTGGTGCTTGAGAAATATCATCTTTAGATATAGGGGTGTGGTATGCATTTTCAGGCTTTTAAAACAGAATGCTTTTAAAAAAATCAAAATTATTCTCCCTTAGCATTTTACCATGTAGAGCCTTATGGAATTCAGTGAAAATTTTGGGTGTCTAAAATACATATGAAGACACAATTTTATTTGGAGCATTTAAAAAACATATATTTTCTGGCCAGGCGTGGTGGCTCATGCCTGTAATCCCTGCACTTTGGGAGGCCGAGGCAGGCAGATCATGAGGTCAGGAGATCGAGACCATCCTGGCTAACGCAGTGAAACCCTGTCTCTACCAAAAATACAAAAAATTAGCCGGGCGTGGTGGCAGGCACCTGTAGTCCCAGCTACTCGGGAGGCTGAGGCAGGAGAATCACTTGAACCCAGGAGGCAGAGGTTGCAGTGAGCCGAGGTTGCAACACTGCACTCCAGCCTGGGCGACAGAGTGAGACACCATCTCAATAAAACAAACAAACAAAAACCAAAACAAAACAAAAAAACATATATTTTCTCCTTGACAATAAATTGAATACTGAACTAGTGCTTTGGGGAGGTCTGTGCTTTTAAAAAAATAAGTATTTTATCATTTACCAAAAATTAAATCTTAAAATAATTTTCAATGTACATTTTACTTTAAAATTTGGAAGCAGCTTATTATGAGGCTATAGGCAGAGTCTAATTCATTTGGTGGATTCAATAGTGAGAATTTGTTATTACAAATACATGCATCAACATCTTCTAATTTTGTCTTAATAGTCTACCTTTAAAAATGAGGACTCCTAATTCAGGAATGATGGAGATGCAGATGTTTATAGTTTATGATACATTAGTCAATTGAATGGCATAGCTGATCATAGCATATTTCGGCATTGGAATGTTCCCTTCCAAGAGAAGGAAAACAAGATGTACTAAAGAGAAGTACAGTTTGTAAGTAGGCAATAGGCACTAGGTTGAAATTCACAGGATATATCTACAAAGTTAATCATTTCCATTTGAAAATCGATGTGCCTTTCCCCCTTGATTAACTTCAATTTTTTAATCCTGGTGTTAAGTTTTTAAAAGTTAGAGAATGGACAAGGCCTATAGGAGCCATGTGAGTGCCCAGGGCAGGCTAGTAGATTTGGCTGTCATTCAAACTTACATGCATTACCAATCCGTTCAGTTATTTAACAGAGGTGGAAAGAACTGATTTTTGGTTAATGTAAACTGTATTCGATTGATGTATTTACTAATTCATTTGTGATAACAGACACAGAGTCCTTTGTTGAATATATGCAGCAAAGCGTGTTCCACTTATTAACAGTTTTTATTATAGTGCTCATTTTCTTCTGCTGTTTCAAACCCAACAAGTTCTTAGGAAGATTTAAGGTTTAAAATGTAGATAATATTATAAATCACTAGTTCCCCATCAGGAATACTATGTCACATGATTAGGTTTCATACTTTCAGGTAACTGTGACTGTCATAGGAATTTTCATTAGAAATATATCTGTGCTATGGGTTTGAGTTTTTTTATTTGACTTTAAGGCATGGGAATGGGACCAATTTATCAATATTACCAAATTATACAATGAAGTATATCATTTCATTAAAAGGGACCCCAGGCAACTGCTAAACTGCTCTGCAGATAGATTACAGAGAGTTATTACAGAATCACCTTTTCTGACCACCTTTAGCAATTGCAAAATTCCTCACCCTTCTACAGTAGTTTAGGCCTAAACTGGCTGAAGGATGAAAGAAGAAATCAAATTTCACTCCTTTATGGTTCTGATTGTTTTTAATAAACTTACTCAAGTCAAATATTTATTTAAATAGGTTTTTATAATAGTTTACAAAAATGATGCATTTAGTAAAATATTGTTTTGGTAAGCTTCATGTGTTGAAACCAAAATGTATTTTCCTGTTCAGTTCCTTTACATTTCTCACTTCCTAGATAACCCTGCACTGTTCTGGTTCTCGAGGCACATCTCTCTCTGGGGGAGCATTTCCTTCAACCTGGCTGTGTTCATCAATTTAGCTGTTGCTCTCTTCTACCCATTTGGGGATGATGGAGATGAAGGCAAGTGCTCGTTTTTCCTTAAAATATAAATATTTTAAAGTTCCCACTTAACTATTTAAAGCTTCAAAATAAGAATAATTTCATTCCTGTTAAATGGATTTTTCTATACTTGTTGGAAGTAGAGTATGATAGTAAATAGAACAGGCAGAAAAGTGTGGTCAACAGAACTGTTATTTTTTAAAAAGCTCATATACACAATTGTTATTAGAGCTATATTATATCTTGGCAAATAAAGCAATGAAAAGATTTGTCATTTCTACCTAATTATTATGACCCCATTTTTATACTGTATCATCTAAATTATGCAAATGACAGTTCTGTGCCCAATATTAATTGTTGTTACCTAAATACTGGCGTTTATATTTTACTCTCTTTGTTTTCTGTCTTGTCTAAGGTTTCTATAGTGAGCATACATGTAATCTAGAAATAATTTTTAATTCTATACTAAAGTCAGGGATTCTTAAGATAATTAAATGTTTATCATCTGAGGTTTCAAAAGTGAACAGCATAAGACAATATAATAATAGGAAATAAAGGATACTGAATATGAAACTATTATTAAACTAATAATACAAAAGCAAAAATGAGAAATTATACCATTTTAGGTGGAAATGAGAAATATAGGAGAAATATACTGAATCGTGAGATTTTTGGGAAGTAAGTTTTGTATAAGTTTGGTGGAGAGCATGGGAAGTATGTTACAGGCTTGGGCTACAATCTGGTAAATAACTTTGGAATGGGCATGGAAAGAATGGCTTGAAAGAAAAGATGGAGAAATCAGCTAATAATAACCATGCAGTGCTTTTGCATCTCATCATTTCATGGGATTACTGTGAGAATTTAATGAGATACTATAGGTAAAGCATTTAGAATAGTACCTGATAAACCTTCAATAAAGTTCAATGGTGGTGGTTGCTGTTTAAAAGGTACATATTTGTACTACATAAGGAAGCGTAGTGGAAAGAGAGTATGATAAGAGCAACAGGTATTTCAGCCTATTTCAGATGAACTGGGGGTGGGCAGAAAAGGAAATGGGAGTCCAAGGGTCATTTGCTATTTTACAGGTTCATTACAGGTAACATAGATATCAAAGTTCTAAACTTTAGCTGTAATCTGAGTAGTCATGAATAACCACTGTTTTTGGAAGGCATACCCGTAATAAAAGAAGAATATTAAGCAATGGAGTGGATGTATGAGTTAAATAGCAGTGAAAATGTAGCAAATATTTGGCCATCCATTATAGAGCAACTGCAAATACACCAGGAAGTAAAAACGGCATTCTCTTCATTGTGTTTGGTCTCCTTTGGTGATAAACTCTTAGCATAGAGGAATATAACTCTTGGGAGGAAAGAAGTCCAGCATGAATGATAAATCAATATCATCTTCACACAGAATGCTGAGAAGATTATAGAGTCCCAGTTATTAGAAGCATAAAGTCTTAGAAATGGAAGCAATTCTGGAAATCATCTAATATCAAACACTCATTTGACAGATGAACAGATGGAAGCCCAGAAAGCCTAAAAAATGACATATCTTAGAGTAGAAGGCTAACCCTTTTGTTTCCAATCTAGGACCCTTCTCCGTGGATTGGAAGCATGTCAATAACAAGAAGCATGTCCCTTCTTCATACAAGACCTAATTTCCCTTGAGTTCCATTCCATGATATCCCTTTCTTGACCACCAGAGCCAATGTATGTAGGCTCTGCTGCCACCTATTGTACATGAAATGTAGTGATGGGAAATGCCACCCCTCTGGGCAGTTGCTCTTTACTCATTCAGGAGAAGCAGAATACATGGTATTTGTAATACTTGCCTGGCCAATAATAGTTATAATAGTAATACTGATAATAATAACAGCAGCGGATGTTGTTCACCACTTAGATTGGGTCAGGCAAAATGCTAAGCACTTCACATACATTTCACTTAATCTTCCTGACAAATCTGTATTCTTATGGAGGAAGAATATCCTTATGGATGAAGAAACTGAGGCTGAAGATTTGCCTTGTAATTAGAGTCCAAAAATATGTATTTTTTAATAAGCTCACCAGGTATTGCTGGTGCAACTGGTCGTTAAAAAAGGACTTGAAATAACGGATTTTTCAAAGCCATTCTTTACCCATTAATGGTGGGAAGGGAGGAGCATTTTCTCTCCTTAATACTTTATATATGTATCCATTTTCTATAATAAGCATGATATTATTTTAATAATACAAATGTTTTTTAATTTACCCTATATATTTTTAAATCTTAGAAAGTATGAAGTTTATCTTTTATAAAAGAAAATTCAGAAAGCAAAATTGCAAACTTCAATCCAGTTCACATAATGAAGCTCTGCTATCTACCTCATGCAGACTCTATAGTTTCCTGTACAGAACATGCTGCTTCTTACTTCCCTGTTTCTCTCCATCCCTCTGCCTCCCAAGTAGCCTCATGAGATCTTTCTGTTTCCTCTACCTCAGTCCAGCTAAATAGATACCCACTCAGAATTCCCTGGGTCGTCTTTACTATTGTGCCTTATTCATTTCTTGGTCCCTTAACTGGACTGTGAACTCTCTGAGGACAAGGACAAGTTTACTAATCTTTGTATTTTTTAAAATACAAAGATTGTAAAATCTTTATATTTAACAGTGCGGCACTCCATCAACAGTTAAGTTGAAGGAATTGAAATCACCATGAAGAACTCATTTTCTTTAACACAAAGCACTTGATGGAAAAAAACAATTACACTACAAATTTTAATATAATTTTTAAAAATCACATACTATCTTGGTATAAGACATTCCCATGGCATCAATTTTCTCCTAGTTATGGGAGGTATAAGTTTGTTAGTCCCAGAAATAGGACTAACGAACACAAGGCTGGAAGACATGGTGCACTATCATCAGGTGCAGATGCAGACTTTACTTCTGGGAAAGGACTGGATAGCAGTTAACAGTAGTAACCAATGTAGAGGCTCAGCTTAGGATATCCAAGTGGATGGGGTGCTTAGAGGGAAGGGAAGGCATGAGCTGCCATTTTGGCAATATCAAACCCCAAGGTTATGTCTGGGTCATCTGGTTATAGTTCTGGATGAGTTATTTAATTATAGCCCCATGAATAAGGTTAACATTTTGGTCAGGATTAGCTTAGTCTTAATCTGTTGCACACTGCATAGCTAGGAATGCTGAGGAAACAGAGCTAAGACTGTTACACATACTTGGCCATCAGAATTGTCTGGAGAAGGAAAGCTCTGTGCTGGTGGTGAAGGTTCTCTGATGCTGGATTTGGTCAAACAGGCTGAACGACTGTATGCTAGGGCCACTGTGAAGTGATTTAGAGGTGGGTGAGATTAAAGATGGATGAAAATTCCTTCAAGAAGTGCTTAAAAATGATGGAGACATGTCAGAAAACCCAGGATCCAACTTGAAAGGTCTCCAGATGGTCAAATATGAGAAAATTTAGAGAAAAAGATTATTGACAGTGACACATCATCTCCTATAGAATAAAATAAGAATCCAGGAGTTCATGTTGATAGTGGGAAGATAAAGCTCTTTTTTAGTAATTGTATTCCAATTAATAAAATGTAGACAGAATGACGGAAATAAATGTCACCATTTGGCAAACATCACAGTAGTAAAAATTATCCATGGCTGCTAAAATTAATGGGTGACTATATGATGAAAAGTATATAACCTATATATAATGTACAATTCTGTCCCCACAGTATACTTAATTATGAAAGGAAAAATAATAACTTTAAAGTGATCACTTTAGCTAAGTGATCAGTATTAATGGCACCTGTAATGAGACCCAGCAACATCACATGCCTCCTGATACAATCACCGACAAGGACATAACATCATTTTCCAAAAATAAATTAACTGATAAAATTTCAGACAAACCCCAAATGAGGGATATACTACAACATAATTGGCCAGTACTCTTCAAGGTGTCAAGCTTATGAAAGACAAAGAAAGACTGAGCAACTATCCAAATTAAAAGATACTAAAGAGACGTGACAACTGAATCCCATGTGTGACCCTGGTTCAGAAGAAGGACATAAATTGGGAAATTGACTAACTTTGACTAGATAGATGGTAAAAGTGGTCTATCAATGTTAATTTCCTGATATTGATCATTTTCATGTAGTTATATGAGGTGTTGACATTTGGGGAATCTAGGTAAAGGATAAAGTTAAAAAGAAAAAAAAATAATAAATGTAAGGAGTCTGTCCAACCCTGAAGTTCCTTGACTCGGTATAGAAGCTGATTATGAAATCACCTGGTAAGTCTTGGACCACAAAAAGAGCTCTGGTTAAAATATGCCACCTTCCAACCCCAGATCCTAATACATGCTGGTACCAATGTGGTGGTGAGAACAGAGGGACTGGCAGAGGGAATGAGCCGTGTATGCTTCCTCCAATTATATTTCCCAGTCTGAACACCTGGACTACTAGGAGTTTCTTGTGCTCAAATATTTGGTTCACACTTGGGTTATGATATTAACTGAGAGAGTAGTTGCCCTCTTCAACCAGGTAGTGGGGTACAATGACTAAATGGAGACATTTAAGGGAGAGGGAATTCTCAGAGGACCAGCCTGTTGGGCACTCTTCACCCTCTACTGCAGATAGAGAATCTCCTTTAATTGCCAGGCTTTGAAGAGTTTGGTTTCAATTTGTTCAGGAGTACAGGGCTGATGTTTTATGGCTAAACGTTTTGGTTGGGTTTCTTTGTTTGGCTGATTGGTTTTTGTGGCTGTTTGTTTGTTTAAGGTATGCTTCTCTAAAAAAGAAACATGCCAATGTTGAGGAATGAGGCTACACTGGTTGCGGCTGAAGCAGCAGCTGCTGATGCTGGGAATAGCCTGGAAGTCCACTCAGAAGCTGACAGCTGCCACGCCAGATATCCCTACCCAGGATTTCATTTGGCAAAGGCAGACTAGTTAGTGGAGAAAATTGATGCCATGAGAATGTCTTATACCAAGATAGTATGTGATTTTAAAAAATTATATTAGAATTTGTAGTGTAATTCTTTTTTTCCATCAAGTGCTTTGTGTTAAAGAAAATGAGTTCTTCATGGTGATTTCAATTCCTTCAATTTAACTGTTGGTGGAGCGCCGCTATGTGCTAGGCACTGTTAAATATAAAAGATTTTACAATCTTTGTATTTTAAAAAATACAAAGATTAGTAAACTTGTCCTTGTCCTCAGAGAGTTCACAGTCCAGTTAAGGGACCAAGAAATGAATAAGGCACAATAGTAAAGACCACCCAGGGATTTCTGAGTGGATGTCTACTTTAGCTGGACTGAGGCAGAGGAAACAGAAAGATCTCATGAGGCTACTTGGGAGGCAGAGGGATGGAGAGAAACAGGGAAGTAAGAAGCAGCATGTTCTGTACAGGAAACTATAGAGTCTGCATGAGGTAGATAGCAGAGCTCCATTATGTGAACTGGATTGAAGTTTGCAATTTTGCTTTCTGAATTTTCTTTTACAAAAGATAAACTTCATACTTTCTAAGATTTAAAAATGTATAGGGTAAATTATAAAACTTTTTGTATTATTAAAATAATATCATGTTTATTATAGAAAATGGATACATATATAAAGTATTAAGGAGAGAAAATGCTCCTCCCTTCCCACCATTAATGGGTAAAGAATGGCTTTGAAAATCTGTACTGTCAGCTCAGCGAGGTGGCTCATGCCCGTAATCCCAGCACTTTGGGAGGCCAAGGCAGGTGGATCACCTGAGGTCAGGAGTTCGAGACCAGCCTGGCCAACAGGGTGAAACCTAGACTCTACTGACAATACAAAATTTAGCCAGACGTGGTGGCAGGCACCTGTACTGACAGCTACTCGGGAGGCTGAGGCAGGAGAATCACTTGAACCTGGGAGGCAGAGGTTGCAGTGAGCCGAGATCACGCCACTGCACTCCAGCCTGGGTGACAGAGCAAGACTCAAAGAAAATCTGTACTGTCTTCTCTAGAGTTTGTCAGAGAGACTTCAGTTCTTTTTTAGCATTGAATCTTCAGATAGAAACCAATATGATCATTCTTAGAGAAGTTAATTATAAACATTGGCAATAGCTGTTTTAAATAACTTTTGAGTTTATTCCACAAATATAT
This sequence comes from Homo sapiens, assembly GCF_000001405.40. NCBI lineage: Eukaryota > Metazoa > Chordata > Mammalia > Primates > Hominidae > Homo > Homo sapiens. The sequence continues at coordinate 26,430,121 of NC_000012.12, read as the reverse complement.
ATTTAGTATGAACCTATGTGCAAGCTACTATACTAGACACTCTTTGAGTTCTTTTCACAAAGGGATCAAACACCCAATTTTAAGTGCCTGACTATAATTTCTGTTTGATCAAGGGGATATCTCAGCAAACCAGATATGGTCTTGGAAAGAATAGTGAAGAGGTGAATAGTTTATCAGAAATTAGTGACAATGCACAATGTGACTATCTATGCCAAATTATTCTAGAATAAGAGTGTCACCAAGACATTGCTTATGAATTATGCTGAAAAGTCAAATAACTGGCTGACAGCTGTAAATGTGCCTTGAAGATATTGTCAGTTTTAGTGAACTTAAAAGCTAAGCTGTATGACTTGGGGAGTTGATAACTGGAGACTTAGTTATTTATTCAAAACAAACTCACAGAATATATTTTTGTTTATTTACTCAATCAACAAATTTTTATTTGTTGTTGTGTAACAGGCATGGCGATAGGTCTAGAGATGGCCCTCATCCTTTTAGATTGTACATCCTGGTGGAGTCTCAAGTCCCAGTAAGAAAGAGAGAAAATTGAAGACATTATTTACTCTATGGCTCTTTGAGATCTGTGAGGTCAGGGCAGTTGGTGGTCAGCCTGTATTTTGGTAGATGTGGAGTGCTTACAAGCCAACATCATCATAAACACGAGTAGGGTACCTGTATGTTAGCATTGCCAGAGGACAAGAATTGAAGGTAACTTTCAGAGCAGTTTACCCTTTTTCTTTCCCCATCTCCAAATTAATCTTATCAGATTATAAATTTGGTGAGGGAGAATATCACATCTGTCTTCCCAAGCTCCTTTCATCATTGTTTGCTTTCAGAGACAGCATGATAAGAACAAACCTTGCAAAAGTAAACATGTCTAAATGAATGCTGTTCATTATCTGATTTTTTGTTTGTCTTTTAACAGTTGACAGGATCTTCCTGCCTATTTCTGAGATGTTAGCACACACTATGAACTAAGAGTTTATACAGAATTCATTAAAGGAGTCAGATAATCCCAGGGTTTTGATGACAGTACAAAAGCTATGCATATCAAGCCCTTGAGGTGTTTTGCATGCGGTAGCAAATTTTATAAATAAAGATAAGAGGTGTGGCCAAAAGATTAAGACTGTTATTGAATATTTACCAGTGGAAAGTCTCCATTTTGTTGTTTCCTTTCTATGTCAGCCTATAGACATGCATTTGAGGCCCCAGAGCTGATCCAATCAGCCCAAGAATGTTGCCTCTTAATTTACTTCTGCAAATGCAGCACCACATGACCTTCAGGGAAAGATTCCTTGAATGCACATGTCAGTGCAAATGTCAATGAATTGTACTACTTATTAAAGAAAAAATATTTTTGAACCTCTCTTTTGGGGAGTTCCTAAGAAATCTTATGTGTAACAGAGTTCGTTTTTTAAGACATTTGGAATGTGAATTTTCTGATGAGTAAATAGCTAAAAATTTTATTTAGCAGTAGAGTTGGCCTTCAAATACACACACTCATGCACGTACTCATACACATATCTATGTATGTGTATTTAGCAGTTAAAGCATGTGTCTATTTTATAAAGGTTATTCTACTAGATTCTTCAGAGGAATCTAGACTATGGAAACTTGATACTGATAGGACAAGACAAGGTATGAATTCAATTTTTTAATGATTTAGCTATATATCTAATGGTCATTAATCATAAATTTTGGATTAAGGTTCCCGAGAGAGATGTCTATCAAAAGTATTTAGCAAATCACCCTCATATGACAGAAAGATGAACAATTGTCAGACTTAATAAAAGGAACATTAACTAGTGAGTATTTAAGTAGCTTGAAAGTAATCACAAATTTTCTGGAAATGTAATAATGAGTAATGCTTTCAAAGACATTTCCTTGAAATATAAAGAACGTAGATGGGGTCATTTTGAAATTTACTGGATTATGGCTTTGACTTAATGATACCATATAAAGTAGAGCAGCAAATATTTTAGCATTTTTTAGTTTTATTCTTAGTAGCAATAAATTTCTTCCACATTTTACAGGTACACTTTCTCCATTGTTCTCGGTTCTTCTTTGGATAGCAGTTGCGATCTGCACATCTATGCTGTTTTTCTTCTCCAAGCCTGTGGGTATTCGGCCGTTTCTTGTATCAATAATGCTCAGATCAATATATACAATAGGTCTTGGGCCTACATTAATACTTCTTGGTGCAGCTAATGTAAGTACTTTACTTAGCTTTGTACTGTTACAGAATTAGTTTAAAAGTGTATGAAATATAAAAATATAACTATAAGCTTTTAATTCATGTATGCATGGTGAATTCTAATTTATTATAAATCTAAATTAACCAGAGCATAATTTGTACTTTTTTAATTTAATTTTGAGTGAAAGAAAAAATGATAGGTAAAAGATTGCTATATTTAAGAAGTAACATTTGGGGAATGACCCAGTTCTGCCATCAATTTAATCCAATCCAATTTTAATGCATTCTGCATCCTATACCCACAGCTATTGACAAAAATGACTGAGCCATTGTTAATATTCCAAAGTGACATCGTAAATCATCCAAAAAAGATTAAATTATGTTCAATAGAATTTTGAAAGTGGGCACCTTTCATCAAATGACCTAAGAAAAAGGATTTCTATATGAGAAAATATTAAATTGGGTTCTTTTTATGTGAACAAATTTTATAAACTGATGAAAGTCATAGATAGGATTAATTTTTTGACCGAATTTTGAAATATTAGAATAAGGAAGCACAGAGTAGTAGTATTTCAAAAAGCAAGTGATACATTTATAGAAATAATTTTACCCGAGAAATACAATTTTAAAGGGACTAGCCAACGTTATGCATGGCACAGCCATACAGAGATATTAAAAGGTAAAACCATCAGGCTAATGAAATAACAAATGGCCAGGTAAGAAAATAAGTATTGCTGATCTATGTGTTGAATACCTAGACACTTTCGATCTTTTCCTGGGTTTCTAACATAATGTCCTACATTCTGGTATCTGTAATTAGGACTAGTCTCCCCTACTACATTTTACTATGCTTAAGGATTGATCATTCAGTATCAAGAACATTATAGGTACTCAGTAAATATTTCCTAAATAAATAAATTAATAAGTGAGTGAATGAATGAGTGAACAATTATCTTTGTATTCTTATATATTTACAGGGGCTTGCACATAAAATATATAGCAAATATTTATTTAGTAATAAATATTTAATATTTAGCAAATATTTAATAATAACTAATATTTAACAAATATTTACTTAATAAATAAAATGTATTTATTTTATTTATTTATTAAAATGAATTAATAAAATAGTCAACCAAACTTTCAAGAATTATAAAGCTGAGCTAATATGGCCAATTCTGTATTTCTGTGTTTCTGACCTCTATTTTATTACAATTCTTCGAAAATTAGACATGATGTATTTGACAGCTCCCAATTAGCTAGAACATTCAGGCAACCAAATTACCAATTATCCTCAATCATTGTCAATAAAGGGAAGTGTACTATACCTACAAAGAAGTCTATCAGTAAAGAATTTTGTAAAATACCAAATATATTATTCTGTAAGTTTCTTGAGGGCAGAAGTTGTCACATTTATAAATTTAGCCCTACCTGCCTCACTCCTTCCCAGCTCCATGTTTCTCTACTTTAACAGCTGGCATTGAAACATTCAGAAAATGTTTACATGAACTGAATGTGTACTTTCAATGCCTTGGAAATAAGCTGATTTTACAGTATTACCAACCAAGCAAATTAGAAAATCTTCATGAATTTGTCTAAATTTTTCTAAGCCTATGTGTTTGACTTTTTTTCTTTAAAAACATAAATTGCATATTGAACTATATTATTTGAAGAAGCAAATAATATTTATAAACTGGTAACTGGCCCTCAAGAAGACATGAATCCAAGTGAAAAAAAAATCCAAGTCTGACAAAGTGAAATAATAGCTAGAGATGGGCCAAAAATAATAATCATTTACTGGGCCTCTGTTATATAATAGACACTAAAAATACCAAGACGATAAAGGAAATGGTTCTTGCCATCCAGAAGCTGATGTGTCACACTCACCGATTTGCATTTCCTTTGTTTTTGGACCAAGAATATATAAAGAGATAAGGAATAACATTCTAATGTCTACTGGGGGAAACCAAAGACATTTGGAGCATTTTTTCCCCTCATGGGAGAGGATAAGAAGATAGCTTTTGCCTGGTTTGGTGAAAATAATTCCACTATAGCAAATGACTCTTCATAGAAGAGGCAAGTTTTATATTTCACTTTCTTTATGAGAAAGAATATACATGTAGATATGCAACATCTCTCCTTTATTAACTGTAGAAATCTGTGGGGACTGTAATTGCTTTCACAGCATAGAACATCTGTTTGTACAGTCAAATGATACATTGTGGTCTACCAGCTCAGAGCGTTTTTTTTTTTTTTCTTTTTTAGACAGGGTCTCACTCTGTCGCCCACTGGAGTGCAGTGGCGTGATCTCGGCTCACTGCAACCTCCACCTCCCAGGTTCAAGCGGTTTTCCTGCCTCAGGCTCCTGAGTAGCTGGGGCTATGGGCGCGTGCCACCATGCCTGGCTAATTTTTTGTATTTTTAGTGGAGATGAGGTTTCACCATGTTAGCCAGGATGGTCTTGATCTCCTGACCTCATGATCCACCCGCCTTGGCCTCCCAAAGTGCTGGGATTACATGCGTGAGCCACTGCGCCTGGCCGCTCAGAGCATTTTGACCAAAAAAAAATCAACTTTAATTTGGGACAAACACATTCAGTGGAATAATTGTCATTTTGATATTGTAGATATTGACAAAAAATTTTATCTATAATTTTAATAATATGTGGATTAATAAACATGTTTTAGGTTGGATGCTATGTCATGCCTGTAATCCCAATACTTTGGGAGGCTGAGGCAGGATGATTGCTTGAGGACAGGAGTTTGAGGCCAGTCTGGTCAACATAGTGAGACCTCATCTCTACAAAAAATAAAAAAAAATATTTTAGCGAATATCATCTACCTTCATTTTTAACATAACAAGTTCACTGCTGGGTGCAGTGACTGATGCCTGTAATCCCAGCACTTTGAGAGGCTGAGGTGGGCGGATCACACTAGATCAGGAGTTTGTGACCAGCCTGGTCAACATGGTGAAAACCCTGTCTCTACTAAAAATATAAAAATTAGTATGGCATGATGGTGCGTACCTGTAGTCCCAGCTACTCCAGAGGCTGAGGCCAGAGAATCGCTTGAACCCAGGAGGTAGAGGTTGCACTGAGCTGACATCAGGCCACTGCACTACTGCCTGGGTGACAAAATGGGATTCTGTTTCAAAAACAAAACAAAACAAAAATTAGCTGGTCATGGTGGCTCGTGCCTGTAATCCCAGCTACTCAGGAGGCTGAGGCAGGAGAATCGCTTCAACCCAGGAGGTGGAGGTTGCAGTGAGCCGAGATCGTGCCACTGCACTCCAGCCTGGGTGACAGAGCGAGACTCCATCTCAAAAAAAAAAAAAAAAAAAAACACAAAACGAAAACAAAAACCAAAAAACAAGTTCACTACAAAGCTATCTATGGTTTATCATTACCCAGGAGGTAGGAAATAAATACATGAAAATATCAATTAGTCATATCTTGTACCTTAAGTTTTAGTACATTTATTAACTTAATTTACACTTAAAAGTTTGCATTGTGTAAGAGGTGAAACTATAAGTGCTAAAACTATAGGTATCAGAAATAAGAAAAACAAAAGAAGACATCTACCTGACAATTTTGCCTTAATGACCATCAGAGTTCTACACTTTAGGCAAATCAACAAGACTTTGAATTTCATTCTTCTCATTAGTGAAAGGAAGATACTAAAGCCTGATCTGTCTTCGCTAGGATAGTTGAAAAGATTTAGAAAAGATTAATAATGGTGATAATGATAGGATAGTAACAATGGCAGCTGTTTACCAACTATCTGTAATAATACATGAAGCACCCTTTAATTGTAAAACATTCTTTTTATGGTTGTAAAAATATTTGTGTTTTGGTTCTTGGGGAGTTGTTTCTGGACTCTGTTTTTCACAATGTTAAGCCACTGCAGAAAGTCTTATTTTTGGAAAAGGAATCAAGTGGGAGGAACAGCCTCAACCTGTGTTATAACAACTTAGTACTGGTTTCTGTTTACTATGGTGCTTCTTTTTTATTGTCTTTATTCATTTCTAAAACTAGGAGTTGGTCTAGATTTCAACTAGTTTGCCTTGTCACAGAAGTGATCGCAATATTTGAGATATTTCAAAAAATTCAAGTGTTTTTTTCTCATTATAAAGCACATCTTATAACCCAGTCTAGTTTTCTTCCCTCTGCAATGCACTGTTAGTTTGCATTGGTAATAGAAATTAATATATTATTCTGACAAATATAAGCACATATTTTATAAATTTGGGGTCACTTAATATTCTTTCATACCATTAAAATTATTTGTAAACCTCATTTTAATAACTGTATTATTTCCAGTCATATGGGCGTTATAACCACTCCATTAACTTTTGTTGTTCAGATTTTTAAATAAATAACAATGTAGTAAAATATTACAAAAAGATCTTTTAAACTTCTTACCTACAATGATTTTTCCTTTCTAATAGTACCTGGAAATGTGTAATTCATTTAATAAGTTGGTCTCACCATTTGCAGAGAGAAGGAGCAAATGGAGTTTAGCAGATAGCTAGTCTACTAACAATGAGCCACTGTGTTCAAATTTAATAGGGTAATGTCCCTAGTTACTTACTTGTAGATAGCTTTCTGGGAGGTCTTATGTTACTGCTAATTCGTAAGGTCGAGTTCCACCATATGTTCATTTAACATACACAAATTCAGTGATATATTTGGAGTAAACAACTTTCATTTTCTCTCTCTCTCTCTCCACACACACAGACCTACCCTTTTTCATATAATGTGGTCACTGAATGCTCCTAACTACTTCTAGTTGCAGAAACAGAAAACTGCTCCAACGCTGGGGTTAAAGTATGATGAGATGAATTTAGTAAGAGACACTACCATTTACATGACCTGTGCTTACTGTTCTGTTTTGTCAGCAATTTAAGAGATTTCCAGGGTGATTTTGACTGCATGCAAATTTTGCCTTACACATTGATCTTAGAACCTTGTCCTGCTGTAGATGTAATGCCCCTGAAATGGAGATTTTTGAATCAAACCATCTCATGTTTAGTAAGAAGTTTAACTTACATGGTTGATGAAAATATGGTAATGGAGTTGAAAATCACAAATTCCATTTTACTTTTCAATAAATAAGTAGACAGTCTTTTTTTCTTTATACAATTTATTCCTGTAAAATAGGTCATGTTTTCCCATAGGAACAATGTAAGATGGGGATAGAATTCTTGATCAGGAACAGAGTACCAAATAAGATGAAATGAATAATGTAAAGACAAAGATAAAGCAGCTATAAATGTCTGTGATCAAATAAAATTGTAACATTTAAAGGTATCACACAGAATTCTACAGCTATGAGGGAGCTTAAGGATTGTTCACTTCTAGGCATTTCATTTTATATGTGAGAAAACAAAGTCCTGTAGACACCAGGAGGGTTTACCAAAGCAAGAAATTAGTAGCATAGCCAAGATTGAAACCAGATGACCCGCCTTCTAATTCAGTGTCTTTCTGCTACACTGTACTGTTAAATGTCCTGCAAAGACAGATCAATAACTATAAAGTATATATGAAAACACTACTTTCTTAAATAACTTATTTAACTAATAAATTATCTAATTAAATAGTTAAATTATTCAATAAAGTATTATTATTATTCAATAATAATTATTCAATAATTCAATAATAATTATTGGTTAAATAATTAAGTAGTATTTTCATATATACTTCATAGTTTAACTAATTAGTTAAATTATTTACTAGTTATTTACTAAATTATTAACTAATAAATTAAATATATTAATTAATCATTTAGTAAATAATTAGTAAATAATTTAGTTATTTAGTAATTAGTAATAATTTCATAAATAATTAGCAAATAGATAATTTAATTAAATAAACTTAAGTAAATGTAATGAACTTTAGTATACACTAATTAACAAACAAACATTAATTTTGCTTTTTTTTTTAGAAGACCTATTGGTAAATCATTTGGATGGTGTATTATCATTTTTTAAAGACTGTCCCAAAGCTTGCACTGATGCTGTTTCAATTCCATCCCTTTCCCCACTGTCACACAGTTCACCTCATCCCCAACAAAAACTGTATCAGGGATGGCTTTGAATAATAGACAGAGTAAGAAAAAAATATATAGGACAGTTATGGTCCTTGAAATTGAAATTTGTGTGTTGACTTGAGGAACCTCTTAGCACCAGCTCAGAAGAGCCTTGTGACCATCTTGCCCAGTTTCCTGGGCACACCATCCACTTTTTGTCACCCACATGGACCCTTGCTATAATGGCACTGACAAATGAAGGACTGGTTAGACGATGTCAACTTTTTTATGACATGAAAAGGGAGACTGTTTTAGCAACTTGCTCATTCTTGGCATAAATATTCCAAACTTTCATGGAAAATGCTATATGAAAACAATTTGTAAGTTTCATGAAGAAAGGAGAATTCACAGCTCAACTTCTTTCCCACCCGAATCATTTATTCTTGCACATATTTCCCCTTCATATGAACACTTTAAAACAAAAGCACACCAAGTTCCCTGTTTTTTATCTCAACAGAAATAGGTAGACGCCACTGTCAGTTATCAACTCCACTCCACGTCAAGACTTAGTGAAGAGAACAGGAATCTATTCATCAAGCTCTAGATCAAGGTTCAAAAATGAAACAAAAACCAAAACCTGAAAACAAAGAAGGCAAATCTTTATTTTTCAAGTGAAAATGGCGGAGTCTCTTTTAGGAAGAAATGTGGCCTTGTTTTTGCATTATTTGAGAAATTAAATGTATTATTCTTTTTGAGAATTTAAATTCAGTGTATTTTTTTTCCTCAGTATATGGAGCTTATAAATAGTTTTTCTGCGTAATTTTTATGATTTCATTTGGAGAATTAGAAATCATATAAACAATGTGTCTTAAACATATCATTCGTCTTTCTGAAAACTCACGACTCCAATTATTTATTTTATTTTTATACAACTTATTTCTAATTCATATTGATGAACTCTGGTGGATGAATCAAGGTAAATAGTACACATTTAAATAATGGCATTCAAAACAATTTAAATAATTACTGAATATGACTTCTGGACACTCTCTTTTTCACCATTTTTAGGGGTGTTTATTGTTAAATATGTCATATAGATTAGTATTCTTATATATTTCCTGGGTTTTTAAATAATAATTTCTTACAATATTAAACCTGCTCTTGGGCAGAAAATATAAATACATTCATTATGCTACAGCTATACTTAATAATAGCATAAGATATTGATGATGAAACACTAAACAGTGAAATAAGACATGAATGAAGTGATAACATTGATTATTGAGAGGATACTTAATCAGCAGGGGAGAAATTTAGGAAAGGTTTGGCCTTTTTAGTTGCTATGTTGTTAATTTGGTTGGCTCTTCAAAACATGTAATAGTAACCCATTTCTCACTTCATCTGTATTGATTTGAACTTCAGAAATTGAAAGGAAAAGGTTTTCCAATCCCTCCAATTTTACATCTACTTCAAAGTGTTATGGTCCTTCTTATGTTATTTAAAAATCATTCGATAATTTGTTAATATATATTGAACAAATCAACAATGTTGCAAAGAGCAACCTGTTTTTACAAAGTTAAGATTGGACATTTAAGGACAAATATGGTTCCAGTAGATAACCTAAAGAACTCGGAACAATTAGGAAGAGCAAACTGTAAACCCTTGAAATCTGTAATTCTTTCCTTGATGACTAAGACACAAAATTGGCTCTTTGGTTTGTAATTACTGCAGTGATTCTAGAACTAAATAGATGGTGCTAAGTTTATAAATCAGTGCACACACATCGTTATTATTGCCAAAGGATCTCAGTATAAATTTCTACATTCCAAAATTATGCCACAAAAGGCAGTATGAAATGTGGGTTGAATATAAATACTGTACATAGTCAGAAGCATAATAAACACTCCAAAATGTTTATTGAATTATTATCACACATAGGGCTTAGAAAATACATACATACATTATATTTATTTTAACTCAGGTATATAAGTACATTTATATTTTCTATGTATATAAAATAAATTAAATGCAAAAATAATTTTAATCACTTACTTGTTTAAAATAGTACTCAGTAGACAAAGTCCATGATAAAAACACAAAATCAAGAACAGATCTCTGGACATTTCCTGAAAAGATATTTTCTGTTATATTTACAGCATAATAAAAACATTTTACATATTTACTATAAAAAATATAATAAAAGTAATATTTTTAGGAGTCATTGTATTAAGGACTTCATATGTATTATATCATTTAATCCTCTGAGGGGTTCTATGAGATGGAAATTCTTTTATTCCGGTTTTTCAGAATAAACCATCAAGGCCCTCAGCTGCATGAACTAGGTCACACAACAGTAATGGAAGAGCCAAGATTTAAATCCAGACCTGTCTTGATTGCATAGTCTCTTACCATTCTCTCTCTTCCTGGAACTGCAAAGGATGCAAGTTTTGCATGTATTATGTTTACGTGCCAGTTTGTAAGCAATGCTGAAGACCTACAAAATGAGAAATTATGAAAAAAGTCATGAACTTTATGAATAATAGTTTTCATCCATGTCAAAAAGTCATAGATTTTAATGAATAATTGTTTCATCCATGTCAAAAAGTCATGGACTATGAATAGTAGTTTTCATCCATGTGGGTTTCAGGATAAATAAGACAGTAATCTGTAACCCTTTCCTCCCTTTAGCTTTGTAATAAAATTGTTTTTCTGGTGAGTTTTGTTGGAAATCGTGGCACGTTCACCCGTGGGTACCGAGCAGTCATCCTGGATATGGCCTTTCTCTATCACGTGGCGTATGTCCTGGTTTGCATGCTGGGCCTTTTTGTCCATGAATTCTTCTATAGCTTCCTGGTGAGTACATCTCTATGTGGACAATCACTGCTGAAAAAGTACACAATGCTGCTGCTTCTTATGCCTCTTCCTTTGATTTTTTTTTTTAAGCAAAGCCTGACATTTAGGACAAATTATGTTATTTTTAGAATTTCCTAGGAAAAGCGTGAATTATTATCATTTGTAATCTTTTTTCTTTGGGAAACCACACAGGTGGTGGAGTTCTTTATTTCCTCTTTGAGAAGCAACCAGTCACCCCACCTCTTGACCCAGGCTTCACATGACAAGGGCTGCTTTTGCTTTCAGCCAACTAATATTTCCCTTTACATTTAAAGATTCTCTACAGTGTGGGAGACAAAATAGGGGTATATTTTCTTAGGTACTGAAATCATTGTATTTTATTTATAATATCAAAAATTATGTGTACCTTTAGAATAGCATATAAGTAAAATGAGGGGGATTTAAAAAAACCATCATAGCAAAGAGACAGTTGTTTTAAGAACAGTCTTATAGTTTTTGGTTTAATATGTCCTTGCTGTTAAACTTATCTACATATATTTAACTCATTAAGTGGCTCTTTCAAATTTTTTTCTAAAGGTTACTTTTTAAAAAAATTCTGATTTACCTTCCTATATATGTACTGGTTTATAGCCATAAACCAGGAGAGGAGTCAATATAAATATGTGATAATGTTTTGAAGCTTAAAAAGCACTACCAGGTTACCATCATGATGCCATAGGAACAATTTATTTATCTTTCCAGTTCATAGTTGGCATGCAGTGGAGAGCATTGTCCAATAAGATGATCCCTGAAAACAAGTTAAACATCTAAAAACATTTTGTTGAGGAATTTGCCTGAGTCATGAGGGACAAATCCAGCACCTCCTGCCTCCCTATTATCTAGCACACCGATTTGAGAAGACTGAAATGAGGCCAATTTTCCATATACCCTCAAACATTTGAAAGAGCCACAGTGAAGAGTAGATTTGTCTATTATGTTTTCATATAAACTTATAGGCAGTTAAGTTAGATTATTCAGCAACAGATATTTTTTCCGTTCTAACAATCTAAATGAATTCTTTTTGCCCTGATTCACCAGAAAAAGTTCATTTTTTAACCAGTCAGTGATACATAAAGTCCTATTATACCCAGCACTTTTACCTGACTGACATGTAATATTCTATAATTTTTAAACCACTTTACTGAAGTATAGCTGACATACAGAAAGCTATACCCATTTAATGTATGCAATTTGATGAGTTTATAATACTTTTGTGCTCAACTTTCTTGTTTATAAAATGGATAGGAATATCAAGATCCATTAAACAGATGTGTTAGTCCGTTCTCACACTGCTATGAATATACTACCTGAGACTGAGTAATTTATAAACAAAAGAGGTTTAATTGATTCACAGTTCCACATGGCTGGGGAGGCCTAAGGAAACTTACAATCATGGTGGAAGGTGAAGGGGAAGCAAGGCATGTCTTACATGGTGGCAGAAGAGAGAGAGGAGAGCACGGGGGAAACTGCCACTTTTAAAACCATCAGATCTCCAGAGAACTCCCTCACCGTCTCAAGAACAGCATGAGGGAAACCACCCCCATGATCCAATCACCTCCCACCAGGTCCTTCCCTTGACACATGGCGATTACAATTCGAGATGAAATTTGGGTGGAGACACAGAGCCAAACCATATCAGATAATATGAAAAACATGTGAAATGATGTACACATGTTTATGTTTTTATTAACCCCATTTTCTAATTGTATTTTCCTCTGGTCTTTTATCTTTCAAATCTTACAATATTGATGGTAGTTTGTTTTTAGTGGGTTGGTTCTGAAAAGGATATAGTCCATTTTGATGTTTAGAGGACTAGAAGAAAATTGTGGTATACATGATATCAAAAATCGTATGTAAGTATATTTTTAAAAGATTTTTTATATTTGAAAAAATATTTGAATATTCCCTGTTGTACCCACAATTGTCAGTCTTTTATCCAGAATAATAAAAACCACACTCTAGATTTTGTTTTCAGAAATAAATGGAAAGAACAATCAGCTTGCCCAATGTCAACAGCTTTTGTAAGATTCTGATTCCATGGGCCTAGAACGGAACCCAGGCATATGCATTTTTAGCAAGCATCCCAGGAGCTCCTGAAAGCTGTAAACGTTCTCTAGAGCTGACCTACAGCACATTGCCAGATTTTTTTTTCTTTAAACCTCAGCTGAGTTGACTTAAAGAAAAATCTCGACTATGTCAACTTACTGCTTAAATAAATTTAATAAGCCACAGTGTTGACAATTTGGAAGTTGAATGTGCATTAGTTAATTTGTCTGTACTGAAGAATATTGACTTCATTTCTAAAGCTGGCTGCTCCTTCCAGGAGGTAAATAGATTGCAAAATAGACTTTTAAAAAATTTAACCATCGTAAAATAGCAGTTTCCATAGGTGAGCAAACAAGTTAATATCTAGTCAGCAATTATTTGCAAGACTACAATTAAATTGGACAGTAACTGTATAACCCTCAGTACTCAGAAAAAAAATAGACAAGGTCCTGAAAGGGTATATGACACATAATTGATCATTTCAGCCAGTTCAGAAACTCTAATTACTGCCCACAGATAGAAGACAAACCTCAATTATTCCAATTTTAAAAATACTATTCATTTCCAAACAGATATTTATACCTTTCTAAAAGTGAATGTGATTTTATTGCATTTAACCAGATTTTAATAATAAAACACATACTTTCTAATGTATAATTTCAACTTTATAATGTAGCAATAAATAAAATTGTCCTTAGTGTCTACACAGATTGCAAACACATAGCTTGACTAGTGCATAGATTTTCTACTACTGAAGACAAAATAGGTAGTAACCTATTAGAGAAAATCAATTAGCAATGTACATATTATATTTTTGTTTATACTTCCATTTCCAAAAGTATATACTAAAGTAATAGGTTTTTTTCCTCATTATACCCTGTTACTAAGGAAGGATGTTTGCATTTCCCAAATAGTTTTATATTTCATACTTTTCCGGCTGCATCAGACTCATGAAACTGTTCTTACAATTTCACCTCTAATCCCTTGATTAAGTAATACATTTAATGAATTTGTCAATTGTTCATCACTCAGGAGGACCTAATTCAGCATTCTCACTTAAGCCATTTTACATATTCCAGAAGTAACTGCAGAATATCAGTAAGACCAAAAATAAAGAATAAGTGAATAAGTAGCTAAGCTGGTAAAGTACAATGTAACTTTTCTGAATTCAAATGTAAAACTAAGCTATTTCTGTAATGTTTTAGTAAATTGATATTATGTTGGTTTTGAAACCAACAGATGCACATTATATGTTGTGCTAGATGTATCTTTATAGAAAAACAATTTATTAATATATTCCAGCTGGAGAAGAAATAAATACTTTGGTTCATTTTAAGGTGGTTTAGGTTATTTCTTTATATATAAACTAGAATGGCTTGCATTTGTATTTGTAATTATATTTTTGTTTGTTCACCTTTTCCTCCAATGCCTTCTTTTCTTATTAGTGTTTTCTTTATCTTTGTAGCTTTTTGATTTGGTGTACAGGGAAGAGACTTTGCTGAATGTCATAAAAAGTGTCACACGAAATGGCCGCTCTATTATTCTAACTGCAGTCCTGGCTCTCATCCTCGTCTACCTGTTTTCCATTATTGGGTTCCTTTTTTTGAAGGATGACTTCACTATGGAAGTTGATAGGCTGAAAAACCGAACTCCTGTTACAGGTATTGCTATTACCACTAAATGAGGTTTCTCTGATGGCAGATATGACTTGTGTGTAGCTTGTTAACAGGATCATAGATAAACACGAATAGAGGAAATGTTTTCTTTTATTCCTTTGAGAATATGTTTTGTTTACTACTAAGAGTCAGGAATGTGAAGTACTCTTAGGCTGTATATTAGCTGTCAATGTGTATAGGGAAATACTTACATGAGAAACACCATCCCAGCTCAGTCTCGGTAAGAAAGTTTCAATAAAGCTGACTATATTCCAAAAGATAGTCAACAACTTCAGTGCAGGATAATAACTTTAAAAATCTTTTCCTCCTCTTTTTCCCTGTCTCCCCAAAAATAACAGCTAGCATCATTCACAATCATTATTCCATACATGTTTGATCATAGTGTATCATATTATACTTAAATAACTGAAAATGATAAATGCTTTGATTTGAAACCACCAGATCATAAGAAATTTGCTCAAAATATTGAGCAAAAGAAGGAAGACATGCTCAAAATATTGGGATTAATGGACCAAATCTATCAGTGTGTGACTTTCAGAATTTCTATACTCTATTTTTGTCGTGACTGGTTAGGCACCGTCCATTTATAATCAGTGTGATTCCTGTGGTGTTAGGCTTTATTCTCTCCATGTTATTTTGATTTTTTTATTTATTAAGCTTTCTAAAGTGTTTTTCTCCCTTTCCTACCTTGTGTTGTTTTGGTTAAGCTTCTGAAGTTTATTATTCTTTTTCCTCCTCCCCTGCTTTGCTGGGTAGAAATCATAGTTCTGCACTTTGCTAATGGTTTCTCTGGGTGATTCTGCCGACTATGGGTTGTAGAGAATGGAAACCAAAATATGACACTCTTTCTCCTCAAACCGTTAAATGTAAAACTAGGATTTAATTAGTGATGCCTTGCAAATGGTATTCTGTCTTGCCTTTAACAAACATTTCTTAATTACTAAATTGACGATATATGGTAGTACTTAGATTATGGCACTTAAGTCTATTAGTAAGTCTCAGTCATCAAAGCACAGAATGGAAACATCATATATGTGGACTGGAAGTTATTAAACTTGAGACTGTCCTGAATTTTATACCTAGGTATTAGTCTTTATTCACAGGAACATAGAGTATTTTCTGTTACTGTCTTTCTTGTTCTTCTTCCTTAAATGTTACTTTTCCCAGAGTTTTACAGGTATAAATATGGGGACTTGTGTTTGTGTGTGTGTGTGTGTGTGTGTGTGTGTGTGTGTGTACATATATACATGTAGACTATCTGCTTCCCAAAACCTCCACATTAATTACTTACTAGATTTGAGGCATGATGACACTGAGTAACTCAGTACAGATTGAGTCTAAAGCTGAATCGTAATTTATGAATTCAAAATGTGTGCAGTAGTTATTGTCTTACAAATCAAGTGGTAAATATTTTGTGCTATTTAAAAAGTAACTTGGTTATCATTGTGTTATGAACATAAATATTTTCTTTGGAAAAATGCCTTTTTTCTTTTTTTGTTTTTTACAAAATGGGCAGCAGTAGACCAGAAGTTTCAAGCTCTTTACTTAAAAATATTTATACACATTCATATAGAATGCTGTTCAATAAAGCTTTTATAAATACTATGAAAACCCAGCATATGGGGACAGTTAACAAAGTTAAACCCTTGATTATTCATATATTAAGAGTGTTTGTTTCATAGACTGAGATTATACATGACATGATGCCCTAGGAAAAACACCCTTGTTTTCATAATATTTCAAATTTCATTTCTAATGCCGCATATTGTCTCTATTGATACATAGTGCTAAGTTTATTCTTTCATGTATTGGACACTATTTACTTGCAAAGTTGACTATGTATATTGAGTGACATTATTGAGGACACCCCTGGGTAGCCAGTGAAATTTGGAGTGCAGAGAAATATGCAACTCTGTAGCGAATGAGAAGAAAAGATCAGAAAATCAGTTGGTGGGAGCAATGAGGGGAGGTTGAGTTCTAAAGCTGAATGGTAAAGCCATCACAGGGCCCTGTGAGAATAGAGGACGGGTAATTGGCAAATGCCATTGCAAACGCAGATCCTGCCTGCAGGACCAGAGGAATCTGGGTTGATAGATGAAGTAGCTGCCACTTGAGCAATGTTCAGAAAATTGGTGTCTTAGAAAAGTCTGTGAACTTAGAGAGAAGGATCTGTTGAGAAGTGGAGGTGACAGTTTCTCTCACCCACACCTGTCCCTCTTCCCCATTTTCAGCGCCATCCTCCTGTTTCTCACCCTTCTGTTTCTCACCTTCATTTCCACTCACCCAGAATTCTGCTGGAGCCACCTATGTGGCTTCCCCACCTATAGCCTCTCTTCTGCCTGCCCAAATTACTCATTCCAACCATAGCTCTCACTGTCTCTCATTGGTTCACAGCCTTTAGATCTGCACTGGATGTGGGGTTCTTGGTTTAAAGTAGTGGCTGGTAGCTCTGGTCACTCTGACTGGTCCATGCCTTCATTGGCCTCTGCGCCTTTTGTCAGACAAATTGTACCTGGAATCACCCCCTTTGCTCCCTGCCTTACCTTGATGAATCTAAGTCCTATGACTCCTTTAGATGGACCCTTTTCCAAAAAGCTTTCTGGGTTTTTTTCCCCCTCCTAGAATTCACTTCTTCCTCCTCTAATGTATTACATTAAAAAAGAAATCTGTACTTCACTCTCTCCAGTCAATTATAATTGTGTCTATATCTCTCTATGTCCTCTAGCTAACTGTTGTTCTTCCAGGCCTCAGCTCTGGGCCTGGGGGGCCTAGCAGGATGCTTCAGTAAGTATTAAGTAAGGGAATGGCCACAGGGCACACTCTTCTCTCACTTTCTGACCCCCCACACCCGCACACCCTCAACTCAGGATTAATGGGGATGTGCCCACCCTCAGGGGATGGAGGTAAATCTGTGTCTGGGGAGGACACTAGCTCTCTCAGCTCCAGTGTTTGTGTGGCTGGCAACCCCAGCCTCACTCTGCCTCCTCCTCCTCATGTTTCCTTCAAACTCCAGCTTTCCTTTGCCATTTCTACCCCATCTCAGCTGATTAGTCACAGTCAGGGTAATCATGGTGTGGCATTGCTGGGAAATGCACTTCAATACTGCTACAGCCTTTGTAGCTACAACTGGACCTACCCTTGTCTCTCCATCATGAAGACTTCCCTCGATGGCTCTATGGGAAAAATAGGTTTGAGAGGAACCTCTTTACTTCATATGTGTTACTAACAAAAACAACATTTAAAAAAATAAAACGTTGTTTCATACAAATAGGAGGGTTACTATTTTCTATTCTATTCTGTGTCAGGGAAATAGGTGGTGAGCCAGGAAGCAGATGGATTCCTGGGGACTATGGAAGAATAGAAGATCCTGAACACAGATCTGGCAGAAGATTTTTGCTCCCCAAGGCATATGATGCCCTTAGTTCCCTAGAGCCTGTACCTGACTGTTAGAACCACTACCAGCAGCAGTCCCTGCCTCAGTTGTAGGGACGAGTGGCTTAGGGCTCAGGGACTGCCAACTGCACTGAGGGGAATATGTTCCTGGCATCCCAAGTCAGAACCCTGAATGAGTTTGCCCATGGAAACATTATTACACATGGATGTAAAGGTCTACAGTATTAATACTTTATCTCAACCACTTAAAAAAGGTATAAAAGGCTTTTAGTGGGTTGGCCTATGAAGCTATTCTCCATTTATAAAATTGCTTCAATAGGCAAAACTGTGTTCAGAATTCCATACTAACTTCCTAGGACTTTAGGAACACAGCTAAGTTGGAGTATGAATGCCTTTAATTTACATATCTTTAGAACTGTAGGTTCAGTTTTCATCATGTGCATATTTGACTCTATATTATATACTACTTTGTATTTTCTTAGGCAGTCATCAAGTGCCTACTATGACTTTAACTACCATGATGGAAGCATGTGCCAAGGAGAACTGTTCACCCACAATTCCAGCTTCAAATACAGGTTTGTAGAAAGGACTCTGGGTCAGTATGAACTTGATATCTTTGAAGTTTTATTTAGTAAATATTATTACCTCTTAGGGAATTGCTCTACAAATTTCATGATGGATTGAAATAGAAGAATAGAGAGTAAAAGAACCAAGATGATTTGAACAGGAGAAAGGATTCCCACATTGGTCATTTTGTACCCCTCTCCTGTTCGTTATATTGTTTCTATTCAGGAGGATTTAGCACATTTACCCTGTGGTATGTGCTGCTGAAGATTCTATTACCATATTGCAAACCACACTAAGTGAGTCCCTTTTAGCTGTGTAGCCTTTCACACAGGATCGGGAAGAGTATGGGCTTATAATTCAAAAGACTTGGTAATAATCCTGGACTTGACAGTCTCTAGCTCTATGTCTTGGACAAGTTATGCAAATTTCCTGGACTTTGTTCAGATGACTTGCCTGCCTATCTCTCTCTCTCTAGAGAGAGAATGAGAATGAAACTTTCCCTGCCTCCACAGGATCAAATGGAACCATACATATAAAAATAATAATTCTTTAAACTCTGAATTGATCTCATAGGATGTGGCAGGCTGGAAACTATGGCATGTGTCATATATAAGGAACTGTAGAAGAAATTAGTGACCTGTTTCCTGAAGCAGCAAAGATTTAGGGAGTGTATGTCTTCAAATATCTTAAGGGTTGTCATATACAAAAAGGAGCAGATTTAGTAGGAGTTGATGTGTTGTATCTACAGAGGGCAAAGTTAGACTTAGGACAGATAAGGGAAGAAAGAGTTAAGCATAGTGTAGGTGCGGAGTTCCCCAGTTTCCATCTGGGACCACACTGTTTGTCTGGTCATAATGATAGTGCTTTCTTTCCTAAACGGCCTTTTCCTTGAGATGTTGGACTATTGCTTGAGGAATAATGAATAGACCCTTCTACTGACTAAATATTTTATGCTTCTTGACCTAAAGAGAGAATTAAGCACATGAATACATTCCATCCAGTGTCCCAGCAGCCATAGGCACTGTGGGCAGCCGTCACCAGCACTTCTCTCCCCTGCCGCCTGCTCTCCCAGTCAAGGCTCACAATAAGAACCAGCTCATTCTTGACTCGTATAGCATTATTGTGCTCTGCAGTTTCTAAAATCCTGCTATTTGCATCCTCCAATCTAAACACCTCCGATTTCTTCAGCTTTCCTCACATACTATAACAGTGAGTACTGCCATGACACTCCAGGGCAAGCAGTTGAAAAGTGCTGTCTTGTTCTGGATACTGGAGTTTAGAACCACATCACACTCTTGATCCATATTTGGCTGACTCTTGGCTAAAATGCCATTCTTCACTGGTTCAGCTGTCATGTCATAAACAGCCACCCTGTTCTCATATAATTAGGAGTTTGGGATTTCAAATAGAAGCCCATGCATTTTTTTTCTACATATTTCTGCCAGCCCATAATCCCAGGTCGTCGCAATTTGACCAGTGAATAGACAGGAGGTCTTTGCCCGGAAGATCTCTCGGTTTCAGGTCCCTTCCAGTTCTAATGTGCCATGAGCCTCATGGTGTCCGTATGGATCCTGATTCTGTCAAGCAATATATTTATTCTCCTTCATGTCCTCAAGTTTGATACACCCTTGAACAGAGGGTGGCAAACTATGTCCCATGGGAAAATATGACTTGCTCTAGTTTTATACAGCCGTTGAGCTAAGAATGATTGTAAATTTTTTTTTTCAAGAAAAACATGTGATGGAAACTGTATGTAAGCCTAAGATAGTTGGCATCTGGCTACAGAAATTTTTTTTTTGCCAACCTCTGTTCTAGAAGATTTCCATTAAGGGTGCCAGAAATGCATAGGACAGCAATGCAGTGCTAAGCACTAGAACATGCTCTCACATGGACATGGTTGCATTTTGTGCAATTCTTCAGTTGCATAGAAATCTCTCTTAAAGAAACTGTTAACATCATTCCGCCCATGTTGCTCTATCTTTTTTCAAAGGATATCATGAGACTTTTTATCAAAGACTTTTTGCCAAAGCCCAGATACATGATGTCTGCTACTTTTCTAATTTGAGGTTAGTCTGAACGTGTACTGAATGCACTGATAGTGTGGGTTAGTCCTAACTCACACTGTCTCTTTAGTGATCCACTTTAGTATCTTGTCTTGGTGTCAAACAGCATTTTTCAGCAGCTTGCAGAGTCTGTCACAGTCTCAAATTCAGGTCTACAGGTGTCCCTCATTTTCCATCATTATCCATGACTTTTTAAAAAATCACTTTTTAAAAAGAGACATTTTGAAAACTTGAACATAGTTGAAATAGCTGGGTAAAATTAAATGACTCCTGGGATCTCTTTGGCCACCTCAAAGTTCAGATTATTGTCATCAGTATTTATTTCTCTTTTAATTCAACATTTCCCCCCTTAACAGAGTATGAAAAATAATATGTTAAAAAGTTTATTATTAACACAAATATTTTATTGTAACAACATGGTTCCAAGTATCAGTGGCCCTATGCTTGCATTGGTCTTCTATCTCTGAATATTTCTTTAATATTGTTTCCTTTATTTTAAAGCAAATATACTTTAACTGTGGTTTGATTTCAAGACAAAATATTGCTTTGCTAGTGAACCAGCAACAAAGCTAGTACTTGTTGTTCCAGAGTATACAAAGAGGGCTGACTCAGTGGGCCCAGAAGAGGATCTGAGTCTCACCCACAGCGTGGTAGCCAGGGCTCCCAAGGCACAGAGAGAGAGAACTGCCAGGGCCACTCTCCTAGAATGAGGTCTTCCAGGTCATTCATAGTGTGAGACTCTCCCAGGATGGTTGGCTGCCCAGCTCTGTGTAATCCTGTAAATGTTAGGCTTTATACAACTCCCCAGGCATGATTGTTGATGCTCAACCAAATGGTCTATTGTAATTATTTCATACGTTATTACTATTGTGACATTTTGATCTTAAAATTTAAAAAGTAAATATTTTTAGAAAACGGGAGAGTAGTTAAGTCTATTCAGTACAAACCTTGATGATGAGGATGATAATATAATAAAAGCCTTGTGTATTCATTCCTTCATTCATTTTTTCACATAGTTATATTTGTTGAGCCTCTACTCTGGGCCAGTCACCATGCTAGCTGTTGAGGACACAGTGTTGAATAAACAAACATGATTCTGGCCTTTATAGAACTTACAGTAAGGGAAACATAAAAAGTTATAAGATAAGGTGAGTATTACTAACAGTGGTATGACTGATCATCACAATAGAGATTGGCTGTTGGGAGATTAGACAGAGAGACCTTTCTAAGAGGAATTACTTAAGTTGAGACTTGGAGGATGAGAAGGAGCTAGTCAGGCCGAGAGGAGGGAGAAGTGTGTTCTGGCCACATGGAACATCTGAGAGTGAACGCCCTGAGACATGTTCAAGGACCTGGAGAAGGCTTACTCATTTCAGGTACTGTGCTGAGCGCATTGTGTGCATTATGTCACTTAATTATCACAACAACCCTGTGAGATAGATAGATACTACTAGTTATCCTTACATTTTCGGTAGGGACCCTAAGGAAAGAGGCATTAAATAAGTTGCCAAGATCACAGCTAGTCAGTCAATGTATATCAACATAGATTTCAAAGCTTATATTCCAACCTTCTGTCTTATTGCCTCCTAATTAAAAGATCACTATAAATTATTTCTTCCCTAACCAAAATTTGAGATCATTTCATTTCACTGAGTATGTTTGGATAGATTTTTTTAAGCCTTTCTTTATACCTACTAAAGACAATTTCTTGAATATAAATATTCTCTGTTACGTATTTATGAACTGGAGTTGATTTTGTCCCCACCCCTACCCCAACCCCCCAGGGACATCTGACAATGTCTAGAGACATGTCTGTTGTCACAACTGGGATGGGGTGCTACTAGCATCTAGTGGGTAGAGGACAGGGATGCTACTAAGCATCCCACATTGCACAGGACAGTCCACAACAAAGAATCATCTAGCCCAAAATATTAATAATGTTAAGCTTGATAAACTGTTCTGTTTGGATGTTATTCATGACCCTGAATACAAACTCTTATAAAAGGCTTCCCAGGAAAACCTCTATAACCTGCACTTCACCTAATATATTACACAAAGAACATCATTTCTCCTTCCTATGAACAAATGGTGATTTGTTCCTCCCAGGCACATTGGGGGAAAGTCTCCATCTTTTAGGCTGCAGCAGAGCTAGGAGTTGGGGGAAGAGGTGGAGATGATTTTGTAAGGATAGCTGCCAGAGTAGGGAGGAAAGCGAGGATTCCATCTGGAGAGTGGAGGAGTTTCATCTCTGGAGATGTGTCACAGATACTGCTGGAAGCCAGAGATGGTGGCAATAGCTTTTCACAATTAGGGAGTATTCCTACATTAGTAATAAAAATACAGGAATGCCTGTATTAATCTACTGTTTCTTCCATACACTTTTTGTATTTGACATTGTAAGTGATAAAATTCATCTGTTTGAAAATGTTATGGATTTGATCTGCTAGCGTTTGGCACTTTTAAATTTTGACTGCATGTAGTTAACTGCAAAAGTAGAGTGAAAGCTAGAACCTGGGGTTTGTTGTGCAGCATGTGTCACTTAAATTTAAAAATAACTTCTATGTCTAAGACCAGGATTAAATTTTAACTTGCAAACCCTAGTGTGCATCCATGACAGCCTTAGTTTGTTACCTTGTGGACAGCAGGTCCATGTTACAAAAGGTACAGACATACACAGTAGCTTAATAACAAGCCTCACGGTGACTAGGAGGCAGAGTGGCCAGCTCCCTCAGAGGGCTCCTGTGGATGCAGGGAAGGTCATTGTCCCAGCGCCAGAAAATTCACGCAGTAACTGGCAACCAACTGTGTTTAAAAAAAAAAAAAAAAAAAAAAAAAACTTCATATTTCATTTGCTGCAGACCTCCCTGGTTCCTGAACAAAAATATTCACCTTAAAAAAAGCAAGGCCTTTTTGCAACAATTTACAAAATACAATTACAATTATTTTATAAGTAAAAATCATTCGAATGTACAGAAAAAAGGACAAAGTTCACAGACACTTAACATTTATGAATAATTCAAATTTAATATGTTTGGATATTTTACTTTAATAGAAAAGATTGATGAATACCAGAAACCAGTCAGCCTTAATGCATTCTACATTTTGGCTTCCCACTGGGTCCCCAGTGTTTTAAATTTTTTTTCTCGTTAAAATTTTTATTTCTTATTATTTATTTATTTTTCCAGCAGTACTGACATTTTGGATATAGTTGAAATTTTTAAAATCAGCATTTCCACCAATGAATTGATTATAATTAAAGCTTAAGACTGACAGGCAAGAGGTTTTTTTGTTTTGTTTTTTCTTTTTTGTGATGGAGTCTTGCTCTGTCATCCAGGCTGGAGTGCAATGGCACAATCTCAGCTCATTGCAACCTGCACTTCCCAGGTTCAAGTGATTCTCCTGCCTTAGCCTCCTGAGTATCTGGGATTACAGGCATGCACCACCACGCCTGGCTAGTTTTTGTATTTTTAGTAGAGAAGGTGTTTCACCATGTTGGCCAGGCTGGTCTTGAGCTCCTGACCTCAGGTGTTCCACCCACAAGAGGTGTTCATTTGCACTCATACTTTCAAACGTGTCTCAGTGACAATCCCTTGTTTTCTAAGAAACCATAACAAACACTGAATTTAATTATTAAAGCAGAAAAATGGCATTATTAAATACCGTTATTCAAGCATGGCCAATATTTTTTAAAATTTATAGATTAACACCTCAGATTAGAGGGAACTATTTCAGAGCCACTAAAATATGTTTGTATTCCTTCCCTCATATAAAACATTTTATTTGCATTATAAATTAAGAAAAAATACTGTATTTTACTAGTCAACTGAGAATGAGGATTATTTAACCTCATAGAATTCAAGATTAGAATTTGTTTATTGTTTTAAAACCAAAACTTTTCATGAGATTTAACCACTATCTCTCAGTAATGATAATTATGATAGCTAGAATGTATTGAGTCCTAACTATACGCCAAGCACTGTTCTAAGTTCTTCATAGGTATATATTTAGTTCTTTTAAATGTCTCCACATTAAAAGTCTATTTTCACTAATTCTTTACTTTTGTTTATAAGCAACATGTTCTCTCCCTCCTCCTCCTCCTTCTTTCTTCTTCTTCTTCTTTTTTTTTTTTTGAGACAGAGTTTTGCTCTTGTTGCCCAGGCTAGAGTGCAATGGCACGGTCTTGGCTCACTGCAACCTCTGCCTCCTGGGTTCAAGTGATTCTCCTGCCTCAGCCTCCTGAGTAGCTGGGATTACAGGCTTGTGCCACCATGCTCAGCTAATTTTTGAATTTTTAGTAGAGACAGTGTTTCACCATGTTGGCCAGGCTGATCTTGAACTCCTGACCTCAGGTAGTCTGCCCACTTCAGCCTCCCAAAGTGCTGGGATTACAGGCATAAGCCACCGCACCTGGCCCTCTCCCTTCTTTTATAACTACCCCTGTGTTTATCATTACTTCCTGGCCACCATCAGCTGGACCATTGTTCTTACATCTGAAATCTTTTCCTTGTCATCATCTGTTCTCTCTCTTTCTTCCTACACACATCTTAGGTCCCAATTCAACCTTCCTCTGGGTTTTCTTATTCCCTGAAACTCCCAGGAAACTACTAGTCTCCTTCCTTCAGTACCAAATTTCCCTATAAAACAGTTGACCGACCCTCTCTCCTTTAATTTCTGCACTGCTTTTTCTCTACCATTTGCCTTCTTCCTACTGTTTCCTGATGACCCTATTGTTTAATCCAGTGACTATTTTTTTGCTTCTCATTGCCTTTGACTATTCTGCAATTTTGACATCTTTAAAATTATTGTCTTCCTTAATTTGGATCACAGTATCCTCTGAACTCTCTTGTCCTCTCTGACTTTTAAAAATGTTTTATTGTCTTCTCATTCTATAAACATACAAATCATCTGAGATGCTTTGCTTGCCTTCATCAAAACACCCTACAACCAGTTCTTCCTTCTAAATGGTCTATTTCTATGGTCTAATGGGACGATCCTTTTCCTAAGTCACCCATGGCTGGGAGGCCTCAGAGTTGTATTTAATGCTGCCTTCCCCCTTCTGCCTACAGTTCTGTCAGCTTCCTTTCATTCATCCTTTGCCTCTTCTCTCCCATTACCCTGGTTGAGGCTCATAGAACATCATGCCTGAATTATTGCAACTGCCTCCTAAGTGGTCTTTCCACCTCCAGTCATTCTTTCCTCTTCAATTCACCCAGTATATCACCACTAGACTATTTGTCAGAAATCGCTGCCTTGAATATTTCCTCCCCTACCCCAACTCAGGCTTTCCATGATGCTCCATTTCCCGCCCAATAAAATCCAAACTCCCTACAGCTTCACAGAGAGCTCCCAGTTTATCGCTCCAGCTTCGTCTTCCACTCCTCTCACCCATACTTACTGGTTTATTTGCTGTTCATCGTACAAGCATACATTTTTCTACCTCTGGGGCTTTCTGTCCCTGGCACTTGAGATGCCTTTCTACTCAAGTCTTAGTACATTGATGAGTCAAGGCAAACTCGATTCTACTACTTAATATAGAGTCTACATTAATTAGAGGGACTCCCCTCTATCTCTGTACAGTTTATCTCCCTATTTCTGTCTCTTTGCATCACTGCTACTTCTGCATTGTTGTTTGTTTGCTTGTTTTTTTTAGAGACAGAGTCTCTCTGTCACCCAGGCTGGAGTGCAGTGGTGTGATTATAGCTCACTGCAGTCTCCAACTTTTGGGCTCACATGACATTCCCCCTTCAGCCTCCTGAGTAGCGGGGCCTACACACGTGTATCACCATGCCTGGCTTCCACTTCTGTGTCTTTTACCACATGCTAATTTGTCTTCTACATGTTTTATCTTGTACTATTTCACCAACTGGCTGGATAGCCAACTTACCCTGTTGAAAGTCTTCCAGTGCCTCCCCCTAATTTCAAGATTAAGTTTAAATTCTTCAGCTTGATGTGTGAGTCTCCTTATGACCTGGTACCCTCTTGCGTTTCTTCTCTCACCTCCCACACCCTTCTGTGTTTACCAAAGTCTAAATCATTCCCATCTTCCTGAGTTTCCCAAAACACCCCGCATGCTTTTGTGCCTGTTTGCCTTTGCTCATCCTGTGTTATCTGCCTGGAATGTCTTCCCTCATTGGTTTTACTGGCCAATCATGACCCTCTTTCAAAATCCAACTCAGGTGATACCCCCTTCAGGATACTGAAGCCCTCATCTGTGAGATATGCATCTGTTTTGCCTCCGCAGCATCCTGTGATACTGCACTGCCCTTGTTCAGCTGCTGACCCACCTTTCCTAGGGACCATAAATTTTCTACAGATGGGACACTTCCATCCTTCTCTCATATATTCCTAGCACCTCGTCCAGCGGCTGTTGGAGTAGTGAAAGGAGGCAGGTGTGGCATGGGCAAGGCCAGCTGATTACACAGGTAACCACAAGGTGGCATTTACTAGATGAATTTACCATGACTCAGAGCCTGACTTTCAGGCTGGATGCCTGGGAACTTGGCTTACCATATTGAGAGTGGCTGCATCTCACGAAGGTAGAACCTTATTAACTGAGGGCATAGAGGCTTCTGTATAAAATCAGCATGCATGTGTACTGATTATCTTGAGCAGGATGATTGCTGGCATTGACCTGACCAGGGTGTTCTCCTCCCATTTACATGACACTCAGAAAACCAATTCTCTCATTATAGATTTTTCAGCCAATTCGTTTTATTCCACAACAGCTAATCACATGAATTGTGTGTGGATTTTACTGAGCTCACCTGTTAGAGAACAAACAATCTTATTTCTAAATTCTCGGAGAGAGGTAGAAGCCCTCTCCTGTAGCGTTTATGTGCTGATTAATCAGCATTTACTAAGCCTTTAACAAACACCTGTGACATGACCAGGTAGTTCCTGAATGAATAAATGAATGCAGATCGTGACGCTAGATAGACGGTAGTGATGGGAAGTCCAGTTGTGGCAAAGTAGCATGTAGACATGCTCCACATGACCTGATTATTGGAAAATGATTTTTCCCCTTAAAAGCCCCTTTTGCTCTCTTACACATTTCTGACTGTTTTTCCTCATATTCTTCTCAGCCATCATGTTGGCATCTACTGCCATGTATGGGGGGACCTCACTAGCACATTCCAGACTGAGCTTCCCCCACCCTTGGTCTGGCTTCCTTGTCTGCACTGCTGCTCTGATTGCTCTCACCACAGGCCCTACCTCTTCCCTATTTCTCCTTCCTCCAAAGGAGTTCTAGTTCTCCTACTTTTTAAATCAGAATGTGCCTTGGACTCAGCGCTAAGGTAAGTGACCAAGCACAGATTCTGCCAATGTCTTTGATGCTGCATTTTGCACTTGCACCTTCATCTCTGACTTCAGCCCTCCTCTCAAGGTGTATCCCAGCATGTTTTAAAAGGAAACAGCTCCAAAGAAAGTAAAAATATCAGGATCCCTTATCCATAGAATGTTAAAATAAAGTCGGCTCAGAAGAGGAAAATTAGCCTTTTCTTAACGAAGTATCAAAGGCACTGTAGGCATGAAGCACGTAGATAAAGTTGGACTGAATTGTTCTTCTTGTTTTTATACGCATGCCTTGACGGGCATATTGTGGCTGCATAATCCCAAAATTTATCACCCCTGTGGTTCTTTAACCTTGTAGTGAGAAAAATACATTTCTGGTCATTTGCCAGTGTTAGGAATTTCTGATTCTAATATCCAACTTAGTATTAATTTTTCACTACTTTAAATGGCTAAGAAATTATGTTTCAAGTTGGATCCCAATACCTTTAAACAAAATAAGAATAGGAATTTTTCTGTCACATTATGTCTTTTTCTCTTTCCTCCTTTATCCCTAAATAGAATTTTTCACATAAATACATTGTGCTTCTTATCAAGAGCTCCAGGTTGGTCCTCGAGAAAGCTTAGACACTTAACCGCAGTAATGAAATAATATCTGCCCCAATTTTTAAGCAACTATTGTGTGTATGCCAATCTCTGTGCAAAGTATAATATTTTACATACCCTAAATGTATTTTTTTTTTTTAAAGACAGAGTCTTGCTCTGTTACCCAGGCTGGAATGCAGTGGTGTGATCTTGGCTCACTGCAATCTCTACCTCCTGAGTTCAAGTGATTCTCCTGCCTCAGCTTCCCTAGTAGCTAGGATTACAGGCACACACCACCATGCCTGGCTAATTTTTGATTTTTAGTAGAGATAGGGTTTCTCCATGTTGGCCAGGCTGGTCTCAAACTCCTGACCTCAAGTGATCCACCCGCCTCGGCTTCCCAAAGTGCTGGGATTACAGGCATTAGCTACTGCCCCAGGACGGCTAAAGGTAATTCTTAAACAACCCTCTGAAGAGTGTAACCCCCAAACGGCCCTCCCCATTTTACAGATGAGGATCCTAAGGTTCAGCAACTTGCCTGAGTCCCAGTGTGGGAACGGAGCAGAATTGGAAGCCAGGCAAGCTTCCTTGTTCACGCTCTCTCCCCTGCAGTCCTTTTGCCTCCTGGGTAACGTGGCTGTGTTTCCAGGTTTTGCCACAATCTCTTCCTACCATAACAAGCACAACGAATGTGAGCCTTATGTTTTGTGCTTTTTGTCCTGTTATTTTCTACCTATAGAAGAAACAAAATATTTGAGGACATTACATATGTGGCTTCATCATTATGTGTCAGTCATGTGCTGCCACATATGGAACAGATGCTGTGTGACTTCCAAAAGTTGTGTCACGGCACAATTAGAAATAGCCCTTTGGAAGGAGGTAATGGTATTTTTTTAAAACGTAAGTTTGCTACACTTTTTAATATTATATTCATATACATTTGTATGTATCTTTTATTTTATGTATATTTAGGTATATTTATTTATTGTATGTATATTTACATATGTGTATAAATTTACATACTTATGTATATGTATGTATATTTATTGTATGTATATTTCATTTTATGTGTATTTTATTTTATATATTTTTACATAATTTTATATCATATATTTGTATGTGTTTTTATAGCTGATGAAGAGTATGAAGATGGAATTGAAAGGACGTGTGACACTCTCCTTATGTGCATTGTCACCGTGCTGAACCAGGGCCTCAGGAATGGCGGTGGTGTGGGGGATGTGCTAAGAAGGCCATCGAAAGATGTAAGCCAGAGTAAAAGTATTTTTTCAAGGAGCACATCTTTTTTTTAAACCTTTCTTCACAGCATTTATAATTTAGTTTTGGTTTTCAGGAAAATATATTGTACCATTTGCTTTAAAAGTATAACCATGGCTGTTAAAGCCAATTAATTGTTTGCTAGGATTACATAGCTAATGTACTACAACTCTTTGTGTGTTCGTAGAGTGGTGAAATGTTTCCAAGTTAATCTGTGTATTGTATTACAGCAATGAAATCATGACTGCGAACTTTATATAGGAGTTGATTGTTACACAAATAACATAAACGAGGTTGCCTCTTGCCTATCAGGTTTCTTGAGCATGAAGATTTACTCTTTGCTTCTGCATAGGAATAGCCTCCATCATTTATCTATGATAAATATAACATTTGAGCAAATTCTAACAGGATTTCATATATTAAAATGGCAAAGTGGAAACATTTCTCACTAGCTGCAAAATCTCAAGTGCCAGGCTGGGAGCTTGAAGAATCTTAGCTCTGCTCCGGCCAGTTGTATCATATTGTCAAATCATCTAACCTCTTAACCTCAGGTTCCTCTTCTGTTAAAAAACTGGATTGCCTGGTCTCTAATTTGCATTTTAACACTGTTCATCAGGAAGAAATAAGAAGGAGCTATATATACTTGACCCTGTATGGCCAAGAATAAAGCCTACTCCAGAAATTGACAAGTCATTAGGTCCTCCTTAGCTCCCCAATCACTGACTTTTGGAATTGACATTTAACTACCTTTTCTGTAATGTCTGGGATAGGAGACCACTGTGCCAAAATGCATTTAGCAGAATGGCATAATAAAGTCCTTTCTAAAGAAAGTGAAGTCCCACCATTGTGGGAAAGACATGTGTCAGTCCTAGAGAAATGTAAGTGGTTCTGGAAATAGGCTAGGAAGTTTTTCTTACAACACTTAAAGTAGAGATGGAAAGTGAGCCTTATTTTTCCAACTTGGGATACTATTTATATTCATTTCACAAACATTTATTGAATATACTCTCTATGCTAGACAGTGTGCTCAATCACTATGCCTAGTGTGATTTTTTTAAATATTTTTATTTCAGGAGCCCTTGTTTGCTGCCCGAGTGGTTTATGACCTTCTTTTTTATTTCATTGTTATCATTATTGTTCTGAACTTGATTTTTGGTGTTATCATCGATACTTTTGCTGATCTCAGAAGCGAAAAACAGAAAAAAGAAGAAATTCTAAAGACAACTTGTTTCATCTGTGGTAAGTGTTCGGCAGATGCTAAAATAATAGATGAATAGACTGTTTGCAGGAAAGAGGGGCTAGAGGGATTTTTATTTTTCATGCTTTCGGAAAAATTATTTCAAAATGAAGGTTGGATAAAATTCAGATTATGTAACTGAGCATTAGACTGGAATTCTCTGCTTCTATAAATAGAGAGAGGAATTATACCCCAAAGCTATCCTGTCATTATTTCTGTGATTTACATGATTCTCTGACTATAGAAATGTGATGCAAAATGCCAAAAGGTTTCACCAACTGGCAAACAGATTTTTAATCACAGTAACATATTTATTATGCAACAGAATCACATTTAATTTTGTTAGAATATGAATCCAAATATGATTTTTCAGCATCTTGAACTTCTACTCACTGACATCACTATGTTTTGGATTCTGAACTGAGCCTTCTCTCTGTTTGTTTGTTTGTTATTTTGAGATGGAGTCTCGCTCTGTTACCCAGGCTGGAGTGCAGTGGCACGATCTCAGCTCAGTGCAACCTCTGCCTCCCGGGTTCAAGTGATTCTTCTACCTCAGCCTCCCTAGTAGCTGGGACTGCAGGCATGTACCACCACACCTGGCTAATTTTTGTATTTTCAGTAGAGCCGGGGTTTTGCCATGTTGGCCAGGCTGGTCTCGAACTCCTGACCTCAGGTGATCCACCCGCCTTGGCCTCCCAAAGTGCTGGGATTGCAGGTGTAAGCCACCGCACCCGGCCCTTCTCTCAGTTTTTAATTTCTCTCTCTCTCTCTGTCTCTCTTACACACACACACACACACACACACACACACACACACACACCACTCCCCTCCCCTTCTCCTGTCATCATCTCTCCTAGTGCACACAGCCTTCTCCTTCCTTCTCATTGCCCTCATCATCCCCCTCAGCTCTGCCCTCTTCTCTGTACCCATCACCTCTTTCTGGCTTCAGTTGTCTTTGTAGCTGGTCTCTCGGCACCCTAGAATCTATCCTCTTCTTTGGGTGATCACCCACTCTAGGTTTCATTCACCCTCCTTGTTGCCACATTAGGCTGAAAAAAATCTTTTGGTGATAGTCACAAAACAAGCCTAAGGGTTCACTACAACGTTACTGTATGTAACAAATTGGGTCCTCAATACATTTCATTCTCTCCTTGCTTCAACTTTTGTTGAGTGTTTCGTTCACCTCAATGTCTCTCCAAACCTTTTCTACCTTCCTCCAACAGTTGTAGGTGTATCAGGTAATAATGTGTAATATTATGCTATATTCAGTGGAAACAAATAGAAAGCAGTCATTCCCTGTTTTGGGGTGTTCACGATCTATTTTGGGATACAAACACAATAAATAGCCTTGATATCTCATGCATTGAAGGAAATGGTAGAGAAGTTTACAGGAAGCTGCAGGTACCCAGAGGAGGGATACCTCTCCAGCATGGGGTAGGGAGTGAGAAAGAAGAGTCAGGAAAGCCTTTAGAAGAGATGGTGACTGAGCTGGTGGTAAAAGATGAAAGGGAGAGGTTGCCAGATCAAAGTGAGTACAAGCAGAAAGGCCAGGATAAGCAAAGTCATGGAGGTGGAAGAACAGTACAAGGGTCTTCACTTACTCTAAAGCAGCTCAGTGTTGCTGACGTAAAGTTCAGAGCAGGGCGTGCTAAGAGATGAGGTTGGCCAGACCACGCATGGCCTTTTATATTAGGCAGTTTGGACTTTATCATCTGGACTTACAGTGGAAGATGAACCATTAAAGAATTTTAAGTAGAACACTGCAGGGTCTATTTTTTTTTTTTGCTTTAGAGCACCATGGCAGCTTTGGGAGGTCATTCATCAGGAAACAGTACCAGAAGCAGAGTCATCAGGTAGGAGGTCATTACCACAGTCCAAGTGAAAGGTAATGAAAGCAGGAGAGTTAGTGGTGGCAGTATTAAGGATAGAAGGCAGAGTCAAGAAATATTTAGGAGATAAAATCTTTAAATCTTGATGCTTAGGAAAGGATATGAAAGATAGCTGGGATGCCCAAGTGGATGGTAATACTAACAAGTGATTGAGCTTGAGAATAGATGAAAAAAACAATTTAGGTAGGAATATGCTGAGTTTAACTTTGAGAATCCTGAAATTGAGTGTGTACTGACCCACCCCAGTGGGATACAGCACAGATCAATTCATGAGTCTGAGCCTCAGAGATTGAGTCTTCGCTGGAGACTATAACTGGGGAATCCTCAGCCTATGTGTGATAGTGAAATCTGGAGTGTGGAGGAGGGTGTCCGAGTGAGAAGAGAAGCAGAGAGACTACAAGTGGAAAGCCCCAGCTTTGAAGACTTAGGAGAGAAAGAGGAGCACACACCAACAACTCAGAGTACCAAGTCAGAATGGTGTGAGGAGAAGCAGGAAGGGGTGGCCTGTGGAAGAGAGGGGAGAAAACAGCTTTGGAAAGAAATGAATTCGTTATCAACTCTGCCCAAGCAGAGAAGGCCAGTAACATGACCTAAAAAGCCTACTGGTTTCTCATTTAGGAGGCTTTGGTGAATTTAGGTAGAGTGGATTGTGCAGTGCTGAGTAGAGATTTGCTAGAAGGAAACTGAGAGAGATCAGGAAGAGGCTGAGAGGACACTCCATCAACCTTGGAAGATAAATATACCTCCTCCTACCTTTATAGAAAAATAACCCACACCCTGTATTTTTTTTTCTATTTTTCTCTTTATGTGACAGCTATCACCACCTCCATTTCTTCACAATAGATGTATGTGTGTCTCCTTTCTTTTCTTCTCAGCAGATCCTTCAGGCTTTCCAAGGATGATTCTTTCTTCCCTTGGGTCACCTCACCTGGAGCTCTGTCCTCTTTCAGCCTTATCATAAAAAAATTTTTAAATGATTATTTATTGAATACTTACTACATGTCTGGCTTTTCACTTAGGTATTTCTTTTCATTTTATTCTTAAAAAATGAATACTATGTATGATGTATATTACCACTCCTTTACAAACATGGAAACAGAGACTTGGCTCCCGTCAACATCCAGTTAGTAAGCAGAAGAGCCAAGATTTGAGCGGAGGACTACCTAACTCAAAAGTCCACTCAGCTATCCTATTCTAAAATGACAAAGTGACAGGTTCTCATTCAAGCATAACCAAGCCTGAGAACAGATCCTGGTGGAAGGGTATAGCGTTATGGGGCCAAGCTGTTGTTTAGAAGGGTGAGTCCCATACAGGAGAATGATGCTGCCCTCAGAAACCTCTCTGTGTATCTCGTGGTCTTTCTTTTGCACTGCTTCTTCCTCCATGCCCTTTTTTTCACGGTCATAATCATCATCATGTTGGTACACTACCTCTGAAAGAGATGCTCTTTGGAAGAATGGACCAGAGGCTGGAAGCCTCATTCTAAGACATGATATTGTCTCCTATATTTTAACCAAAAACATGAACAGCAACGTAAGCCCATTGCTTACCCAAGATTCCTGCTCCTCTAAGCTTTCCCTTCTCGGTCAGAATTCTCTTTGGCTTTTCACAGTTATTAAAAAGCCAGTCACCTATAAATTCCTTTAAACATCACAATAACTGTCATCAACAAATTGAAGTGTTCTTGAATCTCACTGTTAACTTCCCGCTGACCTTTTATTCTCCCTCTGCTTGCTTTCTCTGGGTCACAGGGTCCTATTCCGTCTCCCAAAACCCCTTAATAGAAGGTTTTGATTTTGCCCTTGACTCCTTGTCTCCTCTCTGTCCTCCTCTTTGACATCACTTTTATGTAGATTATTGCCAAGTATGCATGCTCAGCTCCAACCTTTCCCCAGGCTTTCCCCTCTGTTTTCAGTCACTCACTGGACAGTTAGACAGGCATGTCTTCCCGGCAGCCAAACCGGCCATGTCTGAAGCCAGTCCATCATCCCTTTCTGTCTCCCTCCTCTAGCCTAGCTCTTTTTCCTGACATCCATATTGCTATTAGTAATATCCCACAGTGCCTTCAGTTATCTGAGGGAACCACACCATCATGTTTAGCATCTCCTTTTTTCTCTTCCAGGTGCCCTAGCTACCATGCGCTAATGAACCCACCTTCACAATCTCACCCACATCCTTCCACACATTCCCACAGCCACATCTTAGTTTTTCAGGCTAACCCGGGCTCACAACCCCAAATGGTCTGCTCGGTGTTGCCAGACTAATTTTTCCACTCTGAATTAATCATTTCCTTACTCAAAAAGCCATCAATAACATTGCACAGTCTATAACTCTGTAACTTGAATTTTCCTGGCATCTAAGCTACCCCCACAATCTGGCCCCTTCTTTTTTTGCCTACCTTCTCCCCTGTTGTTCTCCCATTTATAGCTCAAGTTCCAGGGCAACTACATTACTTACCTTTAACTTCCCAGACTCTCCATGTATTCTTAGTTGTGGGAGAACAATTTCATTTGGAATGCCCCAATTCCTACGCTGTTGAACTCCTGCCCTCTCTCTGAGGCCCAGCTCTAATGCCATTGTTCTAGAAGTCTTCTCCGATCTCACACATCGGACCCTAAATTCCTCACATCACACTTAGCTATATAGCACTGTACATATTTCTGTTGTCTGATCACCTCTGCTGGATGCCATGCATTCTCATATCAAAGAAAATGCATGAACTTTATAGACAAGTAGTCATAGGTCTACACTGGTTCTGCATCCTTGCTATGTGATCTTGGCCAAGTTTCTAATCATCCTGAGCTATTGTTCCCTCACCTGGAAAATGAGGAATATAATGCCACGGTTTGGTGTTGTGATGAGTATAAATGAGATCATGTATATCAAAATCTCTAGCACGAGGCTTAACTGAGGGTCTGCCCTCAACACATGTTAATTTCTCTTCTTTAAGAGAACCAGATCCATGTCTTATCCATTTTTTTTTGCTTTCATAATGTGCATTGGTGAATATCCATAAATATTTGCTTAATGAATGACTATCCAATAAGTCAGCCTCAGGCTGATATTGTCTCTATACTTGTCTGACTTATAATCTACAAAAGGCAGATAAAATATTGAGATTGTATATACTGCAGACAACAGGTGTGCTGATTCCAGGTTGCTCCAGATTTTGTTACATGCAGGGTATTGTTTCTGTGGAGTGCTGCCCACAGGAATGTAGGGTGACATTGCAGGATGCACAAAGAGATGTAAGATCAATATTGTCTGTTTTCTAGAAGCTTCATGTTTATTCAGAAATCTGAGGAAACACTTAAGTAATTTAAACTAAGTGTAAATTTAAATAGTATTTTTATATTAGAACAAATAGAATATTGTAAAATAGAACAAATTCAGCGTGAATATTTAAAATAAAATAGAAACTTTTTTAAAAAATGAATAATTGGCTTCAGGTACTTTTTGCTGCTACTTTCTGTAACCTCAGTAACAGAAAGGTATACATTTTCTGCTCCCTTCCCTTAAAGGACCTTGAGCAGAAACACATAAGAAGCATTATGATAATGTATATCTAGATATGCATTCATTCCCAGAAGCTCCAACCACACAAATGATATAATTCATCTCATATATGTTAGGAGAACTTAGTTACAAGAATGATTTAAATGGTTGGGATATTTGGGGGTTGTGCTAGTAGGCTATAAAATAGTGACTGGTCTAGACATGGTTCCTGGTAAAGTTGGATGTGAAGTTGTGATCCAAAGAAGGACATAGTACCAAATAACAAAGGAGAGAATCTCCATAGTAAGAGAGAACTGGCTCCAGGTGTGTGCCAAGGGACACCCAGAGTAGGACAAGAGGATGTAGATTCTGTGACAGGCAATGGACCTAGTTGGAACTTTCCCAGCCTTGAAGACAATGTCCAGATGTTTGGAAGTGAAACATGACTCAGAAAACAATAGCTAGTGATCCAGAAGGTGGCCCTGGAGGGTGAGGATTAGCAGATGACAGAGCTGAGCAGGAAGCAGAGACACAGATTAGCTCTTGCATCCATATTAATTATGAACATTGAGTTACTAGAGGCTGAAGATCCAGTAAGAAAGAGATGTCGAAAGACCAGGTGTGACAAAACAACAGAATGGAGAAAGGATTTGATGATAGGTCAGAATTCCTATTCTAAGGATAGGGTATCTTGCTGTGGCGATATTATCATAAACTCAGTCATTCAAGTATCATAAACTCAAGTTATTCAAGTCAGAAAATTCAGAGTCATTACTGATTTCTCCTTCTTCTAAATCTATATCTCTAATTGGACATCAAGCCCGTTCAAGTTTTCATTCCAAAATGCCTCTTCAGTCTCTCTTATTCATTTATTTAATTATTCTGTCAAATTTAGTTGCATGCCTACTGTTCTCCAGACACTGCCAGGTGCTGGTAATGCAAAAATGAGTCAGACAGTAAAATGGTAGAGGCTAAGATGGAAACAGGCACATTTTCATAGTGAAGTGTTGTGGGCCCAGAAGATCAAACAGCTGGTTGTGTCTGTGGGAGTCGGTGGTGGAAGTGGGGAAGCTTGAAGAAGGAATACTTGGAAGGCAGAAAAGAGAGTAGATGAAGGTGTCTTGGTGTATTTGGCGAATGATGAGAAAGTCAGCATGACTACAAGAACTGTGCTGAGTGGAATGTCAGTGCATGAGTCTAAGAATGACTTCAAGTTCCCTGGTCAACAAGGACTTCATTAACAGAGACGAAGAAGAGGGCTCAAGAAACACATTTTTGACGAGTTAAGTTTGACATCCCCACAAGCTATCCAGGTGGATATATACAGCAGGCAGCTGGAAAAAGGAGTGGAAATTGAGAAGAAAGGTCAGTACTGGGGATAAAGATTGAGAAAACATCAGCAAGATGATGGTAAAACCGTGAGAATGGATGATGAAGCTTAGAGAGCAAGAACTTACGAAGATGAAAGACAACCAGTTTCCCTCTTTTACATTTCCCCCTCCACTGCCCTGGTGCCTGGGTCTTGCATCCTTAGTCTCTTATCCCAATCTTCCCCTGAATCCTGCCACAGGAACGACTTGAAGTATAGCTCTGAATACACTAGTTTCTACTCAGAAGCTTTCAGAATAGGCCGGGCACGGTGGCTCATGCCTGTAATCTCAGCAACTTTGGGAGGCCGAGGCGAGCATATAAGCTGAAGTCAGGAGTTTAAGACCAGCCTGGCCAACATGGTGAAACCCCATCTCTACTAAAAATACAAAAATTAATTGGGCGTGGTGGCACATTCCTGTAACCCCAGCTACTCGGGAGGCTGAGGCAGGAGAATCGCTTAAACCTGGAAGGTCGAGGTTGCAGTGAGCTGAGATCGCACCACTGCGCTCCAGCCTGGGTGACAGAGCAAGACTCTGTCAAAAAAAAAAAAAAAAAAAAAAAAAAAAGGAAAAGAAGAAGAAGAAGAAGAAGCTTTCAGAATAAAATACAGATGCCTTAGCTTTGAGTTTAAAGCTTGCCGTTGTTTCTGCCAGATGTACCATTTCATCTGCATCTCCAAATGTTCCCTTTCTGCCACACCAGAGTAACTGACATTCCCTAAACAGGTCATGTACCTTCATCTCTGGCTTTTCCATGCCATTTTTCCTGCCCAGATGGCAAAAGAACATGGGCTTTAGAGTCAGAAATATTTTTATTTAAATACTAATTGACTCTTCCGCTAAATAGGGATATTAACTTGAGCAATTTATTGAATCATTCTGAATCTATTTCCTCACATGCTAAAAGGTCAGATTGGATTATTGTAATTATAATAGCATATTTAGACATCTTTATAGTTGTCAGCATCAATAGATGCTCAATAAAAATTAAGTACCTTTTATTACCATTCACTTCTTCTCCACTTACCATAATCATGTACTGAGGCTGGATTTTTCAAGCTTTGCACCTCTTGGAAACCTTTTAAAATGACCCTCATCAGAGTTCATTTTGCCCTTCTTTATGCTCCCTTGGCAGTTTATACCTCTTCAGAATATAACGCAACGTGCCTGTTTCCTCTACCGTATTACAGATTAATTGATAGTAAGAACCTAATTTTTATAGCCCCATTACCTTGCAACTGGTAGATGTTTGAATTGAATTCTGGGAAAATCTACTTTAACATTTTCTCTCTTTTGTTTGTTTTGTTTAGTTTGTTTTTCTCTCTTTTGTTTTTTAGTGTTTTGTTGTTGTTGTTGTTAATAGCTCTATTGAGATATAATTCACACATCATATAATTCACCCATTTAATATGTACAATTCAGTGGTTTTTAGTATATTCAGAGTTGTGCATCCATCACCATAATTGATTTTAGAACATTTTCATTGTCCCAGAAAGAAACCCCATACCCTTTAGCCATCATCTGATCCCTAACCTTCCATCTCTGCCTCGGCTCTACTTTTTGCCTCTGTGGATTTGCCTATATTGGACATTTTATATAAATGGGATCATAATATGTGGGCTTTTGCACCTAGCTTCTTTCACTTAGTAGGATGTTTTAAAGGTTCATGTTGTAGCAGGTATCAGTACTTCGTTCCTTTTTATTGTAAAAAATTATCCTGTCATATGGATATACCATATTTTATCCTTTCATCAATTAATTGACATTGGGGTTGTTTCCACTTTTAGCTATTATGAATAATGCTGCTATGAACATGTACAAGTTTTTATGTGAACATACATTTTCAGTTCTCTTGAATATATACCCAGGAGTGGGTTATGCTTAGTTATATGGTAACTCTCTGTTTAACCATTTGAGGAATTGCCAAACTGTTTTCCAAAGTAGCTGCTGCACCATTTTACATTTCTGTTAGCAGTGCATGAGGATTCTAATTTCTCTACATCTTCACCAACACTTATTATTATCTGGTTTTGGTTATAGGCATTCTAGTGGAACAATATTTTAGTAGTGAAATATTATTAATTCAATCAATCAGTATTTAATTGAGTGCCAACTATGTGCCAAATATCATTCCGAGCTTTTGGGACCGTTGGTGAAGAAAAGAAATATATCTGCCC
Source organism: Homo sapiens (assembly GCF_000001405.40). Lineage (NCBI taxonomy): Eukaryota > Metazoa > Chordata > Mammalia > Primates > Hominidae > Homo > Homo sapiens. The sequence continues at coordinate 26,389,946 of NC_000012.12, read as the reverse complement.
AGGTGGCTCTTATACTCTAGTGGGAGGACAAACACAATACATAATAAATGTAATAAATTTTTATCCAAGTTGCTGGATGAAATAACATTTCTTTCTCCTTTGCTGAGTATCAGACAGGCTTTTTCTTACACAATCATTTTACCTCTTTATCTTAGAGATATAATCCAATTTAATTTAATAACTTCGATTTGGCTATATTCAGTCTATAAGGAGGTGGTAAGCACTATAAGAAAAAGAGAGGAAAAGGGAAAAGGTGATCAAGAAGGTCAGCAGAAGGGTTATATTTTTAAACAGGATGATCAGGTTAAACCACATTGAGATGGTGAGATTTCAGCAAAAATTTGAAGGTGAATGAGTTACTTAAAGAGATGTCAGTGAGAAGAGTTTTGTAACCAGAGGAAACAACCGTTCCAAAGGTCCTGAAGTCCAAAGGCCCTGTGTTCCAAAAAAAAAAAAAAGCAAAGAGGCCAGTGTGGTTGCATGGGAGGTAGCAAGGGAGAGAACAGTGAGAGGTAAGGTTAGTGTGGCTGTGAGGCCAAGTCACATAGGATTTAGCAAATACATATTGCATGGGACTCATACTAAAGAATTATTTATTATTTATCTGAAATTCAAACATAACTGACCATGCTGTTGCTTATCTAGCAACTCTACTTGTAGGTCCTTGTAAGGACTTTGACCTTTATCTTGAGGAGGTGGAGGAGCCATTGTTGGGTTTACAACAGAAGAGAGACACCATTTCTCTTAGGTTTTTAAAGGATTGCTCTGGCTGCTGTGTTGAGAATGGGCTGTGGAGAGTAAAGATGGAAACAGGGGGGCCTGGGAGTCTATTGCAGTAATCCACATGAGGGATGACAATGGCCCAGACCAGAGTGTAGCAGCAGAGCGGGTGAGAAGTGGTCAGATTCTGGATATGTTTTGAAGGTAGAGCCAAAAGCATTTCAACATGGATTGGATGTGCTGTGTGAGAGGCGGAGAGGATTCAAGAATGACGTCCAGGCTTTTGGCTTGAACAACTAGAACAGAGCTGCCATCGAATAAAAGGGGAGGACTGTGGGTGAAGCAGGTTTAGGGAAGAAAATTGTAGTTTATTTGGGCATGCTGAGCTGATTATAGGTCAAATAAGATGAGGCCTAGCCATCAGCCAGCAGAATCTTATAGTATTTTCCATACAGATATCCAATAATGTAAGTAAAAAGTCACCCCTTCAATGGGGACAGATTTTTTACTTATTGTGCTTTATATCTTATTATTTAAAAAAGGTCTTCAGGCTGGGCAACATTGTGAAGCTCCATCTCTACAGAGAAAAAAAAAAAGATACAAAAATTAGCCGGGCATGGTGGTGCATGCCTGTAGTCCCAGGTACTTAGGAGGCTGAAGTAGGAGGATCAATTGAACCTGGGAGGTTGAGTCTGCATTGAGCCACTGCACTCCAGCCTGGGAAACAGAGTGAGACTCTGTCTCAAAAAAATAAATAAATAAAAGGGTCTTCTACATCCCTGAGTGAACTTACAAAAAATGCTTAGAGAAAGAATAGCCAGGGTTGGATTTCAGTTTCCTGGTTTCTTCTTCAGTATCTGAGCTGTAACAACCTAACTGAATCCCAACATCCCACTTCACTTGGCACTCAAATTCATGTTTCCATAGATGTTTTTCTTCATCTCTATTCATTTCTTTTCATCTATTCTCTAACTTTGAGAGAAAAGAATTTTATTATCTAGGTGCTTTCTTTACTGTACTTCCAAAGGCTTAAAAATGTGCCCTGGAAATGGAACAGATCACCCCCTGCCCAAAATGCCTGGAACACGGTACCCTAGAGGGCTGGCATAGTCTGAGCACTTGCTGTCCTCAGCGTGTGGACGGCCATCTTCTTTGTGTTCCTTTCACTGATTCCAAGTGGTTTTGAACAGATGACTGTCTCAATTCTTTCCCTCTTTTAATCCAAGTTTCTGGGTAAAATGACATTTTTTTTTTCTGTCCTGATTAGCAAGCATACCTTTTCCTGCATGATCATTTTTACCTCTTTTTCTCAGACTTGTGGTACAGTTTAATTTGAAAATTTTGATATGGCTGTATTTAAAATTATCTGCAACTTTTTCATCTATTACAGGACTGTGCATTTCCAAGGATCCATGGGGAAAAATAAATGTTAGTTGGGAAAAAATCTATAAACGATGGCCTCTTTTCTGGAGGTCTTGTGTACTGTGTTGTTTTTAATCATAGCATTTTAAATTGGCACACTCTTACTGAAAGCATTTTTTTCACAATAATTATTGTGTTTTGTTTTTATGCTAAGAAGCAAGTACTGATTAAATGACGAATTACATATATTGTGTTGCCTGTGTTTTTCAGGACTTGAGAGAGACAAGTTTGATAATAAAACGGTTTCATTTGAGGAGCACATTAAGTCAGAACACAATATGTGGCATTATTTGTACTTCATAGTCCTGGTGAAAGTTAAAGACCCAACAGAATACACTGGACCTGAAAGTTATGTGGCTCAAATGATTGTGGTGAGTGACCAGAAGGTTTTAATTTGTGACTATATTGTATCTTTTAGGCTTTCATCTTCTCTACCCTACCATCCTCCCAAAATATGAAGATTGTAGCAATCATTTTTTGTTAACATTTAAATAGGCCTGTCAATCACTGAAGAACATCTACACTGACTAAGTCATTGGTTCCCAGTAGACTCCTTGGTTATTCAAACCAAATTTGAGTCTCCAGTGCACAGATGATATTTCCTGGATTCTCTTTGCAATGACTAGCACCATCTCAGTTATGTTCATCACCTTCTGACATCATACCTTTTATCATTGCTGATGTCCCACTTCCTGAAATCTGGAACTTTCCCATTGTTAAATATGAACAGAAGATTCATACCTTAAGGAATCCCTTGAATTTCAAAAATCAAGAGTTTAAGAAATTGAATTGTGTTTGGGGATAGTATGATGTTCAGTCCTAATGGGAGAGCACTGATTTTCCATCAACACATACTTCGGATTGATTTACCAATGTTGCTGATGAATTTGCACTGATCCTGCCACATCTAGTTGCTTATAACTCCTCAGCAAGATTAGGACAGAGGATGTGGTTGTCCATGATTTGAAGTTTCTTCTGTCTCATAGAAAATTAAAACAAATTGGCCCGAAAGGGAAATTAAAGTTACAACTTCAGTGTATATGTGTACACATTTAGTGAGTATCGTTACATCTGATATAAATGTTTGCATTTTTATAATTAAATATAGCTATAGATTGGATATTCCCCCCACCCCCCAAAAAAATCTGACAAAATTGTGTTCACCATTTGAGAAAGAGGCCTTAGATGACTCATGATCCTCCTTGCTACTTGGTCCTAAGGAAAACACTTAATAAGCACCAATATTTGCACCAATGCTGAAATGTCAGCAAACTTATCATCTGCTTAGGAAGAGACTGTAGTTAGGGAGCAACCAAAGAACATTTTTGGAGGATAACATATTAATAATTATAAGTTCATATAGTCATAGTTTACCTTACCTGTCAATATTTACATGTCACAAAAGAGCTACATGTAAATTGGATTTATATATTTCAGCATTTTTCATGCTTTGTTATTAATGACTTGCATTCTACTCTAAGTTGTTTTCTCTGCATTCTTCATTGGACAATGGACAGAACCTAACATTGTTTGTCTTCTCCACTTTTGCCTTTCTGCCTCCTCCTCCTTTTAAATCAGAGGAAAAAGGTAATCATTTTAAGGATATATATTCATGGTCATCATTTATACTTTCTTGATCTCACTTGTGAAAAACATTTTGTTTCTGCTTGCTGAGGGTAAAAACATGTAAAACATTATATTTAAAATGGGACCTCACATTGCTGTCTTTTTTCAAAGTTTGAGTAAGTTTCATCAATATACATTTATTAGACTCCTGTTATATGCCTTGGATGAATAGATGTTTGGGTATACTATACACTAAAGAGTATGATATATTTCCCCTCTGCCAAGGAACATAGAGCTTAGTAAGAGGAAGGGGGGAATAACAAACCCAAAGTAGAATATGCCAGGTTCTACAAGAGAAGTCCAAATGAAAACCTGCGAAGGCTTCAAGATGGAGAGTGGCATCCAATGAGAGCAGGTGAAAGGAATTGATGGGGGGTGGGGTGGCAATATGCCCGAGAGAGGAGGATTTCTGTAGATGGGGAGTGTCTGTCTATAAGAGGGAGTAGCCTGAATAAAAGCATAAACATGAGACACTTGGACACTCAGGGGATCGTGAGTTGCCCAGTTTCACTGGCACATGGTCCACTTATAGGGAAACTCTGAGAGATCTGACAGGAACTGTAGATTGGAACTTTGAATAAAAAAGGTAGAGGCATTTGGATGTTATTTCATCAACGAGGGGAAACCTCTAAAGGTTATAACTAAGGGAATAATGTGACCTAGGCAAAAAGGCAGGCAGCAGTGTGCAGGCTGGTTTGGAGAGGAGAAAGGAAGTTAAAGATGGAATTTGGCAGCAGATGAGATTAGGGGTGAGGATATGTGAGGAGCAGGGGAAGTCAAAGAGAGCAAGATGAGCCTGAGATGCCAGCCAGTGTGTGCCTGGTCATTGGGAGAAAGGCGGTGGGTCATTTCAGAAGGTATCTTTGTTAGGGAGGCAAGCTGGTCAGAGAAGAATTCTTGTTGATTTTGAGGTGAGACTGGAGGCCAGGAGTCATGGGTAGGAGGAGCAGTGTTGGGGCAACAGCTTGAGCCTTGGAGCCAGGAGTATCAAACCAGTGCTCTGTCTCTTATCTGCTGGGTGGTCTTGGATTTCATGGATGAGTCTTGAAACCTGCCTGAGCTTCTGCCTCCTCATCTAAAGGGAGGAACTGCTGCATTGCCCACAGGAGGGTTGTGCACTCAGTGAGATGATGTGTAGAAAGTGCCTCATAGAGTGCAGAGATCCTCTCTGTAAATGATGGTTCTCACTGTGACAGTTCACATAGAATGACCATAGAAGCTGTCAGATTAGAGAATGGTGGGGAAAGGGAAAGAGTATAAAGACAGAAGAGAAAACTTGAGACAGAACCCAGGGGATCCCCCATTCAGGAAAAAGAAGAAAGACAAGTAAAGAAGCAAGAAAGGAGACAATAAAGAAGGCATAAGGAGAGCCAGGAACAGGAGTATATCTAAAGCCAAGAGTTGAGGATTTCAGTGTCAGAGTCCAACAGCATCAATTGCTGCAAAGAGGCCAGAAAGAAGAAACAGGTCAAAGCCTTTGGATTTTATGACCTAGAAATCACCGGGTGACTTTTTTACCTTAAGAGAAGACTGCTGTGAAAATGTTGACCCATCTCTGGCCTTAACATTAAAAGCAGCATTTTACCAGGCACTTGTACTTGAATTTTTAAGTATCCAAGTACTTATCCATGTTTCTCCCCAGCCTCTTCTGTCAGAGCTTTCTCCAGAGCCATGACAAGAGGGATAAGAACTCCCAAGCTTATTCCAACATGAAACGTTTCATTTTCATCCAAGCAGTGCACATCCAAGAGAACAAGCTCCATTCCTGAATTTTAATGGCCAGGAGAAGGAAGAGTGATATTAACTCAGGTCTGATGGAAATGAAAAGTTGTTTGCATGGAAGGTTACTTATGGAAATAGCCTCTTTGGAAAACATCTAAAAATCTGTAGCTAAAAAACCCATTTCAGAAAATCTGTTACTCCAAGCTCTGTGGAAATGATGGCCTTCTGACTATCCTCCTAGAGAGAGAGAAGATTTTGTAGCACGTGGAAAGTTGAAGCACATCTACAGTTCAGTTCAAAGACTGTTCTTTCTCTTCTCTTTCTCTGCTCCTGAGGTAGCTACTCTTCAAACTTTGGTAGGAAATCTTCCAGACATTTTCTGCCACTCTTATTTTTGTTCTTTAAAAATAGGTTCACTTAACAAGTTGATTTAGGTGCTTATCAATAGGGCTTTGGAAGAAGTTTCAAATTCTTTATAATTGATGTTGCTTTTACTTTCATGGATTTATGCAAAGGAAAATGTGAAAAGTCCTTCCTCATATTAGTTCACAAAACAACTCATCTGAATCCTGCTACACTGTTTATGTAAATCTGATTTGTACCTTGGGACCCTTAGAAAATGCCTCCTACCTTTCGGAGAAATGGGAAAAACAAGAATAGAGGTTGGGTGTGGTGGCTCACGCCTGTAATCCCAGCACTTTGGGAGACTGAGGCGGGAAGATCATGAGGTCAGGAGATTGAGACCATCCTGGCTAATGCGGTGAAACCCCATCTCTATTAAAAATACCAAAAAAAAAAAAAAAAAATTAGCCAGGCGTGGTGGTGGGCACATGTAGTCCCAGCTACTCGGGAGGCTGAGGCAGGAGAATGGTGAGAACCTGGGAGGTGGAGCTTGTAGTAAGCCGAGATCACGCCACTGCCCTCCAGCCTGGGCAACAGAGCAAGACTCCATCTCAAAAAAACAAACAAACAAACAAACAAACAAACAAAAAAACATAGAATAAGTTCTGGGAATGTTCCTCCCTCTGTATATTTTTTCACCTCCAATGCTTCAGCTTTGTTACCATGTCAGTAAGGAATATTTATACTAATATCCATTAAAGCACTGTGTTAGTCTGTTTTGCATTGCTGTAAAGGAATACCTAAGGCTGGGTAATTTACAAAGAAAAGAGGTTTATTTGGCTCACAGTTCTGCAGGCTGTACAAACATGGAACTGGCATCTGCTCAGCTTCTGGTGAGGCCTCAGGAAGCTTTCACTCATGGCAGAAGGTGAAGTGGGAGTAGGTGTGTCACATGCAAGAGAGAGAACGAGAGAGAGGGGAGGGAAGTCTTTAACAACTAAGTCCAGAGTGAACTAATAGAGTGAGAAATCACTCCTTACTGTAGGGAGGGTACCAAACAATTCATAAAAGATCTGCCCCCATGACCCAAAAGCCTCCCACTAAGCCCCACCTCCAACACCAGGGATCAAATTTCAACATGAGGTTTGGAGGAGACAAACCATATCCAAGCCATAGCACCTCAGTTTCTTCATTTGTAAAATTCAGATAATAGAGAATATTGTATCTATTGATGACATTTTAATATGAAGTTTGGAGGGGACAGATATCCATACTATATCAAACATACATTGTAAATAAAGTAATACATTGCTTCTAAGGGTTAGAATCGCAGGAAACACATATGTGTCTTTGTATCCATCCAATAATAGGATCGGGGTCTGAAATATTAATCAAAACTTAAAACTTTCTTACCTCTGTTTTCAAATTCTTTTTTTTTGTGTGTGTGTGTGTGACAAATTCTTGCTCTTTTGCTCAGGCTGGAGTGCAGTGGCACAATCTTGGCTCACTGCAACCTCTGCCTCCCAGGTTCAAGAGATCCTCCTGCCTTAGCCTCCCAAGTAGCTGGGACTACAGTCATGCACCACCACACCTTGCTAATTTTTGTATTTTTAGTGGAGACAGGGTTTCACCACATTGGCCAGGCTGGTCTCAAACTCCTGACCTCAAGTGATCCACCTGCTTCGATCTCCCAAAGTGCTAGGATTACAGGTGTGAGCCACAGCACCTAGCCTTACCTTCAAATTCTAAACCAAGCTATTTAAATAGCCACTGTTTGATTATTTGAATTAACATGGAGCATCTTCTGGGATATTGTTCAGGGAAATATGAGTAGATCAAGGTATTTTGGGGATGTAAACCCTCATGTTTGATAAAATAAATGATATTTTGAGCTAGTGTTTGCTGGGAACAGAAAGTAAGAAGGGAAAAGGAGCGACCATACAGGAAAGTAAAAATAATAAAAGAAAATTTAGAAAACTAGAGGAAAAGGTATGAAAGGATAAATCCTCCATCCCATACTGATAATGGCCTTTGAGCATCACTAAGCCCCTTTGCTTCTCCCATTAAGCAAAGGATGATGACTGAGGAGGAACAAACAAAAATAGACATCATTAGAAAAAATACCCAAGACTTTTAGATGTTTCTCTAACATTTTGGGGTCATTTTCAGATTACCAGTGTTCATTTGCTGAGGTATATTAACGGATATTTGTACTTAATTTGAAAAATAGCAGGATCCAAACCAGAGGTCTGTATAAGAGCAGGCGGCATGCGTGTCTGGAGAGCTGCTGCCTCCACAAGTATTCTGACAGCACTGGGCTGCTAGTGAGACCTGGATGGCCACCCTCCCCATGTCATGGCCATGGGTTTTCGGGAACCGTTTCCTCCTTTTACTGCATCACAGTTGCAAACTCGTCTATTTATTTTTCTCTTGATTAACAACTGCACTCTGACATTGCAGCAGTGTTGATGAAGACAATTTAACTCATGTTTTTGTTAACATAATAATTGTCTGTCGTAACTAAAATATAAGTTTCTTGAAAGCTATAATCAGGTATAGAGAAAATCTTTGTTATGCACAATACCAGGGCAGGTAATATCTGTAATATGTATTAACAGCAATTCACTAAACATTGAATGTCTCTGTATGCTGGCACCTGTGCTAAAGATTTGCTGTATAAAGATAAATAGGAAATTGCCTCTTCTCCCACGAAACTCAAAACATTTATTGAATGAATAAATAATAGGTGAATTAATAAATAAATGAATGGTTTCTTTTTAGCCCTCTGGGAGTTGGACATAATTTACAGAAAGATATACCAAGATAGATGTGAGACATTGCAACACAAATTTCTCATTAGTCAAATGCTATCTGTCCCTTCTTTTGAAAACTGAAGGATAAAAATACAGCAGGAAGGGTTATGTCCCTTGACCCAAATCAGAGGGCTGATTTGAAAGATGAGGCTGTAGGCACATTAATCCATCTGTGGCCTCTCTCATCGTGTCTCTCCAACCCAGCCTCTCCCTCCCACAGGAGTAGGCCTTCCCCTGCTCTCCTAGCAGAGGGGTGGGGATGCACACTGGTGGGGTTTTCAGCATAACTCACCCTTAAGAATGAATTCCTCCTTGCCATGATCTGTTAAGACCTTAAAAAGAAAGGTCATACTTTAATGAGATAGGAAATAAATCTACCCATCTAGTCACCCAGTACTTTAGCCACATAAGGAGGGGAAAGAACTAGCAATTTCCCAAATGTTGTTTTCTGAGTCTGGAAATCAAAATCAGTCTTGTTTAGTTAAAACATATTTTTGAGCAGTAACTGTTGGAGGGGAGATGTTTGGGCTCATGAAAGCCATCGAGTCTTCTAAGATTTCTATGCACCCCTCCTGCTTTAGCACCACTGGCCAACTTAATTTCTGCATTATTGTTATGTGTCATAATTATGAAATTATATGTTCTGTTCTATTACTTCTAGTTTACACTAATTTTGTAATTGGATCTCATTAAGCCAATTATGTAACTGCTTAATCTTTAACTAAACACTATTTTAAAGACTTCAGAACTTAATTTTAAATGTTTACATTTCAAGGAAAGCCAAGGGGGTCTTTGCAGCTCAGAATGCACAATTAAAAAGTAAATTTGAGCGTTCAGGGAGATACCACCCTCACTTCCCACATGTTAAGTCCAGACATGTGTCTGTAATTTAAGATGGATCTTTTAAAATGCCCCTCTCTGGATTTTTATTGTCACTATGGGATCTGTCCCCTATGTTATTCTCATTTTCTCTTTAGTATTCATGTGTAAGACCATGAATTACCTCATTTTTGCACAGATGTTAACATCTTTCTATTCCTCTTATTAGTTTGTGAAACAGAGACAGAAGTAATAGGTACTTAACAGTGTGGCTGAATGCTGTTAAGATGAAGATGAAGAAGAAGACTTCATCTTAAGGATTCTGGTCCAGTGCTTAGGTTGTTAGACTTTGGTGCTGGAAGTGAGGATAAAAGGATTTGGACCAACTAGTGTTTAAATGATTTTCATGGGTAGAATTGCCATGGAGAATAAGAATGAGGGAAGGCAGGTAAGACACTGAACCTGAGATGTTCTAGGTTACTTCCTGAATTGATCAGAAACTGTAGATCTGCTAGTGTTCGGGTGATTGGCCACAGAGTTACAGAACCCAAGTGGCTTTTGTTAGCTTTTCTAATCAGTGTTTAAGGAGAAGTTCCGTGTGAAGGAACAAACCTGAGCATATGAATCTGAAGTTTGATTTCTTAGGATTTCCATTTACAAGATTAGTGACTTTACTTATCTCCTCTGTACTTCAATGTACCCATTGATAAAATATGTATAATGGGCCAGTTAGAACTCAAAATAGAAGCCAACTGAAGTGAGCTAGGACTCTGGAGGCCTCTGGCTGTATCAGGCATTAACCCTTCAGTTGTTGGATCATGCAGAGGAGGCGTGGTGGGGATCCCAGAGGCAGACTAGGGCAGATAAATCTGCAGGGGTATAGGGGGAGGGCGTATTTGGAGGGCTTATGAGAGGGGCTTACTTGACAATCAGGAGATATTGCAGTACAGCCATATCTTTGCATACCAGCTAAATATTGGTACTGGGTATAACTGCACTTTTTTTGCAGAGCTGCTATGAGGATTCAATAAAATCATGCCACTAACAACACTACAACTAACATAACTGACATGGATAAGTATTGACTGTGGATAATAGCCACTAATCATGCCACTAACAACACTACCACTAATATAACTGACATGGGTAAGTGTTGACTACTTATCCAGCTGACATTAGATAAGTGCCTGTGCTATGCTAAGTGCTTTACATGCATGATCTCCTTTAAAGCCTCGTGACAACTCTAGGAGGCAGATCCTATTGTTCTTATTATCCCCATTGTACACATGAGGAAACTGAGGCTCCGAGAGGATTGGTAGCTTGCCCAAAGTGGCACAGCTTGCACAAACGGATGCCATGCCCATAATGTGCCAGGTGCATGCAAGTGGTCAATAAATGTCTATTAGTATTCGATCCCATACAATGTGTAAAGCTAGAAGTTGTGATTCCTTTGGGAACAAGCAAGGCCAGCTGTACCCAACCCTCTCGGCAGCGCACATGGCACTTTACAGAAGGACTATAAAAATTCAGTCCACAGGGCAGGGAGTAGACCTGGCTAGGAGACAGGAAGTCAGATGACAATCCTACAATGGCAGGAAGGCCTGAGAGGAATTCAAATAGGAAAAAAAGAGAACTCGTTCAGAGCTGGTTGGCAACTGCATACTTCCTACAAAGATTAGAAGTATTACAATTACAATTATTACAATTGCAGGCGAGAAAGAAAAAGAGGCTGCAGGATGTTTCAATTTAATTTGACGAGTATTTACTGAGGAGAACTATGCATGAGGCACTGATAAGAATAAGAATAAAATATCATTGCCCTCCCAGGACCACACTATAACTAGAAGGACAGCTTTATTCACCAGAAATGACTGTGCAAATCAGAACGAACTCTGGTACAGACATTCAGCGGCCAGAGAAACCTTAAGTCAAATCACACCACTGCACCCCTGCTTAAAACCTGTCCATGGCACTTAGATTAAAATCCAGAATCCTTCACAGACTGCTTATATAGTCTGGCCCCATTCTATATTACCAGTCTCATTTCATCCCACGTCCCTTAGCCAACAACAGTCAGCCACATTGGCCCTTCTTTTCTCAAAAATGCCATGCTTTTCCCTGATGGGAGCCTCGGCCCACGTGTGCCTTCTGCTTGTGGTCATGGTCCTCTGGCTCTTTGCAGTCATGGTCCTCTGGCTCTTTGCATGTCTGTGCCTTCCCTGACATCCCCATTCCCGTTACTTCCTAGCCCACCACCCTTTATTTCCTTTAGCTTTATATTGATCTGACCTTAAATTGTTTTTATATTTATTGGAGTGTTTATTCTTCATCAGTACCATATGCACCCCATTAAGGCATTTACACTTCTGCTTTGTTCTCTTCTGTATTCCCAGCACCTAAATTAATGCCCAGTATATAGTAGGCACTCAGCATAAATTCGTTGAACAAAATAAATAAGATATAGAGCCACTGGAGCACAGAGGACAGGTTCTTTCTGGTCGAAGGCACTAAGGACAGTTTCACCGAGAAGATTTTGAGGAGAGTCGAGCTAAAAATGAGGAGGATTTTGATAGAAGGATGGAGGGGAATATGTTCCAGGCAAAGTGTGTATCTTAAAAGAAAAGTGTGAGAACAAGAAAGGAAACGAATTAAGGATATGATATGTGTTAGCAACTTTGCGTGTTATCTTATTTATACCCATTTTATGTGAATTGAGGCTCAGAAAAATGTTAGTCATCCCAGGTGCTCTGTAAATAAGTACTTGAACTAGGATGCAAATCCAGATTTTCCTGGGACCGATGTCTATGATTTTACCTTTAGCTATGCCTTCTTCTAGTGAATAATCAGGTAAAATTTGACAAAGGCTAAATATATGTAAATCAAGTATTGGAGAACAGGTAGGGAAAACCTCAAAACCAAAAGCCAAAAGACATCCTTTAGAAGGAAGAAAGCTGTTTCTGTTTCTCCAATATTTTTAGGAGTTAGAATTTTTAATCTCTAAGCTGCATTCGTGGAGGTGTGATCTAAAATGCCTTGAAAATGCAGGACAATGAATCATTTTTTATTTTTTAAAGATGTGTTTATTCAACAAATGCAGATTGAGTGTTATTGTGTTCGAGGTGCTAGGCTTGGTTTAGAGATGCAGAGTTGAGGCAGATTCTCTAACTTCCCTTGGGAAGCTTTGGTAAAATAAAGGAAATAGATAAAGGAGTGATGATAACACACGGCAGCAGTGGAGTCTGCCAGAGCCTAGGGCTTGGGAAGGGAGGCTTCATGGAGGTCATGCCTGGATGCTTGAGGCTGATCGGGTAAATGAAGATGGAACACGTAGAGGGAGCAGGTAGGTATGTCTAGAAAAACAGTGAGGACATTTGGGAGGGCAGGAGGCTAAAGTAGTAACCAGGAGCCAGGTTGCAAAGGGCCTTGTGTGCTTACAAATTTTTACTTTATCCTGGGCCGGGCATGGTGGCTCATGCCTGTAATCCCAGCACTTTGGGAGGCTGGGACAGGTGGATCACCTGAGGTCAGGAGTTGGAGACCAACCTGATCAACATGGTGAAACCCTGTCTCTATTAAAAATACAAAAATTAGCTGGGCATGGTTGCACACTCCTGTAGTCCCAGCTACTAAGGAGGCTGAGGCAGGAGGATTGCCTGAGAACAGGAAGTGGAGGTTGCAGTCAGCCACTGTACTCAGGCCTGCGTGACCAAGTGAGACTTAGTCAAGAAAAAGAAAGAAAGAGAGAGAAAGAGAAAGAAAGGAAAGAAAGAAAGAAAGAAAAAAAAAGAAAGAATTGATTTACTTTATCCTGAAAGTTAAGGGAAGCCCTGCAGAGATATTAAACCAAAGAGACAGGAGCAGATTTACATTTTAGAAAGCATGCTCTATAGCAGTATACGAAATGGATTCAAGGGAGCCATCCTGGAAGAAAAAAAAATAAACAGGCAGAAAGATTTTATTACCCAGCAACAATAATGAGATCTGGTACTAAGGAAATGCCACTGGAAATTGAAAAGAAATGATGGCTATGAAAAAATTAAGGTAGAAGTTTTAATGAAGGTAAGGGGAAGACTGTTTAGGTCCCTGACCTCAGAGAGTCAGGGGAGGGAGGGTTGAGCACTGGGGAGAGGGAAAGGGTTCCACAGGAATAAGTTGAGGAGATGTGATCATCTCAGTTTGGCTTATAGTGCCTAAGTGCATATGTGGACTTGGACATTTTCAAGGCATTTTCATTTTCGAGATATTTTAGATGATACCTCCACAATTGTAAGTTAGAAATTAAGAATTCTAATACAAAACTGAGTATATAGGTCTGTAATTCGGATGAGAAATCTAAAATGGACAATCTACTAAAAAAGGTTAATTACCACAAGGATAAGATTTTAGTGTCTTTTTTGAGACCGGGTCTCGCCCTTTTGCTCAGACATGATCCTGGCTCACTGCAGCATCGGCCTCCCAAGGCTCAGGTGATCCTCCTGCCTCAGTGCCCCCAAGTAGCTGGGACTACAGGCACACGCCACCATGCCTGGCTAATTTTTCTATTTTTAGTTGAGGCGGGGTTTTTCCATGTTGCCCAGGCTGGTCTCGAGCTCCTGAGCTCAAGTGATCTGCCCACATTGGCCTTCCAAAGTGCTGCCAGATTTTATTTTATGCACTAGGGCATCCCAGGAGAATAGAAAAGTGCCTGGTATATATTAGATACTCAGTAAAGATTTCTTAAATGATCACAAAGATTTGTAAGTTGCTGGAGTATACTTGATAGCTGAAATCACAGATTTAGGTAAGGCTATGCAAAGGAAACTATATAGACTGAGAAATTCAGAAAAAGCATGCCCTCAGACTTGGAATAGCACAGACCTATCCCTGTTATTTAATAATAATGATGATAATAATGTCAAAAGTCTACTACTCAGATTTTACTCATCAAAAAGTAGAACCAGGAGAAAAACAGTTTTCATGGTGGGGCTCTGAAAGAGGATGTTGACTTTTCATTAGCCAGTGAACCTAGAGGTGGTGTGGTCAGTTTGTGGATATCATGTGATCTGACATTGATTACATTTTAGTATGAAATTATGCTGCAAACCCAAATGTTTAGAGCAAAGTAACTTGGACATGTTCAGTATATGGAAGCTTTTTTGAAATGATAACCCATCCTAAGTCATTTATTTTAGACTTATGAAGGGATGTTCACTTCTCTGATTCTCATAACCTTAATAAAAAGATTTCCTCCTGCTGTGCTGAAGAAAATTCTTGTTTCCCAGTTCTAGTCATTACGGTAAGATCTTGTTCAATTCTCAGTTGGCTTTCTGGAATAATAATGTCCACATTGTTAGGACTGATACATTTTACTTAGAAACTCTGGCTTTCTTCCAGGGAGTAACAGATGCCATCAAAATGTAAGTTGTGGGAATAAGAACTATATACTGTAAAGCCACACGAATTCTGTCTAATGGTTTTTAATAGGCTAGCATAGCCCATGCCATATTGTAAGTAATTAGTTAAGATGGCAATTAAGCTGAAATACTACTCTTGTTTTAGATAAGGTTATCAGGCAACCGCATGTCCATAGGATTTGGGACTAATTTTATCTAAGGGAATTTCTGAAAAATAATTGCTGAATTTTACAAAAGTGATTCAGCACTTGGATTTCAGAGATTAGTCATTTAATATCAGGTTAGTGGAGTCAGCTACTTTGATGGGATTTAGAGATCAAGATGTTTTGGAAATAATAGCATCTGAGGTAAGTTACCGCAGCTCTCTGAGTCTGTTTCCTCCTCTGTACTCCCCTTTACTAGGATTCCTGTGTGGATTAAACACAATCACATCTATCCTAGCACCTAACATGGTGTCTGGCTCACAGTTACTGTTCAACAAATGTTTAATCTCCCACATCTACTTAAAATATTTGGCTAAATAAATAATATGGCTAACTTTAAATACTATTTTGTGGATTCAAAACATTCTTAAACCATTCAATGTTCAAAGTCTTCACTGATTCTACATAGTGTTTCTTTTATAGGTTAGGCAAAGGTCAACTTCCATATGTTCAATAAATACATAGCACCTATAATGTCCTAGATGCTGCGCCCACATCTGGAAAGGGACGCAGAGGAGATAAAGACAGCCATGGCCTGTTGCACAGTTACCTGTTTAGAGCTGAAGGCAGATCCTAGACAAGTCACCACAGGTTTTACATAGCTAAATAGTGAGTATTACCATCAAGCGAAGGTCAGGCAGAGGGGCTTCCTATATTGTTGTCTGACACAAACCTGTTTGGCATTTGTTCCTTTGTCTAACCAAAAGTTGGGAGCTTCCATAAATATTTGCATTGCTGGAACCATTGAATCCATTTGAGTTTACAAGTGATGTTAAGACAGATCTTACCACAAAGAGGTGTGGTATGACACCATCCGGAGTGCCGCAGAGAGGACATGAGGACAGACATACTGTGAACAGGAGTGGTAGGAGCTAATTCTGAGTCAGAACCCAAATTACATAAGAAGAAATGTCATCTAGTTTACTTCTATCCTTACCCTGGGAGGCTAGGGGCAAGCTCTGCCTGCTTCTAGGTTATATCATGAAAGCAACAAAGGATGTTTATTTCATTTTCCAAAGAATACATTTTGGGCTCCTTCAAGTGAAGAACTTGAGGCATTTTTCACACATGTAATCAGCTTTTTCATTTTTTCCAACATTTGAAAAAGTTCCAGTATAAAGCACATATTTTTTGCTTTAGAAATAATATTCTGGTCTGTGTCCATACCACTCTGAATGCAACCGATCTCCTCTGATCTCAGAAGCTAAGCAGAGTTGGGCCTGGTTAGTACTTGGAGAAATAATATTCCGGCCCTCCAAGTTTCCTTCTGAATTGGGGTTCTACTGTGATTGTTAACTCTTAAGAAAGATTTCAAGTGTTTTTGCCATTGTGTGAGGTTATTGATAAGCATTCCAAATACAAATGACATAAAAAGCACCAGTTCACCAGAACCTGAAATTCAAAAATGGCCAAATTCAGAGGTGGTTTATTTGCAAAGGTACCTGTAACTTTTCAGAGGTAATTACTCAGGGATTTCTTTTGACTCTCTTGGCAACAGGTTGTGATATAAAGGCCCTGGGTCCTGGATGCACTAGGTAGGCCTATGACGTTGAGAAGAGACTTGATTGCCACAGATGTGGATTCTTCATTCATAATGAGAATCCAAGTGACTTCCATTATCTCTTCTGTCCTGGTTCTAAAATTCTGATAACTCTAAAATATTTAAAATATTTCTTTACATGAAGTTGTGGGTATATTAATGTTTATTTTATCTTACAAACCAGAAGCAACTGGGACAGGAGTTTTAGAGTGGTCCAGATTTGACTATTTCCATTGTATTCCTTGGGGGGATCATATGTGGATCAGCTTTCCCCGGCTGTTGTCTGGCTGTTAAGTTCTGATGTTATGCAGTCCACATGATTACACCCTTGTGCTGCGGCCTTTTCAGTAGGACAACACTGATTATGGACAGACAGTGAATTTTCTTCGAAGACATGGATCCAGACCCTCTAAGAGAAAATTAAATGGTGATTCTGGCTGGGGTCGGGGGGCAGTGGGAGGCGCGAGGAATTTCCACTGTCTCAGGCTACACCTATGCTGAAGGGCCTGTGAGAATTTCTGTTTCCCAAGCTTAGGACCCAGTACCATTTGGAAGCACTAAACCCAGTTTGAAAATGCTGTTTTAGAAAACAAAGACATACTGCCAACAGATATATAATAAGATAACCCATTTTATTGGGGTGATAAAAGTTATTCTTACTTGAGAGTATCACAGTTGCCTCACTTTATTTTCTGATGTATAACTCACTTGTGTCCAAGAATAAATGAAATAAGAGTCTGGATTGTAGAAAGAGCGTTAATGGAAGGGGTGCTGTTGTGTGTTAGACACAGTGCGATGTGGTGGTTTAGACAGACTCAGGGACTTTGGAAGCCTTGGGCAGGCATTTAACCTCCCTGTACCTCAGTATCTTCATCTGTAAAATGCGTAAACATCCCTACATTCAGCGTTTCCTAAGGATTAAACAATTTAATGTTTTTGCATTATCTAACAGACAGTACATTTTAAATTAAACTGTAAAATATGTATGAGTGTTAGAATAGCATTTCAGGGCTCAATAAATTATTATTTATTCAACAACTTTTGCTTAGTGCCTACCATGATCTAGGGCAATGGATAAGATCCTGCAGGAGAGCACAAATAAAGGATGAATAAATTCCCTGCTTCAGGAATCTTGGGCCTAATGAGAAATAATAATATATGGTCATAAAGATGAGTTAATAACAGGCAGCAATATTTGATGAGCTAAGATGAGGAGCTGTCCTCTAGCATGGGAAGAGGACCTTGTGTATAAAGGAAAATAGGCAGATCTGAATAATTGAAGCTCAGAGAGTAGGTGAACCCACCTGGATTAGGTTGGAGCTAAAGGGAAACAGGAATTAATTCTCAGGGTAAGGAGTTCCTGTTTGATCCTTCAAACACAGGAGAGGCATTGATGACTTTTATGTAGAGGAATTATGTGATTTTTTTAAAAATCCGATTTTAAGGAAGTATCAAAGAGTCTATAGCAGGATTTCATGAAGGGGCAAGAGTCTGGCAGAAGGAAAATCAGTGACCATCACACTGATGAAAAATGTGATAGAAGGAACTGGAAATAGGAAGGGATGGGTGTGGTGGAAAGAAGATTTGACCAAGAGTGACAATCCATAAACCAAGAGGGCTCGGTTCCCGTACACCCAACCCCGTACCTGCCTCTCTCACTAGGCTCAGCCTTCCTGATCTTCTTTATGAGGCTTTCAATTCTGCCAACCTTGGCTTCTGCTGTTCCCTTCACCTGGAATGCTTATCTTCAGAAAATAAAATCTTCCTTTTGTGGCCAATCCACCTAAAGACCTCAGGCCCTCTATAAGAGCACTTCGTCATAGTCTATCCAAAGCGTTTACCACTATCTCAAATTACTTGCCTGTGGAGTTGTTACCTGTTTTTCACTGTCTTTGTTTCCTTGTGAACTGGACTCTTGATGTCTTGGTAACTGTTTCCCCAGTACCTAGAACTATTTCTGAAACCCAAAGGGTCTTAATAAATATTTATTGAGTAAATGAATGAAATAATTGATCTCTAAGGTCCTTTCTAGCACCAGTTTTCTGACTTCCTGACTTTAGGTGAAAGAGAACTTAAGAAAACTGCTTGCTGACAGAGTATTTAGGAGAAAGGGAAAAAGAAGACTAAGGTTTTGAGTTTGGGTGACTTGAAGAATACTTTTAATGACTGAAATATCAGTTTTTATCCTCTCTCCTCAAACATTCAGGCACACTGATTTTGGTTGCCAGCTCATTCCATGTATGGTGTCAATGGGCCATCCAGAGGGCAATGATATCCTGGTCCCTGGAGACAACAAAACTGGGATGTTTCAGGAGAGAAAACAGAATGAAATTGAAGATGGGAGTTTTGGAAATCATACATAAGACTCGTGTTTGGCCGGACGCAGTGGCTCACGCCTGTAATCCCAGCACTTTGGGAGGCCGAGGCAGGCGGATCACGGGGTCAGGAGTTCGAGACCAGCTTAGCTAACATGGTGAAACCCTGTCTCTACTAAAAACACAAAAATTAGCCGGTGGTGGTGGCAGGCGCCTGTAATCCCAGCTACTGGGGAGGCTGAGGCAGGAGAATCACTTGAACCTGGGAGGCAGAGGTTGCAGTGAGCCAAGATCACACCACTGCACTTCAGCCTGGGCAACAGAGCAAGACTCCATCAAAACAAACAAACAAACAACAAACAACAACAACAACAAAAATAAATTCGTGTTTGCCAACTAGTAGTAACAGACTGATTTATTTGAAACTGTTAGTGGAGCTAGTTATATTTTAGTGAAAATTCCGCATGGGGGAAAATAACCCAAAAGAAAATGGTAAGAGATTTTAGCAGGTAAGTCCATTTTATCATGTAATATTTACATGGATTTGCTCATTGTTTAGGAGAGAGTGGCAGTGGAACTAAAACACTCCCTTCTCATTAGGACCTGGCTGTGGATAAAAATTTCTCCCCAGGTCCATCCCATCTTATGCAGTGACAATGACCTGTAATGCTATCCTGACACCAACTGGTAACATACTGCAGTATAATTCCCGGGCTAACCACCCAGAGTCAGCACAGACCACACAAGTTCCAGGGCATAGTCCTCAAAAAGATGCCCTTACTTCATACGCCAACTGCTTTTTGGGTGACCCCAGGCCACTCATACTTTGGACCAAATAGGTACAAATTCAGGGGTTACCATCATCCCTTCAGTTTGATAATTCACTAGAATGACTCACAGAATTCACAGGAGCACAGTACTTGCCATTACAGTTTTATTATAAAGGACACAGATCAGCAACAGCCAAATGAAGAGACACATGGGGCAAGATCTGAGTGGGTTTTGAACACAGGGCTTCTGTGCCCTGTCTTTGTGGAATCTGGGTACATCACCCTTCTGGTACGGTGATGTGTTTACCAACCAGGAAGCTCCACTGAGCTTCAATGTCCAAAGTTTTCACAGGGGTTTCATTACGTAGGCATGATTGACCTAATCATCTGCCGTATAATTGAGCTCAGTCTCAGCCCCCTTGTACTCTCCAGAGCCGGGCTGACTCAAAGCTCTCTAATCATGCAGTTGGTCTTTCTGGTGACCAGCCTCTCTCCTGCTGAGTCATCCCATCTCTTAGCCTAAACTCAGATGTGATCCAAGGGCTCATGAATAACACAGAAACTTCTGTCATTTGGGAAACTCCAGGGGTTTTAGAATCTCCCTCCCAAGAATCAGGGACAAAACTAGTATAAGTCTTTATTATACATCAGGTGTACTGCATTTTTCTGCACATTCATTTGTTGCTTTTTAATTTAAGCACTTAATTGGAAAGAAATTTTAAATCTTAACTGAAAGTTAGCCCTTCTCATTCCTCTATCCCTCTTATACACGATGTACATTCATTCCATCAAAATATCTCTTCACATTATTTAATAAAACTGATATTAATCCACTACTTTCTAAAACTTCCATCATTCTAATTCAGATAGCCTTCAACTGTCACCTAGACCATGACAGGTGCCACTAAACTGGTCTTTTTTCTTCCATACTTGCCCCTCTACTGACTATGCCTCAAAGAAAAAAATGAAAAAAATCTAAAACATAAATCAGAATATGTCACCTGCCACCTGCTCCAAACCTTCCACTGGCTTTCTACTCTACATAGAATAAACCCGAACCTTCTTGTCCAGTCCTACAAGCTCTGGCACCTGCTATGCTCTGCCCTTTCCTCCCATTCATAGGCTCCAGCTACATGGACTTTGCTGTTTCCATAATATGCCAAGCTTGTTTCTACCTAAGGGCCTTTGCAAATGTTCTTCTTTCAGCCTGCAGCACTCTACTTGTTCCTTTACATCCTGCACATCTCTCCTTAAATGTCATCAACTCAGAGAGGCTTTCTCTGGTCACCTTTTCTAAAGAGGTCCCATCTCCCCACTATGTCATTCTTTATCCTCTTACCCTGATTTTTCATTTCCCCAAAACAGCTATCATAATCTGACATCATGTTGCATATTTGTTTTTTATTGTATGTCTCCTTCATTTGAATGTAACCTGCATTAGGGCAACAACTTTGTTTTTTTCATTGTTGTATTATCGGGACTTAGAGCAGTGGCTGGCACATAGTGGGCGCTTAGTAAATATTTGCTGAATGAATAAATGACTGAATAAACAAATGAATGAACAAGAAATAAGTAATGATATATCTTTAGTGACTTAGCCTAGATTCTTAATAATGCAAGTGATAGCTAGAGTAAAAATGTATGGCAGCTGAAAGCACAGGTATTAGTCTGTCTCAGTTCACATGCCAGCTTGGCCATTTCCTAGCTGTGTGACCTTGGGGAATTTGCTTAACCTCTCTGAGCCTTATTTTGTCTCTTTAAAAAAAGAAAATGTAGTAATATTATCTACCTTTACATTTAAAACTGTATTCAGAGACCTTTTATAAAAAGGAATATACTCTCTCCCAATACCTATAATTCTTCAATCTACACATATTCAATGGAACCTGTGATTAAAGGATCCAACAGATCTAAGATAGACCTTTTATATATACAAGACTAGATTAGAAACTAAGAAATATAAAAGAGTTTGGCCAAGTTACTGCTTCTTGCTTCCTTTTTTGAAAAACAAGGATGTTGAATTAAATCTATCCAAAGACTCTTTGAGTGCTGATATTTTGTGGTGTTGTAATTAAAACCACAAGTCTGGACAAACTTGGAAGCCAGAGAATGATAGGGAAATCATATACCAAGCTCGAAGAAAAGCAGTGGGCTCTCTTCTTTATTATAAGGTTCTGCTCATTTAAATAGTCCCCAAAGAGTCTTCCAATGTCAAATAAACTACTTTGCAGAACATAATCAGAAGAGCATGGTTCAGTTGGCTGTGATTAGGTTGCCAGCTCTGGTCTGCAGGGGAAAATCACAAAGAAAATGTAGTCGAGGCTCGAGTTGGATTTAGTCAACAACCCATGTCAGCCATCTCTTTCTCCAATGAAGTACTATCTAAGAAGGACTAGAAATTTGTTGATATCATTAGTGAAATATAGTGCACTGTGTAAGAAGAACTAGAAACAAACAGTGGTAGAAACATGGGCTAATACACATGAATACAATTTCTCTATCTGGCAACCCATGCAAATTATTTGATCTTTTCAAATCGTAATAACACAGAAAGTCTTCCCAGAAGAAATAATTTGTTCCTACTGCCCATTCTTATTTGTTCTAAGTTTGTGTATTAGTTTGGCTGTATTGCCAGATTACTTCTCTTCATATAACTTCATTTTTCATTTAGTTTCCCTATCTGCGTTAAAGGTTTTTTCAGATTTTTATATTTGATTGCTAACCTGCTTTGTGAAATCTTATCCTTTACTATCTTCATCTTGCATCTCTGGTTTTTTTTTCCTCAGTGATTTGGTGGATGTGAAAATGATAGAAGCTAAGATTACATCATCTTTAATAAAGAAAAAAATATAGGGTATGTGGAATGCAGGTGAGCCATGGAGAAAGAAATCAATCAGGTTGGCAAATTGCATCAATGGGACAAGGTGCAAAATGCTTGTTTCATGCAGTATTTATTGAACAAGCTTGTTGAAATATAGTTAAAATGTATATGGAAAAGTAAGGAGCCATTTTGTTCAATTTAAATGACATTGATATATTTTTTTACATCATAAAGTCTTTCAATATTTCCAACAACAATCTTTGGCACAGTACTTTATACAATTTTCTCAAAGGCCCTTCAGAGATAAAAGTATATATCTAAGGTTATAAATTGGGTATATCCAATCTACATATAATGGAAGCCACTACAGTCACTCTGTAGAATTCAATAGATCAAGAATTATATTCAGGTATTACATAGATAAAGTATTCTTGAGAATTTGGGAGAAGTTGAGGTTTTGAATAATCCTCAAAGCCCTCAGTTGACTGTCATTTTTTTTAATCGCTCCCAGTTCTAATGGCATCTGGATGATTTTTTGTAGGACCAAGTAATCAGCTCATGCTCTCTTCTCTTCACTGTGGAAAGGAAGTCTTAATGTTGTTTTTAGAGAACCAGAAAAATGTATTCTTCCAAAATTGGCAGAAAGGGAAAAATGACTTTTCTTTTTTTATGGTTTTGGAACTACCAAATAGGCATCCTTTCGAGAAGTGACTGCTCTACAGGTTGCTTTTATTGCTGTTTCTCAAAAGGGAACATTTGCTTAAAGTACACCCTCCCAGATCAAGGGGGTCCTTCCCTCCTGTGGCAGAGGTAAATAGGGGTTTACAACGGGAAGAGGAGTATTCTCTTTAAAACTTACATTCTCTTTAGTCTTCCCATCCTAAAAGAAATCATAAAACAACAGTGGCGAAGAACTTGGTAGATTGTATTTGAGTTATTTCAACAAAAAGAAAATGTATTTTATTTTGAAGATAGAGGAGAAATAGGACCACAGTTGGGTGATTCTTGGTAAAGACGTCCCTGAAAAATACAAACACAATCTGAAGCTACTTTCTGGAAAACAGATAACTATACACATCAAAATATCAAACTAAAATTAGCAGAAAGAATTGTTGGCAAAGGTTTTGTAAAAGAACAGTTGCACAGGGCATGAAATTGTAGTGAAAGTTCACATAGCCTTTCATTACTTATTTGTCATTTAGTTGGATTTTCTTATTTGTCCCTCCTGTTGCTATCATTAGCCATTAAGCTAGCAGAAACAACATTTTCCACATCACATGGGCAATGTCTTTAGAGTTTGCAAAGAGAACAAGGAAAGCAGGCTACACTGTTTCATGAAAAGACCAACCGATGTAGGAAAATAAGAATATTTGTTGTATAATCACTGAAAACCTGTCAGCAAGCAGAAGAGGTTTAACTGGTAATTACTTTAAAATAGATTTCTCTTCTGGTGCCTTTTTAAAGATATTCTACGTGTTATTTTTATTTTGTAGTTTAAAATAATTTATAGTTTTCATGGTAAATTTGACAGTGTGCAAGAATAATACTGAAATAAATAATATTCAAAAAGAAATGGTTTCTAAGCAGGCAGCAGCTGTGGGATCAGTGTTTGTGTAAGACTTTTCCTTTGCACGCTCATTGGCTTTTGTGTTTAAACACGTTGGCTGCCCTCTTCATTGACATTGTCTTAGTCAGATAGAATTGTTTTAAACAAGCATTCTATTTAAACTCCTTAAGTGATAGATTTGCCTTTTAATTAAAACATTATTCCTTTAGCTAGTATGCAAGTATTATCCACAGTTTATTTTCCAAAGAAAACACCTTCTCTTTCCTACTTCCTAACTTCTAGAATAAATGCACAGATGAGCAAATTTATTTCAGGATTTAAAATGGTAAACTTACTTATATAATGGTAAACAAGCATGAACAATTTAACATTTCTAGGGTGTCATGTGTACTTAATGAAAATTCTGATCTATTACTTCTGAACTCCTGTGTCATGAGTCTGGGGATACAGTACGCCAAGGAGAAAAAAATACAGTTTCAGGAAAAAGAAAAAAAGAGTCATGTAATTAAAGTTGCAGGAGCCATTTCTTGAATCCTGGAATGTTTGGGAAATATACAATGCCCTACTCTTACGTTAAAAATTTTGTTAGGTACCCAGGTTTCAGGAATCACTAAGCTTCAAATTACATTTTCATTCTTTGTAGTGACACCGTTCATTTTCCTTTCCTCAGGTCCTCTGTGTTCAGGCATGAAAACTGTCTGACTTGCCTAGAGTTTCCAGTTTAACCTTGCTAGTAAACCCTAAAATAAAACTATGACTCCCTTCTGTGTTCTACCTGGGCCAGTGTGATACCAATGAGTCTCGCTTCGCAATTCATGTTCATTATCGTTATTCCCTGATTATACCAGATAACTGTAGTCAGAATACTGCTTTGCTTAAAATAGAACGCAGTGATATTGGGTTACCACATGGGGAGGCCGACCTGAAGATCATCAGATGGTCTCTCAGGACAGTGCTCCAGACAGTCTCTCTCTTAGGGGACAAAGGTCCAGGCCCAGTGCTAACCTTTACAGACTCATCCTAGAGGCCGTCAGGGTACACAGAACAAATTGGGGGTAGTAACACACTAACCGGAGTCAAAAGACAGAAATGTGGATAAATCAGAATACCTATGCATTGATTTAACAAGATAAATTGATTTTCAAGCAGGACAGACACACATGATGGCAGGTCAGTGTATTTTTCCCTGAGACGCCAGATTATAATGAGAAGGTTGGTTGCTGAATGAGCAGAGGTTGGGAGCAAAGGGAGTTAGTTGGTTTTATGATTTGAATAGTTGACCAGACCGAGATAAACAGATGTAACCTCATTGCTGCATCCAGCTGGAGACTAGAGTTTAGACAAGGGCTTGCTTAAATCCTGTGTGTGAGTCCTGGCTTTCCCACTTACCAGCTCTGTGACCTTGGGAAACACTGACTAGTATCTACCTTAGGGTTATTGTGAATGTTCATTCATTTATTCATTTATACTATGTATAAAGCACTTATTTTGTGCCAGGAATTATTTTAGGCCCATATCCCAGAATGGCAGTGAACAAAACAGATAAAAATCCCTACCTTCATGATGTTTACATTCTAACACACAAGCCATCAATACGATTGATAAATAATATAGTCTGCCTGATGGTAATGGGTGCTACAGAGAAAAATAAAGCAGAGGAGGGAAAATCCCCAGGACAGGTGGATTCACTGTTAAATAAAATCAAATCTTAAATGTAAAGATGATGGTATCTGACCCGCCATATTTTTTATTCTAGTGTGGTGTTATTATTATGACTTTCATTTTATCTTCTCTGAGGAACAGGCAGAGCCTAGCCAAATATCCACGGGAGAGTGCCAGACACATAAGCTAGTTCAGCCTCATTCCACCCCATTTGTTCCAAGCTCAGTGCAGTCTTCCTAATTGCCAGTGTTGCCTTTAGATTTGTAAATTCCATTGATTAGTTAACAGTTGGGTCTTTCTTTGTTTTAGAAGACATTTTATACATAAAGGTGTCATTATACACTTTTCATTTCCTTTATCATGAGTCGAGATTTTAGGTCTAACTTCAAGCATTTTAGAAGTATCTCCATACTTAGTGCAATTTGTAGGACTCTTTTTTTTTTCTTTTAAGTTCTGGGATACATGTGCTGGGATACATGTGCAGGTTTGTTACATAGGTACCTGTGTGCCATGGTGGTTTGCTGCACCTATCAATCCGTCATCTAGGTTTTAAGCCCCACCTTTTCTAAGATCAGATCACGAAAATGGTATCAGTGCATTGTGATCTGGAGAGAAAGTCTTAGAGTCTGGAAATCAAAAATCTGTATTCTAGTTTTGCTTTCTCATTATCTAGATCAGCAGTCCCCAACCTTTTTGGCACCAGTGACCAGTTTCATGGAAGACAATTTTTCCAGGCACTGGGATCGGGGGTGAGGGGGTGGAGGTGGGAATGGTTTGGGGATGATTCAAGTGCATTACATTTATTGTGCACACTTTATTTGTTATTACATTGTAGCATATAATGAAATATTATACAACTCACTATAATGTACAATCAGTGGGAGCCATGTGCTTATTTTCCTGCAACTAGACAGTCCCATCTGGGGGTGATGGGAGACAGTGACAGATCAGCAGGCATTAGATTCTTAAAAGGAGCATATAACCTAGATCCCTCAAATGCACAGTTCACAATAGGAGGTTCACACTTCTATGAGAATCTAATACCACCGTTGCTGTGACCGGAGGTGGAGCTCAGGCGGTAATGCAGGCGATGGGGTAAATACAGATGAAGCTTCACTCACTCATCTACCACTCACTTCCTGCTATGCAGCCCAGTTCCTAACAGGCCACAGACTGGTACTGGTCCATGGCCCAGGGTTTGGGGGCCCTGATCTACGTGACTCGTGATGCTGCCATAACTGTGTAGCTTAGTTTTTCTTCCTGTGTCTTGGGGAGCATTGGGGCTGCCTTTCATAGGGTTCATGAGAGAATAAAATAAGACTTGCCCAAGATCACCCATCAGTAGGTTCCCCATCTTTTATTCCCCAGTTATGCTTTCTTTCAGCTACACTAGGAAGAGGTGATGAGGGAGTGTGAAGGTTCTAGGATAGGAGAGAAAATACCTGTGAATAGTTTGGGTAACTCGATAATGGTTGGGCTCTAATGTTATTATTGCAAGAGACCAAGAACGTCAGATTTGATAGGTTAGAAAATGGTGGTGTTTGAGCAGAAGAGCAGTTTATGAGGACGGTGTTAAAGGAGTCCCAGCAGTACTGTATTAGAGAAAAGGGATCTGATTTGAGAGTCATAAGAAAAATATGACTGTAAGTAATCAGTGACTAACTGAAAGTAGCAGTGAGGAAGAGATAGACAGTAAAAGTCTATCCGTATTCTTGCATGTATGCATCTACCTCCACATATTTGAGCACTTGCTGGGCTTGTGGGCTAGGCACTAAGAGAAAAATCTGAGTGGCCCTCAGATGCATGTGACCCAGGGAATGGTGGAAAGATGTTTTCTAAAATGTTCTGCTGGTGCTTAGGTCTCAGAAGGCCTATGGAAGTTTTAATTTTGGTAAGAAACATCCTTGCTAGTTCTGGGTTTGACCTTAAGCTCAGGCTGGAAGTAAATTGCTAGTGCCCACCTCTGAGGAAGTGCAGGTTGAACTAGGGCAGGTGACACACTGCCTTGTGGAATGTCAATCTGCAAGTGATTCCATCCTGCTTAACGGAGCTTTAGCACTTTGACCCCAGCTTGAAGCCTGGGAATACAGCACCCTCCAGCCCCTGAACCACAAGCCACTTGCAAGCTGGGCATATCACAAAATTACTTTGATCCAGTCATCATAAGTGTATTTATTGCAATGGGATTCTACACAATAAGGTGGTGTTATTGTGAATTAGAGAATAACAGAAGACTTATGTATTCAAAGTGGGATTTGGTGGGTAGAAAATTTACACCATACATTGCATCAGCTACTATCATTCTACAAAATTTGACTGTGCAATAAAATGATAGTCAGTATAAATAAGATCTTTCTAAATTGCTGCCTAAACTGATAGTGCACATGGAAATAATTTCAACCTCACGTTATACATTAGGCATGTTATTGAAATGTTGCTTATAAATGTATTTTGTGTTGAAAGTTTAAATCACGTTTTCAATGTTCCTTTGGAAAATTGTTAGTTAAAGAAATCTGGTGATTATTCCTTTAGGAGAGAATCCTTTGGAAATTAATAGTAGATAATCTGTTTTTCATGGATTTTGTAAACTTCATTTTTATATATCACGTTACCCTAAAGCCACCTGTATCTTAGGTTAAAATAATTAGGTTACCTTTATTCTTGAAGTGGTTGGTAATTGTGCACAGTCTAAACCAATACAAGCTGGATTGTATAATTGTATTGCCAAATCTTCACCCATTTTTTTAGCAAATTAAAAAAGAATTATGATGCAATGGGGTGGGGTGGAGGGTGAACAAAGATTACTCTGAGCAACAGGAATGAGAGGATATTGTGATAAATCTTATATGATATATAAACCATGACCAGGGATTAAATCATAGCTAGACCACATAAATAATGCTGTGTAGATCTTGCTATGATTTCAATAGATAACATAATTCAAAACCCAACTTCCAGCACAATTAAACATGAAGCTATTGGTAACATTTTTTTTTTTTTTGGAGTTTTGCTCTTGTTGCCCAGGCTGGAGTGCAGTGGTGCCATCTCGGCTCACTGCAACCTCCGCCTCCTGGGTTCAAGTGATTCTCCTGCCCCAGCCTCCCGAGTAGCTGGGATTACAGGCGCTCGCTACCATGCCCAGCTAATTTTTTGTATTTTTAGTAGAGATGGGGTTTCACTATGTTGGCCAGGCTGGTCTCAAACTCCTGACCTCAGGTGATCCACTGCCCTCGGCGTCCCAAAGTTTTGGGATTACAGGCGTGAGCCATGGCGCCTGGCTGCTAACATTGTTGTTAGTTCTCAATAAGTACCCCAATTGCAGAAAAAAAAAATTGGTAAACTTAGAGGTGGTGATTACAATGTATTTTTAAAATACTTATAATGACCATGCAAAGATGTCATCAAACTACATTAACATCTTAGTGATAGAAAGGAAAAAAGAAATTTTTTGGTGAAATTTACAGGAAGTAACAGAACATCTATTGAAGAGCTAGGGATAAATTTGAGTTCAACAAGACCTTGGAAATCTTGGCTACTAACGTTGGCAAGACCATCCATTTTCCATTTCTGGTGATAAATTTTAAATCCAAATAAATTCTGTTTGTTAGGGCACTAAAAAGCCTTGTCAGCTCTGAAGTTAAGTAGGCATGTATTCACTGGCAGTATGTGGAAGCCACAAACTGGGCCAAGCTGTAGACACCTCCTGTAATCTAATTTTCAAGCACAAAGTATGGCAAAGCCAAAAACGGCTCTCAGGGCAAGGCTTCCTGGGCTCAATTCATGACCATGGGCTTTGGGACCAGGGGAAGCTAAAGATCATCATCACTTCTGCAAAACAGCGGACCTCGAAGACGGGAAACAACAAGGCCAGAATAGGAGCGAGAAGAGATGAACTTCCCTCTCGAAGTGGTTCTCTGAGCCCCCCGGTAAGAGAAATAATGAAGGAGGAAGCGAGAGAGGATTCGTGGTGTGTTTAGTAAAACAAGGAAGGGCTACAGATACGCTGGAACAAAGCCTCAGAGCTTGCTTTCCAAGTAGCAGTCCAGATACACAAATGGGTCAGCTCTGACTGTGTAGGCATCACCCCTTAGGAAACCTGACCACAGAATGCCCTTGCAAAGAAACGGAGACAAAAATAGAGTCCTTCCATCCTGCAGTGGCCTCCTTCTTCTCTTTGTGTGTCAGTGATTTTCAATCAGTAGATTGCGAGAGCCATGGCAACTTGAGGAATTTACATTTTAAATTTTAAAAAGTGGGCACGTAGAGGCGAAAGTGGTATTTGGGATACAGAACAGAAGAATGGGTTCCTCATTCCCACAAGGTTACCAAGCAGTAGGGTGGGGCAGAGTGGATGGAAACTCCCAAATTGCAATTGACATGGGAAGGTTTGAAAACTCACATCCGGGTGACGCCATGTGCTTGTCCCTGAAAATGTGTTAACTCTGGGGATGTCATCATCCCATGAGGCCAATCACAGATCATTCCTCCCACTCTCCTTTTGCTTTGCCCCAAACCATATGTTCCCTCATGACACACCTACGCTTCCCCACCCTGACCCCCTGCCATCTCCTCCCACCAAAAGCATGTTCTAAATATTAGCTTTTTTTTTCCCCACAAGAGAAAAGCATTGCACTAGTTTCTCTACATCATTTTATGAAACCCTTACAGAAATCCTAAAAGATAGGCATTCTTATCCCTATTTTCAGAAGAAGAAACTTTAATACTAATCTGATCACATGCATAATGAGAGGTGAGGCTGGGATTCAGACTGAGATTGCCCTGCCTCCAAAACCTCTGACTTTTAAATCATAGCCTGCTTTCTTGGTTCCCTGTATATCTGAGCATCCTCTCATTTGGATGATGCCAAGACTGGTTTCATCCTAGTTAGCATTAATATGGTGCACAGACCTTTCCAGCACGGGACAGGTCACTTTACCTTGTACCTGAATATTTCTCACCTCCAGACCTTGGAAAAAATGAAGTAGCAGTGGCGGGACACTTTCTTCCATTTTGACCTCTGTATTTCTTCACTTATTCAGCTAGCATTTAAAGAAAGCCTGCTATGCGCCTGACACTGTTCTAGGCTCTAGAAACAAAGGAAGTAAAGCCCTGCCCTCCTAGAACTTGCATTCTACTATTGGAGACAAATGACTATATGATGTAGGCAATGTCAGCTAATGATGGAAAGCAAAGCAAGTTGAAGGAGCAGAAAGGGATGAAAGTGTGCTGGGTAGGGTTGTCAATGGTAGCCTCTCTGAGGAGGAACACTGGGGCAGAGCCCTCTATGGAGTAAGTGAGTGAACCATGGAGAGGTCTAGGAATCAGCAGGAGCCAACCCCTGGTGGGAACAGATTGGACATGGCAGAAAACCAGCAGCACAGCTCATGTGGCCAGAGTCAGTGAGGGTGGCAGGTGGCAGCCACAGATGGGGGAGGGGAGGGGGACAGAGACTGGATCACTTAAGGCCCCCTGGGCTAGGAAAGGAGTTAAGAATTTATGCCAGGAAAATATTAAAAACATATCAGTGCCTTTTTTTTTTGTTCTGAGATGTGCCCAACATCATCAATTATTTGTAATACACAGAATTCACTCCTGACAAGGAAATGGGTAGAACATATGAGAATAAGTAGTTTAATCCACAAAACACAGCCGGGATGATGGATTTCAAATTGTTGCCAGCTCTTCAGGCAGAATGGGTAAGAAATAAAGAGAGAATGTATGTAAGATCACAGTCCAGCAGCACACTTTTCATGCTCAAGGCTCAAGGGAAAACAAGAACGACTTTATTCTTTTTTTTTTTTTTTTTTTTTTTTTTTTTTTTTTTTTGAGACGGAGTCTCGCTCTGTCGCCCAGGCTGGAGTGCAGTGGCGCGATCTCGGCTCACTGCAAGCTCCGCCTCCCAGGTTCACGCCATTCTCCTGCCTCAGCCTCCCGAGTAGCTGGGACTACAGGCGCCCGCTACCACGCCCGGCTAATTTTTTGTATTTTTAGTAGAGACGGGGTTTCACCGTGTTAGCCAGGATGGACTCGATCTCCTGACCTCGTGATCCGCCCGCCTCGGCCTCCCAAAGTGCTGGGATTACAGGCGTGAGCCACCGCGCCCGGCCGAACGACTTTATTCTTTATCCATAGACCCCAGATAAATCTTTTCTGCCTTGCATGATCATATCCTAAATATGTACATAGCTGCAGGTTTCTGGGTGTATTCTAGCTTCTGTAGCTCTCTTTGTAATAGTTCAACCAAATGTCCACTATTTATAGGTCTCTGAGCAGCAACAGTTAGCAAATGTAAACCCAGCAACCCGAGCTAGCCGCCCTGCAGCTTCCTCACCTTTGCCACCAAGGTCACCCTTCCCCTCTGGCCATGGGCAGCAGCTGATGGCCACATGGGCCACAACCAGAGGTGGTGTGTAGGGTGGGTGCCTGGTCTGACACCAGCTATTTAGTTTCATTCCCAACTGGGTGCACTGCAACTCAATTTTGGCACTGCCCACTCAGGCTTAGTGCAGACCGCACAAGTTAGAAAGCATGATCTCCAACAATACTGCCCTATGTCCGATGCCAGCCACACTTTGGGAGTCCCCAGGCTACAGCATTTATGACAGGCTGGATATAAATCTGGCGGTTCCCGCAACCCTCTTTGGTCAATAATTTGCTATAACAGAACACAGAAGTCAGAAAAACACTAATGATGACAGTTTTATTATTATATAAAGCATACAAATCAAGAGAATCTGCCAAATGAAGTGACACAAGGGGTGAGGTCTGAGAGGGAACATGGAGTTTCTATGGCCTCTCCACATGGAGCCAGGGCAGATCACCCTCCCTACACATTAGTGTGTCCACCAACAAAATTCAACCAAGCCCCAGTATCCAGAGGTTTTTTTAGGGCTTCATTACATAGGCCTGATTGATTGAATCATTGGCCATGTGAATGAACTCGATCTCCAGCATCCTTCCTTCCCTTTCCAGAGGTGGGGCTGACTTGAAACCCCAACCCTGCAATCATGTGTGCTTGGTCTCTCTGGTAACCAACCCCCTTCCCCCAACGCCATAACCTCCCAACACTATGTAGGGGCCCACCAAGAGTCACCTCATTAGCATAAACCCAGGTGCGCTCTGGCAGCCCATGAATAAAAAAGACACTCTGTCACTCGGGAAATACCAAGTGATATGATTGGCCAATCATAAAACATTATGTTATTTCATCAGACTGGCTTCATCATGTATTAGAAACAAGTTTTACATGTAGGAATTGCTTCAATATCTATTTCAGTATCTTAAAGTCTTTTTCTATCAGATTGATACCCCATAAAAACAAATAATCAGTGAAATGTTTCAAAAATAGAAAAAATGTATAAAATGAGCTGGGCACAGTGGCTCACACCTGTAATCCTAGAACTTTGGGAAGCCAAAGCAAGAGGATCACTTGAGGCCAGGAGTTGGAGACCAGCCTGGGCAATGTAGCAAGACCCCACCCTACAATCAATCAATCAATGAGAAAAATGTATAAAGTTCATATAACCTAAATAGCCTCAGTTTAAAACATGGGGAATTTATTCATGAAATTGCACAAAAAATTAGAAATGCAGCACCTACTGCATGATCAACAGTTGTTTCCACACTCCATTTGTGTAAAACTGATCTATGGCTCATGGCTGTAATTCCTGTTCACCAACACCTTGTGCCTTTTGTGTCTACGCATCTTATAATTATGATCAGACAGAGCCATTATTTGAAAAGAGCCAGGATCCTCTGGAATTAGAGCATACCGTATTCTTTCGGTCTCACTTGTCTCCTGGGAATTCCATGGCTGGGCTTCATCATTTTAAGTTTCTTATGCTCACCCTACTTGGCATTACTTCATTTCTTCTCACCATGTAACATCTGCTTGGCAGAGCAGGTGAAGACCTATGGCTGCCAAGTAAAGGTGGAGGTGAAGGTGTGTGCAGGACCACGTGGTCTGGGACCCATCTAGCCAGCTGTCAATTCATTGGTGGTGACAGTGAAATGCCTTTCCAGCTGTGCACCACCCTGTACTGGGTCCAGTTCCCAGAGTCAGCAAGACAGTTGTCATTGCTATATTCTGCAAAGCTATAATCTAACTTAGAGTTGAATGCCATTTTGACATCACACCGTGTTTGCCTCACCTCCCAGAATAACATATTGGTCTGTACTCAATTCAGATTTTTAAATTCACCATCCCTCATGCCACATGATGCCCTGTTTGAAAAATCTAGTGAAGAATGTTTAGGTCTCTGATGCTAATGGGAAAGTTTAGTCTGAATGCAAGGTCTCTTCAGTGCAACCTGGCACATCACCTTCATCCAACTTTGAATTTTTTGTTAGGCCTCTGTGTTGTGCTGACCCCCAAAAGCCATTCAAGATCTTTAACCTGAGTGTGCCCCAGCCTGTTGGCAGTGGATTTTTGGAAAGCTCAGAGACCAGTAGAGAGACCAGGGATGAAAGACTGAGGGGAAAAAATAGGGATTTTCTAGAAAAAGGTATTTGGAATCAAAGAGGAATTTCAAGGGAGTATTAGCATCTGTCTATTTTATAAGAGTTAAAGGAGAGAATGGGTAATAATGAAATGGGAGTGGCCAGTACGGACCACTCTCACAAAAGAAATATGTTAAAACCCATTGTTATAGGCATTTTTTGAGTGACCAGAATGCTTATGACTTCCCAGTAGATAATATCTCAAAGTCATGCTCTCACAATTTTACACATGTAAATGGGACTTTCTAATCTAGAGAAGCTGCCCAAATACTGTCACAGAATTATTTCATTCTTAGTTGGTCCAGATCCAATAAATGATAGTCTAGGTTTTAATGGAACCCAGAGAGGAACCATAGTTTTGACTGGAGCAGTCTTTCACCTAATGTCCTTGTCTCTACATAATTATTAGTAGCACTCCTTTTATGCTCCAATGTGTACCTATTTAGCCAATAAATTGTTTGATTACCAAATCAGCATGTACGATGAGTATGGTTAAGAATTTTCTTTATAGTTCATCCAATGAGTAGTGATGTTAGGAAATCATTGGTTAGACCTTAAGTTATCTACAGTGGTCATTCTCAAACTTTAGCATGCATCACAACCACCTAGAGGTCTCATTAAAACACCAATTACTGGGCCTTCAACCCCGGAGTTTCTGATTCTGTAGATCTGGAGTAAGGCCTAAAAATTTGTATTTCTAACCATTTCCCAGGTGATCTAGGGAAGACAGACTTTGAGAACCACCAACTTGCCAGGTACGGTGGCTCACACCTGTAATCCCAGCACTTTGGGAGGCCAAAGCAGGCAGATCGTCTGAGGTCAGGAGTTCGAGACCAACATGGAGAAACCCTGTCTCTACTAAAAATACAAAAATTAGCTGGGCGTGTTAGATGGCATGTGTCTGTCATCCCAGCTACTTGGGAGGCTGAGGCAGGAGAATCACTTGAACCCGGGAGGCAGAGGTTGCAGTGAGCTGAGACCCCACCATTGCACTCCAGCCTGGGCAACAAGAGCAAAACTCCATCTCAAAAACAAACAAACAAAAAAGAGAACCACCAACTCTCTTCCTCTTGCTGGGTAGAATTTTGAAGACAATGGAAAAGACTTAAAGAGAGACTTCACAGTTTAAAGAACAACTAAATAAAATGGCAATGTCAGGGACTAGTGAAAGAACATTAGCTGGTGAGCTGGCCGGCTGCAAACACAGTACAATCAGATGACAGCAGGTAACGCTCTGTGACTATGACCATGTGGTGGACCCTTCCTTGAGCTACTCTGTAATTTTAAGGTTTCATCATCACTTGTTAAATATTTTTTTTTCAAAAGGAGCAGTAGACTTTTAGCAGATTTACCCATTTATTTGTGTGAGACAAACCTAAAAATATACTATCAAAAGGTAACAGATGCATTTACCAAAACGGATTTTATTATTTATTTTTTTGAGGGAGTCTGGCTCTGTTGCCCAGGCTGGAGTGCAGTGGCGCAATCTCGGCTCACTGCAACCTCCACCTCCCGGGTTCAAGAGATTCTCCTGCCTCAGTCTCCTGAGTAGCTGGGATTACAGACACCTGCCACCATGCCTGGCTAATTTTTGTATTTTTAGTAGAGACGGGGTTTCACCATGTTGGCCGGGCTGGTCTTGAACTCCTGACCTCAGGTGATCCACCTGCCTCGGCCTCCCAAAGTGCTAGGATTACATGCATGAGCCACTGCACCTGGCCCAAAACAGTTTTTAATTCTATTTTTGCATTTTTGTTGTTGCATTTGGTTATGGTGCTAAACAATTTCTGGGGATGGTTTTTCTTTAGGTTCTCAGGTATAGTATTTTCTGTATAGTCATTGTATATAGAGGTGTGTGTGTGTGTGTATAGTTTTCCTTGAGTTCTGCATATGAGTACTTATTCCTAATTCTCCCTCTAATAAGTCATCTACAGTGAAAATAAATATAATGATCATATCTGAGGAATTTCAGTGACATCCTGTCAAAGTATTAGGCAAGACTGACAGAAAAGCTATTTTGATTTACATTTTAGGAAGAAATTTATTGAGTTGTGGATTAACTGAAACAATTATGGAGCCAAATTATTATTGTTTATGACTAAAGCACAAAATGGTTGTATTATTTGAACCTCAGCATAACTGGAAAATCCTGAATCCTGTCTTCAGGTTGCTCTTAAAAGATGAGCAGAGGAGAGATACTCAGACTGTCATGGAAAATTTGGGCAGACCCCTCTGTAAGAGTCTACCTAAAAGACTCAGATCTAGTCTTTCTGTAGGCCACCTTGAGTCTGGTGCCATCACTGGCTATTCAGCATTTTCTGAGTAGTATTTGAAAAATAAACTGCCTTTTTGTTTTGTTTTGTTGTTGACCTTTTTGGATTTTAAGGAGCAAGATGATCTTGATGTAACAGGCTTTTCATTATCATGATCGAGGACTTTGATCACCAAAATACACTTGTAAATACAAAATAACTGAAAGACTCAGAAAGACAATGACTGAACCATGAGCCCAGTAAACTAAAAATTCCAATGGTAACATGTTCAAAGGTAAAGAGGCTTTTAAGGTCAGAAGCATCTTTGTTGTATTAGGAGACCTTCATTGTCCTGGTTCTGCTATGATCTTCTGATGTGTAACTTTGGGTCAGTCATTTAATTTAACCTATCCTTTATGGTCTCCTCCATCTCCGCTAGTAAGGGACATTGTTCAGTGGTGTGCTAGTTGGTGTTTAACAACCAATTTGAGTAAGCCTCAATTATAGCATCTGCCTATGTCCATGGTGCAAATACTCCCACCAGGGTTGATTTCAAACTGCCAACACAGTGTCACTGGATGCAGAGGTGGAAAGAGATGTGCACCATTGGTCCTTACAAATGGCGCAACCCAGTTCTCTTCTCTGAGAGAACAGCTGTGGGATTTTGGCCTAATAATCCACTTTAGGGGCTGAATTATCCAGTCTGTCTGTTCACATTAATCATGCTAACCAACTATTTTGAGCTCTGTGAATGCGTTCTTATCCTCCAGGGGAAAACTGTTGTCTGTCAAGTGTGCATTTTCAAGCACCCAGTTTTTGACTTCAAAGCCCCCTTGGCAGACATTACTGTGGTATCACCTCCCTGTGTCCCACTCTTGCCACCCCTTCTGAAGCCACCGTCAGTGCCCACATGGACTCCTGCAGTGGTTCTATGTTGCAAACAACAGCAACTGACTCTCGTTATCTTAGGGAGAGAATGAATTTGTGGAAAGGATTACAACATTCAGAGGAAAGCAGAAACCAGACTCAGTATGAGCAGATTCCAAGAGAAAATCCAAGAGCTGGCCAGAGGTCCCACCTGGGGACAGCCTGGTTAGAGGAAGAGTGCCATTGTTGAGTGCTGGAAGCTGGCTCCAGCACAGAGGGCATCACCACGGCCAGAAGCCACCTCTCCAACTACCGTGAATGGAAAGAATTCTGTACTGTTTTGCTTCTTGGCATCTGTTGTTCCATATGAAAATCTCAGGCAAGAGCATCTGATGGGTCGCCCTTTGGTCATATGACTGAGCTCTAGCTGCCACAGGGAGGGCAGACAGAGTATCAGCCTTTTCAGCTTCTGTCACAGAAGACTGGACCCAACCTTCCATCAGGACCCCACAGTAATGATTTCCTCAGATACAGGAAGGAGCTTCAGATTGTGGGCAGCCACACATTGGACGAATGCCCCCTTGAGTATTCAATACCCTATTCCAAATGTTTTCCCTTAATCTCACCATGAAGAAATCTCTAGTTTTTGTCTATCTCAGCGAGATTTGCAAATGTTTCTACTTCATATTATTTGCAGAAGAAATAAACATTTATGTTCTTTTCAAAGGAGGACAGGAGATGATAACTCAGATTAAAATATGGAAATTAATAAGTAATAAGATTAAGAAAGGCTTAAAGTCCCAAGGAGATTCAGTAGAATTCAGAATTGACAGGAAAAGAAAAACACAGGAAAAAGCAGGAAGAGACATGACTGGCCCTGAGGAAGTCCACTGGTAGGACCTTGGGTTGCTGGTGTCCCCAACAGTCTCTTCCTTTTTTGAGACAGGGTCTCACCGTGTCACCCAGGCTGGAGTATAGTGGCACAATCACAGCTCAGTGCAGCATTGACCTCCCAGAGCTCAAGCAGTCCTCCTACCTCAATCTCCTGAGTAGCTGGTACTACATGTGTGTGCTGCCACTCCTGGCTGATTTGTCTCTTCTGATGCCAAAGCTTTACCTAATTATGTTTCCTTTATGGGCAGAATGTTTCCCGCTTGACATTTCTGTAGGAAAAACAGCAATAGGGATCCGGGAGAATGCTGGGCAGGCCCCTTGCTCAGACCAGCTTCCCCATCATTTCATCATCAAATGCATCTCCAGATTCCTAGAGACCTTTGACAGATTGGGCCCCAGTCCCTGAGTCTGATGCCACTACAGCATCTAGGAATCAGCTGGCTGATGGCTGAGAGCAGTTCTGGGAGCTGGACTCCACCTCCCCTCTCTGAGTGTTTCTCACCCTCATGTTGGGTCAGCATTGGGACCAGTGCCCGTCCCCAGAGCCTCCCAGCAAGTCACTCATCAGAGGTGGTCACTCATCCTAGAGTCCTGCTTCTTCATGTTCCCGGTTACTGCCCTAGCAGTGCTGCTAAAGTTATTGATAAGAGGCCTTGTAGCTTGCCAGCCGTCTAAGCTGCCACTGGATCTGAGCCTTCTTAGACCTCCCCAGTCCTGGGTCACTCCCTCTTCTCTCTGTGGCTCTATCCCTCGGTGCCCTGTTGGCTGGGAATGGGCAGGACCCCACCATGAGCAGATGTAGCTGATGCATTCTGTAGACAGCTAAGGCTTATGGTTGGCTGGATTGAGGATGAGAAGTCTGGGACCAAAAGAGAAGACACAAGTAATTGCACTTCTTTATGCAGCCTCTGCCCTCCTGCTCATGGGGGTCAGAAAGTTTCTAAGAGGGAGAGTTGGGAAGGAGGAAGGAGGAGGAATGGGCCAGGTGGGTTCTCGGGGGCTGTGGTCTCTATTCATAGTCCAGGCTGTTGTCTGGGGGGTGAGACCCACCACTTGCCACCACAGGAACAAAGCTAAGCTCAAGGGTCCTCATCACACTTGGTATCCACACCTGTTTTCCCAAGTCACTGCCCAGAGCCCTGCTTTCAGACTTGGTGCTATTTCAGGCCACCTGGGAGAGGTAGGTCTTGAAGATCACAGCTCTCTCAATGCCCTCAAGCAATTAAGAGCCACCATCTGGCATGCAGCCCATCCCAGAGGATGATTTGCAGATGAGGGCTAGTACATACAGTGCCTCTCGCCCCCAGGATGCCCGCTGCAGAAGTTTTTACTGCCATCTGTCTTTACCCATACCAACTCCCCCGCTGGTCTGGAAACAGTCTAAGGATGGAAATTCTGACCCATGAGTCTTTGAAACTCCAGAGCCCAGTGTTCTTCCTGACACCTTTTAGCATTTTTTGAAATGTTGGTTGAACTATTTTGATCCTTTTTTTGGCAGAGGGGGTCCTCACTTACCTGCTTCCCTCCGCCTCCCTAAAGTCAGGAAGCCAGTAGGGATAGGGGCCTTCAGGCTCACACCTACAGAAGCTTAGAGCCCGCAGGACCATCCATAACATGGTAGTGGACAGTCCTGTCCTCCTGCAAGCCCTGTGCTGGGCATGGGTCACACCCCCTCCCATCATGGCTGTGCTGCCTATAAAGCCAGGGGTTATAGAATCAGCCCATCTCTCAGTACCTTCCAGCTGTAGCTTTTTTATTGTATACCTGGGCCCTGCTGAGATTAGGAGTCCCGTGAAGTCATTTTCATCCCAGAACTCTCCTCCTTCATGGGCACTTTCATGGAGACTCTTTTTCCCTCTGCCATTGGGAGCAATGACTAGATTAAATAGGCTCGTCCCTGGAAGGCTCCTAGGCCAGGATCCCCTTCCCACCAGCACACTGAAAGTGGTGCCATGAAAAAGGGGCCAGGCAGGAACACGGCAGTGACACCAGCCTTTGCTGGGTGCCATGCACGTCTCTAAGGCGTGGGCTTCAGCCACTCTGCATATGGCCTCAGCTAACCAAGGATGCTTTCTGTTTGTCATATTGCTTTATAATTTTGTAAAAATTCACAAATTTATAATATGTGAGTATATAATGTAAATCTGATATTTGAGCATTTAGATTTGAGCAATATTTCAAGGTATGATGATAATACTCTGAAGGGATTTGTTGCTTTGCAAAATCTTTCAATCCTGTTTTGCTTTGTGTAACTAACACATTTCAAATTTCTCAATCCACACAAATTTGGTACTGCACCACATTTACAGGAATCTAACAGTTCACAAGGAAGATCCAGGGAGATCCAGACAGAATAGACAGGGAGACACAGAAAGAAGGATCTGGTTAATACAAGCTTGAAAATGAATCTTCAAGTCCTGTCACGTGTTTTTCTAATGGAGCAAAATTCACTCTTACTCTTCTTCCCTAACCCTAACCCTGTTTTTAGAATGAATTGTCAAGGTTTTCATTTATTTGTCAGTCCAAGAATAGTTTTTGTTGTTGTTGTTTTAGAGACAGGGACTCTGTGTGTTGCCCAGACTGGAGTGCAGTGGCATGATCATAGCTCACTACAGTCTCTACCTTCTAGGCTCGAATGATCCTTCCACCTCAGCCTCCCAAGTAGCTTGGACTATAGGTGTGCGCCACCACACACAGTTAATTGTTTAATTTTTAGTAGAGATGAGGTCTTGCTCTGTTGACCAAGATGGACTATAGGTGTACACCACCACACCCAGTTAATTTTTAAATTTTTAGTAGCGATGAGGTCTTGGTATGTTGACCAAGATGGACTATAGGTGTGCACCACCACACCCAGTTAATTTTTTAATTTTTAGTAGAGATGAGGTCTTGCTATGTTGACCAAGATGGTCTCAAACTCCCAGGCTCAAGCAGTCCTCCCACCTTGGCTCCCAAAGTTCTGGGATTATAGGCATGCACCATCATGCCTAGCCTTAGTGTTTTAATTTCAAAGAACACAACTGTATCCTTTCTCTGTCACCTGCAGTCCCTGACACTTGTCAAACAAGACTGTGTTTTCTAGCCCATCCTTCCTCCCTCATGAATGCAAGGCCCACATCTGAGCCTCTGTGAGAACCAGTTGTTTTGTTGCCCACCTTGAGCAGTAGTTGTATATAGGTGGGTGTTCACTAGAAACTGGATGAGGAATCCCAATGCCAATGTCATGGGTATCTCCTAATTTTTTGAGATAATGCCTAATCTGCCCTCAAGGCCACCATGTTGGTGCAAAGGTGAGAAACTCATCATGCCCTTACTGAAATCGAGCAGAGGTGCTGGGGTACATGAGACACGCCCCCATAACCACGCCCCATAACCAAATGATTAATTCTTGTTCCAGATTATTTTCTAAGTCTAAAGTTCTAGGAAAGAAGAAATGCTGTCTTTCCCTGAGGGATCTTCCAGTAAGTAGGCAGTAGCAGCGTGACTTGTGTGGCTTTTGAGAGCCATTTCTGCTGATGTCTTCAGACAAAAAGTGCAAAGAGAGGAATGCAATAGGTCATGCTGAGGCTCTGGGGGAAATGCTTAATGCTCCTCAGCCTAGAAGGCTTTGTGAATGAATTTTAGAATGGAAAATGCAGTATAAACATAAAGCTCAGGAAAGGATGGTAACCAAGAAAAACCTTAGGAAATGGTCTTGTGATAGCACATTCTAAGCATAGCCATCAAGTCTGTATGCACAGGTGAAGGTACATATTAAATGGTTTACCAATACTCCATTACAAGACATAGTATATTTCATGGGTTGTTCTTTATTAGCAGTGTTTCAGAGCATTCTACAAAATCACAGTGAATGTCAACTGTTGCTGCATTTCTATCAGTACCTGCACTTGCATCCGTGATACCATACCTAGAGGGTTTGTGTTTCTGATTTTTAATAAATCAATCGTTAGCATACCCCAGAAGAAGAAATCAAGGGGGCCCAAGGTATAGTAGCTTCTGTTTGGAGATTCACTGTAGTCTTTGTTTTCCTTAGCAAGTTCAGAAGCTAAGCATAGATATCTCCATTAGACATGCAGAGTGATCTGGTGCAGTGACAGAATACAAGCTTTTCAATCAAACAGGGTGGAGGTCAAAGCCTGGTTTAGCCACTAACACCACCTATATGACCTTGGGCAAGTAACTAATCCCCTTGCCTCAGTATTGTCATCTGCAAAATGGGATGGAAATAGTCCCTACCTTATGGAATTGTGGGTATCGGTCATAGCATGATTAAAAAGTGCCTGCCATTTGGTAGGCAGCCCACAAGTAGGATACATTACTATGATGTAGAACCACAGTTCTTGCTTTTTATAGCTTACCCACAGTCAACTTTTAATATGTACCTAATAGAG
Source organism: Homo sapiens (assembly GCF_000001405.40). Taxonomy (NCBI): domain Eukaryota; kingdom Metazoa; phylum Chordata; class Mammalia; order Primates; family Hominidae; genus Homo; species Homo sapiens. The sequence goes on along the minus strand of NC_000012.12, from coordinate 26,347,308 downwards.
CTAAAAAGACCAAGACAATTTCTCCAATGTTCGCCTAACATAAGCCAATCACATTATTTCTTAATCTCATTCTGTTATGGAGAAAAATTATTACATTCTTTATATTTTCTTGAGCCAGTGGACAATTAAGTAAGAATAGGGATAGATTATATAAGAGCTATTCCACTATGTAATATGGAAGAACTTGCCCAGAAGTGGAAGTCAGGTGCAGGGACATTTGCTGCTATTGTGCCTTGAGACCTCAAGGAAACCTAAACTTTCTAGGTTTCAGGCTGGGCATTTGCAGTATACTGGGTGTGGGCTGTATGGTTTTGAGGCTGCTTCTAGCCAAAATGCCGTGTTTCTGTTTGCTCACTTGGCAAGCTCAATCTTCTCTCAACAATTTGTTTTTTTAAGCTGTCTTTACATCATAGCTCACAGAATGACGAGCTGGAAGAGACACAGACACCACCTAGGGTAACATTCTGATTTTACAGATAAGGAAACTGGGACTCAGAGAATAAGGCTTTCTTCCTCCTTATATCTTATAGCTAGTTTTTTGGTAAGCTAAAACAAGAACCGGGGTGTCCTGACTCATAGATTGGTGCTCTTTCCGTTATACTCCCATTTTCCTTTTCCCACAGATCAGATATCACATTTAAGAACTAAATATGAAAACATAGCACAGCTGATTTTTTTTTTTTTTGAGAAAGTCTTTACTCTTGTAGCCCAGGCTGCAGTGCTGTGTTAATGATCTCAGCTCACTGCAACCTCCACCTCCTGGGTTCAAGCGATTCTCCTGCCTCAGCTTCTCGAGTAGCTGGGATTACAGGTGCCCGCTACCACACCTGGCTAATTTTTGTAATTTTAGCAGAGGCAGGGTTTCACCATGATGGCCAGGCTGGTCTCGAACTCCTGACCTCAGGTGATCTGCCCACCTCGGCCTCCCAAAGTGCTGGGATTATAGGCATGAGCCACCGTGCCTGGCCCAGCGCAGCTGACTTTTGACACTTGCAACCTAATCATTTTATTGAATGACTACAAGGTTTCTACACTTCTATCTAATGGTCTTTTAATTGCCCAGAGAAATAGATAACTGTTAGAATTTAGGGATAAAAGGGTATGGTTGACATGGTGTGTGAGCCCTAAAGGGACTTCTCAGGGACATGATGGTTCATCTTGGAGTTTTGCATTTTAGAATCTTTGAGAAGCTCTGGATTTCCACTCACCCACTTACTAGGACCATACATTATAGCCTCAGAATCTAACAGTTAACCTACATCTTCCCTGACTTTATACTACCCTGTGGTCAAATATGTTTATTCCTGGTGAAGTAAGGAGATTATTTCATTTTGACCAAAGTCATCCTGGGAATCTAATAATCATATGCATGATCGCAAGATGTACATAGCATGCATGAGTAAACCAAGAAATAACAAACTAAATCAAACTGCTTTGTTAGATGGCATACATATTACAAGTCGACATGGAGAGGAAGTGGTGTCCTGTTAACTAGTATCTTCTCTGTGTGTCTGTCCTGTGGTTCTGGCTTAGGTTAAAGTCTGGGGTTTACCTTCCTCTTCCCCTGCTCAGATTGAGCCTTCTGTGGAAGCCATAAGAGCAGAGAGAGAAACCTCTGAGTATTTAATTGGCAGCTACTTTCAATGGAAAAGCATATTCACTGTGTAAGAATGCTGCTATATTGGAGTTAATTTTCATGAAAAGAATGTACAGTAATCCCCCTTCTCCATGGCTTTGTTTTCTGTGCTTCCAGTTACCCACAGTCAACTACAGTCCAAAAATGGTAAGATATTTTGAGAGAGAGAAACAGAAGCCACTTTTATCACAGTATATTGTCTTAATTGTACTATTTTGTTATTAGTTATTGTTAATCTCTTACTGTGCCTAATTTATAAATTATCCTTCATCATAGATATGTATATATAGGAAAAAATGTAGTATATCTAGGATTCAGTACTCTCCACAGTTTCAGACATCCACTAGGGGTTTTGAAATGTATCCACTTCAAATAAGGGGGACTACTGTACTTTCTGCAGTAATTTTGAAGAAAAATCAGTTGTGGAACTGATTTTTACAAGACTGCTTTCTTCAAAAAAGAGAACAGAAAGCAATCAATTTAAGTTGTTTTTTTTTTCCATTGCAGTGAGAAATGTAAAGCATTCAACTCAGGTCTCTTAAAAATTAAGAAAAGGAACCCTAAAATATTCAATATTAAAATGATTTTTAGTTGTACATTATATATTTGTCTCAGATTAAGACCAGCAGATACACAAGGGAAGGGAGGAGTGGAACAAGAAGCAGAAAGGTAGGAGAGAAAAGGCTGAGAAACAAACAAACCAAAACACAGACAGATACAAGGAGTGAAAGAAAGATTAGAAAAACCAGAAGAGGGTTGGAAGACAGAATAATATTTAGGAACGAAGAGAAAAGATGACAGGACTGTGTAGCTTTTGCACTTAAGCACAGCTTCTCATTACTTTTGTCATCCTTTGTTTGAAGTCTTACTCTCCACCTATGAACTATATGTTCCATAAGCACGAGAATTGTGCTGGATTTTGCTTACTATTGTTTTCCCAGTGCCTAACAGAGACATAGTAAACACAAGCAAGGATTATTAAGTGAATGGATGAACAAAGAAACAAATGAAAAAAGAGAGTGTAGGGAAAGGGAGTTCTGTGGCTCAAATGGCACCAGCTATGGTCCACTGAGAGCTGCCATTGTTTCCTCAAAAGCAAGAGGCCATGGACTTGGCTGATCCTGGCCCCTGAGATGCTTGCAATAGTGTTTCTTTGGAGGCAACTTTACAAATGCTCACACACTATCTGTGAGAGTTGCAGTCTACTGTTAGAACAAGGTTTTGCATCTGTTTCTTTTGGAACCTTTTTGCAGGTTGATGTTTTCACCATCCCTCACATTCCTGGTACCTTCTTACCCCAAGCCCAGTCTGTGATGCTCCCAAATCCCCCTGCCCCAACAACCCCTCTGGAATCCTTGTGCTGTTATATGTTGAAAAAATCTCTCCCAGAATGCTGCTTTCTTGGCTCTCCCAAGAGGAGCCCTGTCTTAGTCTGTTTTGTGTTGCTGTAACAGAATACGTGAGACTGGGTGGTTTATAATGAACAGAAATTTATTGGCTCACAGTTCTGGAGGCTGAGAAGTCTGTTTTCAAGGTGCCCACGTCTGGTGAGGGCCTTCTTGCTGCATCATCATAGGATGGAAAGTGAGAGGGTGAGAGAGAGCAAGAAAGGACCAAACTTGCCCTTTTGTTACAGCACCAATCCCCACCCCCATGAGGTGGAAGCCTCATAGTCTAATCACATCTTAAAGGTCGCACATCTTAATACTGTTACAACGCCAATTAAATTTAAAAATTAAATTGAATTTTGGAGGGGACAAGCATTCAAACCATGGTGACCCCCTTCTCCTTTAGCCCCTTGGTGGCAGCTGCCTATTTTCTCACCCTGTCTGTATTAAGAGCCCTAGAAAAGGGTCAGCACTCTGGGCTCCTCATCACCAAGAAATCAACACACCTCAAACCTCCCATAAAAATGCACTTTTCTAATCCTTCCCATCCTATCCTTTAATACCTCCTGGTCACTTTTGTTCATTCATACAGATTTTGGCCCTTGGCCACCCACAGCCTCCTCATCTACCCCAACTACTGACTTGCAGGATGACTTCAGGAGTTTAGTGCACAATTCATCTAAAAGATTAGCCTCTGCAAATTCTGTGATTTTTTTTAAATGGTGGTAAAATATATATAACACAAAACTTACCATTTTACCATTAAAGTGTACAGTTTTGTGGCGTGAAGCACATTCACATTGTTCTGCAACCATCACTAATCTATCTCCAGAAATTTCTCATCTTCTCCAGCTAATAGTCTGCATCCATTAAACACTAACTTCCCAAGTTCAGTGATATTTACTTTTACCAGACTTAAGGCACTCTCACCCCAAAATTTTCATTTCCTGAAGTTGTTCTACCTTCGGAATTTTAAATTTTGTTATTCTATTTTCTGTCCACAATCTCCTGTCTTGCCAACAGACTTTGATGCAGACAGATCTGAGTTGGGATCCCAGCTAATCCAGTTACTAGCTTCATTTCTTAATCTGTTTTGTGTTGCTGTGAAGGAATACCTGGGACTGGGTAATTTATAAAGAAAAGAAAGTTATTCAGGTCATGGTTCTGAAAGCTACACAAGAAGCGTGGCACCAGCATCTGCTTGGTTTCTGGTGAGGGCTTTTGTGCTGCGTCAAAATATGGCAGAGAAAGGCCAAAGGGGAAGTGGGCATGTGCAAAAAGACACCAAACCAAGCATCCTGGCTTATAACATCGCACTCTCATGGGAACTAATCCACTCCCCCGAGAACCCATCCAGGCTCCTAAGAGTGAGAACTCACCGGACGTGGTGGCTCACGCCTGTAATCCCAGAACTTTGGGAAGCCGAGGCAGGCGGATCACTTGAGGTCAGGAGTTCAAGACTAGCCTGACCAACATGAAGAAACCCCATCTCTACTAAAAATTCAAAATCAGCCGGGCATGGTGGCGCACACCTATAATCCCAGCTACTCGGGAGGCTGAGGCGGGAGAATCACTTGAATCCAGGGGGCGGAGGTTGTGGTGAGCTGAGATTGTGCCATTGCACTTCAGCCTGGACAACAACAAGAGTGAAACTCAGTCTTAAAAACAAACAAACAAACAAAAAACAAAAACAAACAAACAAAAAAGAATGATAGCTCACTTACTACTGTGAGAATGGCACCAAGCCAATTCCTGAGGGATCTGACCCCCGCCCCCCCCCCCCCCCCACCGCCGTGACCCAAACACCTCCCATTCGGTCCACTTCCAAAACTGGAGATCAAATTTCAACAGGAGGTTTGGAGAACGCAGACAAACCATATCTAAACCATGGCACCTCACTTTCTTCATTTGTAAAATTCAGATAATACGTAATATAAATACTGGATAGATAACAGAACCTAAGTTCACAGAATTGTTGAAAGGAATAAGTGCTTAAAGAGCATTTAGCACAGGTCTGTTCTCCTCCCTCCTTCCTACCAGTTCACACATTAACATGCATCACATCAACCACCACTCTATTGATCTTCCCAGCTCCCTTAAACCTTGATCTTCCTGATGCTCATCCCAGAGAGACACAGCATGCTGTGTCAGTCCAGCTTTCTGCCTCATCTGCACATCCACTTGGGCTGTGTGTGAGCAGCTGGCCCAGCCACACTACCGTGCAAGCATTTCATGGGCCCCTGTTAGGTTTCCTCTGCTCTTCCCCCACATGCCTATTTCAGATCTTTCCCTTTTGCTCTGTCTCCCTACCCAGCCACTGTCTTCTCTGTTTCTGTAAACCAGAGTCCTTAACACTTTAATGATATTAGAACCACACACATTCCCTGAGGTCCTGATTTGGTAAGAGGTGGTGGGGTGGGAATCTGCAGTTTTAACAAGCAACCAGGGGATTTTGATACACACAGTGTGCAGCCCACTCTTTGTGGAGGGCTGTCCTGAGCCATAAGCTCCTTGAGAGCAGACACACAGTCTTATCTGACTTTCACCCCTAAATACCTAACAATAGATGCTGAAGGATTGACTGAATGAATGAATCTGTCACTCTGCACTTTAGAGTAAGTTACTGTTCACCTTTGAAATGCTAATTAGCTACAGCTGTTTAAATGCAGTTTAAAACTCTTCAATATATTTTATCTTTAGTTCTTTATCATCCCTTTTCACTGCCATTGGGGGTAGGGAACTATAAAGAACTTGTTATTCTCTGATGCAACAACAACAAAAAGCCAACCCAAGGGCCAGGTAAGATTGAGCCTGCAGTCTAGAGATACACAAATTGGGCCTTGCCACTGTCACTTAGGGAAGAACACTCCAGTGACTCTCATTCTAGGGATCCCACAGGCAGAGGTTGTTGTAGCCATTTCAGTGGACTTCTCTGGAATGGAAAGAGTTTCAAGCATGATGCTCACTGCTAGGGATGTTGGGAGAAGGTGATTTAGAGAAATAGGTGAGTAGACAGAGACAAAGACTGGCACACCCCATCAATGCTGCAGAGGCTTCAAATCCCAGCTTTGCCATTTACTAGCTTGTGACAAGAGTAATGAAACTTAGAGCCTCTTGTTTCCTTATCTGTAAAATGGGGACCACATGATTTACCTTGCAGAGCTTTGGGGAGGATGGAAAAATGTCATATAAGTAATGCATAGTGATTCTATGATGTTAGACAATCGAGCAGAGTCTTGAAGAAAGCATCTGTCAGTCTGCCACGATTGGAGGAAAAACACACACACACACAAAACACCTACATACACCCAGGCTGCCTACAAAAACAGAAGTGGAACCAGCTATTGCCCTGTGGGGAAGTCTAACTCTCACCCATTGCAATAAAATCTTTCCAAAGGGAGCAGACAGAGTAACCTCAGGCCATGCCCTCCCACTTCCCTCTTCCTCAAGTGGAGCTCTGAGGGAGGCAGAGCTGGTGGGGAGCCTTTACAGAGGAAGTGGGAGGTAAAGTAGTGTGGGTGGCTGAGGCTGAAACATTTCTTTTACCACTTTCCTATACCATCCCCCCACTTCTCTTGTGTGCCAGGGGGAAAGAGAAACAGTGCATGCCTATGCTGTACCCACACACACTTGGATCTGCTCCCCCAGCCTCCAGACCCCACCTCATCATTCACCATCATTCACTGAATGCCTGCAGCCTTCACGGTGCTTTCTAAATGTCTCAGCCGGAACCTCCCTGGAAGCCCGTATAAAGTTTGCTTCAATATTTGGGGTCTTCCCCCAGCCCGTGAAGACCAGTGTCTAAGCCCTACTTCAGCCCCTCCCTATGCCAGGTTTTCTCTCTCCAATTTGAGTGCTAAGAGACTTTGGTTTAAATGTTAGTAATAATAAACAGCTATAGACATTCTCCCCTTCCATACTTATTCCCTTGTTCGCACACATTTATTTGCTTTCAGGAGAAGAATTTGGATTGGTTTCCTCGGATGCGAGCCATGTCCCTCGTTAGCAATGAAGGCGACAGTGAGCAAAATGAAATTCGGAGCCTTCAGGAGAAGTTGGAATCGACCATGAGTCTGGTCAAACAGCTGTCGGGTCAGCTGGCGGAGCTCAAGGAGCAGGTGGGTGCATTCAGGGAGATGGGGCTGGGTGGGATAAAGTCATTCACCACTTCCGGTGAGGGGAGACAGAGGGTCCAGGGAGCCAGGTCATTATCCACAGAGAATTGCAAACTCCGAGAAAGAAACCTCACGTTGTACTGTAGAACCACATCCCAGCAAACGGGGACTTCTACTTATCCCATCTCCCTGAGCCTCACACGACACTTCTCCTTCTATGGAAGGGGGAAAGGATAAAATGCCAAAATACAAGCACCTCTTTGCATTTAAAAAAAAATCATTTTCTGCCATGATAGTAATTACTAAGCCCATGGGAAAGGCAAATCCTCATTAGTATCTGCCATTTCAATGCTATAATGAACCCCTTTATCATATAAAATTGTTAGTAAAAATATCAACAGTAACCATGGTAGCTATTAAAATGACTGTGGTGATGGTGACAGCTATGTGACAGGCAAGATCTGTTTTCTAAAATGGCTCCTGCTTCCTAACCACACAGAGGGGTTTGCTCTTTTTCTCTGTTTATGGAAATTCACTTTTAAAAAAATCCCTTTTTTGATAAATATATTCTATATGATGCTGGACAGTAGGTAGTTGGGGAATATTAACTCAAAACGGTTGTGGCCCACCAGCACTGGGTAAGAGTGAGAAAATCCGCTGAACACACACTCTCTCTTTTCCCCCAGATGACAGAACAAAGGAAGAATAAGCAGAGACTGGGCTTCCTCGGATCAAACACACCCCATGTGAATCATCACATGCCACCACACTGATACCATGGGGGGAAGCCGTGACTAGCCTTTCATCAGTGTCCTGCCTGATCACTGAATAAAGAACTGAGATGGAGGGGAGTGAACAGTGCCTATTGTTGAAAAGTTAAAAACAACCAAGTGCCAAGATGTTGAGTGGGTTAGCTCCGAGAACAATTTATAACTGTGTTTTCATGGTTGCGAAGACCTAACCTCAAATGCATCTGCTAGAAAGCGTACATCACACATTCGCAATGCATCAGGAAGAAAAGGCTTGCCCAAAAGGCTGGAGAGGGCAGGGAGCGGCAGGATGGAAGGAGACACGGGGCAGGGAGAACTCTCTTCTGCTAAATCGATAGGAGTCAGTTTTGTCTTAAATGCTGACTACAGCCACTGACATGGTTGGCTGGAATTTCTTTCTTTTAATTGTGGCATATAGGTTTGTGACACAAGAAGTCATACTTTGGTGGCTAAGTTTTACTAAGGAAAATAACTGAAAAGATTAAAAGTGAGAGCTGAAAAGAGAAATGATAATGCTTCCAAACTGTAGCTGTCACAGGGCAATTTCTTTATTTATAACATGAAGCACAATGGATTTACAGCTCTAGGAACTTAGTACTTTGGAGCTTTTGCCTCTCACACTGACAACATAACAGGATGTGATTGCCTTCTCTGGGATTCAGACAGGCTCTGTCAATGTGGAGCACAAAAGGAGATTTTCATATAACTTGTTAAAAACATGTTCTAAGTCATGTATAGGCTAAGATTTTAAGAAGATCTGGGGGAATAAAAAGCCAACAGTAAGCCCCAGGAAAGGGTTTTTTGAGACCATATGTATGCTATTAAAATATATTGAGATTAATACATGAAAATGCTTAAAAGTGATAGGAATTATTGAGAAACTTATGATGGTGGCATTGCCTTTTATAAACATGGAGTGAAAGCCATTTGACTCAACGTTTGCTGTGCTTAAAGAATTGCTTCAGGACCCGAGCGTTTTTATGTATGCTGTTCCTGCAGTTAGGAAAAAAAAATCCAAGAAATGTATTGAATACTCAAGAAAATGCCACATTTCAATTACATATTTAAAACTGTATCTGTAAGGGCTTTTCAAAATGTAGCAAGATAAAAATCTCTTATTCAAATTGTTTTTGTATTAAATCATGCACTCAGAATTTGTCGAGGGAGAGAATAACCTGGTGTGTTCAGGTTATTCTTAGAGACTACACATTTGGAATAGCAGAGCAAAATATGGATAATGAAAGTGTTGGGAAAAAAGTGATGTGACAGGGAGTGAAGACACTTGATACCAGACTCTGGGAGATACTCTGCAAGTTGACCTGGCCTCTCCCCCACAGGAACAAAACACTGCCTCCAGAGTCTTTAAATTCTCAGTTATCAACGCCAAGGTTTAAGGTCTAGATAGGGTTTGCTATAGGGTTTGCTCTGACAATTTTTAAAGCTTTTGGATTGTTCTAACATAGCTTAAGCTATTGGTTCCTAAAAATCCCAAATCAAGATCTATGTAGAATATAAAGGAAGCCTGAACCAATCCTTCCACATACTGTTAAGATGTAGACTTGGAACAAAGCTGTTGGGACCCAGAGCAATGAATTTTTGAACTGAAGCTACTGGTACTCCCCAGCACCACCTCATACTAAGAATTCCTCACTCTGACATGACAGTATTTTTTCTGACCAGGAGCTGAAAGACCCTGACATTCATGATCCAAAGATATAAGAAATTTTGATATGTCTGCATGCAGCACAGAACTTTGAACCTAGGAGGCAGTCAATAAATACATGAGAAATTCAGCTGTCATTCAGTTACTCTTAATTCTTTATAAAACTTTAAATGATACCACATATTTGTTTGTTTAAAATGGCTTTCCCAAAATCAAAGTAGACTAAAGCAGCCATCTTTAAAATCCAGGATCATCAATGCTATTAACAGTATCAGGTAAAAAGTACACTTTAAAATATTTTAATCAGGCAGAGTTTTATGGATAGAGAATAGAAGAGAAAGGTAGTAAATATTGAACATATTCCAATATAGGAACCTATCTCTGTTTTAGTACAAAATATTTCTGACATCTGAACTAGAGGTCAAGAGAATAAATTCATTTGTATACATCTGAGCAACCTGTCTTTCAGATGATAAAGTATCTAGCCTTTTCTGACACCATAATAGTTCATTTTGTAGGGAATAAGCCATTAGGTGTATATAATTGCTTTCTAGAAATGACCTAATGTCCCCAACCACTTTGTAGTGGCAGATCACTGTTTCACAGCATATTTTCTCCCAAGGAAAGTATTCAAAAGAGACTGCAACTAACAAGACTCTTATTTCATCAAAATTTAAATATTTCTGAGTTGTATTTTTAATGCCTCTTTCTTTTCTGCCTAAATGCTTAGAAATTATAAAGCAAAAAAAAAAAAAACAGCAACAAAAAATCGAAGCAGACAAAAAAGGCACTTTTCAGAACATCAAATTCCTAATGAAGAAGAGGAGAAGATAATGGGGAAATTTGACATTTGATATAAATTTATATTTGTTATGTGTATGTTTGTTAATGCAACTGGAATATTTGACTTAGGTGAGTATCAGTTAACATCCTTGTATTTATATAGTGACATCAAAATAAATGCAATCATCTTGAACTTTGATGTTAAGGGAGATTTTGAAAAAATATTTAGTTATTTCAAATTCATATTGGTTCAAAAGTATCAGTTTCTGCTGAATAATATTTTTAATTTCAAAAGGGTTTTGTTCCCTCTGTGCTCCATTCTGAGGCTCAAGAGCTTAATGCCAGTATGTTTTCTGAGTTAAAATAACACTTTTAGATGAGAAAATGCTTGTATCATACAGGGCTATAATATAAATAAATAAATTGTATGTATGCAAAATTTATCATATTTTCTACCCCTTAAAAAATTAAGTTAGAAATAAGCTTATTTTCTTGCACATCAATATTTTTCTGTTGGTAAAGAGGACACAATTTCTAGTAGATTGTTAATAACATCAGGAAGATATTTCTTTCGTCAGAACTAATTGTGTGCTTATTCCCATATTCTCAGCTCATAACTCCCTGTTTTGGCTGCTCTCTTTATTTTACAATTGTTTCATTGCAAACAGCAAGGCAGTATAGCCCACACTCAGCCACTAGCCCCCAGTCCCCAGGACTGAGAATGAGTGGGGAGGCTGGGGAGTTGGTGAGAGAAGGTGGAGATAGGGATTTCTGCTTCCCAGTACTCTATCATTAGAGAAAAGGAGGGGTAAATATTAGCTAAGAAGAAGAAAAAAGCTTATTCTTCAGGGACCCAGTAGATTGGACGTAAGCAAGTAAATATTGCACAGGCATCATGATGTAATAGTTGATGGACCCCAGAGATACCCCTCACCCATGCAGAGAACAAAGCTGTGTGGAAGAGCAACTACCATAAGATGGTGTGTTCCTTCCAGCGGCTGTTAAAGCCATCCTGAATAACAAATCAGCTATTCCTACCTACAGACCCATTCCAATATGCTGTGATACACGACACGGTGCACCGCAGAGGAGACAGACATCTTCAGCACAAACACAGATGCCTGCAGGAGCTTGGCAAGTCACTAAATTGCATGAAATTGTGAGGTGCACACCAAATGCAGGGATGGGGGAGGCCGTGGGAAGCTCTGTATTCTCAAAATTTGACAGCTAATTCCGGTTTTTAGAAAATGCCTGAGGCCAGTAGAGGCCCTCTAGTCACTCACTGCTGCTGTTTCTGATATAATTATTGAGAAAGCTATCTCACTTAATAGAAGAAAACACGCACTATCAAAACCAGATAGCCTAACGTGCATGTGAAAATCGAGAAAGCTGAAAACAAATCCAGGTACCCTTCTCTGAACTGGAGTGTTTCCACAGACTTGAATAATTTATGAAATTATCACACCAGTATTTCTCATATCACCAAGAAGACTTTCTCTCCTGCAGTAGAGGATTGTTATATTTGCCTAAAAAACACGATTCCAATATATGACAAGGGCAGATAATTTATAAGTGAATGTTAATAAAATTGGATGTGTATAACTTTTTTGTTTGCAATACTTTAAAGTGCTTTATTCATTTCTTGCCATGTTTCTAAGTAATATCTGCATTGGTATGAAAAGGCATTATGATTGCTATTTTACATAGCAAGACATGAGGTATAAAAAATTTGGTGACTTGAACCACACCGATGAGCTAATCCAGATGGACTAGTGTGCCTAAGGCTTATTGGGATTTGGTCAATTCCCCAATGTACCAACTAGTACTGGTGCATCACATGGTGTCTGATGCCCTGCTTGAGCTCAGTGGGCACAGACCATTGGGTGGCTTAGGATTTCCTGATTCTTAACACGCACAGCTTTAAATGATAGTTCCCCTCAGAAAAGAACTGAGTGTGCAACAGCTGAAGTCAACATGGGTGGCACGAATCACATGCAATCTGGAAATAGAATTCTTTGTTCATCTGGGTATTTTCCAGTGTGCCACAGTTCCTTGAAGTAGTGTGGAAACATTTGTTTGTTTTGTTTGTAATCAGAGGAAAGGTTGGGGGAGGGCAATTGGATAGGGAGTTCCTCTTCCGGTGAGAGTAATTGGCACGAAGAGCGGGCAGTAGTGTGCATGTGGGGGCAGTGTGGTGGAAGTCCACAAGTCACCCTTCCTTTGCCTGGTCAACTGGGGTGCTTTGAGGGAGCCCTAGGAAGGCCTAATGTTCAGAGAACAACTCCAAGCCAGAATGTGTGTACTTCAGCCTCACCTATGTTCCTCGCCCACATCAGAGGTGCTGGCACCTCACACAGAGCCGCATGGCAAACAAAAACAGTTACCAAATGTGATGCTGGGAGAAAATGTATAGAAACAGAGATAAGTTGTTAAACTCCGTTTGACTCTGTTTCCCAGAAAATGATGGCTTTTACTGCTTCAGTGTGGATTTCCCCCCAGATTAGCCTTTTCCCCTTTAACTCTGGTCCTTGGGGCAAGATCAGCTCCAGGTAGAGTGGCCCTACTCACAGCTGTGGAAATGTGGCCACAGGCATGGATTTCCTCTACGATCCCCACCCCAGCACATCCTTGCAAAGCTCCCCTCCCCTCAGGTCTACTTGCATAGGACAGAGCTGCTTTGAAGGCTGCTCCCTGCTCTAATGACTGTGCTTTCTGGTTTTTTTGGTAATAATTATCTTCACTTTGGACAATTGTATCCTCCTTTCTCTATACCATAACTCACTCCCTCTTCCCCTTCAACGTGGGTCAGGTGTATCTTTGTGATCTTGGACTTCTAAGCACTAAATTCGAATAAAAAGTCTGTAACCACAATACCTTAAAATTAGGCCCTGCAAACTATCTGATCTTTGACAAACCTGACAAAAACAAGAAATGGGGAAAGGATTCCCTATTTAACAAGTGGTGCTGGGAAAACTGGCTAGCCATATGTAGAAAGCTGAAACTGGATCCCTTCCTTACACCTTATACAAAAATTAATTCAAGTTGGCTTAAAGACTTAAATGTTAGACCAAAAACCATAAAAACCCTAGAAGAAAACCAAGGCGATACCATTCAGGACATAGGCATGGGCAAGGACTTCAGGTCTAAAACACCAAAAGCAATGGCAACAAAAGCCAAAATTGACAAATGGGCTCTAATTAAACTAAAGAGCTTCTGCACAGCAAAAGAAACTACCATCAGAGTGAACAAGCAACCTACAGAATGGCAGAAAATTTTTGCAATCTACTCATCTGGCAAAGAGCTAATATCCAGAATCTACAAAGAACTCAAACAAATTTACAAGAAAAAAACAACCCCATCAAAAAGTGGGTGAAAGATGTGAACAGACACTTCTCAAAAGAAGTCATTTATGCAACCAACAGACACATGAAAAAATGCTCACCATCACTGGCCATCAGAGAAATGCAAATCAAAACCACAATGAGATATCATCTCACACCAGTTAGAATGGTGATCATTAAAAAGTCAGGAAACAACAGGTGCTGGAGAGGATGTGGAGAAATAGGAACACTTTTACACTGTTGGTGGGACTGTAAACTAGTTCAACCATTGTGGAAGACAGTGCGGCGATTCCTCAGGGATGTATAACTAGAAATACCATTTGACCCAGCCATCCCATTACTGGGTATATACCCAAAGGAATATAAATCGTGCTACTATAAAGACACATGCACATGTATGTTTATTGCGGCACTGCTCACAAGACTTGGAACCAACTCAAATGTCCAACAATGATAGACTGGATTAAGAAAATGTGGCACATATATACCATGGAATACTATGCAGCCTTAAAAAAAATGATGAGTTCATGTCCTTTGTAGGAACATGGATGAAGCTGGAAACCATCATTCTCAGCAAACTATCGCAAGGACAAAAAACCAAACATCACATGTTCTCACTCATAGGTGGGAATTGAACAATGAGAAAACTTGGACACAGGAAGGGGGATATCACACACCAGGGCCTGTTGTGGGGTGGGCGGGGGGGGGATAGCATTAGGAGATATACCTAATGTAAATGACGACTTAATGGGTGCAGCACACCAACATGGCACATGTATACATATGTAACAAACCTGCACGTTGTGCACATGTACCCTAGAACTTAAAGTATAATAAAAATATATATATATTAAAAATTAGGCCCTATGGTGTTAAAAATATGAATGTACAACTATCAATTAGGGTCTATCAGGGAAACAAAATCAGTATGGGTATCCTGGGCTGAAAATTTTATTTTAGGCATTAGATACCATGCAGTTATGGTAAAGACCTCTCCGGAAAGCTAATGCTTCTGTGTCTGGTGGTAGGCCTTAAGTCACTGTGAGTCAGTTGGGCTGGCAGTCAGGAAGGAAAGCTGGGTATGAAGCGGGAGAGAGCGAAGACAAGCCGGACTCATGAAGACAAGCTGGACTCATGAAGACTCATGAAGACAAACCAAAATTTGCATCTAGCTCTCACCACCTCCAAACTCCATAGTGTGGGTGACCTAAAAACAAAGCTGGCACCCTTCCTCATGGCATTGCATGTGCATCTGACCCAGGACTCAGATGAGCTGAAGGAAGAGATCTCATGGGAGCTGGAGGACTGTGGGCTAGCTACTGCCCACACCAACAGAGTGAGCCAGGAGATGAGGCTGGGAGCTGCAGCGGCACCTGTTGCCTGCTCCTTCTGAGCTTAGTGACTGTGCATCACTTCCACTTTCCAAATCTCGTGAAAATATCTCCTGTGGTCATATCTAATGTGTAACTCTATGAGTAAGGGAATTCTAAGAAATTCTGTAGTTCCGGGTTAGCTAGTTATATAGTTCAGAACCTCTCCACTGGAGTAGACCTCAGTAGTGATACCCCTTTGCCTAGTTTATGCACAGAAGTCACGCTTCTCAGCACCCATTGCAACTGAGTGGCAACACATGGCTACTTCTCACCAATGGATTGTGAGGCCAGCTGACAATCTGAGGCTTCAAAAGCCCCTATACAGCTCTCAGTTCTTTTCCTGCCACATCAATCATGGAGGCCAAGACGGAACCACCCTAAATCCCTGAGATTTAAATCTCTGAATCTTTGAAGGGAACTACCCTGGAGAACCTTGAGACCCACAGCAGAATTGGTGAGAAATAAACTTTTATGTGTTAAGCCATTAAAATTTAAGGATTTTTATTTCTTTTTGGTGTTGTTAAATAAATGTATGTGATAACTTGTTACTGCAACATAACCCAGCCACCTGACTAACACAGACATATGTATTAGGCATCAGGATGTTACTAGTGGAAGAGATCTGAGTTACCCCGAGTTACTGGTAGCCAATCTGTACAGATCTGCAGCAACCTCAACTCTTGCCTTCTTGGAAGAAATAATTCAACTGAGGGGCATAAAGCATAAAAAGAGACTGAGGCAAGTTTCAGAGCAGGAGTGAAAAAGCTTTAGAACAGCAAGGAAAGGAAGGAAAGGAAAGAAGGGAAGTATAACTTGAAGAGGGCCAAGTGAATGACTTGAGAAACCAAGTGCGTAGCTTGACCTCTTGACTCGGGCCTACTTCCAGGATTTGCCTTACTTCCCCCAACTCCTGAGATCTTACTGGGAAGCTGCTGATCAGTTTCAGGTGTTTTCTGCCTGTTGGGAAACTGCCTTTCTCTGGTGCCAGCTGTGACCAATTACTACTTTAGAGAAACAGTTAACAAATGCCTGACCATCACCTGATGGTCGCCCAATGCTCTTGGTGTGTGTGTCAGGCTGGGGGTCCTCTCCTGCCCTGCTCATACATGACTAGCTACCTACTGTCATGAGAAAATTGACTCAAATACCTAACTTCTGGGATTTATCCAAGAAAAATATAAACTAAGAAAAAGATCTGTACAGTTGTACCTTGGTATTTGGGGAGTACTGGTTCCAGGACCTCCCCCACCCACAGATATTGATATTGAATTCCACAGATTTTCAAGTCCCTGATATAAAATGACATAGTATTTTTATATAACCAACAAACCTCCTTCTGTGTACTTTAAATCATCTCTAAGTTACTTACAACACCTAATACAATGTAAATGCTATATAAGTTGCTATTATGCTGTATTGTTTAGGAGATAATGACAAGAAAAAAAGTCTGTACATGTTCAGTACAGATGTAAACATTAATTTCTTTTCCCAAATATCTTTTATCTGCAGTTGATTGACTCCACAGATGCAGGACCTACAGATACAGAGGGCCAGCTGTGTATACAAAATACTCATCATATTATTATTTATAATTTAAAAATTGAACATAGTCCAAATGTCCAGCGACTTGGGTGTGTTTAAAATTTTATAATTGAGACATAGGTTGGAATGTTATGAAACCTATGAGAAGTATATACATTGAGGCAATACTGGTAAATAGGCAGAATAAATGTTTTAAATGGCTACAAAATTGTATATACACTATTATCTTCACGATATAAAAAAGCCAACTTCTCCAAAAAACTTGAACAGAATATAGTACAATGATATTCATTGTAAAATAGCTGTAGGGTATACATTATTTTCCTTTTTCTTTACTTTCTAAACTTTTTATCATTTTAAAAGTTGCTTTTATAGTGTAATAATAACATTTTTAAAAAGAAATGAAGATCCTAATGACTAAAATCCAGCAAGTATTTCCTAAGAACAAGTTCTTCCAAACTCATTTGCATTTTGATAGGATCACTAGAATTGTAGATTAAGTGAACACCATAGCCACAGTTTAAATTGATTTCAACAAGACATTTAAGAAAAGTTTCCATGATGTTCCTGTTGACAAGATAGAGAAATTTGTCCTGGATGAGAATGGAGCTTACCAATTTGCATGCAAGTGAACAATTTCACTTAATATGAGACTAGAGTAAAATATCCTTGGCCTGCTGTTAGATCTCTGTCCTTGGCTTTTCCCAACCAACATTTATTTAAATGTCTGGAAGAAAGAAATAACAAAATTATAAAATGTGGAAATGACATAAAGTTGGAAAGTAGATTTAACATGATTGATGACAGAGTAACAATAATATCAGAAAACTGGAACAATGAACAAAGCTATTTTGAATAACTTTAACTGAAAAATGCAAAGTTTAGCTCCAAAAAGCTCAGTTTCATAAATATAGGATAGAACAGATAGCCATTCATGTGAAAAACAAACAAATATTGAGATTTTTGAATAGCCTCTACCTCCATGCCTATATATTTATTTGTCTCAACAAATATTTATTTAGTACTTGTTATATTTAAGGAATTTTTCAGTGGTCCAGGCAAGACAGGATAGTGGTTTTATCTTAAGGAGTTGGCTCTAGGGACAGAAAAAGGAGTTGGTTACAAAAAGTATTCAAAATGATGAGCTTATCCTTGAATATGTGAGTTTTAGTTATTTTAGAGACACCCAGGAAGAAATATTTGTTTGACCATTGGATATATAGGTCTAGACTCTGAAAAAAAGCTAGGGCTAGAAATAAAAGATGACAGAGTCATCGGGACATACATGGTAATGAGATCAAAGGAACGAATGAATGCTGAAAGAGAGAGTAGATATTAAGAAGAGAAGTTTGAGGACACAGCCCCGAAGAAAATCTAGCAAAAAATATTAAAATAAGAAAGAAAACCAGTGAGCTAGTGAGAGAACAAAAAGAAATGAAGAAATGATGTTTCAGAAGTTAAGAGAAGAGTTTCAAAAAGATGTAGAACTTCCAGGCAAGTATGCAGGTAGACCATCAGAGCCTGATTAGCTCTTCCGAACTCTGTATTCACAAGCATAGAGAAACCAGAAAGGAAACCATACCTCATAGTACAACATAAAAACAAAATATCTTAATCATTCGTTGACTAAATAACATAATACCATTACTGAAGCTAAGAAAAGTCTGTTAAGGAACTTTTCTAACTGTGTCTTGTACAACACACTAGACATTCCATTCTGAGAATTAGTTCATGGATAGCTGAAAGAAAGAAATTAGGAGAAAACTTTGACTGATTCCCACAATTTGTCACTGATTTCAGGACATGGGCCACACTCATCTGGATAGGTGGCCATCCCATTTATTTATTTATTTATTTATTTATTTATTTATTTATTTATTTTTAATTTTTGTTTTTTTGAGACAGCATCTTGCTATGTCACCCAGGCTGTAGTGCAGTGGCAAGATCTTGGCTCACTGCAGCCACCGCCTCCCGGGCTCAAACAATTCTCCTGCGTCAGCCTCCTGAGTAGCTGGGATTACAGATGTGTGCCACCACGCCTGGCTAATTTTTGTATTTTTAGTAGAGATGGGATTCACCATGTTAGCCAGGCTGATCTCAAACTCCTGACCTCATGACCCACCCGCCTTGGCCTCCCAAAGTGCTGAGATTACAGGCCACCACCTCCCGACCAGCCATCCCTTTTAACACGAGAACTATTTCTGAGTTCTTCAGTTCCAGTGTCAACTTCCCCTTTCTCTCTTGCATTTCCATCAGATCTTCTCATTCCACCTCTAAAGATAAACTTCCTGTGCTTGACACTACAGGAAGTAGAACAGGCTAGGAGAGAAGCTAAGTGCATCTTGGCATATTTAATCAATGAAGGAAAGTGTTAGGAGCCTGGGTAGGAAGATTTCTGGGACTAGTACTTGCTGCGGCACTGTAGGTCTGTGTATATATATTAGTGGAAAATAATGCACTGACTCTGACTTTAAGAGAAGCTAGAATCAGTGTGGGAGGATGCACTTTGGCTCTCTAAGGGTTGCTTATTGGGCACTGCAATTTGGGCTGCCAGCCATGCCTATCAACCTGCCTCAAGCAAGAAGAGCAAAGAGGAAGTGAGGAAAATGTTCTACTAAAAGGAACTCTGCATTCTTCTTCCTTCAGCATTGCTGATTGAGAGCACCTGGAAAGGTGGTGCAGAATTGCTTCAGTGTAGCAGGAGATGCCCTAGAGAAGCCAGCCTTGCCAAACTTTCAAGTCAGCCTTCACACAGTAGGGATGCCACTGAATATCGAACTAAAGGAAGTGGTGGCAGAAGAGCCTTCTCTGCATTTCAATTTTTTAATACCCCTCTAAATTTGATTACAGGAAAAACTATAAATAGTATGATTGATAGAAGATTTTAAGTGAGAAGCACATTACTATTAGTTCAAACTCACCTGTAATAGGCTCCAATGTTCTGGCTTCAAGATACACAGCAGGTGGCAATTTGCCTGTGCTACTCAACAATTTCAACATAGTTCTACTGCTTCGATACATACATTGTAGCATGTCCCTTTCTTGGCTTAAAATAACGCAGCAGGGCTGTGTGTGGGCATGCACACAGATAAACACAAGTAATAAATGCACTATATTACAAAGTATTGAGACTGATTTTGTTTGCACCCTTCACGATCTCATTATTCTTTAACCCCCGGGCTGGCTCAGTGAATGAACTATGAAGGCAGCCAACACACACAGCATGATGGTCAATTCTGGGAGGGCCATGCCCCTCCCTGCTTGGCCAGACTCCACTGTCTCCTATCTGATTTGAATTGTCCATTATTCATTAGTCACTTTTTAAAATTTAATATAATTGTGGAAGAATTGGGTATAAAGTGGGTAAATGGCTTTAGAAGACACTCTATTGAAAAAGCACTGTTGGGAGGAGAGTGATGACTGTGATAGCCTGTCACTTTTCCATTAGATCATATTGGCTAATAGTCGATGATGTACCCCTAAATGTGGTAATTTGTTGAGTGCCAACTCTGTGCCTATATCTTCTAGGGGAGAGTGGCAGGCAGGGAGTGAATCAAAATAAAAAGATATGGCATGTCTTAAAATGACTTAACAGCTACTGAGAAGTACAGGTGCACAGACAATTTTGAAGCCAGGTGGCAGGTGAGATAAGAGAGGTAGACTGTGGGACCCAGAGGAAGGCGCTTGGAGGAGAGGAGAGAGAGGATCACAGATGGAGAATTCACATTCTTGTAAAACTAGTAACAGCTAACATTCCCTGTATGCGTCCTCAGGGTCAGGTCCTCTTCTAAGTTTGAACTTATTTAATGCTCATACAACTCCATGAAATAAGTATATAATTATCTCTAGTTTAAAGATGAGGAAACTGAGGCATGGGGTGGTTGAGCAATTTGCCAAAAGTTTCACAACAGGTAAGTGGTGATGAGAATAGAGGCAGTGTCATTCCAGAATCCATCCTTTTAGCCTACATTCTGTGCCCTAAAGACAAATAGAGATGTGGGATGAATAAGGTTCAAGGAGGAATGGGACTGTAGCTATTAAGACTGCATGTTCTTGGCCCTACACACCAAATTCATATGCTGAAATCCTAACCTGCAGTATGATGGTATTAGGAGAAGGGTCCTTTGAGGAGTAATTAAGTAGAGGCCTCATGTGTGGAATGAGTGCCTTTACCAGAGGAACCCACAGAGCTCTCTCTCTTTCCATCCTGTGATGATACAGTGAGAAGTCATCAGCCTGCAACCCAGAAGAGGACCTTCACCAGGAACCGTATCAGCTGACACCGTGATCTTGGACTTCTCAGCCTCCAGAACTGTGAGATATAAATTTCTGTTGTTTAAGCCATCCAGTATACGGTATTCTGTTATGGCAGCCCAAACAACTAAGACCACCGCAGTGTTTTTTAATATTTAAAGTAAGGTAAAAGCAGGAGGAAAGCTAGGCAACTCTTGGAACAGGAACATTCAGGATAAACACCTGAAAGAAGCGAAGTAATGAAGCCAAGCTCTACCTCTTCCTACCTTTATTAACAAACATCCATCAGGCCCAGGATCATCCCAGGCACTGAGCAAGGCACTGGGGATACAAAGATAAATAAAACAAGCATTGTTTTGGGGGAGCTCACATTTCAAGGATGTGATAAGCCAAAAATAGATTTTAATACAATGTAGTAAATCTATTGGCAGGGTATAGAAGGTGCTGTGGGCGCTCAAAAGAAGAAGTTGCTACGTCCAAAGTGTTGAGAGAGACTGTGAAGAATTGAATGGGAATTTAGAAGTGGCCAAGGAAAGGGCTCAGGGAGAGGGACACTGAAGTCGCAGGAAGCGTGAAAGCAAACTGAGAGAGCGGAGAGAAAGAAACAGGCTTCATGGAACAGCCAGTCAAAAGGGCCTTTGTGTCATGGAGAGGTAGCTGTGAAATTGTTCTAGATTATTATCCCAAGGAATAATGGGGGAAGCCCCAAAGCTTTTATACAGGAAGCAGAACCCAATCATGTTTAGTTTTAGGGATATGACTGGAGGAAGAAGGAAGGAAGGATGGTGTATTAGGGTTCTCTAAAGGGACAGAACAAATAGGATATTCATTAGGATATATATACATATACATATTAGTATATATGTATATATGTATGTATATATGTATGTATATAAAGGGGAGTTTATTAAGTATTAAATCACATGATCACACGGTCTCACAATAGGCTGTCTGCAAACTGAGAAGCAAGGAAAGCCAGTTCAAGTCCCAAAACTGAAGAACTTGGAGTCCGATGTTCGAGGGCAGGAGGGATACAGCATGGGAGAAAGATGTAGGCCAAGCTAGCCTTTTCACATTTTTCTGTCTGCTTTATATTCCAGCTGGGCTGGCAGCTGATTAGATTGTACCCACCCAGATTAAGGGTGGGTCTGCCTTTCCCAGCCCACTGACTCAAATGTTAGTCTCCTTTGGCAACACCCTCACAGACACACCCAAGATCAATACTTTGCATCCTTCAATCCAGTCAAGTTGATGCTCAATATTAACCATCACAGATGGGTTAGAGAGGAAGAAGCCATTGACAGGAAGCTCAGCTCGATTGAAGGTTGTTACAAAGATCCACCCAAGAGAACAGAAGGCCTGTCCCAGAGCAGTGGTTGTCTGATGAATAAACAAGAACAGACCCAAGAGACATGAATGAGGTAGAGGTCCAGGATTTTAGATCAATAATAAGTCAGGAAGGAAGAGTTTTTCAGGATTAGCTGAAAGTTCTAATTTGGGAGACAGAGTAAATGTCATTAGCAGGGAGAGAAAATTCTGAAGAGTGATTATGTTAGTGACCTGTTGAGCTTGAGGAATCTACAAGGCATCCAGATGAATATTATAGTACACTCTCTAATTGCTGTGGCAAAATAATATCATCATTTTGTTTTCCTAACACCTTATTTGGAACGCCAGACAGCTTCACTGAAAAAATACGACAGATAGTAGATATTAGGTAGTTGAATCAGTTCCTTGGATATTCTAGATAGAGAAGCAATGATCACAAAGTACTTTGAGTTCAGTTAAGAAGAACCAAGGTTTGTGTTGAGTTTTATAGTGCTTTGACATATGTTGTTTCTTTTAATCCTTCCAGCAGTCCTAAAGGCAGGCAATATTTAATATCTTTCCATTTTTATAGATGAGGAATCTGAGTCCAATTCAGTTGTCTTAGTTACCACATAATGAGTAGCAGAGCTCCAGCATGACCACCTCTTTCCTCCTTTGCCTCTAGAGAGAGATCATCCTCATGAGACTGCAAACCCAGTGAGGGCAGGAGGGTGATCTTGTGACCCTGACACCAGGCACAATGCCTAGTGTTTGGTAGCATGGAATCATCTGATTGTGGAATGAATGAATGGATGCCACACATCTAACATTATAGAATTATTTACCTTATCAAATAACATGACTACATCCTGAGTAAATATTTCTGGTGGAAATGAAAAATTAAGAACACTAGCCAGGCAGGTTCTACTTGATGTGAAATAGCGGGGAGAGTGAGTAGATTCTATTGGTAAAAATAACAAATATGGAGAATTAACATTTTAAAAATGAATATATAAAAAGAGATGTTTCTATGTAATATAATTAATTTCCCAAACTACTGGCAGGAAGACCCTTTCCTGAATCCCACCTGAACAAGTGTTTTTGTTGCTTGCTTTCCAAGGGTGTGTCTGCACATCGACTCTCATCACCTTCTCTGTCTGCCTCTCTCTGTTTTATCGCATGACATTTTCATTGAGCTATTGAAATTGGATGTGTCAGACACATTAAAAGCAATGGCAGCTGTGGCAAGTTAGTTGATATATTTTAAAATAAACCAAGAGGGCCATGCAGATGTCAGGGGAATAAATTGCTCTGTTTAGCAACAAGTGATTTATTTAACCACTGTAGACAGGGTCCAAAGGAATGCCAAGCTGCATACATTTTGGTTGGGAAAAGCTGAGCTATTTTCTCAGAAATCTCTCCTGTGGGATCAAAATAAGAGTGGGAGAAGTTTATGAGAAGATTAATTAAATTCTTGATTTGGGAATGACCCTGAAGAATGAGTTTTATTTCCCATGTGCTTCAAAATTGACCTCTCAGTGTTTCTGCAGGTGAGACACATTCTGGAAGCATCAGGTATTGGCAATAACCCTGACTTCATGGGCATCACTCAAACTGCAGCAGCAGCATTTCTCTCTAGCTTGTCTTTGAGGGCAAAGTGTGATGTTTCCAAGAGAGTGATAAAAAAAAAAAAGGCCCGAGGCTGGGATTTCACTCTTTCTTCCTCTCGCCATTCAACCTTGGCTAGTGACTGCTAGATACAAAGTAATCAATAAATGTGAATTGATGGGAATTTAAAGTTGCAGACGTGTGGCACAGCAGTGAAAGCACAGGCTCTGGAAACAGAAGGTCCAGATTTGCATCCTGGTTCTGTCGCTTAATCACCATGTGCCCATGAACCAGTTTCTGACCTTTCTTTGCTTCATTTTTCTCATCCATAGATGAAGATAGGAACACTACTCACCACATACAATGGATGTGAAGTTAAGTAAGTTACTGCAGTCATAGAAGAGGTACCACCTGCAATGATGACTTCACCTATCCACATCATCAGTTCTCCTGTCTATTGGTTCATTCCCCCTAGCATACATATGTTGTACTCGCCCCTTTAAAAAGAATCTGCGATCCTACATCCTCCTTCAGTTGTGACCTTATTCTCTTTCTCTCATTTACGTCAAAACTCCTGGAAAACAGAGAGTAGAAGGATGATTACCAGAGGCTGGGAAGGGTAGTTGGGGATTGGGGGAAGGTGGGGATGGTTAATAGGTATGAAAAAAATAGAAAAAAATGAATAAGACCTACTGTTTGATAGAACAATAGGGTGACTATAGCCAATGGTAACTTAATTATATATTTAAAAATAACATAGAGAATGTAATTGGATTGTTTGTAACTTAAAGGATAAATGCTTGAGGAGATGGACACCTCATTCTTCATGATGTGCTTATTTAACATTGCATGTCTGTATCAAAACATCTAATGTACCCCATAAATATATACACCTACTATGTACCTACACAAATTTTTTAACATAATTAAAAATTAAAAATACGTAAATAAATTGCTTTTTTTTTTTTTTGAGACACAGTCTGGCTCTGTCGCCTAGGCTGGAGTGTAGTGGCATGATCTCGGCTCTCTGCAACCTCCACTTCCCAGGTTCAAGCGATTCTCCTGCCTCAGCCTCCTGAGTTGCTGGCATTATAGGCACCCACC
Organism: Homo sapiens; assembly: GCF_000001405.40. Classification (NCBI taxonomy): domain Eukaryota; kingdom Metazoa; phylum Chordata; class Mammalia; order Primates; family Hominidae; genus Homo; species Homo sapiens. The sequence goes on along the minus strand of NC_000012.12, from coordinate 26,322,423 downwards.
ACCACACCCAGCTAATTTTTGTATTATTAGTAGAGATGGGGTTTGTTTCACCATGTTGGCCAGGCTGCTCTCGAACTCCTGACCTCATGTGATCCCCCATCTCAACCTCCCAAAGTGCTGGGGTTACAGGCATGAGCCACTGCACCTGGCCCGATAAACTGCATTTTTGAAACAATAAAAGAAACTCATGGAAAGAATTGTGCATTTGCTCTTTGATCCACTCAGGCTTTTACCTCCAGTGTTCAAATGAAACTATTCATCCAAATCACCTGTGCCCTTCATCTTGCCTAATCTAAAGGTTCATTCTTACATCTCATGAGACTCGACTTTTCAGCAGCATTGACCCATTCCTGACTCCCTTCATCATTCTTAAAACACGACTCTTTCCTGGTTTTTTTCTTACTCTACTATTTGCTCTTTCTCAGCATCCTTTGCAGGCACCTTCTTGCTGTAATGCCCCTGGATCCAGTTTCTGGAACTCTCCTATTACTTTTCTACACTCCTAAGATGGTTTCATCCAGTTTCATGCAGGATATAGAGATTTAGATACATTGCAATAACTCCCAGATCTGTGCCTCTACCTCCAACTTTCTTCTCATTTATCATATCTCCACTTACATGAATAATAGGCCTCTCACCCTTCAGACAGTTCAGTCCTCATTATTCATAAATTCCATATTTGCAAATTTTCTTATTCACTAAACTCTATTTGTGACCCCAAGATCAGTACTCATGGCACTTTCATAATCATTGCAGTCACGTGCAGGCCTATAAAAATTTTGAGTCACCCGACATGTACGTTCCAGCTGGGATGAGACAAGACATTCTACCTTCTTGTTTCAACTCTCATGATGCAAATAAGCATCCTTTTCATTATCTATTTAATGCCACTTTTTTACACTTTTGTGCTTTTTGTTAGTGACCTTGCTCTTTAAAATGGCACCCAAGTCTTCCTTTGAAATTGCTCCACTTCCTACACCTTCATTATTTCAAGCCTGGTCCCAACCATGATTGCCTTGATTATGGCAATTGCGTCCTAGCTGGTTACCCTCCTCTCATCTGTGACCGTGCCCGCTCCCAGCACACATAAGGCAGATCGTGTCCCTCCTCTGCTGAGAACCCTTCAAAGATGAGAGTCTTATCTGAAGCCACAGTGTCATCTTTGCTGATTCTCTAATATATCATGACGTGCTCTCACCTCAAGGCCTTGCATTTGCTCTTTTCTCTGTGTCACTTTTTCTGTTTTTTCTTTTCTTTTTCTTTTTTTTTAATATATATATTTTTTGAGACAGAGTCTCACTCTGTTTTGCAGGCTGGAGTGCAGTGGCATGATCTTGGCTCACTGCAACCTCCGCTTCCTGGGTTCCAGCGATTCTCCTGCCTCAGCTTCCCGAGTAGCTGGGATTACAGGCGCATGCCACTACACCCAGCTAGTTTTTGTATTTTTAGTAGAAACAGGCTTTCTCCATGTTGGCCAGGCTGATCTCCAACTCTTGACTTCAGGTGATCTGCCTGCTTTGGCCTCCCAAAATGCTGGGATTACAGGTGTGAGCCATCGCACCCAGCCTTCTTTTCTCTATTTCAAACATTTGTCCTGCAAGGATGCAAGTGGCTCACTTCCTCCCTGCCTTTTTGTCTCTGCTCAAACATCAGTTTATCAGAAAAAACTCCCCTAGTTACTCTATATAGAATTGCACTTCCTTTATTCTCTATCCTCTTACTCAGCCTTACTTTTCTTCATATTGATTATCACCCAGTATATTAAAACTCTGCTTATTGTTTACTCTCAAAAGAATGTAAACTTTTTGAGGGCAAAGACTTGATCTATTTTGTTCACTGCTGTTTTCCCAGTGCCTGAAACGTTACCAGACACAAAGTATGTGCTCAATAAAATGTATTTTGATGAGGATTCATACTTTGGTTTCTTCTGTGTGAAATGGAGATAATATGACTCTCTTTCACACTGGGACTTATCTGTTACAATGTTAGATTGTACTTCAGACTGCCTGCCAGGCCCTTGGGCCATCTTCAATAAGTCAGCTCAGGGAAGGCTGGTGTCCACTATTGACCTAAGCAAGCCAATGACAGCCTACACCTGAAGCAGAGAGCAGAAATGTTGAGATTATCGACTGCCCCTTGGCTTTGGTAAGAGGAATAAAAAATGGCTATGTTGTTTTAGAAAATATCACCTTGAAAGCTCCATGATGATGTACCAATTTGCTCTGATTGTCTCATAAAGCACCATTTTCCTTCCCCATATATTATGGAGCAGATGGCTCTCTTCTCAAAGGAAGCTGTGCCATTTTAAAACTTTTCTTCCCATGCAGGATGAGCCACTGGCTAAAATGGTGAGATCACCACCCATCCAGCCATGCTATTATAACCCAGGACACTCATGTAGGATTGAGGCCTGGAAAGTTAACTGCATGATTCCCAGGTGTTAGGGCTACTTACCAAGAATGCCTGCTTAACTTTGAAAGGAAGGTTTCCCTGGGAACATACATCCTGGTGAACAGGATCAGGTGTTGCTTAATAGATATTATGTAGATACAGAGTAAATGTCAGGCTTACATAGAGGAGTTGGCTGCTGAGGCAAATTTGTTCTTCAGCCTTGGCCAGCAACCCAGAATTTAAGGGAGGAGTCAAGGCCGGAAGCCACGTGCATTGAGGATCTAGGAAACCACCCACAGAGTCATCCTTCTTCCAGACTCAGCCTCCTCAGACAAAAAATCCCACTCTGTTCCCAGGCCGGAGAGCCTCCTGGGCTGGAATTGCTCAAGCCTCAGCTCACAGATGAGTCACTGTATTCATTTGCTCCACAGGTAGGCGTGTAGTTTGGCCCCATATGCAACAGACAGGCCAAGTTAACAGCAACTCGGGGAATTTCAAAATTGATTTTTATGGCAAAAAGAACACATGACCATTGTGATAGAAAATATTGGAACATACAGGCAAGCACCATAAATTTTAAAAAGAGCTGATAATCCCCAAACGCAGAGATTAAACATCATTAATAATTTCTTGTCTCACCTTCCAGGCTTTTGTCTATCCACCTGGGAGTACATATAGTGTAAAACAAATTGGATTATTCTAACAATGTTGTTTTACGGTCCTTCTCTATATACTATCCTACGGTGGACATTTTCCCAGGTCATTGATTATTCTGTTCTAGTGATTTTTTAATGGCCATACAACCTTCCAAAATAAAAATGTACCATAGTTTGTTGTACAATGCTTTACAGTTGAACATTTAGATAATTTTCAGTTTTTCGTTACTAAAGTTAACACTATGATGAGCATGATTGAACATACATATTTGTGTACGCCTCTGATTCCTGACTAAGAATAAATTCATTCAAATGAAATCATGCAACCAAAACATATGAGTATTTTCAAGGCTTAAAAAAGGTTTTACTTACTTATACTCCTACACTTGCGGCATGAAACAGGCCCTTTCCCAAAGGTGGCTTTTAGGTAAGGCTGCTTTGGTGGCCCAGACTAGGGTCCCCCTGCCTCTGATAGAGCTAAACTGTGCCGCAGGAAGCTGCCCCAGGGCAGCTGTGTGCAGAAGGCTGTTTTTGCCCCTTGGGGCCTTCCGGCTGCATTTTCTCATCTCTACAGCCGGGCCAGCTGAAGCATGTGGAGGTCAGGTGATGTGTGTGGGGTCATGCAGCCAGTGGTGACTCAGCCAAACCCACTCCAGCTCCTGAACCTTGCTCAGATCACAAGGCTGAGAGCACTCGCTTTCCCTGCAGCCCACAGTTTCCAAATAATTAAAAGAGGCTCCTTGTGCTTGAGTTTGTAGATATTAAGTTTTTGGAATGAGTGGTTCAGCCCCATGACCTTGTTAATTGGTGACACTAAATGCTGTATAATCCTGCCTTCCTTTTTCTTTCTGGAAACAATCAGAATAATTTGTTGAGCTTCCCTGCACTGTATAATTTGCAATGAAGCTTTGTGATGAGTCTATTCAGGTGCCCATCTGAGACTCAGATTCAAAGACATAACTGCTGAGCTGAATCAAAACAACAACTCTGGTACATCTGATTCATTATGACTCATGCATCAAACTCAAGCTGCCTATTAAGGTACTAGAACACTCTCACCAACATAAGAAAACCCCTGATGACAAAGATTGGCCAACTCTTGGGGATTATTGTCTCCTTCATCCATAATTCAGTAAGCCAAATTAAATTCAGGTGACCAATAGTTAAGTCAACCTAACAAGACTGTCTCTTCTCAGGTGGCTGGGCCAGCATGGGGGATGACTGCAGCTATTCCACAGGGAGTCTTTGCTTCCAGTGGTTTACTATCCCTGTATTACTCTCTGGAATGGAGCCTGTGAGCTCAAGGTCCTCTGTGGACATCATACTTTGTTCTGATTCTTAGCCATACACAGTGGGAGTTGAATCCCAGATGTCCTCTTATGGCCCAGCACCATTTGCACAGGGTTAAGAGAAAATGGAAGAGCATCAACCCATCCCCTCAGCTGGGAAATGACTCCTGACTCTTTTGCCAGGAGAATATATCAGTTACATCCTCTTTTGGGCATTCAGAGATGAGCCTAATATGTAAAAATTAAAGTAAACAGGCTGAAGAGACACCTACTTGTAGTATAGCTGCTGTATTATTTATCTGCATATATAAATGCACAGGCACGTAACCTAGCTGATTCTAAACTGCGTAGGTGAGTGTTTGCAGAACTAGGGGCTAGGAAGTTTTCTCAGTACCTATTTGCATGAGGCTGTGTTTCAGGAAGGCTTTTGGTTGTTAGCTGAAGGATGATGATGGAATTTAATGAGGAGTCCTTGGGACAGAGACTGAAATGGCGGGATGGCCTGGTATTTGGTTCCTATCAGGATATTGAGGGTGATTTGAGCTAGGAGGAATAAGGGATGACAGCCATGTCCTGGGCTTCGGCACTGCTCTGACACTCTGAAGGTCAGCAGAGTTGAAAGCCTTGCAGGTGAGCTGTTGGCATGGATGCCGGCGATGCTCGTGATAGGTTCTGCCAGTCATGGCAGGACTGAGGCTCCTTCAGAAGGTGTTGTGAGTAGAGGATGCTGAGGAGGGAGAGGGGGAGAAAGAGAAAGAATAAGGCAAATTCCACATGTGATTATATCTAATAGTCTGACTTATGAGTTCCTGTGGGAGAACTTAGAGGAAGTCCAGAAATACTTGGGGAGGCCTTACAGGGGTCTGCAGGGCAGGTTAGGCTAGAGCAGGAAACTCAGTTGTAAATGCTAATGCATCCATCACACCAAAGGCCCCTGTTTTTATACATCAGTCTTTTATTTCTTGGCATTTAGGTAATGGCTGGATTATTTGTTGTTGTTTTTGAGACAGGGTCTCACTCTGTTGCCCAGGATGGAGTACAGTGGCATGATCTCAGCTCACTGAAATCTTGACCTCCCAGGCTCAAGCAATTCTCGCACCTCAGCCTCCCAAGTAGCTAGGACTATAGGTGCACTACTGCCCCCAGCAAATTTTTGTATTTTCAGTAGAGATGGAGTTTCACTATGTTGCCCAGTCTGGTCTCAAACTCCTGACCTCAAGCAATCCACCGGCCTCAGCCTCCCAGAGTGTTGGGATTACAGGCAGGAGCCACCACCCAGCCAATTTCTGTTTTTTCATTATTAAAAATAACAGTGAGGAGGAGGGGGCAACATGGCCAAATAGGAACAGCTCTGGTCTGCAGCTCCCAGGTAGACCAACGCAGAGGGTGGGTGATTTCTGCATTTACAACTGAGGTACCCAGTTCATCTTGCTGGGACTGGTTAGACAGTGGGTGCAGCCCACAGAGGGCAAGCCAAAGCAGGGTGGGGCGTCGCCTCACCTGGGAAGCACAGAGGGTCAGGGAACTCCCTCCCCTAGCTAAGGGAAGCCATGAGGGACTGTGCCGTGAGGAAGTGTGCACTCTGGCCCGGATACTTCGCTTTTCCCATGGTCTTCCCAACCTGCAGACCACGAGATTCCCTCCAGTGCCTTTGCCACCAGGGCCCTAGGTTTCAAGCACAAAACTGGGTGGCCATTTGGGCAGACATCAAGCTAGCTGCAGGAGGTTTTTTTTTGTACCCCAGTGGTACTTGGAAGCCCAGTGAGACAACCATTCACTCCCCTGGAAAGAGGGCTGAAGCCAGGGAGCCAAGTGGTCTTGCTCAGTAGGTCCCACCACCACGGAGCCCAGCAAGCTAAGATCCACCAGCTTGAAATTGTTGCTGCCAGCACAGCAGTCTGAAGTCAGCTTGAGACGCTCGAGCTTGGTTGGGGGAGGGATGTCCACCATTACTGAGGCTTGAGTAGCTGGTTTTCCCCTACTCAAACAAAGCCGCCAGGAAGTTTGGACTGGGCGGAGCCCACCACAGCGTGGCAAAGCTGCTGTATCCAGACTGCCTCTCTAGATTCCTCCTCTCTTGGCGGGGCATCTCTAAAAGAAAGGCAGCAGCCCCAGTCAGGGGATTATAGGTAAAAATCCCATCTTCCTGGGACAGAGCACCTGGGGGAAGGGGCAGCTGCAGGCACAGCTTCAGCAGACTTAAACATTCCTGCCTGCCAGCTCTGAAGAGAGCAGCAGATCTCCCAGCACAGCCCTTGAGCTCTGGTAAGGGACAGACTGCCTCCTCAAATGGGTCCCTGACCCCCATGCCTCCTGACTAAGAGACAGCTCCCAGCAGGGTCGACAGACACCTCATACAGGAGAGCACCAGCTTGCATCTGGAGGGTGCCCCTCTGGGATGAAGCTTCCAGAGGAAGGAACAGGCAGCAATCCTTGCTGTTCTGCAGGCTCCACTGGTGATACCCAGGCAAACAGGGTCTGGAGTGGACCTCCAGCAAACTCCAGCAGACCTGCAGAAGAGGGGCCTGACTGTTAGAAGGAAAAATAACAAACAGAAAGCAATAGCATTAACATCAACAAAAAGGATGCCCACACAAAAACCCCATCCAAAGGTCATCAGCATCAAAGATCAAAGGTAGATAAATCCATGAAGATGAGGAAAAACCAGTGCAAAAATGTTAAAAATTTCAAACACCAGAATGCCTCTTCTCCTTCAAAGTATCACAGCTCCTTGCCAGCAAGGGAACAAAACTGGATGGAGAATGACTTTGACAAATTGACGGGAGTAGGCTTCAGAAGGTGGGTAATAACAAACTCCTCCAAGCTAAAGGAACAAGGTTCTAAGGAAGCTAAGAACCTTGATAAAAGGTTACAGAAAGTGCTAACTAGAATAACCCATTTACAGAAGAACATAAATGACCCGACAGAGCTGAAAAACACAGCATGAGAACTTCGTGAAGCACACACAAGTATCAATAGCTGAATCAATCAAGTGGAAGAAAGGATATCAGAGATTGAAGATCAACTTAATGAAATCAAGTGTGAAGACAAGATTAGAGAAAAAAGAATGAAAAGGAATGAACAAAGCCTCCAAGAAATATAGGACTATGTGAAAAGACCAAACCTACGATTTATTGGTGTACCTGAAAGTGATGGGGAGAATGGAACCAAGTTGGAAAACACACTTCAGGATGTTATCTAGGAGACCTTCTCCAACCTAGCAAGGCAGGCCAAAATCCAAATTCAGGAAATACAGAGAACACCACTAAGATACTCCTCAAGAAGAACAACCCCAAGACACATAATCATCAGATTCACCAAGGTGGAAATGAAGGAAAAAATGTTAAAGGCAGCCAAAGAGAAAGGTCAGATTACCTAGAAAGGGAAGCCCATCAGACTAACAGTGGATCTCTCTGCAGAAACCTTACAAGCCAGAAGAGAGTGGGGGCCAATATTCAACATTCTGAAAGAAAAGAATTTTCAGCCCAGAATTTCATATCCAGCCAAACTAAGCTTCATTAGCAAAGGAGAAATAAAATCCTTTCCAGACAAGCAAATGCTCAGGGATTTTTGTCACTACCAGGCCTGCTTTACAAGAGCTCCCAAAGGAAGCACTAAATATAAAAAGGAAAAACTGATACCAGCCACTGCAAAAACATACCAAAATATAAGGCCAATGACACTATGAAGAAACTACATCAACTACTGGCAAAACAACCAGCTAGCATCATGGTGACAGGATCAAATTCACAAATAAAAATATTAACCTTAAATGTAAATGGGCTAAATGCCCCAATTAAAAGAAACAGACTGTGGATAAAGAGTCAAGATCCATTGTTGTGCTGTATTCAGGAGACCTATCTCATGTGCAAAGACATACATAGGCTCAAAATAAAGGAATGGAGGAAGATTTACCAAGCAAATGGAAAGTGAAAAAAAAAGCAGGGGTTCCAATCCTAGTCTCTAATAAAACAGACATTAAACCAACAAAGATCAAAAAAGACAAAGAAGGGCATTACATAATGGTAAAGGGATCAATACAATAAGAAGAGCTAACTATCCTAAATATATATGCACCCAATACAGGAGTACCCAGCTTCACAAAGCAAGTTCTTAGAGACCTACAAAAAGACTTAGACTCCCATACAATAATAGTGGGAGACTTTAACACCCCACTGTCAATATTAGACAGATCGATGAGACAGAAAATTAACAAGGATATTCAGGACTTGAACTTGGCTCTGGACCAAGCAGACCTAATAGACATCTACAGAACTCTCCACCCCAAATCAACGGAATATACATTCTTCTCAGCACCACATCACACTTATTCTAAAATCAACCACATAATTGGAAGTAAAACACTCCTCAGCAAATGCAAAAGAATGGAAAGCATAACAGTCTCTCAGACCACAGTGCAATCAAATTAGAACTCAGGATTAAGAAACACACTCAAAACCATGCAGCTACATGAAAACTGAACAACCTGCTCCTGAATGACTACTGGGTAAATAACAAAATTAAGGCAGAAATAAATAAGTTCTTTGAAACCAATGAGAACAAAGGCACAACATACCAGAATCTCTGGGACACAGCTAAAGCAGTGTTTCGAGGAAAATTTATAGCTGTGAATGACCAAAGAAGAAAGTAGGAAAGATCCAAAATTGACACCCTAACTTCACAATTAAAAGAACTAGGAAAGCAAGAGCAAACAAATTCAAAAACTAGCAGAAGATAAGAAATATCTAAGATCAGAGCAGAACTGAAGGAGATAGAGACACCAAAAAAACCCTTCAAAATATCAATGAATCCAGAAGCTGGGTTTTTTAAAAGATTAACAAAATAGATAGACCACTAGCCAGGCTAATAAAGAAGAAAAGAGAGAATAATCAAATAGACACAATAAAAAATGACAAAGGGGAGATCATCACCGATGCCACAGAAATACAAACTACCATCAGAGAATACTATAAACACCTGTACAAAAATAAACTAGAAACTCTAGAAGAAATGGATAAATTCCTGGTCACATACACCCTCCCAAGGTTAAGCCAGAAATAAGTCCAATCCCTCAATTGACCAATAACAAGTTCTGAAATTGACGTAGTAATTAATAGCCTACCAACAAAAAAAAAAGCCCAGGATCAGACAGATTCACGGCCAAATTCTACCAGAGGTACAAAGAGGAGCTGGTACCATTCCTTCTGAAGCTATTCCAAACAATAGAAAAACAGGGACTCCTCCCTAACTTATTTTATGAGGCCGCCATCATCCTGATACCAAAACCTGGCAGAGACACAACAACAACAACAAAAATTTCAGGCCAATGTCCCTGATGAACATCAATGCAAAAATCCTCCATAAAATATTGGCAAACTGAATCCAGCAGCACATCAAAAAGCTTATACACCACAATCAAGTCAGCTTCATCCATGGGATGCAAGGCTGGTCCAGCATATGCAAATCAATAAATGTAATCCATCACATAAACAGAACCAATGACAAAAAACACCCGATTATCTCAATAGATGCAGAAAAGGCCTTTGATAAAATTCAACACCCCTTCATGGTAAAAACGCTCAATAAACTAGGTATTGATGGAACATATCTCAAGATAATAAGAGCTATTTATGACAAATTCACAGCCAATATCATACTGAGTGGGCAAAAGCTGGAAGCATTCCTTTTGAAAACTGGCACAAGACAAGGATATCCTCTCTCACCACTCCTATTCAACATAGTATTGGAATTTCTGGCCAGGGCAATCAGGCAAGAGCAAAAAATAAAGCGTATTCAAATAGGAAGTCAAATTGTCTCTGTTTGTAGATGACATGACTGTATATTTAGAAAACCCCATTGCCTCAGCCCCAAAACTTTTTAAGCTGGTAAGCAACTTCAGCAAAGTCAATGTGCAAAAATCACAAGCATTCCTATACACCAATAATGGACAAACAGAGAGCCAAATCATGAGTGAACTGCCATTCGCAATTGCTACAAAGAGAATAAAACACCTAGGAATACAACTTACAAGGGATGTGAAGGACCTCTTCAAGGAGAACTACAAACCACTGCTCAAGAAAATAAGAGAGGACACAAACAAATAGGAAGAATCGATATCGTGAAAATAGCCATACTGCCCAAAGTAATTTGTAGATTCAATGCCATTTTCATCAAGCTACTGTTGACTTTCTTCATACAATTAGAAAAAACTACTTTAAATTTCATATGGAACAACAAAAAAAGTCCGCATAGCAAGACAATCCTAGGCAAAAAGAACAAAGCTGGAGGCATCACATTTCCTGACTTCAAACTATACTGAAAGGCTACAGTAACCAAAACTGCATGGTACTCTTACCAAAACAGATATATATACCAATGGAACAGAACAGAAGCCTCAGAAATAACACCGCACATCTACAACCATCTGATCTTTGACAAACCTGACAAAAACAAGAAATGGGGAAAGGATTTCCTGTTTAATAAAAGGTGTTGGGAAAACTGGCTAGCCATATACAGAAAACTGAAACTGGACCCCTTCATTACACCTTATACAAAAGTTAACTCAAGATGGATTAAAGACTTAAACATAAGACCTAAAACCATAAAAACCCTAGAAGAAAACCTAGGCAATGCCATTCAAGAAATAGGCATGGGGAAAGACTTCATGACTAAAACACCAAAAGCAAGTTGCAACAAAAGCCAAAATTGACAAATGGGATCTAATTAAACTAAAGAGCTTCAGCACAGCAAAATAAACTATCATCAGAGTGAACAGGCAACCTACAGAATGGGAGAAAATTTTTACAATCTACCAATCTGACAAAGGTCTAATATCCAGAATCTACAAGGAACTTAAACAAATTTACCCGAACAAACAAACAACCCCATTAAAAAGTGGGCAAAGGATATTAACAGACACTTCTCAAAAGAGGACATTTATGCAGCCAACAAACACCTGAAAAAAGGCTCATCATCACTGGTCATTAGAGAAATGCAATCAAAACTACAATGAGATACCATCTCACACCAGTTAGAATGGTAATCATTAAAAAGTCAGGAAACAACAGATGCTGGTGAGCATGTGAAGAAACAGTAACACTTTTACACTGTTGATGGGAGTATAAATTAGTTCAACCATTGTGGAAGACAGTGTGGTGATTCCTGAAGGACTAGAGCTGGAATTACCATTTGACCTAGCAATCCCATTACTGGGTATATACCCAAAGCATTATAAATCATTCTACTATAAAGACATGTGCACACGTATGTTTATTGCAGCGCTGTTTACAATAGCAAAGACTTGGAACCAACCCAAATGCCCATCGATGATAGACTGGACAAAGAAAATGTGGCATATATACACCATGGAATACTATGCGGCCATAAAAAAGGATAACATGTCTTTTGCAGGGACACGGATGAAGCTGGAAACCATCATTCTCATCAAACTAACACAGGAACAGAAAACCAAACACTGCATGTTCTCACTCCTAAGTGGGAGTTGAACAATAAGAACACATGGACACAGGGAGGGGAACATCACACACCAGGGCCTATCGGGGTGGGGGGCAAAGGAAGGGATAGCAGTAGGAGAAATACCTAATGCATGCAGGGCTTAAAACCTAGATGATGGGTTGATGGGTGCAGCAAACCACTGTGCCACATGTATATCTATGAAACAAACCAGCAGGATCTGCACATGTATCTGAAAACTTAAAGTATAATAATAAAAAAATAGCAGTGAGAAACATCCTTGAACATAATTCTTAAGTTAATCTCTGATTAAGTTCATATACATATGTCAACACATTTAATATTGTGTCTATCCATATAAAAATCAAATTTACTGAATTATGTTATATACAATAGTGTTTACATATGTAAGTATACAATTTGATGACTTTTTTATTATCTTAACCTTTATTATCATTCATGCTGGTAAAATCATCCTAAAATGTGTAGACTGACAGAACCCATGTTATGTTTTTATGATAATTATTCCAAAGAGCAACTTCATAATGAAGTAATATAATTGATTAATTAATTAAATCAGTATCAAAAGCATCCCAAATATTTTTTGAGGGAATAAAAAGACTACGTTCTTTACAGGGAAAATGATTTATTGTAGTCAAGAGTACCAGAGAAGGAGTGGGAAGCGAAATGGGACCGTGAAGGAAACCAATAAATTGTGAATTATTGTGATTATCCTAGGGGAAAAAGGCTTAATCCCATTTCAGAACACTGGGAGACAGTGTAGACCATACTACAGAATTACCCCAGCTGATTGATAGATGAGGAAACTGGGGTATTTATTTATCTACCGCCTTTTTATCATTGGTGTTGTTTTCATTTTTTTTTATTGTGATGAGAACACTTGGCATGAAATCTGCCCTCTTAATAGACTTTTAAATGTAAAATACAGTAATGCTATCTATAGACACAAAGTTGTGTATCCTGTATAATTGAAATATTGTGGCCAGGCTCAGTGGCTCACTCCTGTAATCCCAGCACTTTGGGAGCCCGAGGCGGGAGGATCATTTGAGATCTGGAGTTCGAGACCAGTCTGACCAACACGGTGAAACCCCGTCTCTATTAAAAATACAAAAAATATTAGCTGGGTGTGGTGGTGCACACCTGTAGTCCCAGCTACTCAGGAGGCTAAGGCAGGAGAATCACTTGAACCCAGAAGGTGGAGGTTGCAGTGAGCTAAGATCGTGCCACTGGACTCCAATCTGGGTGACAGAGTGAGACTCCATCTCAAAAAAATAAAAATAAAAATAAAAATATTTTGCCTATTGATTAGCAACTTTCCATTTTCCCCATCCCCCCGCCCCTGACAATAACTATTCACCCTCTGTTTCTATGAGTTTGCCTATTTTAGACGCTTCATATAAGTGCAATTATGCAGTATTTGTCCTTTTCTGACTGGCTCATTTCACTTACTATAATGTCCTCAACATTTATACATGTTGTTCCATGTTGCAGGCTTTCCTTCTTTTGTATAACTAAATAGTATTCTATTACATGTCTATATGACATTGTTAAAAATCCATTAATCTGTCAGTGAACACTTAGTTTTTATTTCCACAGCTTGGCGATTATAAATAGTGCTGCAATGAATATGGGAATGGTAATATCTCTTTGACATCCTGACTTCAGTTCTTTTGGACAAATACCCAGAAGTGGGTTTGCTGAATCCTATGCTAGTTCTATTTTTAATATTTTGAAAAATCTCCATGCTGTTTGTCATAGTGGCAGCATCATTTTGCATTCCCCTCCAACACTGTATAAGGATTCAAATTTCTTTACATTTTATCAACATGTGTTGTCTTTGTGTGTGTGTGTGTGTGTGTGTATTTTTATAATAGCCATCCTAACAAGTGTGAGGTGATATCTCATGGTGGTTTATATTTGCATTTCCCTGATGACTAGTGACTGGGCATCTTTTCATAAACTTGTTGGCCATTTGTATGTCCACTTTGGAAAAATGTGTATTCAAGTCTTTAGCCCAATTATTTAAGCAGGTTACTAGTTTTTTTACTGTTGTGTTATAGGAGTTTCTTATATATAAGTCTTCTTACATATTTTGGAAATTAACCCTTTATCAGAAATATGGTTTGCAAATATTTCCCCATTTTATAGGATGTCTTTTCACTCTGTTGATTGTTTCTTTTCTGGTAGAAGCTTTTTAGTTTGAGGCAGTCCCACTTGTCTATTTTGCTTTGTTACCTATGCTTTTTTTGGTGTCATATCCACAAAATCATTGTCAAGGCCAACGTCATGAAGATTTCTCCCTATGTTTTCCTCTAGGGGTTTTATAGTTCCAGGTCTTACCTTTAAGGCTTTAATCCATTTTGAGTTGATTTTTGTGTATGGTATAAAATAAAGGTCCAATTTTATTATTTTGCATGTGGATATCCAGTTTTCTCAACACCACTTGTTGAAGAGACTATCCTTTCCCCATTGTGTATTGTTGACATCATTGTTAAAGATCAGTTGACCATATATGTGTGGGTTTACTTCTGGGTAACTCGTCTATATTTCTGTCTTTATCCCACCACCACACTGTTTTGATTACTATAACTTTGTGTTATATTTTGAAATCAGAAACTGTGATGCCTCCACCTTTGTTAGTTTTCAAGATTGCATTGACTGTTCAGGTTCTTTTGTGGCTCCATGTGAATTGTGGAATTGGGTATTTTTTTCTATTTCTATAAAAAATGCCATTGGGATTTTGACAGGAATTGCATTGATCTATAGATCGTTTGGGGACATTTTAACAATATTAAGTCTTCAAATCCATGAATGTAGGATGTCTTTCCATTTGTTTGGTCTTCTTTAATTTCTTTTATCAATGTTTTGTAGTTTTCAGGATATACTTCCCTAGTTAATTTCATTCCTAAAAATATTTTTTATGTTATTGTAAATGAGATTGCTAATTTCTCAGACAGTTCATTATTAGTGTATAGAAATGTAATTGATTTTTGTATGTTAATTTTGTATTTTACAACTTTACTCAATTTATTAGTTGTAACAGTTTTTTAGTGGAGTCTTTGGGCTTTTCTATATAAAATCATGTCATCTGCAAATAGGGACAATTTTACTTATTCCTTTCTAATTTGGTTACCTTTTGTTTCTTTTTCTTGCCTGGTTGCTCTGGCTAGGACTTCCAGTACTCTGTTGAATAGAAAGGACTGGGTATCCATGCCTTGTTTCTGATCTTAGTGGAAAAGCTTTCAGTTTTCACCACTGAATATGATGTTAGCTATGAGCTTTCTGTATGTAACATTTATTATGTTGAGGTACTTACTTCCTATTCCTAGTTTGTTGAGAGTTTTTATCATGAAAATGTGTTGAATTTTATCGAATTCTTCTGCATCTATTGAGATAGTCATGTGATTTTATCCTTTATTCTGTTAATGTGATGTATCGCATTAATTAATTTTCATATATTTATCCATCCTTGCATCCCAGGGATAAATCCCACTTGGACATGGTGTGTGACACTTTTAATATGCTGTTGAATTAGTTTGCTGGCATTTTGTTGAAGATTTTTGTATGTATGTTCATCAGGACTATTAGCCTATAGTTTTCGTATAGTGTCTTTGTTTAGCTTTGGTATCGAGGTTTTGCTGGGTTCATAAAAATGAGTTTGGAAGTGTTCCTTCCTTTTCAATTTTTGAAAAGAGTTTGAGAAAAATTGGCATCAATTCTTCTTTAAATGTTTGGTAGAATTCACCAGTGAAGCCATCTGGACCTGGAATTTTCTTTGTTGGGAGGTTTTTGATTACTGACTGCTATGGCTTGAGTGTGTACCCCAAAGTTCATGTGTTAGAAACTTAATCCCCAATGCAACAATGTTGAGAGGTAGGGCCTTTAAGGGGTGATTAGGGCATGAAGGCTCTGCCTTCATGAATGGGATAAAGGCATCAGCTTTATCACAGGAATGGGTTATTTATCATAGAAGTTGGTTCCTGATAAAGGGATGAGTTTGGCTTCTTTCTATTTACTTTCACCCTCTTACCCTTCTGAGTTCCACCATGGGATAATGCAGCACTAAGGCCCTCCAAGATGCCAACAGCATGCTCTTGGACTTCCCAGCCTCCAGAATTGTGAGCCAAATAAATTTCTTTTCTTTATAAATTACCCAGTTTCAGGTATTCTGTTGTAGCAACACAAAATGGACTAGGATGCCGATTCAATCTCCTTATTAGTTATGGCCTGTTCAGACTTTATACTTCTTCGTGATGCACGTTTGGTAGGTTATATGTCTAGGAATTTATCCATTTCTTCAAGATTATCCAGTTTGTTGGCATTCATAATAGTCCCTTATGATCCTTTTTATTCCTGTGGCATCAGTTGTAATGTTTCCTCTTTTACTTCTGATTTTATTTGAATTCTGTCTCTTTTTTCTTAGTCTAGCTAAAGGTTTGTCAACTTAAAAAAATCCAACTCTTGGTTATGATTATTTTTCTGTTGCTTTTCTATTATATATTTCATTAATTTCTGCTGTAATATTTATTATTTACTCCTTCTGTTAACTTTGGGCTTAGTTTGTTCTTCTTCTAGTTTGTTGAGGTGTAAAGTTAGAGATATTTTTTCTTTTTTAATGTAGGTATTTATTAGAAATGCTTTTGCTGCATCTAATTAGTTTGGTATATTGTGTTTTCGGTTTGTCTCAAGATGTTTTCTAATTTTCCTTTTGATTTCTTCTTTGACCCATTAGTTGCTCAAAAGCTATTGTATTGCAGTCTTATAAGTTAAGAACTTTTGACACACACACACACACACACACACACACATACATACACACACAGACACACACACACACACACACACACACACACACATATATATATACACACACATATAACAAACTTCCCATTTAAGATGTAGACTATTTTCATCTCTTCAGAAAATTATTTTGTGTCCCTTTATGATCTCCTGTCCCCTCTTCACAGCTCTCAGGCAACCACTGATCTGATTTCAGCCAATCACTGATCTGATTTCTATCATCATAGATTAGTTTTGCCAGTTCTATAAATTCTTAGAAATGCAATCATATGTATATAATCTCTTATATATGGACTATTTTGCGTAGAATAATGTATTTGATGTTTATCCATGTTGTTCTATGTATCAGTAGTTTGTTTCTTTCTACTGCTAAGAATTTCATTACATGGAAATACCCCAATGTATTTGTTTATTTATTTGTAGTTGGTGATTTGTGTTGTTTTCCAAGCTTTTTACAAATAAAGTTGCTATAAATATTTGTCTATAAGTTATTTATTTATTTATTTTTACATGCACTTTTTGTCTTGTGAGTAGATATCTAGGAACAGAATTGCTGAGTGGTTTGGAAAGTTTATATTTAACATTTAGAAATTTGCCAAACTGTTTTCCAAAGTTGCTGTACTATTTTGCAAGAGTGCCAGTTGTTCCAAATTCTCCAACAGTTGGAATTTTCAGTCCTTTTACTTTTAGCAATTATAATGGGTATACAATATTTCATGGTATTTATTTTCATTTCTCTGATGATTAATGATGTTGAAGATCTTTTCATGTGATTATTTGCCATTTAGCTCTTCTTTCATGAACTCTTTATTCACATTTTGCCTATTTTTGTTTTATCTTCTTACTGCTGAGTTGTAAGAGCTTTTACTATACTCTGGTTACAAGTTCTTTTCCAGATATGTGCATTGAAAATATTTTCTCCTGTTTGTGGCTTGTGTTTTATTTTCTTTTTTGAAGAACAGGTTTTAATTTTATATAAAGTCCAATTTATAATTTTTTGTAGCTAATAAAGTTAATATTTGTGTAAATCACGAAGTATAGATATCCATTTGTTTTTAAGACTCTAAATAGCTTAGTATTTATAATTGGTCATAGTTCAGATAATAACAAGCACAGGACAAAAGCCAACAAATGTGCATTTCAAAAGCTTAATTACAAAACAACATATCTTAAACCAAGAGTTTTGAGGTTTAGTAAATGGGTCACAGGTGCAAAGTAATCATTTTCTAAAGCAGAAGATGGCACGATATATCCATGTGTCCTATCCACATTGTTTTGCATTTAAAGCCTTGAGAAGGAGTCTTCTAGATGGTTTGCTTAGCATTTGTTTTTCCACCTGTTGACTCCTTCCCAGGAAGAGATTTGAAACACATGCTGCTCTAGTAATCTGCTTACATGTGACTAAGGCTGTAGGATAGCAAAGTAACTACAGGCTAACAAAAGTAATTTTGTTGATATTTATTTGAAAACGCAGATGAATGGCAGTTTTGAAAATAATGTAGAAACATGCAGAAAAGTGACCTTCTAACCCTGTTATGTTGGACAGAAGCATGGTGCTTCTCTACACCTTGCTAATGTATAGGCAGATTAGGGACAGACAGCGTAAGAGATTTCATAAACTCAGCTGGTCATGAACATCATCAGTCTGTGCCCTGGGTGTTAGAGGACCTATGTTTGAATTCATCTCACTTTGACTTTCAGTGAATAAATTACCCTTTCTGAGTATCTGTGTTTTACTTTGTAAAGTAGGGATGCTACCTTTGATGTTTGTTGTAATCACTAAATGATATAACACATGAGGAAACATCTAATACATGGCCTTGTCTTATCTGCAGAGGGTAAATACTCGATAGATGTTTGTTGAATCTGAATAAGTTGGATGTTCAAGGTTGTTATTTAAACCAGAATATTCTATTAAAGCTACCACAGGCTGTTAGTACCTTATCTCAAGGTAGCCTTTCAGACTTCTCTGTTACCTGGCCAGGATCCTCTGGGAATGTACTACCAGATAGTCACTTTTGAGCAGGAAAAAAAAAGTCCTATCAAAAAATGAAGAAGAAAATATCAGACATAAGGTATTTCCCAAAGTGGTTTTCATCTCTTGGTGGGGTTTCACCTCTGGAGTAGGTTTCACACTAGGCTTCACACTTGGGCAGGCAGAGTAGATTATTTTGGCTGGGTGACCTTGGAGGGAGAGAAAAAAAAGCCATAAGGGAAACATTAATGAGAAAGAAGCAGAATGCAAGGTCAGAAAGTCAATGTTTTCTTATTTCACATTTAGCCCTTATCTTAGATCATTAATGTTTCAACAGATTTTTCCACGTCACAGCTGGAAGACCTAACATTCTGCTGGATACTATAGACAATTCAGAAACCAGTGTCTATTCTCTGCAAAGAGTAAGCCAGATAGATATAAAATAGTGATTCAGGACCAAAATGATTGACAGACCATGAGCATTTTAGAGTTCAAAAGGAAGCGATATGGAGAATGGGGCTGCCCATGAAGGGCTTCAAAACAAGGGTTAGAAATATGATAGATGTGCTCTCAGGGATGGTGAAGGGGAAGGATTAAACCTGGAAGGACACAAAGGAAACAAGTTTTCCCTGGGTCTTTAGGCCTTCATAAGTCTCTGTTCTAGTGTTACTCTACCGCTGTTACCCTTCTTGCTCTAATAAGTTGCTTTCTCCAAAACAAAATGGGTAAACTTGACATTCAACATTATGCTCCACTCTGATATCTCCAGCTATCATGTGGGTTCTTAAACTTAAAAAAAAAGTGCTATATTATTTTTCAAGTTCTCCTTTCCCCTACAGCCCTGGCATGAGTAACTGGGTGTGTGGGGCTGGAGGTAAGATTGAAGGGGTGAATAGGCATGACATGATTTCAGCAACAAAGACTTCGCTTCACTGAAAATTGTGTCTCTCCTGTGACACTGACCCTGTGCTTTCGATAAAGTTTATGGGTTTGTCTTCCAAAACTGATCATTTACCAGAGCCTCTCTCATCTCCAAATCCATAAACACATTGAAACTTTAAGATTGGACTCCACTTAGACTAATAACCTAGACCTCCTAACCCACAGGACTTCTAATAAGTAGCACATCAGCTCCTTCAATATCTACCTAGTGGGATCAAAGTAGAGGTTGTAGTGGAGCCATTGTGGGAACATAGTGGGGGTGGGGAATAAAAACACAGGCTTGTATCATCTGAAAAGACTAAGCCCAAAGAAGGAATGGAGGAAAAAAGAGAGTGTGAACATGAAGGAAGGTTCACTAAAGATACAGACAAAAAGAGCATTTTTAAGACAAGAGAATGAAATCTTACTGTTGGCAATACCCGTTCCTCATAGACAGGCTCTATCAATTTGCCCACTTTAGGGTAGCATTTGGTTGACTAGCCCCTCGTCTATGCAATACTTTCTTGTTGCTGGTATAAATCACTACTCTGGGTATATTATCTTTTGTTAGTTTCCATCCCCACTGTAGAACCTGAGGGGACAGATAGAGAACAGCAGCATAGGTAATGGTGTAGAGTTGAGATTAACCATGGCTTTGGTTGAGAGATCAGGTTTATCAATGTGGAAGACTCATGGGGAGAAACAATGGAAGACTCATTCATTAAGCTGATACTTGCAAAGCCCTCACTCTGTGGTAATACTACATGGAAAGACAGATAATAGAGAGAAAAAACTGAAGACACTGAAAAGTCAAAAAGAAGATAGAAGTGAATACATTTCCCTCTGGATCTAGGTAGTAAAGATGAAAGTATACATGTTAAGGAGGCCAGGTGCGGTGGCTCATGCCTGTAATCCCAGCACTTTGGGAGGCCGAGGTGGGTGGATCACGAGGTCAGGAGATCAAGACCATCCTGGCTAACAAGGTGAAACCCCGTCTCTACTAAAAATACAAAAAATTAGCCAGGCATGGTGGCGGGCACCTGTAGTCCCAGCTACTCGGGAGGCTGAGGCAGGAGAATGGCATGAGCCCAGGAGGTGGAGCTTGCAGTGAGCCAAGATTACACCACCACACTCCAACCTGTGTGAGAGAGCGAGACTCCATCTCAAAAAAAAAAAAAAATTGTATACATATTAAGGAATAAGTAATCTCAGGCAAACACTG
Organism: Homo sapiens; assembly: GCF_000001405.40. NCBI lineage: Eukaryota > Metazoa > Chordata > Mammalia > Primates > Hominidae > Homo > Homo sapiens. The sequence continues at coordinate 26,301,675 of NC_000012.12, read as the reverse complement.
GAGAGTCATTCATGAAAACTTGTACTGAGAATTCACTACCTGTCAAGCAGCTTTCTATGAGCTACAGAGGGGCTGTGCGATGAAGGAGAGGGGAGTGGGAGACAACAAGGAGTAAAATATAAAACCGACAGTCAAAGGGTTAAAAGCCTATGGGAGAATCAGATAAATAAATAAGAAAGTACCCTAAAACTTAAAGTATAATAATAATAATAAATAAATAAATTAAAGAAAAAAAAGTGAGTAAGGCTGACTTAGCTCCTGAGAGCTGGGAATTCAGAGACACTAAAGTCCTGGTATTCTAAAAAATAAAGTGATCCCTCTTGCTTCCAAAAAAAAAAAAAAAGAAAATAAAAAAGAAAAGTATAATGTTCCAAATGCCGTAGTAAAAATATATAAATCCACCCAGAATTCCCCTTCCCATTTCCCCCCAATCAGGGTCCTGATGTTGGCATGAGACCTGCTTTGGCTGAAAGTTTAACCACCTTTGAAGTTCAGTCCTCAGATTATCAGGCTGGGCTCTGTCTCTTCTTGCAGCTTCAGGAGATGAGGACTTCTGCATGAAAACAACAAAACCACTGGCTCTTCCACTTAGCATTCAATTATCTGTTACTCAGATATTTGTTGTGTTTCTGCAGGGCATCAATGGCCTTAGCAATCAGTATTGAGGAATATCATTATCCTTTTAGCTATAATTTCCTTTGTATGCCTCAGAAACCTGATACATCATACCCTCTAGAGCATTCTTTGCTATCAGTACACCTTCCCAGTTCACCACCAGTAAAAGTTTAACCATCAGATCAACACACTGGGCCAGGGGCTATCTGTGATCCACCTTCCACCAGCAATGGTATCCAGTACCCTCACTGCCAGCTGGAAATGAAACTCTAACTTACTGTGTATTTCCTAGGACTACTCTTAGATTGGGTTCTCTAGAAGGAGACACTAAGACACATTTTGGGGTCAAGCCACATATTATGGATGAACACGCATAAAGGAAGAACAAAGAAACAGGATTAAACAGAGAAAGCTGAAGATGACAGGTAGCTCAAGGGCTAAGATTCCAAGTCAACAATCCTGCAGTGGCTGAAACAACCAGGCCTTTAGACCCACTTTTCTCTGGCATGGATGTAGACCACTCCTGCAAGGATGCAAGGCAAGGCAACTGAGGCAGACCCTGAAGAAGATGACAGCTGGACAATATCAGCTGATCACACTGTCCACAATTGGGTGGCAGGTCATTCCTTGAAGGGGGATCTGGACAACGTACCATAGGCCTGAGCTAAGACAGAACGCAATCAGGAGATGATAGTTGATAGACAGACAGATTGACAAATGGATATAGAGATGTGTGTATGCATATATATATACACACACATATGTATACTTGCAGACCAGAGAGAAGAGGAAGGAGGAGGGGGAGAAGGAGAAAAGAAATTATGGAATAACATTAATATTACTTATAAATCTAGAAGATTAATTTGCAAAGATCAAGGATTATGTGGCTGGATATTTGAAGAAAACAAAGTATTTGGACATACTGGCCAGGAGAAATGTTTTAAGCCTTCTGACAGAATTTTAAAATCTCCCTAATGTTGCAGATCAGTTGGACTTTATAGTGTAAATTTACAGAAGGCCAGTCCCATAAGATTTTGGTCTTTATCTCACAGCCTCATATTGTCAAAGGCAGGTCCAGAGAACATAGTGGGTGCACACCATGGTTTGGGGGTGGCATGATAGATGTGGCTAAGTGCCAAATGGATAAATGTGTCTAGGATGATGGGGACATTGTTGTAATTGCTGACCACGGACTTTAAGTTGAATGGGGCATTGAATGGAGTCAGAAGGGCTCCTATGTCCTGGTGTGACAGAAAGAAATGATAAGTGATTTAATCTAGCAGAAGGGTAGAAGAGGATTTTTAGTTCTTATGAGTGAGTGGAAGAGAGAACAGATGGGGAGGTTTCAAGAGAAAGATGAAAGGACAAATTTGAGATCTTGATTGGGACATCTCCCATGAAAAGACCCAGGATAAAGCTATGCAGGTGGAAAGTTGGTATAGATCCGAGATGAAAGCTGTTAAAATTACATAAGGCAAGAGAATGTGAGGAATGTCACCATCATTGTCATCAAGATGCTTTTAGTAAAGCCTGGAATAATCAGATTTGAATTTCAGGTTCTGCACAGAGCAAGGTAGTAGATGCTATATCTGGCCACTAGGAATTTACAATCTGCCCCCTCTGGGAGGAGATGAAAACCAGTCTCCCCATTCCTGGAAAAAAGACCTCACTTGTTTTTTGCAAACTGAGAGGAACCAGGAAAACATTTTGGTTACAAGTATTAGCCTAAAATGCTAAAATATGTTGAAACCTACTTTGGCGGACTGAGGGACAGAACACATTTTTAAAAACAGACGTCGAATGGCTTCTTCCTCTTTCACTTTCTGCCACAGTGTCTGCTAGGCAAGGAAAATGACTCATTAATAAATTTAGCCCTGGAGGCCTGACTCAGACTCATTCAGAAACCTCTTAACAACCACCTCACCCAATCTTACTCTACTTTAGCTAATGATATTCTCCAGCTTAGGCTGTCAGAATTATGCCTTACACATGGGTAATGGGTTTTATAGCTTGTACTAGAAGTACGCTAATAGTATGAATTCACATTTTAGTGATGTTAAAGCTGAATGAAGTGAATCACCTTAGGCTAAACATCGAAGAGAAGATGAGATCATACTTCTTATCCCCAAAATAGCAAGTGTCCACAGCAAAGCACTTAGCTCTAGAGCAGACACTCCAGTTGATAGGTTAAGGTCTGAACCCAGTGACCTCACAGAAATAACTACTACCAAATTTGAAGAAGTGGTAGCAGCTCTTTTAATGAGCAATTGAAGGGTAGAAATCATTTCTTATGAAATTTTGTATTTTCTGTTCCTAGCACAGAACTTGGTAATAGATATTCAAAGCAGATGTTTGTTAAATGATTGAATAAATGAAGTATCTTAAATAACAATTTTTTGGTGATCACTGTCATCCCAGAGAGGAAATAAGAAAATGCACACTTTCTAGTTAAGGCAAACTGTGCAGTTCTCAACAGTGAACTGTGCTCAGATCTAAGTATCAAGGATAAAGAAATCTATTGCATTGCAGCTCTTCAGTATCCTTGATCTTATTCTTTTGATTAGTGTTGATGCTAATATCCATGTAGTTTCTGGAGCAGAGGTAGGGGAGGAGCTCAACAGGATTTCAAACAGACCTCCAGCTTCCTGGCTTGGGCTCCCCAAAGCTTCAACTTTTTATATTTATCATCGAAATCTCAGAAGTTTCTATGGCATCCTCTGTGGTGTTAGTCCAGGTAGAGAATCATTGTGTATCATTGAGAAGTCAAATCCAACCAATTCATATTTACTGGCACATCTATAAGAAAGTAATTGAAGAGTTACAAGGTATAGGCTTTGCCTCACGTGTTTTAATCTACCTGGGAGGAACAGATATGAAAAATATGAAAAGATGACAATAAAAGCTGTTAATAGCAATTCAAGCTAATAAATACTTGTCACAGGGCAACATATGACATTCATCTCCCCTTTTCTTGATTCCTACCAGACCCCAACTTTATTAAAGTATCCACTCCTCCTAGGTGATGTGGGGGAGGTTCAGGTGTAGGTCCTAATTAGTATAAGACTTAGCATGTTCATTCTGATTGAGCCAACATTGGTGACATGCCCACTGCTGGACCAGTAACGGTTGCAATGCTACTGCCAGCAATGGGCATGCGACTGATGTTGGCTCAATCAGACTGAAAGGAGAGACTGAGTCACTGCCTGGGGAGAGAGTTCCTGCTCTCTGCCACTAGGTATAAACAAAGAAGTATGTTGCCCTAGCTGCTTTTGACAGCCATCTTATGCCCATGAAGAAAGCAGACATAGGATGGCAGTGTGGAGAAAACATGGAGCATGTCCTAACTCAAATCAACCTCGGAGCATGTCCTAACTCAGAGCTCTTGCTGTGCGAGATAATAAATTTCCCTTCTTGCTTAAGGTGGTTTGGTGGGGGATTTGTTTCCAGTAGGATCTTGAGGAGACAATGACCAATTGCCAAATGCGTGGGCAGATAATAATTACTGTGAGAGTCCAGAATGAGAAGAGTTCACATCAGGCTAGAGTGGTCAGGACAGCATTCAGAGAAACAGACGCGTTAAGAATGAATAGGGTTTGTACAGAGGAAGCGGCAGGAGAAAAGCATTCCAGTCAAAAATCAGAAGATGGAGGGAGTTTTAGGAGCAGAAAAGGAGTAGGGAGTGCAGAGCTGGGAAGGCAGTGTCAGAAAAGACCTTGAACTCTTACCACATGAAAGTACCTGGAACCTTTCTATTTAGGCAGGAAGGCTTTAGGGGATCAAATTTTAACATGAGGTTTGAGGGGACAAACACCCAAACTTCAGCAATGGCTATACCCCATGGTTAGCACTGAGGTTGTTTTAAGGGAAGTCAAATAAGAGGTTGATATATATGCTATACAAAGAGCTGTTTGAAGTTGACAAGAAAAATGCAAGCAACCCAATAGAAAAATGGAGTAAATGGTTAACCATCATGAAAGGGTGCTTGAATTCCCTAAAATTATGGAGCTGCAAATTAAAGAATCAGTGAGGCCGGGCATGGTGGCTCACGCCTGTAATCCCAGCACTTTGGGAGGCTGAGGAGGGCAGATCACAAGGTCAAGAGATCAAGACCATTCTGGCCAACATGGTGAAACCCCGTCTCTATTAAAAATACAAAAATTAGCTGAGCGTGGTGGTGCACGCCTGTAGTCCCAGCTACTCAGGAGGCTGAGGCAGGAGAATTGTTTGAACCCGGGGGGCAGAGGTTGCAGTGAGCCGAGATCGTGGCACTGTACTCCAGCTTGGCAACAGAGCAAGACTCCATCTAAAAAAAAAAAAAAAAAAAAAAAATTAGTGAAATGTCAATTTCTATGGCAAAAGTTAAAAAGAACTCTACTACCTAGTATTGGTGAGCATGTAGGGAAAACTGTACTTTTATATATTACTGGAGAAAATATGAAGACTTACTTGCAGCCTTATTTAGTGGAGGCAAAATGACAACGTTTCTTAAAATTAAAAATACATATAGCCTTCACGCCAACCATCCACCTCGGTTTTAATGTTATAGAAATCAAACAGCAATACAACAAGACATAAGTACACAGATATATATTGCAATGCTGCCTGTATGAGGGGGAAGAAATGGGGAAAAAAGAGAAAACTCTTCAAAAGAAGAGAGACTGAATAAATTACAGAATATTATACGCCATCACAGTCATTTGGTGCTGTTGTCAGTTGACATGGAAAGATTTACATGGGGAATAATGATGGCTTAGATTTGTCTAGTGCTTACTGGGTGATAGGTGTGATTTCAAGTTCTTTACATATATAGGCATACCTCATCTTATTGCACACCACTTTACTTGCTTCACAAGTACCACATTTTCCCAAGTGGAAGATGTGTGGCAGCCCTGCATGGAGCAAGTCTATCAGCACCATTTTTCCAGCCATGTGCTCACTTCCTGTCTCTGTGTCATATTTTGGTAATTCTCACAATATTTCAAACTTTTCATTATTATTATATTTGTTATGGTGATCTGTGATCTATGATTTTTTTAAAAAAAATTTTTACTATTGCAGTTGTTTTGGGGCATCACAAACTGGACCCATTTAAGACAGCAAACTTAATAAATGTTGTGTGTGTTCTGCCTACTCCACCAACCGGCTGTTCTCCCATTTCTCTACCTTTCCCTCTATTCCCTGAGACACAAAAATATTGAAATTAGGTCAATTAATGACCCTGCAATGGCCTCTAGCTGTTAAAGTGAAAGGAAGAGTCACACATCTCTTACTTTAAATCAAAACCAGAAACAACGAAATTTGGTGAGGAAAGCATGTCAAAAATCAAGATGGGTCAAAAGCTAGGCTTCTTATATCAAACATTTAGCCAATATGTGAATGCAGAAGAAAGGTTCTTGAAGGAAATTAAAAGTGCTACTCCAGCGAACACACAAATTATGATAAATTGAAACAGCCCTATTGCTGATATGGAGAATATTGGAGTGGTCTGGAGAGAAGATCAAAGCAGCCACAACGTTCCTTTAAACCAAAGCCTAATCCAGAGCAAGGCCCTAACTCACTTCAATTCTGTGAAGGCTGAGAAGAATGAGGAAGCTACAGAAGAAAACGTTGAATTTTGCAGAGGTTTGCTCATGAGGTTTAAGGAAAGAAGCCCTCTCCATAAACTCACAGAGCCCAGAGTTATAGGGACAAGAAGCAGAGGTCTCCCAAGTGGGTCACTGGGAGTGATGGGAAGCAAGGCCATTCTTACAGCCACACTGTGTTTCCCAGATCCATTTATTCTACCTACTGGGGCCACAGCACAATACGATGGTCATTGATTTATGGCTGCTATTCTTAGCAAGGATTCTCCAAGATGATTAATCCCGAATGCCCTAAGGCATCCACTCTACAAAACGGATTAACTTTCTGCCTAAGAGTCTAGGGTAGTATTAGCTGTGGACCATCCTTGGAAGAAATAGGATAATGGAGAAAACAGTTATGCAAATCATTTTCGGTATGCCTTAAATCTCTCATGGAATTCTGATTTAAAAAGATAGAAGTTGTATCCCATATCCTACAAGGCAGCATCTCATCTATACAAGGTAATATCTCCAAGCAGGTACTATGCTTCTGAAAGACCATTTCACCATTCTACCTGGCTAGTAACTAACTTCTTGATGATGCGTTATGTGATAAGGCCAGGAGATTTTATGATTGTATGTCCACTGTCACATCTTCTTTGCTATAAAACAGTCATTCTCTAGCATTGGTGTAAGAAGGACTGAGTGGGGATAGGGGGCATGGTTAATGGGTACAGAAAAATATATACAGTTAAAAAGAATGAATAAGACCTAGTATTTGATAACACAACAGGGTGACTATAATCAATAATTATTTAATCGTACATTTTAAAATAAAGAGTACAATTGGGTTGTTTATAACACAAAGGATAAATGCTTGAGAGAATGGATACCCCATTTTCCATGATGTGATTATTGCTTGTTGTATGCCTATATCAAAGTATCTCATGTAACCCATTAATATATATACCTACTATGTACCCACAATTTTTTTTTAAATCAACTGATGGGCTTGTTAAAAAAAGATTTCTGGGCTCTGCCTCAGAGTCTCATTCAGTAAGTCTGGGGTGGGACCCAAGAACTTGCATTTCTAAAAAGTTCCCAAGTGATGCTGATGCCACTGGTCCAGAGACCACACTTTGAGAACCACTGCTTGGGTTCCTTTGTCCAATGCATTATTACACAAGATGCTAAGTCAATGCATCAGACACTCTATAAGCCTTTGGACAGTACTGCAGGCTATAGCCCTGCAGGCAGGAAAGACAAACCCATACCCAGAATATATGCCACTGTTCCTTCCAAGTGGAGGGGATCAAATGTAATCAACTTACCATCAAGTGATTGGTTGAACTCCTGGAAGGACTGGGTCATATCAGGGGCCTGGCGATGGCAGACTGACAATTGTCAGTGGGAGTATCTAGATCAGCTTTTGTGGGTGGCAGCCTATGCTGTTGAACCCATGAGTAGCTTCCAATCATGCTACTACAGTACTTCATTCACACACCCATTGTGCCAGCACTCTCACCAATGAGAGAGGCTTGCTGGTGTCAACTGGCTAAGTCATTCTGTCTGCTTGATATTTTAGTGCTTTGTTTGTGGTTAATGCTCTCTGGTAGGTGGATAGTATGGATACAATGATTTTCACATTGTGTGCATTCCAATAAGACCATTCACATGCCTCTTTCTCAGATTTCATTGTCCAATCTTTCAATCTTTCTCTTTCCAGACCCTTGACCAACCAGCTGAACCGTTTACTAGTGTCTATAAACCCACTTGTATTCTTACTGCAGGCCACTTCCTTTTCCACATGAAGTAGCTGGCGAGGTATACCACCTGAGGCTCTGCCTGTTGGGAGGATTTCTATTTACTGCTGTCTTTCAAGGTGTTCTCTGAGTAAGGTAGCAGCATTCACTTTTGGCTCGCATCCACAAGCTCAGCCTTTTTTTTTTTTCCCTCCATCACTTGGTTATAAGGGACTCTCATGCAGCCACAGGTGTGAGCTGAGAGAAGATGTGGCCAGACAGTGGGGGGTGACATGGGAGTCCAAGTCACCTGCTTGTGTGGCTTCCTTGTTCCTTCTGGCCTTGCTTGTGACCTATCCTGGATGTGCTATTTCCATCTTACAATGGACTGTGGCTGATCCACCTGACTTTATGACTTGGTGAGTCTGTTAGGAACCAGATCATGGGCAATTCTGACCACATGTTCACTTGCTGTTCCATTGTCAGGGATTTCATCTCTACCAAGGGCGAGTAGCATTCAAGTTGTTATCTTTTGAAAGGTGTATGATTCTCTGCTGTACATGGTAGGCCTCGATCTAAAACCCTTGGAGTCTATATTGTGATTCTCCTACTAGTCTTGCCTTAAACACCACATGACAGCTTTTCTTACCATGGATGTCTCTGATATTATAAAGTCTGCTGGGTCATATTGTCCAAAAAGCAGGGTGGCCTGGACCACAGTCTGGACCTGCTACAGAGCTCTTACTTGCTCTGGGCCTGTCTCAGAGCTGGAAGCCTATGTCACCCATTAAATGAGTTGTATTAGCATTCTCCCATCCTCACAATGCCTAGTTAATCCTTTCTCCAGTGCATGGCTACCAGAGTAAGTGATGGTAGGACCCTTTTGGGAAGGACTGCGTGACTCATTACCAACTGTTTGCTGTGGTGTTGCAGTGTCCTGTCTCCCAGGAAAGCATCTCCTTCTTATAATGGGATCTGTGTCTGAAAACTAGTTCAGACCAGAAACTGAGTCATGAACTTACCTTCTTTGTTCCCTTCAGTCTTTACTTCCAATCTTTCAGCAAGTCTGTTGGCTTCATCTCCAAGGTGTTCATTTAGCCTTTCTTTCTTTTTTTTTTTAGACAGAGTTTTGCTCTTGTTGCCCAGGCTGGAGTGCAGTGGCGCGATCTCGGCTCACTGCAACCTCTGCTTTCTGGTTTCAAGCAATTCTCCTGCCTCAGCTTCCAAAGTAGCTGGGATTACAGGCGCCCACCACCACACCCAGATCATTTTTGTATTTTTAGTAGAGACGGGGTTTCACCATGTTGGTCAGGCTGGTCTCGAACTCCTTACCTTATGATCCACCTGCCTTGGCCTCCCTAAGTGCTGGGATTACAAGCGTGAGCCACCATGCCTGGCCCACTTAGCCTTTCTATTCTAGGTGCTTAGGATTACAGAAGTAAAGAGAAAAACCCCAGGCTCCATGTTGCATATATTTTAGTGAGTTATGCAGACCACATATATGAATAGGTAAACATGTAACACAATATCAGATGACAAGCACCATGAAGGAGAATAAATTGGGATAAGAGGCTGGAGCATGATCGGGGGCAGGGAGTGGCAGTGGAGTGGAGTGGGGTTTGCTTTTGTAGATAGGGTGGCCAGGACAGGTCTCTTTGAAAAGGTGACATTTAGGTAGAGACATACCTCAGGTGGAGAACTAAGGCATGTGAGTGAATGGAGGAAGTGTATTCCAAACTCTGCCTAGTTATCTCCATCTACATTCCTGCCATCCTAGCTCCTGGTGCCACTGTCAGCAACCTCCTAACTAGTGCTCCTGTTTCGATCTTCCCATTTGCACAATCCATTCAACATGCAGCAAATGATCTTTCCAAAGCATAAGTTTAATTCAAGCCACTCATCTGCTGAAAACCTTCCAATGCCTTCCTGTTGCACTTAGAAAGAAATCCAAACTCTCACTGTTACTTTCAAGTTTCCACATCATCTGGCCCTGTCTACCTTTCTAACCTTATTTCTTCCCACCTCCCTTTCACTGACCACCCTCCCGTCACTCTGGCTTACTTCCTATTTGAAACAGTGGAGGTAGGGTTCTCCCTCAGTGCCATCATGTGTGGCTCCCTCTGCTTGGATAATTTCTGCCCCCCGCCCCCCAACCCCCAATCCCTTAACACTGTGGATTCATCTTACAATTCGGAACTCACCTCCTATGTCACCTTCTCAGAGGTGCCTGCCCTGACAACCTCCCCATCTAAGATTGACTGCACTTGCCTCCACTGTCAGTCCACCTTATCACTTTTTTTCACAGCACATATCACTACATGAAATGTTATGTATTTAAATTGCTATTCTGTTTCTATTTTGTCTCTCCCTCTCCCATTTCTCAGTGAGCTCCATCGCTGAAAGGCTCTTGCCTCTCTCAATCAGTGCTCTATCCTCTGCACCCCAATAAAATAGTCACTCAATTCATATTTGTAGAGTAAAGAAATGAGTCAATAAGAAACCCCTTCACCTGGTGCTTGAGCCTCTCTCCACCAAAATTTTATTGCTACGTGTGAAATTAAACCCAATAATGTGTTTATGGCCCAGTCCTGAGCCTTTTAAGAAGCCACGCTCGACTCACCACCTCCCACTCTCATACATTAGCCAGTTCTCAATAACCCCTGGCAACCTGGAGAAGATCTCAGCTTCCTTCTTGAATGTAATCAATGCAAACCACTCTGGGACCAATTTCATAACCTGTTCCTGCCTGTCAGCCTCCTGGCCTCCTGCTTTATTCCCCCACATAGGGCATGCCCTTGCTTTGAAGTTTCCTCAGGCATCAGTAACAGAGGACCAGGTGCCTGCATCATCATCCCATCTCCGCTTGTGAATTTTCCATACAATGTGCACTGATACTGAAGACAGTTTCAGTATCACTTTCACTTGTGACTTTTCCACTCAATTTCTTCTTTCCATGTTTTTATCTGCCATGCTCTATGGCAACTGTGTTCCCAGATTTATCTGACTGTTTTCCTCCCCACAACACACTATGTTGAGTTTAAAGTCTAGCCTCTCCCCAGGCACATTCTTTCTGTGCATGCAAAATGTAAACCACCCATGGCCAAGAACCTAGTATTCCAGGATTTTAAGCCAATGGGCCCCAAATCCAAATCCAGTTTGTCAACACCACCTGGGCAGGCAGTCATCGATCTCCCAGCTCTTTCCCTTTCATCTCAAATCCAGATTCTCAGTAGTATTAAGTGATAGAAAACAGCACCTGTGCCCCAAGTCATTTGGTGTTTTTATTCAAGAGTTAATATTCTCCAAAGATACTTTCCTGAGGGCCTCTAATTGTCTGATTTCAGACCCAAATACTGGTTCTGTTTTCCCTCTGCAACAATCAGGTTTCCTGTGGACAGGTCGGGGTTTTGAAGGTCTCTTTACAATCATTTCTGATATCAGCCAATAATCTCTTTGTTCTCATATTTCCGTATACCTAGAGCTCTTTCTATTAGATATATTGAAACTATTCGTGCCTTAAAAATATAGTTCCATATGGAGATGAAATCCCAGAGTCAAGAGATCTGTGTGTCCCACATGAAAAAGAATGGGTAGCTGAAAACAAAAAGGAGATAGTAGAGGAAAAATGGACTCAGTTCCTGGCAAGAACTATGATGCCCACGGATACATGAGAACTTCTAAAACCTGCCAATGGAAAAGGAGGAGTTGATGAGGTCACCTTATGTTGCAATTTTTTGCCTCTCATCATGGGCCATAAACTTTGTAGAATAATCAGAATTTTTGCTGGAGTACCTTCCACATTTAAGTTATAGATCCAATATTAAACAACAATAACTACCGGAAAATGAGAACATAAAGCTCTTTTCCAAATGGATTGCCCAGTTTATTTATGTAATTATGAATGTAGCTAATGCTTCAAGTTGCAAAGCTGGAGCACGAAGTGGTCGAAGAAACAGGTAGTTCAAAACAGCCACCACCAAGAGGACAGAATCCAGCAGGGCAATCCAGAATCCCCATGGTTTAGAATGAAACCTAGGTTCCAATGTCAGCTCTCTCAGATATGCGCTCTATAACATTTAATCTCTGGATGTTACCATAATCCTATGTAAAAATGGGAGTGAAGATTCCTTTCCAGGTTATTCTAAGGATGTAATGACATAGTACACAGGATAGCACCAGCATGGTGCTTGGCACCTGAGTACTCAAGAAGTGTGAGTTTACTGTTCTTTTTACTAGGTGGCCATCCCAAACTCTGAGATTTTAGACCCCATACAAACATTAGACACTCCTTGCTGTGCCCCTTTAAAAAGTAAGAGGAAATAGCTTTGTTCAACCTTCTTAAAAGGCCATTGGCCAGAACAACATCCTTCCATACCTACTTAATAACGGTTAGAAAGGAAAACCTCAAGCTTTGCTACCAAAGGGATGTTTGATATTGGAATGCAGGGAGTGTCATGGTATCCATGTTTCAGCCCAGTGGGAATTTCAACATAGACTTCAAACCAGAGAAATCTTAATTCTATCAAAAAGTGTATACATGGAAGAGGAACAATAGAAGTTGGTAAGTCAAAACTCGATGAGAACAGAATAATCTGGTGCACTGAAGAAGAGCACCTGATTTGTTTAGTGATGAAGACCCGGACTTCTGTGTCTTAATTTGCTGTGGACAATTTTGTTGTCTAAATTAACGTAGAGCAAGGTTTTAAAACTATGGTTCTCATTTCAAATTATGACCTCAGTCATTCCCAACAAAACATTTAATTGTCTTTGTGAAGTTAAAGAAATCTCCAAGTTAAGCAAAACCTCAGGAAGAGCAAAACCCTGGCCACTGCCAGTGTGCCCTAACTCTCCTCTTCCTGTTTCTGTGGCAAACTCACCCCACGGCGCTCATTCCCACTCACATGGGCTGTGCTGTCAGATTTGCAGTTAAGATTTTGGGGCCCAGAACAAGTAAAGGCAGGTGAGAACTCTGATGACAGGGCTCCATTTGTCTAGGGCTACTGCGTGCTGTGTTGGCCATGGGCAGAGCTCCCTTCACAAGGAGGAGGAGGAATGTGTTCTCTTAGATAATGCCAATGGATATTGACCACTGATTGGCCCCAACTAGCCTCTCTGTTTCTACTCTCTGCTCTTTGTATATTACTAGCTTTGTTCCTGCTTTTCTGAATACCAGGCCTGCTTCCATGTAGCACACAGCTCTGCTTCCTCCCTGGTACCCAGTTAGATTTAAGCCTCACTTCAGATCCTCACCGCTATTGTTCACTGAACACAGGTCTCTAGGTCTTGCCTAGCAATCAGCTGTTTTTTGTTACTCCTCCTGGGCAGAGCCTGCGTGGCCTTAGCAGGCAGCCATTCTCAGTTGTCTTTACCTGGTCTGGTTAACCTAGGTCTGGCAAGCTGCCCGTAGGGTCCAGCCTGGCCTGCCCTGGCCTTGTCTGGCCTTGGCACTTGGTGTTGGGGGTGTCCCACAGCTTTCCTCAAGGGACAGCCTGTACCTGAGTTGGCCCAAGCCGAAAAGGAGGCCTCCTCTTCCTTTTCTGGATTTGTGGTTCGCTAGTTATTCCCCAACCCTACCACAGTTGCCTTGGCAGCAACACACCCTGGGGCCTGCTGGGAAAATTCCACACTCTGATTTGGCACCTGTTCCTGGTAGCAGACCGGCCTGAGCTGCTGGGGAAGAACACAGGCATGATGAGTTAGATATTGAACTGATCAGGGCAGCAGGGGAGTTCCTTTCCATGAGAGTGGCCTGCAAAGCAGAATTAAGGAAATGGTTTCTTTTCTTTCCTCTGTTAGCAATAAATCTCTGTGCCCCAGGACGGCCTCAGCTTGGCAGGTTGATACTCAGATGATTGCTGATGGCCTACGTGCCAACCGCAAGGCAAGCTTGAGCACTGCCAACTCAGCCTCCACAGAGAATCCCTTCTCTGGGAATGAGAGGTGCCGTTCCAAACCCCAGCGAGCTGGAATGTGTCCACTCCTACCCCTTGCACGTCGCTACAGTGCACAGTGGTCAGCTGAATCAGAAGGGCAGCGGAGCGGCCTGTCTGTACGGGAAATATTAGGCCATGCTCTGAAACCTGAGACATAAAGAGAAATTTGGCCATGGAGGAGCTGTGGTTCCAAAACTGATAAAAATGTTCCAAAATCTTGCTGTCATATGCTTGATTGCACCAATCCTCAGAATGGCAAATGAGCTTCCATCTTAATTATAGCTTGGGAAGGACGTGTAGACAGCTCTTTGACTTCTGTTTCATTCTGTCCATTCCAAATGGCTGCTTCCAAAAGGGGGAAAAAGAAGAAGAAAAGAAGAGACATAAATAACACTCCATGGACTGTCTCATTTGCCCTGGAAACTCTCCTAAAAGGTTAATGTTGCTCCTCATGCTTCTGGACATGTGCGGGTAGCTTGCTGGGGGCTGGGAAGTCTCTCCAGACTCCTGCTGCTATAATGCCCGACCAGGCGGAGAGGGACGGGTACCAGGCAGCACAGAAACAAGTTCTGGTAAACCATTGTTGCCATCAGGGTTATGTGTGTAACAAGAAATCTCATGAGGAGAGAAATCTCAGTTTCCTTCCCTGAGAAAAGAAAGGAGCAAGAAAGGGAAGGGAAGAGTGGTTATAATGCCTTCAGGGTGCCCAGAAGAAAGAGAAGCCCTTGGACAATGAGGAAATCAAATCTCCATCTGCCTCAGATGATGCTGGTAACATCCGGAGCCCCAAGGAAAGGGGCCCTTCACTTCCTGCTTGAAACATGATAGATTTCCAGTGCCAAGTGTCCTGACCAAGTATTTTGTGGCAAAGATAAAAGACAGGAGGAAATGGGTCAAAAACCCCAGTGTAGACTGTCTTTGGGGAAAGAGCCAAAGAGCCGAGTTATTCTATCTTCATGTAGTCTGAATCCTTAAAGTACAAAGCAGGGAGCCCCAGCCTCACCCAACTGAATAGGCCATAAGGTGCCAGAAGATGTGGCCAGAATGTAGCTCTGCTGTAAGGGAGAAACTTCCCAGGGTCCTGCTGGAAGGTGTGGGGCTCCTTTTGGTGAAGAGAAGGTATCCATGGGGAAGGTATAGAAGTCACCCAAAAGAGGCAGAGATTCAGGATGCCTGTGAAAGTGAGGCAGGAATTCAGCTAGTACAAGTTGAAGGCAAATAGGGCTATAAACACGGCTGCCCTAAGTAGGCTAATGGAGAAATGGACCAAAGGCCACAGAGGGCAAAAGCAAGATGCAATGAGTTTCGCCACTGGATTCCCTGGGCCATGAGAATAGCCCCTTTCTCCTGCTGCCTCCCAGCCTCATGTGATTCTCATGTGCTGAGTGCAGGCTAGCGGAGGGCTTTGAAATCAGCTCCCACTGGTGCTGGAGGTGGGCCGCGTGCCCAGATGCCCTATGAATCACCTGCAGCAGGAGGAGCTCGTCACTCTCCCATCTGCCATCCCTGCTCTCAGCATCCAAATCGAGTTGGAAGCAGGAAATGGGCCCAGGGACCTCAGCCTTCTCCCTCTTTCCTGCCCCACTCACTGGGAAGGGAGTCAGCCTTAAGTCATTAACCTTGAGACTCCCTGGCTGTCCAGGGTGGGCCTGTTGTAGCTGTGGGGCCCAACCCCCAGCCTGCTAGAGACCTCTGTATTGGCCGGCTTGGGCTGCCATATGAAATACTGCAGATGGAGTGGCTCAAATAACAGAAATGTATTTCCTCACTGTTCTGGAGGCTAGAGGTCCAAGTTCAAGTGCCAACAGGCTTGGTTTCTAGTGAGACCCCTCTTCATGGCTTGCAGACACTCATCTTCTGGCTGTGTCCTCACATAATTTTTCCTCTGTGCAAAGTACCCCTGGTACCTCTCTTCTTATAAGGCCACCCATCATATTGGATGAGGGACCCATCCTTGTGACCTCATTTAACCTTAATTACCTCTTAAAGGTCCTGTCTCCAAATACAGTCACATTTAGAGTTAGGGCTTCAACATATGAATTTGGGGAGGAGGACACTATTTGCTCCCTTATGGTGCCCCAGCAAGTGTAATTGCTTATGAGGGGTGCTGGAATGGATTCCTTGGAATCAGGAAGCAAACAGTTTGTCTGGGAACTTCAGAACTAGCACCTCAGCCCTGTCAGCACATAAGGCATCCAGTGTGCCTCATCTGCTCTTGTGATCTGGCTGGGGATGGGGCATCGGCATGGCCATCTGAAAGAGCCTTTATTGTTGGCTTGCTTATTTTTCTACTTGGTGGTTGGGGGGGAGGGTTAGAGGCAAATTCCTGTTGTGCTTCTACTTCTATTAATATTCTTCAACCACACACATTTATTTAGGAAATCACATAATCTTAAAGATGCTAGGGACCTTGAGGGGTCTTCTGGCGTGGTCGCTTGCTTCTGGGTAGCTCTGTGCCATGAAATCATTCAAGGCAGAAGAAGAATGATCCTAGCTGCAAAGATCCATTTTCCTCCCACCTCCAGCATCTGCCAGATGCTCTGAAAATTTCACAGACGAAAGAAATGGCTCCATTAACAATGATAAGTACTCAAACTAAACAAAATTTATAGAGCAGGCTAGGATTGATTTCCTTAAAAAAGTATTGATTGCTTAGTATATATCAGTCACCAGTGAAACTGAGGGTTGGAGGGATTTAGTAACTCCCCATAGACCTAGCTAATACATAGGAGGATCAGGGTTAGGACACACATCTTCTCCACTCCCACTTCAGTACCCTTACTATAATGCCATAAGGAAGGGAAGGAAACAGGAAATCTGATTTAAACAATAAAAACTTTAATTATGGAATTTCTTTTAAACAGTACATTTTCAAGAAAACGTATTTGTGACTCGGCAAAAATATCTTTGCTGGCAAAATTCAAGAGGGACCCAAATCCTATATAATCAGGTGATTCTAAGATTTATGAGGAGCCAGGCTTGGTTGCTCATACCTGTAATCCCAGCTACTTGGGAGACTGAGGCAGGAGGATTGCTTGAGCCCTGGAGTTCAAGACAAGCTTGGACAAGACAGTGAGACCCCATCTCTTTAGAAAAAAAAAACACTACTTATGAAAGCAAGGTTTTCACTAGCAGGGTAAGCATGGCCCTGATAATTTGATTTCTGACACCATGCTTAGCAAAACCCTTCCTTTTGGCCGCCCCCATCTTAATGAGTACAAAGTCAAATAAGTGAGGCCCCAAGCAAGGAGCAGGCTTAGAGAATGAGGGCCATGACTCTCCTAAGGTGAGGCAGGCTCACCATGTGGCCATTTGGTCCCCTCACAAACTTTCTTTAAAAGCCAGAGAGCACTTAAAACTTCTCCTGTTGCTACTTCTGTCAGATGAGATCAAATTGTTCCTTCTCGGCACACCTGCTCCCTCAAGGATGGCAAATTGGGGAAGATGTGTTAGGGCTCTCCAGGGGGACAAAACCAATAGGATATATATATATATATAATATGTGTGTGTGTGTGTGTATGTATGAGTTTACTATGTGTATGTGTATATATATATGAGTTTACTATGTATATATGAGTTTAATATATATAGATGAGTTTACTCTTTCTATATATGAGTTTACTATATATATATGAGTTTACTAGGGAGAATTGGCTCACATGATTACAAGATGACATCTCACTATAGGCTGTCTGCAAGCTAGGGAAAGAGAGAAGTCAGTAGTGGCTTAGTCCAAGTCCGAAAGCCTTAAAACCAGGGAAGGCAACAGTGCAGCCTTCAGTCTGTGGCTGAAGGTGCAGGAGTCCCTGCGAAGCTGCTGGGGCAAGTCCCAGAATCCAAAAGCAGAGGAACCTGGAGTCTGATGTCCAAGGGCAGGAGGGGAGGAAGCAAGCCTCTGGCATAGGAAGATAAAGAGAGTCAGAAGACTGAGCAAGCAAACTTTTGCCTGCTTCTGCCTGCTTTGTTCTAGCCGCACTGCCACCCACATTGAGGGTGGGTCTTCCTCCTCCAGTCCACCAACTCAAATGTGAGTCTTCTCAGGAAGCATCCACACAGACACACCCAGAAACAACACTTTACAAGCCATCTAGGCATCCTTCAATCTGATCAAGCTGACACTTCATATTAACCATCACAGAAGGTATGATGGGAGTCTCCCATCCCTCACCAATGCAGTCATAGCTAACCTGGCATGTGTGGCCTCTTTCCCACTGATCTTTGATGTGATTCAGAATCCCTCTCAACACAGCACTCAAGAGGGAGTTGACATGTGAACCAACACCCAGTTGCCAGCTTGTTTTTTTTTTTTCACCTGCTGCTTTCGATTCAGAAGGGTGCTGGAAGCTTTCACCCATCTCTTCAGTTTGCTCTTTATTTACATTCAACCATGGCAGGGTCACAAATTAACTTCAGGCCACGAAGATGTCTAGATAAAGTACTTTGGTATTGCCCCATAACTGCTCTCTGTTGCCCTTACTGGACAATGGGGAGGGGACAAGGAAGGGTTCTGTACTTTAGATCAGCACTGCTCAAACCTGAATGTGACTGTGAACCCCCTAGGGGCCTGGTCAATATGCAGATTCTGTTTCCTTAGGTCTGGAGTCTCAGGTCTGGGACCTCAGAGTCTGTTTCTAATGAGCTTCCACCTGAAGCTGTTGGTTTGGGGCTCATACTTTGAGTAGTAAGGCTTTTAGACACTATGAGAAGCCTAGTCTGGTATCATAATTTAAATAGTCTCCTTATGAAACTCTTTAGTCTCTCTTACATACAATACTTAGTTGTTCAGAGTTCTGTTCCCTCCCCTTGCTCCTCTCAGGGATGGTGTCTGGGTATATGAGGAAGGAGTGTGTCTTCAGTACCTCCGTGGCAGAATGGGGAGAGGGTATCCATGAGTCTACATGGAGTCTCCAGGGTCACCCCGTGGCAGGTCTGGGCTGCTTCGTGGTCTGGTGACCACTAAGTTACCACCAGGCTCCTCTCTGGGCCTGTGTCCAGACTAGGAAGTTAATCTGAAAGAGTGATCTTGTGAAGATATTAATAAATGACATTGACTTCTCGTGTCAACACAGAAAATCTATGAGCATCCAGAGAATTCTAAGCACAATGGCAGCCTGGTATTTGGGGACAGGGGATTTCCAGTGACTCTCACATCACATGAAGCTGTGTATTCCATCCAGGGGTAAGGTTGAGCTAAGATGCTTGGCATCTCCAGACCTCAGTTTCTTTTTCTGTAAGCCATATCTCATGGTAGTACTTTTTACTGTCCTCCCTTAGCTGCAGAGAAGTACAGTGAATCTACTTTCGGTTTTGCCTCAATCCAAATGCAACCTGAACCCTTCTGAAGTAAAAGAGGATGGATGGAAGTTAATATCAAGTATGCCTGAGAATCCTGAACCCCAAATGGTGAGAATTCCAGAGCTAGGGGAAAACTTAACAATTGGTGACTTTTTACTAACTATGATTTAGCCCCCCATTCATCCATCTACCTGGCCACCAATGTTTGTTAAGCATTTAAATGGATCACAGAGCAATGCACTAGGCAACAGTCAGTCATTTGAGATAAATGAACATATAAAGTTCAAGGCCACACTTCAAAGCACAAATTTCCTGTTGCCTTAATTTTCAACAGGAATGGAGCATAATTTCATTTCTGTGTAAAACTTGCTTCATGGGAGTCTTGAAGTGAGTCCTGTTGAAAGCCCCTTTAAGGAACACTGTCAAGAATCCCTGACATTTTCTCTGGATAATGCAAACCAGGGGCTTTTAGAATGCTCCACAGATTGTCACCAGAGCTCCCATTTACTTGCAAATCCACTTGACTACCAAAAGTGAAATGAGGAGAGCAGCCATTCTTGTAAATAGAAAGAGGTCATTATTGCACTGATGGAAACAAGTGGCCCAGACCCTTCCACCAAACTAATGCATTCTCCCAGCCCCTTTTCAGTTTGTTTCACATTTTGGAAAGAAGGAGCAGACAGATTGGGTGACTTGCCCAAGGCCACAAAATATGCCACAACCAAGGTTTGGAATGAGACATGTCGTTCCTGGCTCGCAGTACCTTTTCCTCACAGTCCTACCTCTCTTTGACTACACGGGTACCGGGGCTGCCATGAAGACAAAAAGGAACAAATTAGAAAGTGTCATGCAGCTGTATTATTTTTATAGTCCTATTGTATGTGACATCTGCCTGTTGTGAATTTGCTCTGTAGATGAAGAAAGCTAAGGATTTCATCATTTGGACAGCGAATAAGGTCTGGTCACCAGTCCTGGAATTTATGGGAGGGCAGCCAGTCCTTGAGACTTTGAAAAGGGAATGCTGATGGGCTTCGCCTCCAGCCCTGCCTCAGCTTGAGCCAACCATGTCAAAGGCAAGCAACTTAGCCGTGTACTATAGAGCAGGAAATTAACTCAAGGTCAGCAGTCCCAAGAGTGGAGATGTGAACGATGCACTGTGAATGCTCAAATGTATCTCAGCCTCAGTACCCTCACCATCCCAAAATACTGACCAACTTCAGGAAATGAATATGAATTGTCTTACCTAGCACTCTTGTAATTCACTAATATGGGAAGGCAGCCCTGAGCCTCAAGTTCCTTAACCAACTCTTGCTAACTCCCAACCTTTGGGGTCACAGGGCACTGGACGGATCCTGTGCTTCAGCTGGTCAGTACCTGGCTGGATCCAAGCCTTGAACGAACAGACCAACAGAAGCTATGCTTCTCTACACTTCCCTGCACACCACTCATGTCTGGAATTCCCATCTTGACCACAGCCTGGGGGGTGGCCTCTCCCCAGCACCTATGAAAACCACACCTGATGTTCGAACACACATCAGATGCCCATTGGAACCTGTCCTCAGATCTTCTGGCTAACCTGGCTGAAGTAGCCTCTGCAACTGGGGTTTTCATCTCACCTAAGTCTGTATCTCAGATTTTTTCTTCTTCCCACCAGTATAAGTTTTGGCAAGTGCAGCAAGGGTGCCAACTCCCATTATGACATACATGGTCAGGGTGGAGTTAGGTGCGGGACCATGTATTAGAAACTGTAGAAGTAGTAAGGGATCTTTTTTTTCGGTATAAATGCATGGGGTACAAGTGTAATTTTGTTACATGAATATATTGAGTAATGGGAAAGTCAGGGCTTTTAGTATATCCATCACCTGAATAACATACATTGTATCCATTAAGGAATATCTCATCGTTCACCTCCCTCCCTTATCCTTCCAAGTCTCCAGTGTCTATCCTTCTACACCCTACATCCCTGTGTACACATTATTTAGCTCCCACTCATAAATGAGAACATGTAGTATTTGTCACCCTGTTTATGAGCTGTTTCACTTAAAATAATGACCTCCAGTTCCATCCATGTTTTTGCAAAAGACATGATTTTATTCTCTTTATGGTTTAATAGTATGCCATTGTGTATATATGCCATATTTTCTTTATCTGGTCATCCATTGATGGACATTTAGGTTGATTTCATGACTTTGCTATTGAGAATAGTGCTATGATAAACACACGAGTGCAGCCATCTTTCTGGTATAATTATTTCTTTTTCAAGACAAGAAGTAGATACCCAGTAGTGGGATTTCTGGATCAAATGTAGTTCTACGCTTAGTTCTTTGGGTAATCTGTAGCAGTAGTCTAGGGATTGGCAGGGCGAGTTACACACACTCCCTTCCTAGGGCCTGTACCTCAGCTTCCTGGAGAAATGGCCTTGATTACTCTGATAACTACAACCAGCGCAGTACCTCCCTTAGATCTGGCAGCCAGGGCCCTGCCCCGTGTCTCATGCTTTGGAGGTTTCTGCCCTGACCTGGCCTGCTCTGATCCTAGCCAGATGAGTGAGGAGCCCACAGGTTTGAGGGGCACGCTTGCCCAGTCTACACACTCTCTCTTCTAGACCACTCTTTGGAGTCCTGGGGCCCTGTAATTTCCACCCAAAAAGCTCAAGGCCAAATTCTAGGACTTGCCTGATGCCTTTTCCCATGTTCGTCCTGGGGTAATAGCCAATGAGTGCTTTGTGAGAGGCAGGTGGTAGGGGTTGGGGGCTGTGTACCAGTGGGCTGAAGTGTCCAACATCTGTGCATGAGGCCCCCATGATGTGGGTTACAGCCTCTGTGTGTACTCCTGCCCAGATGCCCATGCAGGTCACAGGGTGAGAAACCCCACATATTTCTTTTCTGGAATGCTTTTCTCTTCCCATCAGCTAGGTCAGCTCATCAGTTCTCATGGTTTCAAATACCAGCTTCATACTTATTGGAACCCTTCCTTTACTCCCTGATATCAAACCCATCAGCAAATTCTCCTGATTCAAGCTCAAATGTCTTTTCTCTCCCTCTCTGCTGCTATCCCTTTGACTCAAGCCACCATTGTCTCTTGCCTGGACAACTGAGATAACCTATTCAGTGGTTGCTCTGCTTCCACTATTGGCCTCCTACAATCCATCCTCCTCATAGTGGCAAAGTGCTTTTCTGTTCATGTGAGCTGGATCATGCCCTTCCCCTGCATGAAAGGGAGAAATGACTTCTCACAGCCTTGTGAGCATGGCCCTTGCCTGCCTCCCCCTCCTCCTGTCATGCACTCTTCCTTCTTCTGCATACCTCTTCAGGCTGGCCCTTCAGTTCCTGCAGCACAGAGGCCTTTCCACACCTTGCACAGTCACCAGCATCTCACATGGGTTCTTTGCTGAAACACTGACTCCAAGAGCCTTCCCTGAGCCATCTAGCTAAAGATCACTCATTCCCTGCATTCATTCTCCTCAGCCCCTTGTGTGTCCCCAGCATAGCACTTAACGTATTTGAAATTATTACATTGTTTTGTTTTTTGTTTTTTTTTTGAGACAGAACCTCACTCTGTCACCCAGGCTAGAGTGCAGTGGCATAATCACGGCTTCAAATTCTTGGCTTCAGGCAATCCTCCCACCTCAGCCTTCCGAGTAGCTGGGATCACAGGTGCATGGCACCACGCCCAGCTAATTTTTCATTTTTTGTAGAGACAATGTTCCACTCTGTTGCCCAGGCTGGTCTCAAACTCCTGAGCTCAAGCGATCCTCTCACTTCAGCCTCTCAAAATGCTGGGATTACAGGCATGAGCCATTGTGCCCAGCCAAAATTAGTATTTCAAATCATGTGTTTTAAATTGCCTATGCTATTAGGATATAAGCTCTTTAAAGGCAAGGGCTCTGACTGTCTTGTTCATAGTTCTCTCCCCTGTGCCCAAAGCAGTGCAAGGCATGTAGCTGGCACTGGATAAACATTTATTATGTGTGCAATGAATACCAGGGAAGGATTTTTGGGTGTGGCAGACAGATAAGTGAGAATGCCATCTTCTATGTCCCTCGGGGACTCAGGCCCACTCATTTTTCCACACACCAGAGTCAACCACTGATGTTTCAATTTCCCTTTTCTCCTGATCACTCATGTTGGTTTCTAGATCCTCTGAATGTGCCCTCAGAGGGTCCTTGCTAATCTGTGTCTAAAGAAAGAATGTAAGACCCTGGCTAAAGCTTACCCTAAGAAATTCCACTAGGCCTTAGCTATTGAAGGAAACAGATTCCCACCCAAGAGTGACAGGTTACAGCTCTGCTCACAGGGAGACCCGTCCTCAGAGAGCCCCGTGGGGTTGCTGAGGCACAAAATTTACAGAAAGCCTTTCTGTTTGGGGTGGTGGGTTTTCACTGCTTTGTTTTCTTGTGTGCTCAGTGGCTTGTTCCTAACTCGCGGCCAATCACCACACTGCCAGATGGTGCGAAAGATTTACCGGAATTTCGTTTTCAAATAAACCACAAGCTTGGATGAGCTAATGTTGTTCCACATAAAAAAGCCACAAAACTGGACAAATTAACGTTGTTTCAAGAAAGGAAACTTGTCCGGGCCATCAGGTCTGCCCTCTCAGGGGGCACCAATATCTGCACCAAGACACTGGGGACGCCCCTGCCTCCCTTACCGCTGACTCCACAAAATAACTTAGGGGGAATTATATTTTCCTGTGGAACCAAATCATTTCTGTCAAGTTCATCTCAGTTGCACCAAGAGTCTGAGGATGGCAATGCCTCTTCCGGCCTGTCAGCAATGGTTGCAGTCTCTCCCAACACTGCCTGTGAGCGCTCCCGGGACAGGGCCACTAGCCCAGCAGGTCAGCTTGGGCTGCTTAGCAGGGACATTTAGCATGATTTATAAACCACAATGGCATGGGTGAGAGTGGCTTCCGGGAAGGCCCCACCCTCAGCAGCAGTGGCCATAAAGCCTAATGGAAAAAGCTTCCATGATTGGGATCCTGGATTCTCACCCCTGCTGTACCACTTAGCGGCAGAACCATGAACAGATTGAAAGACTCTAAAGAACATGATTTTCTCATTCTTAGGATGGAAACAGCCTGGGTGCGGTGGCTCACACCTGTAATCCCAGCACTTTGGGAGGCCGATGCAGGAGGATAACTTAAGGCCAGGAGTTTGAGACAAGCCTGGGCAACATAGCAAGAACCCCCCACTGCCCTTCTCAACAACAAAAAAGAGCCAGATGTGGTGGCACATGCCTATTGTCCTAGCTCAGGAGAATGAGGCAGGTGGATTGCTTGAGCCAAGGAGTTCAAGGCTACAGTGAGCTATGATCATGCCAGTGCACTCCAGCCTGGGTGACAGAATGAGACCCTGTCTCTAAATAGATAAATAAATAAATAAAAATAAAAAAGATAGAGATAATAATATTAAGCCAACAAGGTTGTTGTAAGGATAAAACTGAGTTAATATGTAAAGTCCTTTAGTGCTGTGCTCAACACACAAGAAGTGCTCCTCCCTACATGTGGACACTACATGGGATGATATGATGATGATGATGATGATGATGACGATGACGATGTCAGCCATGTGGCTGCCCCTCATCTTATAGCACTTATCTTGTCCATCTGGTGCTAAAGAGCCAGTCTCAGAGGAGGTATGTCATCTGCTTCCTATGGTCAGCTGAGTTGAACAAAATACCATGAAGTGATTCAAGCCAGGAAGTCAATCAATATAACTCAAGCTGAAAGAGCCCTTCTTTAAAGAATCTAAAGAATTGCCTCATCTTTCCTCCTTCCTTTTCTCAACCAAACAACAAAATGTTTTGCCTTAAGAATTAGATGCCTTAAGGATTTTGTTTTAAATTAGAATTTTATGAATGTCCTTCCTCTCTGAAATTTTATATTATAAATATGTGTAGAAATACTCTAAAGGGATGTCTGTGATCTGGGTGTTGGGATTTCATCTTGCTACATGGGATAATGAAATACGGAACTTATTTGAGCAGAGATTCAGGTCTATTGAGAATTATAACCAAAGTACCGCTTATTGAGCACTTTCTAAGCTAAACGACTTTATATACTTTATCGAATCCTTACTATAAATTTATATTTTCTCCATTTTGCAAATGAAAATTCTAAAGAAAAATTTTACTAGTTGTAAAAAGGCCATATCTGCTTGGCCATAAGACCTGTTTATGCTATTCTGTCTCACTAACAAATTTTTAGATAGAAGTCACTAGAGATGAACATTAGGCTAACCTTAAAAGATAATGATGGAGAAAAAGAAAAACACTCAAAATGCTTTACAAGTTTTACTTTAGTCTTCACAACCACCCTACGAGGTAGCAGCTTTTGTTGCCTTCATTTTACAGATGAGGGATCCAAGCAGAGAAATCAGTTGTGTGCCAGACTCACATAGCTGGTGGCCCGTAGCAGAGCTGGGATTCAAACCCAGGCAGTTTGACCTTGAGCTTTGTGTTATGCTGTCATAGGCAGGGGTCAGTCTCCTGAAGCCTTGCACAGGGAAGGAAATGTTCCCTTCCTTGTGCATTAGGCAAGCTGCCCTGAACTTCCTGCAGCACCCACCATAGAATAACCCACCAACTCCATAGGAAACCTCGCTTATGCACCCAGATCTGGTCTGTGATTTGCTACAGAAAGACAAGAAATGGCCTGTGGCTTCTTGCTAGGTATGTTGAAAAGCATGGTGGGGTGGGAGTGCAAGCCATGATTAATTGTTTGCTGATGTGGAAAGTCTATAAAGTTTGAACCACATTTCTCAGAAACATGAAGAGGAACAAATAATTTCTGGTCCATTAAGCCTTTTCTTACAGGGCTTCATATTGTTTTCTCAGGGGTTTTGTTTGTTTGTTTGACCTCAGAATGTGAGCAATAATGTGTCTTTTTTTTCCCTTTCTGGCTAAAACCAAACCTTTTGACTTCTCAGTTGATATAAACGTGCCCTTTCTCCCGCCCCTCAGACTTGTTCTTTCTTTTTTTTTTTTTTTAAGATGGAGTCTCACCCTGTCACCCAGGCTGGAGTGCAATGGCGCAATCTTGACTCACTGCAACCTCCGCCTCCTGGGTTCAAGTGATTCTCCTGCCTCAGCCTACGGAGTAGCTGGGATTATAGGCGCTCGCCACCATGCCTGGCTAATTTTTTTGTATCTTTAGTAGAGATGGTGTTTCACCATGTTGGCCAGTCTGGTCTCAAACTCCTGACCTCGTGATCCGCCCGCCTCAGCCTCCCAAAATGCTGGGATTACAGCAGGGCCACCGTGTACGGCTGACTTGTTTCATTTCTTAGAGCTAAAATGAGGTTTGGAGAAAGCTCTGTTCATTTTGAAGCCTCAGTCTTCACCCCAACACTCCTGGATCCTGGCTGGAGGAGCTGTGATTACCCGAGATAGGAAAACCCTGGCAGCTCAGCTACAGGCCTAAATAAACAGTGAATCTTCTTGCAAGCAGCCCATCTGGGCTTCAAATGCCCCCAGAGTCTCCTTCAGCCTGGTGCGTGGGCTCTGTGGGGCCTGCATTTCAGAGCCTCCTGTGGTGCTTCCCCTTCCAGGGCAGGCCCCACTGGGCACTGACTCAGGGCTTATCATTCTTTACTAGAAGTTCCGGATGAAGCAATGCAGGGGAGAGAGTCACTGTTTCTGCTCCCTAACTCTGACCATGACTCATTATTCAGCAAACACAAAACGGTTCCACATCCTCCTCCCGAGAAGGAGGCGCAGAGCCCATTACATAAGCAGCAGTCTACAGCTGCTCTTGGGTAATTGAAAGTGAAGCCCTCAACTGGAGGTCCTGCTGGGATGGCATGACTCCCTCCTCACCCCTTGATACCAATCTTTATGAGCAGAGAAACCCTCTCCAGGAGAGGGCCCCCAAAGCCAGGGGGTTTGTTTTTTGCACAGTAGGCCTCATGTTTGGAATAGCTTGTATTTTCTGCCTTGTTAAAACCTGGCCCTTCCGTAGTGTCTCTGATCTTATCTCCTGATGAGCCAGAGCTGAGCTGCGGGAGGCAGAATCTGCCCAGCGTGCTGAGCAGAGGAGGAAACGTGGCCTGGGGTTTCTGTGCCCAGGGACCCACCCAAGAAGGACCACCCAGGAACGATCATCTTAGGGAGAGGATTCACAAGAGCTGCTTTTGTTTAATAAGCTCAGCACTGCAATCATAGAAAATAGAGTTGAATTGCAAAGCCCAGAGTAAAGGGGATGGTTGTTGATCTGGTTCAGGGGTAGGAAAAGTAACTTTAAATTGATCTGAAAAAAAAAAACAGAGGGGTTAAAAGAGATCATCTCTGGGCTCAGTAATCCTGTCTTCTTTCCCAGCCTGCACTACCAGGCAATTACTTTTCAGGAGTGGTGGGAAGCCAAACAAATTCTGAACATCCTTATCTGGAACCTGTTTCATGCAGAGAAGGCCTGCTTGTAAACACAACAGGACGTACAAGCTGATGAGGAGAAGGCTATCTTTTTGAACGTTGCCCCTGGGGGACTGGGAGGTCTGCTAGCCCTGGCTCCTCGGGCAAGACCACAACCCTCTAACTGGGCCTCACTTTCTGCTTTGGCTGAGCTGGGAACGGCCAGCAAGGGAGGAGTCGCGGGTGAGGGAGCACATTGGCCTCCACCTTGGCAATGCTGCTGTCCCCAAGGGAAATGTTCCAGGGAATGTCCTCAGCACCACAGAGAACTGAAATCCTGGAGAAAACTGGCCTAAGGAGCTCAGAAAGGCCAATAAAACTGGGGCATTTGGGGAAGAAGAGGAAATGGAATGGCATTATTGGATGATTTAAATGTGGTGTGTTGCTATGGTTCCCAGCCTTCTTGAAAGTCACAGACATGGTGTATGGGCTGAATTGTGTCTTCCCAAAACTCACATGTTGAGTACAGTACTACAAAATATATTTGAAGAGATTTGAGTTACAGCACTACACATTTGAGTTACAGTACTACAAAATGTATTTGAAGACGGAGCCTTTGAAGGGGTAATTGAGTTAAAATGAGGTCATAAGGTGGTCCCTAATCCAAGGCGATTGGTGTCCTTATAAAGAGAGAAGATACCATAGAAGGAAGACCCTGCGAAGATAAAGGGAAGAGACAACCATCTGCAAGCAGAGGAGAGAGGCTTCAAAAGAAACCAACTCTGCCAGCACCTTGATCTTGGACTTCTAACATCTAGAACCATGAGAAAATAAATTTCTGCTGTTTAAGCCACCCAGTCTATTGTATTAATACTTTGTTACGGCAGTCCAAGTTGAGTAATGTACAAGGTGACCCTGCAATTCCCTAGATTTGGAGTGCTTGGCTTTTGTTTGTAGCTCAAAGCCTGTCTCTTTTACAGGTAGCTCTCAGAAGACAAGTGAGGGGACACGCAGAAAGGGAGGTCCTTCTTCCCCCACTACAATCCCTGAGCATGGATGGAGATGGGAGGGCTGGGATCCTCAGTTCTGTGAGAAAAATACAAAGGACCATAAGCCCTGGTGAGAAGGGAGAGTCTCCCTGAGGCACTAGTAAGGAAGTGACCTGGACCTGGACCTCCCACTCCAGGACATTTTAACCAGCCCTGTGTCAACAGAGCATGCGCAACCCAGAGGACATTTTCTTTGAGCCCCACTTTACAGTCTCATTTACCTGGAGCCTGGCTGGGCTCCATCAGCCCCCATTCAGTTAAGAAACTGCCAAAGGAGCAGTTTATCCATATGCCTGCAGGATATTAAGGGAAATGAATTTTGTGTTCTGGCTGAGAGGGCCTCAGTGGACACTTCCAAAAGGAACCCTGATTCACAGTATTTGATACTTGGTTATTGGCTTTGGTAGAGCTTGGTTTTGTGTTCTGTCTTCTGAGAGGCAGGTACTGGACACCAGAAGCAGCAGGATAATGGCCCTGAAGGAGTCCTGACTGCAACCCCCTGACCACCACCACCGGAGAATTTGCTCCAGCTTTACTCTCTTCTGATTTTCCAGAAATCTGGCATTTTAAATAGCTATTTTGTGTTGGCCTCTTTTCTTCCTTTCTAAAAAGTATGTTTTAATTAAATGTTCTTTGGTTGCTGGCTAAGCTAACCCCAAAGGTTGGTGTCCCTGGTGTGGGCGGGAGAGGTTGAGTTCACACTGCCTTTCAAAGCAGTGCCAGTCCCTTCTGCCCTCTGCGAAGCCCACGTGAAGGGAAGACAATGGGTTACTGTGGGCCACAGAGCCATGTCCCCTCACACTGCTCTCCCCTCAGGGCTGCCAGGTGTGGTTGGGGCCTGAGACAAGCTTCTCGCCTCATCATTCCTTTCGAGGCAACACTTAAAACAGAGAGGGCTTCAGAAGGAAACAGCACAACCAGCGTCTCAGCACATGCGGCAATTCAGAGAGGAAGTACGTTCTAGAACAAAAATTAAACCCTAAACCTATAGGTACCAGCTCCATCCTGCCATAAATGCATCATACGCTTGGAACTTCCAACACAACCCCGAGAATGCTGCTCGCTCCCACGAGCTGACGGCAGGCCTGGCCCTCCGCCAGGGAGTTCACTTGCAAAGCTGGAAACTCCCTAACTTAAAACAATGTCTGGGTGTTTTCTGCTTCATAGGGGCTCAGAAGGAAGGTAAAAAGCTCAGTAAATTTGTTGTTTGACATCTCACTCTGAGTACTGTGTGTTTCATCTGCCTTCACTCTCACAATTATTATCAACTTGCTGGCTATAAAAGGCAGGGGCTACAAACTCAGTGAGCCAAATGCAGTGCTTGCTTCCTATCTGTGGTCCATTGCATAGCAGTGTGCTTGGGTGCTGCGTAAGACAATTCCCCCCAACGCCTCCAAAAAATAGGACATGGTCCACTGCAGGAGTTCATAATCTAGGAGTCCAGAGAGTCCAGGCTCATCATCCCTTCAGGTATGCATTGCTAAAACCCATTTTCTTCTTATTTCTTCATCTTTTTCCTCTTCTTTCCCCATCTCTCTGCTTCCTCCCCCTTCATTCCCTCCTTGCCGTCTTCCTCCTCCTGGTCCTCCTTTACTGAGCTAGAGGTAAGAGCACACAGCTCATCTTTCACTGCTGTTGGGGTCAAGAGTAAAGAGGAGTGACTTGCAGTTGTCTTCGAAATAATCTTCCCTTCCCAATCCTACTTATCTTAGCTGAAGTTGGGTTTTAGGAGAAGAGGGTGATCAAGAAGTTAAAAGAAATAAATGCAGGAACACTATATCAAAAAGTATTTGCTAGCACTGAAGAATATGGGTGAAGACAAAAATGGTGAGTCATGGAATTCCAGAGCTGAAGACGACTTTGGGTGCTGTGAACTTATCTCCTCACTTTACAGATAAGAAAAATGAGACCCAGGAAGTCTAGTGACTTACGCAAGGAGAGAGAGTAATTGTCAAAGGCTCTAGACTCAGCCCTTCTTGTTTCTAAGTTGGTGCTTCTAAGTCAATGCTCTAGATAACAAAAGTCATTAGGAAGATCATCCATGGGCCTAATCCTACCCCACCTTTACCTTTGTCTGCAAGTTCTTTCCTCTTATCCCATTAAATTAAAGGAAACTCCCCAAGGATGTTAATGTAAGCTTCTATCTGTCAATTACCTCTCCATGTAAATGAATCATGTGGGGATGGTGGAAAGGAGAGAGCACTTAGTTAGGAGTTCTGACCTGTCTCCAATGATCCAGATAGCCTTGAAAAGGCATTTAGCAAAACAATAGAAACCATTGCTGTTCAATACAATTATAATTTAGAAAGTCATGAATGTACGCCACTGCGTAATTCTGAATTTTCTTATAGTCATATTTTAAAAAGTAAAACAAAACAAATGGGATTACTTTTAATAGTATTTTTTATTGGACCTGATCTATCCAAACTATTATTACTTCAGCATGCCCTCAATAAAAAATGTATTAATGAGATTTTTTACATTCTTTTTTTTTTGGTACCAAGTCTTTGAAATCCTGCATGTGTTTTACAACCACAGCACACCCCGGTTCAGACTAGCCATTCAAATGCTCAGTGGCTACCTGGGACTAGTAGCTTCTACATTAGGCAGGAAAGACCTAGAGTTGCTTTCTCATCTATAAAAATGAAAAAAATGGCACTATCAGGGGTTTTCTAACTGCCTCTGCTTAGAGTCCTAAGAATTCTATAGAGGTAACTCAATGAGTGTCTGTGAGTGTGTGTGTGTGTGTGTGTGTGTGTGTAGTGAATTTTGGTGTGGCAGAGATAGCCAGCTTTGGTTCATCTACTACCACTTCATGCCAAATACTTCCAGAACTAACTGTTTTTATATATCCGGCTTTGGCCTGAGAGTTTGTTGGGAGATGAGATTCCATGGCTAAATAAAGAAACTAAAAACCCTTGCACAGCATAACCTGCAACCTGCACTGATAGTCCCAGATTCTGGAGGGCCTACAAGAGGAATCAGCAGTCACTTGCCAGGGAAGAAAAGGGCCAGGTGACAAGCATGGGATCAGCCTGACACTCCAGCTGGCTGTAAAAGACATATGGCCTCATGGCTGTGGCCTATAAACTACACACACTGACTCCCTCCCGCCTGGTCAGGTTCACGGATAACAGTTTGAGTTATCGGCTCGTGCTTTGCCCAGTGGGCCTATCCTGGGGCCCTATCCAGGACAGAGTGTCTAGAATCTGGGCTGATTGATACACAGAGGTCACAGAAGCCCAGGCTTTCTGCATAACACAGAGCCTTGGCTCTCTTGCTTCCGGAACATCCCAGTTTGAGGACTCTGCCCATGGGGGTTCTATATGTGGCCCCAAGAGTTTTTCCTGCTATCCTCATTTTAAACAGTGACATATAAGCAAGAGCACAACAGCTGCAAGATTGAAACAGCTGTATCAGCAAAGGATGCAGTTGTTGGAGGGTATCATTAAAACCAGCTTCAAGTGCAGCCGCCAGCACACCCACTCACTTCCCGGGGCCAAGCCATGTGAGATGGACCTTGTGGCTGCAGTCCTTTGAAACCCAACTGCTGAGGACAGGCACACATTTTTTTTTATTATTATCCTTTCATTTAATGAGTTATTAAGCAGCTTTACTGAGTTCAGTTAGACACATGGTCCCCACCCTTCTGGAACTTTTACAATATTATGGTAAAACAAAGATGTCCTCCTCATCTACTGGCTAAGGATTCCCAGAGTCTTAGGCCAGCTAGAGATGAGCAAAATATACAGCAGTCTCTGACGTGTTTATATTACCAAGGAGATAATTAAAAACATAGCCTGTACATTCCCCACTTTCCAACTCTTCTTTTATTTCCCTGTTTTAGTGGTATGTGGGTCTTTGGGTTGTGTATTGTAATATTATGATGTAATAGGAAATATATATTTTGATCTTCATATCTGGTTTCTGGCCAGGAATCTTGATAATAGCAATAAAGATATTTTGTTATTCATAACAAGCTCCTTTCAAACACACCTGAGTTTAATAATGAGATGACTTTTGGAAAGCCCTGAAGGATGGGAGGCTGGTTGCCAGGGAAACCAACCTTGTGATTAGAGGATTGCAACTTTCAGCCCCACCTCTCAACCTCTGGGGAGGGAAAAGGGGTGGGAGATTGAGTTAATCATTAATGATCAACGATCAATCATGCTTATGTAATGAGGCCTCCAGAAAAACTCAAAGGGTTGGGGTTCACAGAGCTTCCTGGTTGCTGAACACTTGGAGGTGCTGGGAGGGCTGTCCACCCAGAGAGGGCATGTAGCTCCATGCCACATCTCCCATACCTTGCTCTATGTATCTGGCTGTTCAGTTGTATCCTTTAATATAGCCTTTGTAATCAACCAGTAATCTAGTAAGTAAACTGTTTTCTTGGGTCTGTGAGCAAGCAGCTGTAGCAAATTATTGAACCCAAGAGGAGGATCATGAGAACTTCTGATTTGTAGCCAAGTGGAACAGAAGTTGTGGGTAACATAGGGACCTACTTCTTATGACTGGCATCTGAAGTGGGGGGCAGTCTGGTGGGACTGAACCCTTAACCTGTGGTGTCTGTGCTAACTTGGATTGGTATCAGGATTGTATTGAACTATAGGACACCCAGTTGGTATCTGCAGAGAATTAGAGAATTGCTTGATGTGGGAAAAAAAAGCCCATACATTTTAATGGTCAGAAATGAAGTACTGAGTGTTTTGAGTGACAGTATAGTGAAAAACTGTGTGTGTGTGTGTGTGTGTGTATATATATATATATGTATATATAAAATGTGTGTGTGTGTATAAAGCTGGATTTCCCAATACAAGTTTAAGCAGAAATCTTCAGAGGGAGCTCTAGATGCTTCTCCAGGTATAAGGGAAGATAACACCTAAGTGTCTAGCAACACGCAATTCATAATGATAGCCCTTTCAATATGCCAGACACAGGCCTGCACACTTACTATGACATGTTGTTTCATTGAATTTCATAACAACCTTCATCAGTAGCCTGTGATTTAGAGAAGAGGAAAGTGTCTCAGTGAGATTAGGACATTTTCCCAGTATCACAAAGTTAGAATGCAAGAGAACTTGGATTCTAAAGCAAGCTTCAGCGATATGCCAGAGCCCATGTGCCTTATGTCAAGCATTTTTTTGCTATCCTAGAGGTAAGAAAACACACTTTTTAAAAAAGAAAATTCTGGGCTGGGCACGATGGCTCATGCCTGTAATCCCAGCACTTTGGGAGGCCAAGGCGGGTGGATCACTTTGAGGTCAGGAGTTCGAGACCAGCCTGGTCAACATGGTGAAACCCTGTCTCTACTGAAAATACAAAAATTAGCCAGGCGTGGTGGCGGACACCTGTAATCCCAGCTACTCGGGAGGCTGAGGCAGGAGAATTGCTTGAATCCAGGAGGTGGAGGGTGCAGTGAGCCGAAACAGTGCCACCGCACTCCAGCCTGGGAGATAGAACAAGACTCCATCTCAATAAATAAATAAATAAATAAATAAATAAATAAATAAATTAATTAATTTAATTTAATTTAAAAAAGAAAAAAAGAAAATTCTGTAGAAATTCTTTGGCCCTAATAGTAGAAGACAGGACAAGTTAGTATGTTCCTGCTCAGTATTTGTTAATTTGGGATGGGGTATTAATTCAATGATGCTTAGCTTTGACAGACACAGAGAAAATCTCCATAATTGTAAAGTAACTATTAGTCTGAAACAATGCCTCTCCTTCAGTAGGAGACCCCTTTCCTCCTTTGTAAGAATAGATGTCTCTCCTACCACCACTTACTTGATGCTCACCAAAGGCTTGGTCTTACGTCTGATTTCTACAGGAAAAAATTGGGAAAAATGGCTTGATAAATTATTTTTCTGATATGTGGATTTCACTATATTAAATCTTGCAAATCTTTTCAAATGAATTACATTCAGTTTACATTTAATAAATTACTTTCCTTGAAATAGATAAGAGAAGGTGAAATTTAGATTTCCTAGGAACAATCAAGTAAAACCATCAGGACCTGAGGGATCTGACTCACACTGCCTCACAGCTCAGACATCCTCTGACACAAATGTGTTAATCAAGAAAATCAGCTGAAGAACACCTGGGTTCCCAAATATTTGCATTCTAATAGGGACCCCTTGAAAACCAAACTTTTCCAGACCCAAGTACTGAGACTGGAAGGATGGAGTGACCTGTGGTTGGGCAAATGCTTTGGCTGACAGTCATCATTTTTCTGGATATTCATTTCACACCTCTCTTCTCAAAATTCCAATGCTTCCTCTGATCTTCATTCTCAACTTATGACCTTTTTTCTAGTCCACTGAAAAATAGAAACAATCTGGAGGGAGTCCCAGTGTCAGCCACATCTCCCTCCAAAGAGGCATCTGTCTCCATACATCCTACTTTCTCTCCACGAACTGAGGATGACTTGTCTCTGCTTCTATCCAAGTCTAAGCCCTCTACTTGATCATCCTCTCTCAGTTTCTCATTCACATCCTTTAATTTTCTCTCTCCTGTATCAATATTTTTTTTCCTTTTCTACTGGACCATTTCCACCAGCATGCAAATGTGCCATTTTACTCATCCTTAAAACAAAATAAAAAAAGAACAACCCTCCTGCTCCTATATTATTCTCTGGCTGCTGCCATATTTCTCTACTTCTTTTTACAGAAAATGCCTCAAAAGAGTTATCTTCACTCCCATCTTCTATTCTCCTCCTCCTGTTTCTTGAAGTAACCAATATATAAATTCCCAATTCTTTCTTATGTGACCAATTATGGCATTTAACACAGTTGCCCACTTCCTCCTCCTTCAAACAGTTTCTTTACTTGGCTTTCAGGATGTCAAGCTCTTTGGCCATTTCTCTGTCTTTGCTGATAGTTTGTCTCCATATTTAAATATTGCATGGCCTCAAGCTTGGTCATTGGTCCTCTCCTCTTCTGTATCTGTTCTCGCTTGGAGATCTCATCAGTTTCATCTTCAAATACCATCTTTACATAGATGACCACTGAATGTATGTCTCCAGCCAAGACCACACTCCTTAACTCCAGACTTCTTTAACCAACTGCCCACTTGACATCTCCATGAAGTTGTTTCAGCCATCTCAACATTAACATCAGCCTTAACATATCACCTTGAACCTCTTCTTTATACTGTCTTCTCTAAGTAAATGACAACTCCATCCTCCTAGCTTCTCAGAGCCAAAACCTTGAAGGCAGGAAAATGAGGATAAAGAAATAGTACCTATTGCATAGGGCTATTGCAAAGATTGAGTCAATATTTGTCAAGAACCTGGAACAGTGCCTGGCATATAATTAGTATTAGATAAACTTTTGTTAAATGACTAAAGTAAGTACTAATTTTTGACCCTTCTCTTTCTTTCTCACACCCTGTATCTAATCATCAGCTACTCTTGTTGGCTCTTCCTTAAAAACATATACAAAACATGGTCACTTCTCACTGCTAACACCCTGATCTAAGCCACAACCACCTCTCACCTGGATTACTGCAATAGCATCTTAACTGGTCTCCCCACTTCTACCTCTACCCTACTATAGCCAACCTCAACACAGTAGCCAGAGTAATCCCTTTATTTAAAAAGTCAGATTATGTCACTTCTTTGCTCAAAGTCCTTCAATAGCTCCTTCTTCACTCAGACTAAAATCCAAAGGCCTTAAAATGCCCTGCAAGGTCCTTCATGATCTACAAGCCACATCACCTCTGCTTCTTTGAACTTATCTCTACCATGTACCCCTTATATTCTGTGCTACAGCTACATGCATTTCCTCCTTTTTCATGCTTGAATATGCCGAGAATCCTCCTGCCTACAATCCTTTGTATTTCCTGTTCTCTCTGCCTGGGTTGCTTTTTTCCAAGTTAGCTGCACAGTTCCCTCCCTCATTTCCTTCAGACACATTCAAATGTCATCTTGTTAGGAAGGCCTTGGCTGGCCACTCCTATCCAATTGTAACTGCCACTTCCACATTCCCACATTCTCCTTTTCTCTTTTCAAGGCTTTCCAAAACTCTCACAGCTTAAATATCAGTGTCTCTTTGCTTATTGTTTGTTTCTCTCCCAATACAATGTATGCCCCATGAGGGCAGAGACTTGGTTTTGTACAGTGCTGGGTCTCCAATACCCAGATCAGCACTTGGGACAGAGCAGACACTGAATAAATATTGGTTGAAGAATTAATACATGAAGCCCCATTGCCTGTGTACCTACCCACTTGCTCCCTCATAAGGTTGGCTTTTGTGTGCACACAGCCCAAGGAACACACATTTCAGAAAAATTCTGAGCCATAAGATACTTCATACTCAATTTTTGCCGAGAAAGAGAGAGAGAGAGAGAAAAGATCTATCCTATGAGTGTGAGTTAAAGTTGTCTAATTGTTTCTGATAAAGACCGTTGCCAGCTTTTGACTTACCCATCTAACATTGTTCACATCTTGTGTCTCCCTCTCTTAAACTACCCTGAAGTCATTCTGGACAGCAACCAGGCTACACAGGCCAAAAGCACCATGTAGTGGCTGAAGGGTACAGTGTATGCAAAGGCACAGAGATGAGAAAGCAGGTACAAAAAGCTGCTTTTAGGAAAAAAAAAAAAAAGAGTAGTTAAAAGATAATTAGTATGGCAAGGACATGTAGCTACTTGAATGTCATAGTCCATGGAACATGATTAGTTTTTTAAAGCTCAGTTGAGTAATTGACTAAAAAATGATTGAGCAATCCTAATGAGCTGTGCTCCAAAGAGAACATAATAAAGATCTACTTCTTGCTCATAACAGCTCCTACTGATAAGAATGAGGAAATTTAGCCATGTTTAATTTTTTGAATAGCTATACAGATGTGTAATTTACATATAATAAAATGTACCCATTGTAAATCTAAACTTAAATTATTGTAGTAAATTTAGAGAATTGTACAAAAGCCACCAAATCCACAAGTTGAAGAAGTTCCCTTCTACTCTTTTGTTTTTTCTTTTAATTTTTCTTTTAAGTTCTAGGGCACATGTGCAGGATGTGCAGATTTTTTACTTAGCTAAACATGTGCCATGGTGATTTGCTGCACCTATCAACCCATCACCTAGGTATTAAGCCCAGCATGCATTAGCTATTTTTCCTAATGCTCTCCTTCCCTGCAACCCACCCGCCAACAGGACCCAGTGTGTGTTGTTCCCCTTCCCATGTGTTCTCATTGTTCAGCTCCCACTTATAAGTGAGAACATAGGGTGTCTTGTTTTCTGTTCCTGCGTTAGTTTGCTAAGGACAATGGTTTCCAGCTCCACCCATGTCCCTGCAAAGGACATGATCTCATTCCTTTTTATGGCTGCATACTATGTCATGGTGTATATGTACCACATTTTCTTTATCCAGTCTGTCATTGATGGGCATTTGGGTTGATTCCATGTCTTTGCTATTGTGAATAGTGCTGCAATGAACATATGTGCCCATATATCTTTGTAATAGAATGATTTATATTCCTTTGGGTATATCCCCAGTAATGGGATTGCTGGGTCAAATGGTATTTCTGGTTTTAGTTCCTTGAGGAATCACCATGCCATCTTCCACAATGGCTGAACTAATTTACATTCCCACAAACAGTGTAAAAGCATTCCTATTTCTCTGCAACCTTGCCAGCATCTGTTGTTTCTTGACTTTTTAATAATCGCCATTCTGACTGGTGTGAGATGGTATCTCACTGGTTTTGATTTGCAATCAAATGATCAGTGATGTTGAGCTTTTTTCATATGTTTGTTGGCTGCATGAATGTCTTCTTTTGAGAAGTGCCTGTTCATGTCCTTTTCCCACTTTTTAATGGGGTTGTTTTGTTTTTCATGGAATTGTTTGTTTTTTCTTGTTTATTCTTAATTTGTTGAGAGTTTTTAATCATAAATGGATATTAGATTTTGTCAAATGCTTTTTATGTATCTATCGAGATGGGCATTGTGGTATTTGTCCTTCCTGTTTTAGGTTGATTTTCAGATCAGAAAGCAACTTTGCATTCCTGGGATAAACTTTTGATAACTCTGGGATACTTTGTCTTGGTGTATAATTCATTTTATATGTTGCTGGATTTAATTTGATAATATTGTGGTAGTAATTATTATGTCTGTGTTCATGAAGGCTATTTGTCTATAGTTTCCTTTTCTTGTGAGGTCTTTGTTTGGCTTTGGTACTAGGGAAATACTGGTCTCATAGAATGAATTAGGAAGTGTTCCCTCCTTTACTTCCTAAACAAATTTGTTAAGGACTGACAATACGTCTTTAAATATTAGATAGAATTCACCAGTAAAGCTATCTGGGCCTGGGTTTGTCTTTGTGGGAGGATTTTTAATAACTAATTTACTTTATTTATTTATTATATGCCTACTCAAATTTTCTATTTCTTCCTGGGTCAAATGTGTTAATTGCGACTTTTTGGAAATGTGTTCTTTTCATATAAGTTTCCTAAGTTATTGGAATAAAGTTATTAATAATATCCCTTACAATCCTTTGATTTTTTATTTTGGTAATTTGTGTCTTTTTAAATTTTTTTCTTTATTTATTCTAAAAAAAAAAGGATACATGGGCAGAATGTGCAGGTTTGTTACATAGGTATATGTGAGCCTTGGTGGTTTACTGCACCTATTGACCCATCCTCTAAGTTCCTTCCCCTCACACCTTACCCCCCACCCCCCAATAGGCCCTGGTGTGTGTTGTTCCCCTCTCTGTGCCCATGTGTTCTATGTTCAACTCCCACTTATGAGTGAGAGCATGCAGTGTTTGGTTTTCTGTTCCTGTGTTAGTTTGCTAAGGATGATGGCTTCCAGCTTCATCCATATCCCTGCAAAGGCCATGATCTCATTCCTTTTTATGGCTGCATAGTATGCCATGGTATATCTGTACCATATTTTCTTTATCCAGTCTATCATTGATGGGCATTTGGGTTGGCTCCATGTCTTTGCTGTTGTAAATAGTGCTGCAATAAACATATGTGTGCATGTGTCTTTATAGCAGAATGATTTATATTCCTTTGGGTATATCCCCAGTAATGGGATTGCTGGGTCAAGTGGTATTTCTGGTTCTAGATCCTTAAGGAATCTCCATACTGTCTTCCACAATGATTGAACTAATTTACATTCCCACCAACAGTGTAAAAGCGTTCCTATTTCTCCATAGCCTCACCAGCATTTATTATTTCCTGACGTTTTAATAATCATCATTCTGACTGGTGTGATTTGGTATCTCATTGTGGTTTTTATTTACATTTCTGTGATTATCCGTGATGTTGAGCTTTTTTTCATGCTTATTAGCTGCATAAATGTCTTCTTTTAAGAAGTGTCTGTTCATATCTTTTGCCTGCTTTTTGATGGGGTTGTTTGTCTTTTTCTTGTAAATATATTTAAGTTCCTTGTAAATTCTGGATATTAGACCCTTCTCAGATGGGTAGATTGCCAAAATTTTCTCCCATTCTGTAGGTTGCCTGTTCACTCTAATGATAGTTTATTTTGCTGTGCAGAAGCTTTTTAGTTTAATTAGATCCGATTTGTCAATTTTGGCTTTTTTTGCAATTGCTTTTCACATTTTTCTCATGAAGTCTTTGCCTATAGCTGTGTCCTGAATGGTATTGCCTAGGTTTTCTTCTAGGGTTTTTTATGGTTTTGGGGTTTACATATAACTCTTTAATCCATCTTGAGTTAATGTATAGGGTGTAAGGAAAGGGTCCAGTTTCTATTTTCTGCATATAGCTAGCCAGTTTTCCCAGCACCATTTACTGAATAGGAGATCCTTTCCCCATTGCTTGTTTTTGTCAGGTTTGTTGAAGATTAGATGGTTGTAGATGTGTGCTGTTATTTCTGAGGTGTCTGTTCTACTCCATTGGTCTATATGTCTGTTTTGGTACCAGTATCATGCTATTTTGGTTACTGTCGCCTTGTAGTATAGTCTGAAGTCAGGTAGCATGATGCCTCCAGCTTTGTTCTTTTTGCTTAGAATTGTCTTGGCTATACAGGGTCTTCTTTGATTCCATATGAAATTTAAAGTAGTTTTTTCTAATTCTGTGAAGAATGTCAACGGTAGTTTGATGGGTATAGCATTGAATCTATAAATTACTTTGGGCAGTATGGCAATTTTCATAATTTTGATTTTTCCTATCCATGAGGATGGAATGTTTTTCCATTTGTTTGTGTCCTCTCTTATTTCCTTGAGCAGTAGTTTGTTGTTCTCCTTGAAGAGGTCCTTCACATCCCTTGTTAGGTGTATTCCTAGGTATTTTATTGTCTTTGTAGTGATTGTGAATGGGAGTTCATTATGATTTGGCTCTGTGCGTCTCTATTGTTGGTATATAGGAATGCTTGTGATTTTTGCACATTGATTTTGTATCCTGAGACTTTGCTAAATTTGCTTATCAGCTTAAGGAGTTTTTGGGCCGAGACAATGGGGTTTTCTAGATATAGGATCATGTTGTCTGCAAACAGACAGTTTTACTTCCTCTATTCCTATTTGAATATGCTTTATTTCTTTCTCTTGCCTGATTACCCTGGCCAGAACTTCCAATACTATGATGTTGAATAGGTGTGGTGAGAGAGGGCATCCTTGTCTTATACCAGTTTCAAAGGGAATGCCCCCAGCTTTTGCCCACTCAATATGATATTGGCTGTGGGTTTGTCATCAATAGCTCTTATTATTTTGAGATATGTTCCATCAATACCTAGTTTATTGAGAGTTTTTAACAGGAAGGGATGCTGAAGTTTATCAAAGGCCTTTTGTGCATCTATTGAGATAATCATGTGGTTTTTGTCATTGGTTCCATTTATGTGATGGATTACTTTTATTGATGTGCCTAAGTTGAACCAGCCTTGAATCCCAGGGATGAAGCTGACTTGATCATGGTGGATAAGTTTTTTGATGTGCTGCTGGATTCAGTTTGCCAGTATTTTATTGAGGATTTTTGCATCAATGTTCATCAGGGATATTGCCCTGAAGTTTTCTTTTTTTGTTGTGTC
Organism: Homo sapiens; assembly: GCF_000001405.40. NCBI lineage: Eukaryota > Metazoa > Chordata > Mammalia > Primates > Hominidae > Homo > Homo sapiens. The sequence continues at coordinate 26,260,151 of NC_000012.12, read as the reverse complement.
TCTTCCCAATTTTGGTATCAGGATGATGCTGTCTTCATAAAATGAGTTAGGGAGAAGCCCCTCCTTTTCAATTGTTTGGAATAGTTTCAGAAGGAATGTTACCAGCTCCTCTTTGTATTCCTGGTAGAATTCAGCTGTGAATCCATCTGGTCCTGGGCTTTCTTTGGTTGGTAGGCTATTAATTACTGCCTCAATTTCAGAGATTGTTATTATTCTGTTCAGGGATTCAGCTACTTCCTGGTTTAGTCTTGGTAGGGCGTATGCGTCCAGGAGTTTATCCATTTGTTCTAGATTTTCTAATTTATTTACATAGAGGTGTTTATAGTATTCTCTGATGGTAGTTTGTATTTCTGTGGGGTCAGTGTGATATCCCCTTTATCATTTTTTATTGTTTCTGTTTGATTCTTCTCCTTCTTCCTCTTTATTAGTCTAGCTAATGGTCTATTTTGTTAATTAAAAAAAAAACAAAAACAAAGAACAGCCAGGCGCGGTGGCTCATGCCTGTAATCCCAGCATTTTGGGAGGCCAAGGCGGGCAGATCACGAGATCAGGAGATTGAGACCATCCTGGCTAACACAGTGAAACCCTGTCTCTACTAAAAATACAAAAAAATTAGCTGGGCATGGTGGCTTGCGCCTGTAGTCCCAGCTACTCGGGAGGCTGAGGCAGGAGAATCGCTTGAACTCAGGAGGCGAGGTTGCGGTAAGCCAAGATCATGCTACTACACTCCAGCCTGGGTGACAGAATGAGACTCCGTCTCAAACAAACAAACAAACATGTTTGTTAACAAACAACCCAGCTCCTGGATTCGTTGATTTTTTGGAGGATTTTTCGTGTTTCTATCTCCTTCAATTATTCTCTGATCTTAGCTTATTTCTTCTCTTCTGCTAGCTTTTGGATTCATTTGTTCTTGCCTTTCTAGGTCTTTTAATAGTGATGTTAGGGTGTCAGTTTGAGATCTTTCTAGCTTTCTGATGTAGGCATTTAGTGCTATAAATTTCCCTCTTAACACTGCTTTACCTGTGTCCCAGAGATTCTGGTACTTGTCTCTTTGTTTTCATTGGTTTCAAAGAACTTCTTGATTTCTGCCTTAATTTCATTATTTACCCAGGAGTCATTCAGGAGCAGGTTGCTCAATTTCCATGAAATTATGTGGTTTTGAGTGAGTGTCTTAATCCTGAATTCTAATTTGATTGCACTGTGGTCCGAGAGACTGATTGTTATTATTTCAGTTCTTTTGCATTTGCTGAGGAGTGTTTTACTTCCAATTATGTGGTCTATTTTAGAATAAGTGTCATGTGGCACTGAGAAGAATGTATATTCTGTTGATTTGGGGTAGAGAGTTCTGTAGACATCTAGTAGGTCCACATGATCCAGAGCGACATTCAAGTCCTGAATATCCTTGTTAATTTCCTGTCTCATTGATCTAATACTGACAGTGGGGTGTTAAAGTCTCCCACTATTATTGTGTGGGAGTCTGTCTCTTTGTTGGTCTCTAAGAACCTGTTTTATGAATCTGGGTGCTGCTGTATTGGATGCATTTATATTCAGAATAGTTAGCTCTTCTTGTTGCATTGATCCCTTTACCATTACGTAATGCCCTTCTTCGTCTTTTTTGATCTTTGTTGGTTTAAAGTCTGTTTTGTCAGAGACTAGGATTGCAACCCCTGCTTTTTTTGCTTTCCATTTGCTTGTTAAATTTTCCTCCCTCCCTTTATTTTGAGCCTGTGTGAGTCTTTGCATGTAAGATGGGTCTGCTGAATACAGCACACTGATGGGTCTTGACTCTTTAATCCAATTTGCCAGTCTGTGTCTTTAATTTGGGCATTTAGCCCATTTACATTTAAGGTTGATATTGTTATGTGTGAATTTGATCGTGTCGTCATGATGTTGTTTGGTTATTTTGCACACTAGTTGATGCAGCTTCTTCATAGTGTCATTGGTCTTTATATTTTGTGTTTTTGCAGTGGCTAATACCAGCTTTTCCTTTCCATATTTAGTGCTTCTTTCAGGAGCTCTTGCAAGGCAGGCCTGGTGGTAACAAAATCCTCAGCATTTGCTTGTCTGGAAAGGATTTTATTTCTCCTTTGCTTATGAAGCTTAGTTTGGCTGGATATGAAATTCTGGGTTGTAAATTCTTTTCTTTAAGAATGTTGAATATTGATACCCCAATCTCTTATGGCTTGAGGGTTTCTGCTGAGAGGTCCACTGTTTGTTTGTTGGGCTTCCCTTTGTAGGTGGCCTGGCCTTTCCCTCTGGCTGCCCTTAGTTTTTCCCTCATTTTGACCTTGGAGAATCTCATTATTATGTGTCTCGTGGAGTATCTCAATGGTGTTCTCTGTATTTCCTGAATTTGCATTTTGGCCTGTGTTGCTAGGTTGGGGAAGTTCTCCAGGGTAATATCCTGAAGTGTGTTTTCCAGCTTGTTTCCATTCCTCCCATCTCCTCTGGTACTCCAACCAATCGTAGGTTCAGTCTTTTTATAAAGTCCCATGTTTCTTGGAGGCTTTCTCCATTCCTTTTAATTCTTTTTTCTCTATTCTTGTCTGCATGTCTTATTTCAGTAAGGTTGTCTTCAAACTCTGATATCCTTTCTTCCACTTAGTGGATTCGGCTGTTGATACTTGTGTAAGCTTCACGAAGTTCTCATGCTGTGTTTTTCAGCTCCATCAGATCATTTATGTTTCTCTCTAAACTGGTTATTCTTGTTAGCAATTCCTCTAAACTTTCATCAAGGTTCTTACCTTCTTTGTATTGGGTTAGAACATGCTCCTTTAGTTCATCATAGTTTTTTATTACTCATCTTCTGAGGCCTACATCTGTCAATTCATCCATCTGATCCTCCGTCCAGTTCTGCACCCTTGATGGAGAGATACTGCAATCATTTGGAGGAGAAGAGGCAGTCTGGCCTTTTGGGTTTTCAGAATTTTTATGTTGATTCTTTCTCAGCTTCGTGAGTTTGTCTAGTTTCAGTCTTTGAGGCTGCTGACCCTTGGATGGGATTTTTGTGGGGGCCTTTTTGTTGTTGTTGTTGTTGCTGCTGCTGTTGTCACCTTCTGCTTGTTTGTTTTTCTTTCAATAGTCAGGTCCGTCTTCTGTAGGGCTGCTGCAGTTTACTGGGGGTTCACTTCAGGCCTTATTCATCTGATTCACTCCCATGCCTGGAGATGTTACTCAAGGAGGCTGGAGAGCAGCAAAGGTGAGTGCCTTCTCCTTCTTCTGGGACCTCTGACCTCGAGGGACCCCAATCTGATGCCAGTAGGATCACTCCTATATAGGGTGTCTGAAAACCCCTGTTGGAGGGTCTCATCCAGTTGGGTGGCATGGGGACCAGGACCCATTTAACAAAGCTCTTTGTCCCTTGGTGGAGAGGGTGTGTTTTGCTGGGGGGGAGCCCACTCATTTGGGCTGCCCAGATTCCTCAGAACTACCAGGAGGAGAGGCTAAGTCAGCTGGTCCACAAAGACTTTGGCCACCCCTTTCCAGGTCCAACCCACAGACCTTGGCCGAATGACAGATGAACAGAGCACTCAGACATAGATATCCAGTGAAAGAGTGGGCTAGGGGACCTGGCCACCCACAGACCCTGATGAGGGTGCTGTAAACAGTCAGCAGCCGCATCTCAACCAGCTGGCGCTGCGGGCATTTATTCAGTATAGATTTAATGACAAAGGCCTTGAGTCAACACACTTGTGGGCAATTCACATGGTCACCCCTGCCCCCAGAGAGTAGTCAGTTCTGAGGCCTGAGGCCTAAGTAAACTAACTTATCTAGATCAAGTCCCTTACACTTCCTTGTTATCTACTCTGAGATAATTCAGCTGCCTTCAGCCAAACCCTCTTCTGAAGCTTTTGCAAAACCTTCCAGCCTTCCAAGAAGGTTTGCATCTTTCTACAATTTTCCCACCACCCTGACCGATCTACAACCCCTCCCGCTAGGGATTCAGGCCTAGGGAGATCTGAATTCTGTCCCTGAGCCTCTGGCTAGAGTTATTGGAGATCTTGCAGGGAAGCCCCACCCACTGAGAAAGGATGGGTTAAGGTTAGACCTGAAGAGGCACTCTGGCCACAGACTGCCACAGTCCATGTGTTGGACTGTAGGGACAAGTCCTGGGAACAAGCCATCCAGCCTCCCTGGCTCCAGCAGGAGAAAAGCGCAGCCTGGAGCTATAGAAATGGGTGCTGCCCTTCACCTGCCCAGGGAGCTTAGCATGTTAGGCAGTTCCCAGTCCCAGTGCTGGTTGTTGCTCCTCCCCCAAGCTCAAAGGGCTTAGACAGCAGGCAGCCCCATCTGGTGATGGTCACCCCTTCCCCTGGGAATTTGGTAGGCTTAAGCAGATTCCAGCTGAGAAGCTGTAAGAATCTGTGCATTCCAGGGTTGGGACACTAGGCCCCAAAGGTGTGGGTTTGCAAGTGGGATCTTCCAATCTGTGGGTTGTGCAGCTCCATGGAAAAAGCAGTTTCCCCAGCTGGGTATGAGCTCTCTTGCCACCTCCCTTGACTAGGGTTGGGGGTTCCTCTTCCCCATGTGGGTCTCAAGTGGCACCACACTGCTCCTCCTTCTCTCCATGGGTCATGCCAGCCTTGTAGTCAATTTTGATGAGAGAACCTGGATACCTCGGTTGCTGGTGAAGGATTCACATGCTTATCATGTTTTTTTTTTTTTATGGGAACCTCCAAGCGGCGCTAATTCTAGTCAGCCATCTTGGCCTCACCTGTTAATTTGTGTCTTCTCTCTTTTTTTCTTGTTCAGTCTAGCTGATAGTTTGTCAGTTTTCTTGATTACTAAAAGAAAACACAACTGCCTTTCATTTTTTAGTTTCTTTAAGTGAAAACTTAGGTTATTGATTTGCAGCTTTCTTCTTTCTTGATACAGGCATTTAAAACTATAAATTTGCCTCTAAGCACTGCTTTAATTTTGGCATATTTTGGCTAAAATATTTTCTAATTTTCGTTGTGATTTCTTCTTTGAACCATGAGTTATTTAGAAGCATGTTATGTAATTTTCCAATATTTAGGAATTTCTGAGATTTCTTTTTGTTGTTGATTTCTAATTTTGTTGTGATTGGAGAGCATACTTTGTATAATCTTAATTCTCTTAAGTTTATTGAGACTTGTTTTAGGGCCAAGCATATGGCCTATTATGGTCTAACCATGTGTGCTTGAAAAGAATGTGTATTCGCAGTTGTTGGATAGAATGTTTCTATATGCCACTTGGGTTGAGTTAGTTGATAGTATAAGGTTTTCTATATTTCTGATAATTTTTTGTTCAACATTTCTATTAATTATTGAGAATGGTATTGAAATCTCCAACTATAATTGTTGAGTTTTCTAATTCTATTTTAATTCTATTAGATTTTTTTCATGCATGTTGGGGCTCTATTGTTAGGTGCATTTACATTTATAATTATTATACTTTTCTGATGTAGTGACATGGAGGTCTCACCAATTACCATTACCATTTTTAAGATTGTATTGTATCAACTTTCTATTCATTATCTCAATTTCCTCACAAGTTAAATAGGGTTAATGATATTGGTGGGGTTCAGGACACATGACCCCAAAATATGACTGTAGCCCCCAAAATATGCCTATTTGGAAAATTGATTATTTTGAGCTGGTTATTTAGAGAAACTAAAGACACAGGAGTAGTCTCTTTCTTTGAGATCTACTCTAGAGATTTATTTACTCATTTATCTGGATTTCTCCAATGTATATATGAGATATACATGTTAGTAAGCTTCTGTTTGTTTTTGTCTTGTTAATCTGTATATTTTGTTATGGAGAGTTCCAGTTAAGAATTATTAAGGGTAGAGAGAAACCTATTTTTTTCTCCTTTATCATATCCACCGTATTAGATGGTTGTTAACAAACAAGTAAAATGGAAAAAAACTTTAGCACATTGCTGAGCATGTAGCAGGTACTAAATAAATGTTAAGCCCCTTTCCATTTCCCTCTCTCTTCATGCCATGGGATGTGAGCACAAAGTTGGCTTTGAAAACAGTTCTAAAAAGAACAATTTCTAATCGTACTTTTGCTTTCAGTAAATATTGGTATGCTCCATAAGAAAATGTCATAAAAGGGAATCAGACAAGCTGGAAACAGAGCATGGCTTTATTTTTCATCACTATAAGCTGCTGAAGAGCAAACAGTATATCACTTTATTAGTTTCTGTGCAGTTTTTGCACACTATGTCCCTCAATAAATATGAAATCAATACACCAAACTTTCTTAGGCAACTCATAAGTCATCTATGGCTTATCTTTAGGTAATAAAACTAAAAACATAGCATGGAAGTATTTACCATATAAGTTTAAGAAAATCAGAATTAAATAACTGTCACTCTTAAGGTACAAGGAAGTATTTCTGATGGGGAAGAAGTAAAGGGTTGGGAGGTAGTGAGGGATGATAGCAATGGATTTTTTAAACCTGTTTATTTGTCATCTATGTGTTCATTTTACTATTATTGGTTAAACAGAATGTTTGCATTTTGTATGCTTTTTCTTTTGTGTTTTATATTCCAGTTAAAAATAAATAATTCTTATTGAATGGGTTAAGTAAATGCTGAAAGGGTGATTAGCTTCAGTCATTGACTAATAATGATTATAGCTCCCATTTAGTAAGCATTTACTATGTACCAGGTACCATGCACAGGGCTTACATTCACTATCTCATTTAATTTGCCATCTTCAGAATTATCAGCCATGTGCTGTTATCATCATTCTAAAGATGACACTGAGGCTCTGAAAAGTTCATTATTTGCCTAAGATCTCCTGGTGAGGAAATGATGAGGTGGGGTTAGAACTCAGGAGTGTTTGACCTCAAAGCTGGTCCACTTCCTCATGAGACTATTCCAATCTGTGATTATCATACTGACAGAAGTTTTCAGGAAAATGTACTTTATACCACTATCTTTTTTTTTTTTTTTCTGATCACTAGAAAAAAAGTGTTCAAGTATTTACCAGAATATCTCAGGTTGGCTGCCATTTCACAGCTTAGAGAACTAGTCCAGATTGGAGCTGAGGGATATTTCCGGAGAGAGAGGAGATTCCTGGAATTTTTTGAATTCTTAAAAGACTGGATGATTTTTAAGCATTATAAAATAATTTTTTGTTAGGAAGATAAAATTTTAAATCTGTACACAAAAGTTATTGTTCTATCTGAAATAAGCTAAAATATGGCAAATTTTTGAGGATTGATGAAGTATAAGAAAAAAATAGTATCCATTTTACCTTGATTCTGAGAACATTCTCTTTCAAACAGCTCAGAAGTCATGACAATGGATCTGCAGATAAAGATACTAAATATGAGCACACCATTTGGCACTGCTATAAAGAAATTTACTTAGTCTCATTTAAGTAAACGCAATTTATTACTTTTTAAGTTTTAGAATAAACTAATAGTCCAATCATGAAAAGCATAAACATAATCTTAAGTTACTATTAATATTATGGGCTAGTCACTCTTCTAACCACTTTACATGCATGGACTCATTTGTTTCTCACAACAACACCATGAAGTAGGACCTATTTTTCTTCATCTGTAAAATACAGATGAACAAACTGAGCTACAGATAGAGTATCTTGCTTGACCAAATTTAATCAGCTAAAGTGAGTAGAACCAGGTTCAAACAAAGCCAGTCTGCTACAGACCCTTCTCATAACCATGGCACTATCATATCTTAGAACAGAATGTAAATTTTTTTTTTTTTGAGACGGAGTCTTGCTATGTCGCCCAGGCTGGAGTGCAGTGGTATGATCTCTGCTCACTGCAACCTCCACCTCCCAGGTTCAAGAGATTCTCCTGCCTCAGCCTCCCTAGTAGCTGGGATTACAGTTGCCCACCACCACGCCCTGCTAACTTTTTTGTATTTTTAGTAGACACAGGGCTTCACCATGTTGGCTAGGCTGGTTTCGAACTCCTGACCTTAAGTGAACCGCCTGCCTTGGCCTCCCAATGTGCTGGGATTATAGGTGTGAGACACCGCATCCGGCTAATGTAAATATTATTATCCTTGAAAATATAAAAATAAACGTGTAGTGGATAGAAACTAGGATTCAGGAAACAGAGAAGTGATATTAAGGGAACAGTAAGAGTCACGATATCTTCATCTTGTTTGGCTAGTATTTTAGCTTTCTCTTGCTACATAACAAATTACCACAAACTTAGCAGCCTAAAACAACACTCATTATCTCCTAGTTTTCGTGGGTCAGACGTCTTGGCATGAACCAGCTGGGTTTTCTGCTCAATGTCTTGCCAAGCTGCAATCAAGGAGTCAGCCAGGGCTGCACTCTAATCGTAGGTGGGGGCCCTCTTCCCAGCCCACTGACTGTGGTAGATTTTCAGCTCCTTGTTGTTGTAAGATTGGTGTTCCTCATGGAATATTCCAGAGGCAGTTCATGACATGGCTGTTTGCTTTCTTCCAGGCCAGCTGGAAAGCATCTCTGTTGCTTCACTTTCTTTTAAATGACTCGCCTGATTAGGTCAGGCCCACCCAGGACACCTCCCGTTGATTAACTCAAACTTAATTGATTAGTAACGGACCCTGCCCACACTTAAAGGAAAAGGATTACACAAGGTATGCACATCAAGGGATAGAAACTTGGGGGATCATCTTAGAATTCTGCCTACTACAGTTAGGAATCAGGAAAATGGCATCCAAGGTTTACAGACAAGAAATAGATATTTAATGATATTCTTTTTTTTTTTTTGAGACAGAGTATCACTCTGTCGCCAGGCTGGAGTGCAGTGGCGCGATCTCAGCTCACTGCAACCTCCACCTCCTGAATTCAAGCAATTCTCCTGCTTCAGCCTCCCGAGTAGCTGGGACTACAGGTGCGCACCACCATGCCCAGCTAATTTTTGTATTTTTAGTAAAGACAGGGTTTCACCATTTTGGCCAGGATGGTCTCAATCTCCTGACCTCAAGTGATCTGCCTGCCTCGGCCTCCCAAAGTGCTGGGATTACAGGCATAAGCCACCGCACCCAGCCTATATTTCTAAAATAAAGATTAATTGAATAAAGATTAATACCATAAAAACACCTACTTGTAAGAATGACAAAAAAAGAAGAAAGTATGTAATACTAGTAAATGTTAGGAGGAAGGAAGGAAGGAATTCAGGGGTTGAATGCGAGCCAAGTTAGTTCTCAGCCTTGATTTCACAGCAGAATCATCTGAATATCTTGAAAAATGACTAATAACTTAGAACCCGCCCAAGACAAAATAAGTCAGAATTTATAGGGGTGGGGACAAGTTATAGATATGTTTTAAAAGCTCTTCAGGTGATTTTAATCTGCATCCAGCTAGAAAACCTCAGAGCTGAATCTTCATCTTTCTTAATAGAGAGGTCATTGGAATTCCCCCCAACCTAAAGTTGATAATAGAGATATAATCATGTTATTTGGAATTGTGAAAACAACCATCAGAAGCACTACCTCCAATGAAGAGTGGGGCTGGGAAGTTTGGGAGCGTAGAATTAGCCAATTAGTGCTCAGTCCAAATCTGCCTGCACTATTTTTTTTTAATCATCTGCATGTATTATGTTGACTTATTTAAAAAATATTTCAGGTGGGTGCAGTGGCTCATGCCTATAATTCTAGTACTTTGGGAGGCTGAGGTGGTCAGATTGCTTGACTTCATGAGTTCAAGACCAGCCTGGGCAACATGGCAAGACCTCATCTCTACAAAAAAATACAGAAGTTAGCCTGGCATCATGACACGCACCTGTAGTCCCAGCTACTCGAGAGGCTGAGGTGGGAAGACAGCTTGAGCCAAGGAGGTTGAGGCTGCAGTGAGCCATGATTGCACTACTGCACTACAGCCTGGCAAGAGAGCGAGACCCTGCCTCAAAAAAAAAAAAAAAAAAAAAGGAAAAAGAAAAAAAAGGTTTCAGAGCTTGTAGTCCCTTCAACAAGTGAAAAGTCAACACTTCCTATATGATTAGCACTAAAACCTTACCAGCCAATATGACCTAGCTATTATGTGCTTTTCTTTAAAAACACATGCCCTAAACCTAATGAAACAAGTACTGGGGTTTGTTCCTTTGGTGTAGAAATGCACATAATTTTCATGCTATCTCATTTTTTAAAAATTCTGCCCCCTCGCCACCCTTTTCACTTCCTGTGTCAGTAAGCATTAATTCAGAATAGCTTTTGTATGCATTTCCTATTGCTGTAACAAATACCACAAACTGGATGTCCAAAAACAACAGAAATTATCTGTAGTAGTTTGATAGTCCACAAATCTGAAATTCATTTCACCACCCTGAAAACCAGGTGTGAGTTGACAGGGCTGCAGATCTTCCAAAGCCTCTAGGGGTAAATCCACTTCTTGCCCCTTCCAGCTCCTGGTGGCTGCCAGCATTCCTTGGTTGGTGGCCACATCACACCAATCTCTGGTCAGATTGCCTTCTCCTCTTCTGCGTCAAACTCCCTCTGTGTCTCTCTTATGAGGATACATGTGATTGCACTTAGAGCCCTCCTGGGTAGTCCAGGATAACCTCCCCACTTCAAGATCCTTCACTTAATCATGTCTGCAAAGTCCCTTTTTTCCATATAAGGTAACATTTACAGCATAAGGTAACATTACAGGTGCCCCTAACCCCCAGACCACAAACCAGTACAGGTCCTAGGCCTGTTAGGAACCAGGCCACATAGAAGGAGGTGAGCGGCAGTCAAGCTAGCAAAGCTTCGTCTGTATTTACAGCTGCTACCCATTGCTCACATTACTGCCTGAGCTCTGCCTCATGTCAGATCAGTGGCACCATTAGATTCTCATAGGAGCGCCAACCTTATGGTGAACTGTGCATGTGAGGGATCTAGGTTGTGTGCTCCTTTTGAGAATCTAATGCCTGATGATCTGTCACTCTCTCCCATCACCCCCAGGTGGGACCATCTAGTTGCAGGAAAACAAGCTCAGCACTCTCACTGATTCTACATTATGCTGAGTGGTATAATTATTTCATTATCTATTATAGTGTAATAACAATAGAAATAAAGTGCACAATAAATATAGTATGTTAGAATCATCCCAAAACCATGACCCTTCTACCCCCTCCATGGAAAAACTGTCTTCCACAAAACTGATCCCTGGTGCCAAAAAGGTTGGGGCCCACTGATTTACAGGATCCTAAGGATTGGAACACGGATATTGTTGTAGGACTTCAGTCTACCATTATTTTTTACATTTTTAATCATTGAGCTAGCTTCCAATGTCTGTTCAGATGAAGGAAATATATCTGAGGTGAAAATGAAATTTTAAAATCTAATTTATTTGGAGCTCTGGAAACACTATGAAAGGAAAATACATGATAATGGGAAGTGTCCGTATTTTTCAGAGTTAAGTATTTTATTTGTCTTGTTTATAGTAGATTCTCCTATTTTATGTAGATCTCCCTATTTTATTTACTATTTGACTTCTGTTTTTTACTCTTAAAATATTTTGTTTCATTATATCTTTCTTTTAAGTTGGTAAAGAGCAAATAAGATGAACTGAATATACCTACAAGTAATTCATGTTTTCATGTATTCTTTGCTAATAACTACTCTGTTCAAGACCATCATAATTTTCTTCAACATTAACTTTGGTTTTTTAAAAAAGATATTTGTTTGCCTTCTGTACATATTTGCTTTCAACAACAAGAAGCTCTGTGGCTATGAAGTCTGTTTACTTGTAGTCTCAGAGAATACCAGGTTTTTAAAACTCCATCCTTTCAGAAGAACAGTATTATGTAATTTTAGCCATATTGGATATACTCACAGTTTGTAATAAAAATAATCCTCCCTTTTCTTTCAGATTTGTCCGCCTCTCCTGTTTAAAGTTTTTGAAAGAAAATAAAGATGGAAGGAAGGAAGAGAGGGAGGGTGGGAGGGAGGAAAGAAGGAAGGAAGGAAGGAAGGAAGGAAGTCAGTCAGTCAAAATAAAAGAAGTATTTGAAGGAATTTCATAGGTCAACACCCCAAAACGTTTACTTGCTCCAAGAACTTTCATTGACTGTGTCTTCCAGGGTGGTGCAATGTCTTTGGACAAAGAGAGACCACTGTGGTTAAGCACGAGGGTAAAACTGAAAGTTCTCCTCTGGGTCTCAGAGGGAGGCTTGGTGCTCTGAGTAAATATGGATAAACCACGCCACTTGTAAATTACTGGTTTTTTGTTCCTTAAACCAAGTTGTGCCTTCTCTTAATGGATATGTAAGTCCAAGGGGCTTAGTGAAAAAGCCATCCAGCTTTTTCTTCCCTATTGTGACCCTGTTCTGGTCACGAAGAAATGTCTTAAATGTTGGCTTTCAAAAGTCAATGTCCAGCATGACTTCTGTGTGAATGGTGCTGTTTCATTTCAGGTATTAATTTTATAAAACGGTTTCCAAGAAATACTTAACTTATTTTCTAATCTAGCCCTTCCTTTTATACTTCTGAGAAATTGTTCATCTTTCTAAATATCCAATTTGTAGTAACAGTCAATTATAAAAACATAAAATATTTTGACAACTCAAACTGTGTCTCTGCCCACTCATATATCTTCCCTGTGTTTATGTCTGGGTATATATGTGTGTGTCACATGTGTGAGTGGGAAACACAGGTGATAAACTTCATGTCACTCTACTGCTTGCAAACACTCCAATGGCTCCCAACTTCCTTACAGTGGCTTGTAAGCCCCTCTGCAATCTGACAGCAACTGACCACTTCATTCCCGTGCGGTAGTAGCTGGCCCCACAGACACTCTGATCAAGGGACCCATGTCTTCTTTCTGTTGCTCTGATTGCCCAGCCTCATTCCTGGGATTGGCATTTGCCGTTCCTTCTACCTATAATGCTTTTTCCCCATATTGTTGGCTGGCTATCATTTATTATTCAGGTTAAGGATCAAATGGCATGTCCTTCCCTCACCATCCTTCCCAATATTGCCCTACCTCTTTTCTCTCTTCTGTAAGAGCACCCTCTTCATAGCACTTGCCCACTATCTAAAATGTTCTATTTATTTGTCTTTTCATTGTCTGTCTCTCCTTCTGGATGTAGTGAGCTTGTCTGTTTTATTGGTCCTATATATCCAGCTCCTAGAACAATGACTAGCACAAAATAGGTATATTAAAGCTTTTACATTTCCTTTCCCTCTTGCCCTCATTTCTTATCCTGTGACCAAGAGGAGAAGCTCAGATGACTCAAAGATCTATAGATCCAGTGATAATAAAATATACCTCATGGCAGAAGATCAAGGAAGGGCTTGGAGTGCTAGGATCTTGACAAAGGCTTGGGGGTTGGTGACGCAAACACCTCCTCCTCTACCCACCACGTTCCCACTCTACCACTCCAACCTCAGCTGACCAAGCAACATCTTGGTCACCTCTTCCCCCAATTCCACTTGGACTATGGAGCACATCAATGATTTAATGATCCAGGAGGTACTGGGCATTTCTAACAGAGGCCCTTCAGGCACAGGTGATTAAGGAAGCTGGAGAGATGGTGCACATTCCTCCAGCTTTGGTACACAAGCCCTGCCCTCGCTCACACCCTGGGCTGATGTGGTGAGTCACTCCAGGTAAGGGGTAACACAGGGCCAGAGGCGACAGCAGTGAGGCCTGTGTTTTTCTTGCTTCAGAGCAGGAGAGTTGAAATGGAAACTCCTAGCCACACAGAACTGGGAGGCAGGGAGCTGTGAAAGTGGTGGTCCAGTCTTTGCACAGGCAGAATTACTTTCATTATTGCTCAATTTGAATTAGGTTAAAAGCAGATAGATTATTTTTAAGTCTCTTTTCTCTTTTCAGTAGATATCGCAAAGTCTAGAAATTGATATAATTTAAAGGTAATGAAAAGAAAGTTCAGCAGCTGCATCATGTTTCATGCTGTCCTTTCCTTCTCCTGGGGTGGGCCTCGCCCCCTTCCTCCAGTCTTCTGTTGTGTTGCCAAGGGCACTGCTCAGAGTGCAGGAGATGGTTCTGAGGCCATGGAAGGCTTCCCCGAGCTCACTTCACATTAGCCACTTACCAAGATAAGCTGGAGCCGGGTCCTTTTTTCAGGTTGAGCAGGTGAAGAATGTTTCTAACTGTTCCGGCGGCATGGCCGATGATGGTGCTTATTTCTGTTGTACCTACGGACTCCCACGTCCAATGTGTGTTAGCTTTAAGTTGCATATTTGGTCGCTCTCTCAAATGCAGTGGGGAGGGCTAAGACCTGATTGTTTTGGAAGGAGTTTACACAATTAACCAGGTTCTCCATTCATTATGGGTGTTGTGTGTTTGCACTGGTGGTTGTAGGAAAGACAAAGAAAAAAAAATCAGAAACATGGGAAGGTTTTCCTGCCGCATGATTTCATTAGCAGGATCAGGGACTCCCAGATCACTCTTTTTCTTTCCAGCATAAAACGGCCTTCAGAAGGTTTTGGCGTCAAGCCAATTAATTGCCATTGGAAATTGTCTTTAGATTCCCTCTCTACTTTCCACTTCTTCCTTGTGTGCTAGTAATTATGTGATATCTCCTGAGACTTCCACTGCAAACTCACTGAAGGCAAAAGCACTGACACGGAACCGGAAGGACTGAGGATCTGATGGAAAACAGAAAGTCCCATTACTTGCCCACTATCCCTTTTCATGCATCATAGTGGGGCTGGCTCTGAAATCCTGGGGCTTTTTAGAAGTCCCAGCATGTATCTCCCCTGGAGGACCAGCCCATCTTTGAGAAGGGCATCACCAATGGCACAAGAAGAAGGCTAAGCAGAAATATTGAATGCTTATTGGCAATAGGGGCATTAGCAACAGAGTCTAAAACCCAATTCCACTGCTGAAGACTTGGTGGCAGGAGCGCCACTTCCTGTTGTAGATCTGATGACACAATGAGAAAGCACAGTGCATACTAGGCTAGTTTCAGAGAGGACTCATTATATTAGCCAGAAACTAGACTTTAATGTAAAAGTCTGAAGCCTATCAGGGATTTCTCTAGGAAAGCACACTCTGGAAACTGCTCTCTATTTCAGTGTTAACTGCAAGCATGCATGCCTTCATGGTTACAGCTGAGTTTAGGTACAGGAAAAAGGATTCCTCGCGCTCTCATCAAGCTGTAACTCTAGTGTTCCTGAGCACCTAGTCAAGTATAATAAAATAATTCCCCTCCTCTTCCATCTCTAGCCCATATTTTCAGATTCAAAGATGAGCTGGGAAACAGGGTTGATAACAGGTAATGATAATGATAAGCACAGATTGCGCCCTTAGAATGTTCCAGGCACTCTTCCCAGCGCATTACAGAGACAAACCCATGTATGCCTCACAATGACCCTATGAGATGGGTGCTCTTATTACCCCCGTTTTATGGATGAGGGAACGAACTTGGGTATAGAGTAGTTGAGGAATTTGTCCACGTATATATATAGCTAGTAAATGGTAGCAAAACCTAGGCTTGGACACGAGGCAATATGACTGGTCTCAAGTCTGTTTTTAACCACTGAACCACACTGTGGCAGGCGGGCAGCTTCCTCGGGGATTGCAGTCGCCAGTGTTACATAATCAACACCAAGGGCTCATTCTTAAGGAAAGAGGCTGTTTGGTCTGCCCCTTACTGTTTTCTAGTCACGCTTACAGCTACCCTTCTTCAAATAGGTCTTGGGTCCCCCACATCACCTTTTCCCTTTCTTCATTCTCGGAGAATATGAGTAACTTCCATTTTATTTACTTCTTTTATTCTAAAAAATAAATATAGAAGAAAAATCCTGGGTATATTAGCAAAATAAATGTCAACATTTTGCCCTGTCCCAGAAAAAAAGAAAAAATAATGAGTTATTGCCTAATATCCTTGAGAATACTGGGCAGGGGTTTCAAACCTGTTGAAATTAGGGTTTATACATTTGCAGATCCCAATCAAATAGGAAAAAGAAGATAAATCATAAGACAAAGAGTAAAGGGGGGAAAAGGAGGGGGAGAAAAACATATGCCAGTTTTAAGCCAAGAGTTTATGTTAATAAGAAAAAGAGTTGAGGTGAGTGAGCCTAAACGAGTCATCTAACCTCATCTGGCCTCAGTTTGCTTTTCTGTAAAATACACAAGCTGGACTGGAAGGAATCTGTCCAGCCCTAACATAGTGATTTTAAGATAAGAAGTAACTGCAAAGGTGATCGAATTGGGAGTAAACTAAAAGAGGTTGTAATGATATTTCCTTTTCCCTTTTCATACTTTTCCTTATTACAGGAAAACAAGTATAATAGATAACTTTTGACTACAAGTAACAAGACCTAAAATTAAGGGCAGAAGATTTTAATATATTATAATAAATAGGTAACATTTGACTCTAAGTAACAAGACCTAAACTAAAGAGCAGAAGATTTCTCACCTTTGCTAATGTCAAGGGCCATGACTGCACTGGGACAACAATGCCCAGAGGTAGAGTGTGGATGAGGGTATAATCTGGGGGTGGAAGAAGAGAAGTATCCCTCAAAAGTACACTAAAATCCAGTAATTTCATAAAAACCCCACCTGAAGCCTAATTCCTCTTACAAAAGAGTCCATGACCTTCAATAAATCCTAAGTTTGCCAGAACACAGCGTGAAAACCTTAGTGCCTATCTTTAAGTACCTCACATGTTCATTCACTCTGACCTTCAACTCTTTTTCATCCAGAAACTCTTTTGTGTTATACGAGGAATGAATGCAAAGCTCTGTGGGCAGCTATCCAAGGGTTTCCATGCTGACGTCTCCTTGGTCCCTCACCCTAGTTTTGTTTCTTCTTCCTCTGCATGAAAGAAAAGCAGAGAAAGAGTGAACTTGGAGTAGGAGGGGAGGTGGCTTGGGGTCAAGCGTCGTGTTGGCTATGCCCTTCTTTTGACCTCATAGATCCACTACTTTTGGAGCAATGACTGTGGCTTGGAGTGTTTGTTCATGGTCTGATCAGATCCTGTGACATTTCTCCCAAAGGCAGGAAGGCATCTCTCCCCCAGCAAGATTGTTTGGTCCTGTCTATATTTCATGTCTATTTTTAATTCACCAGGAGGCTACAAATCTAAATCTCATCTATCTTAGCTCTTAAGGGTACCCAAAATGACAATTTATAGAACTCTACATTTAGGTTTGAACAGAATAGCCTTGCATTTTAAGCCCACTTCTGACACCACCCCATGGAGCCTGGGGCAGGCAATGTGGCCTGGTAAGAACAGCTTTGGAAAAGGCCCCTGAAGGTGTTGTTTCTTGGATTCCAGGGCTGACCTTGACTGTCTGGACATGAATCTATAAAATTTGAGGAAACCAGTTTGCTCTGCACCTTCCTACTGTCACACAAAAGTCCCTACCAGGGCTTTGCCAAAGTCCAGCTCTTATATGGAACCTGAGTTACTACTGGTGCTGGGCAGGGCTCAGGGACAGAGCTTAATGGAGGGGCAGGAAGAAAATAACTTGGCCAGCTGCATTGAAGAAAGTAGTCATATATATCTGTGCAAACACTTAATTCATAAAACCTACCAGAGTCTCAAAAACAAAGATGGTGGGATTTTCCTTTCCAAAGTACACTGCTCATTACCCTAAGCTTTTGTTACTTTTTTACTCCCTGAAAGGTTGTATAAGGTATTTCTTATAATCTAAAGTTACCTGCAGTTATGGAAGTAGGGGAGTGGCCAATGGGATGGCTCTGGGCTCTAAAAGTCTTATTCTGTCCCTAGCATCATTCTCCCAGGTCAGTGAGCCTCAGGATTCCTAGATGCCAGGACTTGGAAGCCTGACCCAGTTTGCCCATGGAGTACAGATTATGGCTTGGGAACAAACACAAGAAAATCTTCTCTGTTGCACTTTCTAATGTTTGCAGAGGGCAGAGGGATTGCTGTTTTGTACTTAGGCTCCAGCGGATACAAACTATTGTCTTATGTTTCTGCAAAGTGTTTTGCTATAGGAATTTTAGGTGCTACAGTTATTTTCCTGATTTCCTGATATTCCTATGAATTTCTATTTATTGACAGTTTCTCACCATCACCATCATCATCACCACCATCATCAAACACTTGCATAGCATTGTTCTATATCTATTATATAAAATAATTATCATTCATTCTTCACAAGCCCCTGTTTATTATCCTTCAGATGAGGAAACTGAGGCAAGGAGGCACAAACAGATTTGGTGGCTTGTCTGAGGCCTCACTGGAATTCAAACACAGGCAAACTTGTTCCAGAACTATTCTCTTAGTGACCATAATATGTGGCCTCTCCGATACATATAAATACTAATTCAAGAGCTCTTTAAAATATTACTCCGTGGGATTTCTCAAGTCTAGTTAAAGAGCATGGTTTGCATGTTATTTTTATGTACTTAAACTATGTAGACGATTCTTAAGGAGTTTTTGCTTTAAGTTTTATTGTTATTGTGATCTTGAAGTGATAATGTATTGATATTTCAATTCTACTCCTTGCTTCAGTCCTTTAACTTCCCCATTTTTGATCTTGTCTCTAAAATTTCCTAAACTAGAAGTATTTTTAGAGCCAGAAGAGGCCAGGGGACAAATAAGAAGGGAAAATGACTCTATTAGAAGTCTCTATTGGCTTGGTAAATTCCCATAATTTCCAGTTGGAAAACTTTTTTCCTTATAATTTTTGGGTAGCATTTGAATGAAGACACTCTAGAAAGAGTGTTTTATACTATTTTATTAATAATCTTCAGAGAAGATTTACTTAATATACTGCAGAAATAGGGCTTATACAAAGATCCCTTGGTAATTTCTTCCATTTCTTACAGATTCATAGTTAGGACTTTCATCCTAATGTCTATTCTAAATTATTCCTAGTCAGTTAGTGTTGAAAAAGAAAATGGATTTGTAATGACACTTCCATGAGCATTTCGAGCACTGCCTTTTGAGTTCTTGTCCTTGCAGTATAGGTAGCCCCACCCATTTTGGATGCAGATTGTATTCACATAAAACGGAAGCAATTTCATTTTCTTATCTGAGGTGGACTTGAACTTCACCTTGTCTCCTGGGGATAATAAATCAAAAGGAATTGATTTTTTTTTTTTCACATTAAAGTTGGTGGGGTTTTCAAATTATGTGTTCTAAAATTTTGCCCTGTAAAGTAGGCAAGTAGCTCCTTCAAGAAGCTTGGGCCCAAAGACTGAAGAGGTGTGATCCTTGGGGAAATCTCTCTTTTAAAGCCAGAATGAGAAACGCTTTCTACTCTCAGCATTTTGAAATGTGATGAGCTGAAGATGATGAGACCTGAGCCACATGTATACACAAAACTGAGTGTAGCACAATTTCTGGAACTCTCAGTTTTGCAACTGCTGTCCAAAGATGCACGCAGTGAACCTGGTGGACTGGCGCCTGACGTGGAGGCTTTAAGGGAGGTGGGAGGGACAGCCACAGCACGGGTAGGCAGCCTCTCACCTCTCCTCTGCATGCTGCCCAGGGATGCTCCACAAGGCAGTTGGAGAGGGCTGTGCCTCACCAAGTTCAGGAATCCCTTCTGAAAGCTTGTCGAGGACTCACATGTCACTGAGCAGGGAAAGAAATGTGCCTCCACCTGAAACAAGTCACATAGCTGGTCCCAGATGAGAAAATGTCTGCTGCAGAAAGAAAGAAGCAAAGGACTTGCAGGATCCTTGAAAGACCATGAGGTCCATGGGGAGGAGAGAGCAGGCTGGAGCAGGCTGTCCCCTCTCTTTCTCCTGCTCCTCTCCCCAGGGCTGCTCTGGCAGCAGAACCAGATGGAAATGTCACCTAGTGCAGAGTGTTTTATTCTTCCTGGTCTACACCCCACCTTAAACAGTGAAAGCTCCTTGGCAACATCATGCAGAGGTTCTTTTCATTTTTAATTAAATCCTAAGAGATATATTTTTTTTCCTAAAGGTGCCAGCTTAAAATAATTACTAGAATTCCCAACAGGGCTAATCAGAGACTTATAGAAAATAAAAATGAAGGAGAATGCCCTACCCAATGGGTTTCTGTCATTTTGCTCAGAAGGCTCTTGCAGTCCAGGGCAGCGATCACAGTTCTTGGCATTAGGGGCTATTAATAGGAGCCTTGAAATAAATCCCTATCCAGTGAGATAAGGAAAACTTATTTCACTGCCTGAGTATCTCTCCTCTGATGACCAGACACCTTCCATTTTCATCAGCTGTTTATCAAAATCAGATTAGTAAAAGAATAATCAGATCAGAATTGTTTATGCCTGTCTCAATCTTGAATTACAAATGACTTTCATGTGCTGCCTGGGCGAAGTACCGTGACCTATAGATGAACTAGCCTTTGTATTTCCTGCACCTTGTACTGAACTTATAATTTCCCAAAGACCACAAGTCATTAAGTCTCATTGTTGATTATTGATCTAAGTAAGATAGGTGAGGCTAGCTCCATGGGGGCTGTGGATATGTGGGCAATAGATTCTCTTTGTGATAAGTCATAAGTCACTAATGGGTTGTTTTGAGCTCTCCCAAGTGGAAGACAATGGAGCCTTTAGAAGGTTGTGGAGTTACGTAAGACATCTCTTTCCAAACAAAGAGGAGGCAGGACACCCAGCCAAAGGGTTGAGCACAGGAGGCTGTGTGGTCTGGTGGTTCCAGGGAGAGACGTGGGGCCAGGGCTTCCTGGGTTCAGCTACCAGCCGAGACTCTGAGTCAGGGGGGAGCAGAGCCAAGTCTCTTGGCTTGAGGCAGATAGACTGTAAAACCAGGAGAGAGAAAACCGCAGGTCTGTGCTCAAGGACTCTAGGGGAAAAACACATTCTGGAAATTAAAAAAAAAAAGAGAGAGAGAGAGTGAGAGAGAGATCACCCTGTTAAGTTACAATTTGGGACTTTTTCAACAAGAAATGAGCATCTTTCCTGCTGATTGGCTGACATGTCCTCCTCTGGGCAGCACTGTGAAGCCCAGCCAGTATCTGAGGGTGTTCTGTGTGGAATGAATAGAGAAGCTCAGGGGTCTGAGCAAAGCCAGTCAACCTTGGTGAGTTGTCACAAGGAATGCTTAGGGAGCCGGGCCCTGGGAGCAAAGAGGTTCTGCATGAATTCTTCCCTTTCACTCATCCTGTCTTCCACAGTAAAATGTCCTCTGAAATCATGGGAGGAAAAATCCCTTCCTGCCAGCTTCTTCTGGATACCTCCCTTCCACCAGTCTGAGCACAGAGTTGTAACCAGCAACCTGTTTAGCCACAGATCCACACAGGTTTCCAAGCCACAGCCAGGGCTGGGGCTGATGGTCCATGTTCTCCAAGTCCCATGAGCCCTGAAAGTCTGATAATTCTGGTCAGACAGAGTGGGTGGCCACCTACATGGTGAGTTTGAAGGATGACTGGGTGGGTCTCCACTCCTTGGCAGGGTGCCGCATTTCTCTGGATCTGAAAGTTTTTCTGATTGTTAGAAATAGCCTGTTAAAATGAAAACCATATTTATGAAGAAATCTCTGTATTCAGCATGAGCACTTGAGTCAATAATATCTTAATAGAGTCCCATAGAAATGGGACAGGAAATGAAGGAGGGGCAGATTTTGCTGTGGAATAAGGTTGGGGGAGGAAGTTTCTTATCTGGAGGAGCAGAGGGATCCCAGGAGGGGACAGAGAGATGAATCAGGTGGAGAGAGCCTTTCTAATAGTTTCTCCCGGAATGTCTGGAACAATATTAAAATCTAGTGGTGGGTGGGCGTGAATTGTACCAGGAGCAATGCTTTTACTTGTAATTCAAGCCAGGCCAAATGGAATCCACGTTTTCACTTGTGGGCACCTTGTCCAGCCACCAAGTACACTCATGATGTCACTCCTCCCTGCATTTGCCAGAGTGCACATTCCCTGCCACTGGTTAAATAGCCATGCTCAATGTCCCAAGTCCTAAGCTTCCCCATATTAAAATGAAGCAGTGATCTCTCCTTTTACAATCTTATAACCATCCTTTTGTCACTTTGTTGCAATCTAGGGAAAAATTAATAAAAAATTAAGTCTACTCTTGCGAGCAAAAGTATCTGAGGAAGGAACGTTATCTATTTTGTAAAAATACCTGAGTGAAAGAATGAAAACTAATCCACTGAGGTTAGTGACAGCTTTAATCACATAATTTTCAGACTCTGCTTCCTCTGCTTATGATAATTCACTATGGCTGGCGCACCACTTTCAGGCCCTCCCTGGGTAACCGTGCTCTAACAAACACATGTCTAGGAAAACGTAGAGAGACCACTTGGGGGTGGATTTCACAAGATTATTCTCATCTTCTCTGGTCACAGTGCCACTGTCCCCTGTGGTCCTTGAGAGTCCTCCTCCTGCTCTCTACAATCACACCTGGCCAAGCAAAGACAACACAGTGAGAATTTCTGGGGGGAAATGTCTGGGTAGGAAATCAAACAGAGTAAACAAGGCACCCTGCCTAGAGAGAGGTGCTGTCCAAAGTCTCTAGGTTTGGGGTCTCTAAAGCGCCCACTGACCTCTCCTTGTTCAGTTGCCTCGTTGGGTATTGTCTAAGTCTCCTCCACAATTCCTGGCAGCACCAGGTGGGTCTCAGTCCCATTCTGGGCCCTGCCTTCCTCTCCAGCAGGCTTTCCTGTGGGAGAGGAAGGACCAGCCCTTGTCCCACAAAAGTGACTCCAGGCTTCCTCATCCCTCAGTCAGAGAGTCTTGTTAAACAGAAGACTTCATGTCTCAGATAAAATCTGTGTTTTAGTATTACTGTTGTAGTATGTTTTAATATTATGTTATAGTATGTTCATGTAGACATGAATATATCTCCCCCATCCCTTTGATTAAAGGACCTGTCTAATGACACCCTCAAACAACAACAAAAAAACTTCCTCTAAGTACCCATGCTTTGGAAGGGATCAATAAACATATATAAATAAATGTTTGCTGGAAATAATGAGTTGTTGTCTCTGAGCTGGCATCCCCATATATTAGTTTTATTTTCACTTACAATATGAATTTTAAAATATATAATATCTAATATTAGTCTTATGCTTTACAAAGTTTAACTTATAAAATATATGAATGTGCTAAGTGAAAAATAAAATAACATATCATGAACTATTAAGATAGATAGGCTCTATCAAGGGAAAAGGTCAATTAATGGCTGTTTAATTTCAATAACTAAATCTGCCACAAATTTGAAGGTTCATGTAAATGTTTTCATATCCAGTTTGCAGAATGAAGCTCCATTTGGTATTTTCTGATTGTGCTCAAAAGTAAACCTTGTATGATTCTTAAATGAGAATCAGTGACCCACAGGGTCAAGCATACCAAAGGTGCTTAATGGTTGCTTTTAAAATAAATGAGGAATTGTACATTATAACCTAATATATGGTGGACTGATAATGTACAAAAGATTGGTTTCTAAAAGTTGGGGGAAAATACGCTTCTATTACATTAAGTTAGAAGTTATATGAAACACAGGAGAAATATCTCCAGTTCTACTTCTTCCTGGGAGAAGAATTGAGAGAAGACAGTCACATTCAAGACACATCCAAATATGTAAAACAACAAAGGGATCCAACCAATACATAATTTTGTGTGCTATATGTCTAGCTACAAAAGTTGGTGCTATCTTATTTTAAAAGCAGGATTTCTGTTTGAGGCCCATTTCATGTTTCTGGTTTACAACAAGGAAGTCACACAGTAAAGCAGCGCTCCTTTTCTACTTTGATGTGCGGACAGGAGCCTGCAGTAATGAGGAGACAAGTCCCAGGCTATGTGGAACTGGGCTAAGGTAGGAAGAAACCAAATGTGTATTAAGCAGCATCTAGAAGCCAGTTGCTTTGCTAAGTGCTGTTTCATTGAACCTTCCCCATGTTGCTGTGAGGTAGTTATATTTTTCTCCACTTTACACATGAGGAAACTGCAGATGGAATGCTTTGCCCAAAGTCACACAGCAGTAAGTGGCAGCCAGACTTGCAACTCGAGGCCCTACCACCTTAACATGAATGATAGAAAGTCCAGATCATTGAGAAGTGTCTGTTCATATCCTTCATCCACTTTTTGATGGGGTTGTTTTTTTCTTGTAAATTTGTTTAAGTTCCTTGTAGATTCTGGATATTAGCCCTTTGTCAGACGGATAGATTGCAAAAATTTTCTCCCATTCTGTAGGTTGCCTGTTCACTCTAATAATAGTTTCTTTTGCTGTGCAGATGCTTTTTAGTTTAATTAGATCCCATTTGTCAATTTATACAGCCAAAAAACATATGAAAAAAAGCTCATCATGCAAATCAAAACAACAATGAGATACCATCTTACACCAGTTAGAATGGCGATCATTAAAAAGTCAGGAAACAACAGATGCTGGAGAGGATGTGGAGAAATAGGAACGCTTTTACAATGTTGGTGGAAGTGTAAATTAGTTAAACCATTGTGGAAGGCAGTGTGTCAATTCCCCAAGGATCTAGAACCAGAAATATCATTTCACCCAGCAATCCCATTACTGGGTATATACCCAAAGAGTTATGAATCATTCTACTATAAAGACACATGCACATGTATGTTTATTGCAGCACTACTCACAATAGCAAAGACTTGGAACCAACCCAAATGCCCATCAATGATAGACTGGATAAAGCAAATGTGGCACATAGACACCATGGAATACTATGCAGCCATTAAAAAGGATGAGTTCATGTCCTTTGCAGGGACATGGATGAAACTGGAAACCATCATTCTCAGCAAACTAACACAGGAACAGAAAACCAAACACCACATGTTCTCACTAATAAATGGGAGTTGAACAATGAGAACACATGGACACAGAGAGGGGAACATCACACACCGGGGACTGTCGGGGAGTGGGGGGCTAGGGGAGGGATAGCATTAAGAGAAACACCTAATGTAGATGACGGGTTGATCGGTGCAGCAAACCACCATGGCATGTGTACACCTATGTAACAAACCTGAACATTCTGCACATGTATCCCAGAACTTAAAGTATAATTAAAAAAAAAAAAAAAAAAGAAAGAAAGAAAGAAAAAGAAAAGAAAAGAAAATTTAGATCAGAGAGTGTGTTCTGGGCTTGTGAGTCCTGGGCTTTACTAAGAACATAAAAAGAACCACTGTATTTTACAGTATAATCAACTGTTTAAATTGCCTCAGACTTGGGTTCTGATCTGAAATGGAAAAGGCTGTCTGTTTTTCTTTATAATAAAATAGAGAATATGACTTGTGAATCCCATTCTTCAGGACAAACTTTAGTTGCTATTGGTAGATATAAAGTAAGAATCAGCATTCCAGGTACGTTTTACAAGACTTTTTCCAGCCAGACTCTCTTTGCCTTGGGAACAATTACAACCTTGACTTCTACGATGGATACAGAGTAGCAAAGCAGAGACAGTCACTGGAACAAAGGAGTCACAGTGAATATTGGTTTTTGTCTTTCCAAAAACAGATTTTTGAAATAAACACTAACTTGAGAGATTTTATGTGTACCAGTTCATCTGTAACATAAGTTACTTTAAAGCACGTCCAAACAGTGTTTTCAGAGATTATGAAAATTTTATTAATAAAGAAAATCTGCATTACACATATCCCCTTTAAAAACAACCACCTCAAACATGTAGAAATGCTTTATTTTGTATTTGCTATTTGATCAATGCCAGAAAAATGAATCCACAACACCAAAGTACAGACCAGTATTTTTGAAGGGGATAATAATCATTTGAGATAATAAACTACTAGAAAATCAGAAGAAATGATTCAAGGTATTCATTTCAAAGGCTAAACCACTAATTCTTCATCCAAATGAATGTTTCCACTGTGAGTCAATACATTTGCCATCAGTTCTTTTTAATGCTATCCTGAATACACAATATACACCTAAAAACATGATAGAGTGCTCTGAGAATAGCAAGAACTGATAGCCAACATGATTTACAGAAATTTATGGCTATGTAGCAACGGTTCAGAGACAATCTCTAGAAAATATGAAGGTACTCTTCATGATAGGAAAGGATTGGTTTTGCAGGGCAGCTTTTAAGTTCATTTCTGATTGTCTTTAAATAACCACTCTACCTTTGTCCCTTGATCTCACCCCTTGCTAAAATTTTATAAACATATTCCAGACATACTGCATGCAAAAAGGGAAGTATAAGAATATTAAGATTCTCATGCCCTGGACATGAATAGAAAACATGTACATAATGTGTTCTCACTGTCAGAACAACCTATAGAAGTGTAAAGCTGGAAACCCCTCAGTAGAGAGATATACACTTTTAATCCAAAGAAAAAAAACAGTGAGGCCTGTTACTTGACTACAGTTTCCAGGGCTCTGGTGTAGCTATATTTTAGGCATAGCTCCAAGGAGCAGCCTACACAAATTTGGATGGAGCGAGGGAGGCACAGATGGTGGTCACGTGAAGGCACAGACCGATCGAGTGGGCTCGGCTACAAAGTCTGTACATTTAGGCTGGTGTATTCCTCCTGTTTCAAGTACTGCCAAGTCCCGGCTCTTCCCCGTCTTTCCAAAGTCTTGATTCATTTAATTCTCCTGAAGGAGGTGGAAGAGGAGGAGGGTTGCACAAATCTTACTCTTTCGTGGTTTAGAGGAGACAGTCACCATCTTGGCGCCTTGTCAGATTTTAAATGTAACATTCTGCTAAGTGTAAAGCTGTGTATCTGTTCCTTTTCTGTTGCCATTATTGTAACTTCAATATTTGCAAAACACAACATCAAAATACTTCAAATCCAGCCCAAAGCGGTTATTCATGCAACACAATTCTTACACTTATCAATATACAGCGAGCTCATAGCAAAGGGATCTTTTCTTTCTTTCTTTTCTGTTTAGTTCTTTCTATTTGTTTATGATTTTTTTTCCTTGGGGACTTAAGAATGATTTAATCATACAATAGTAATATCCCCATTTTATATATGTATAGTATATATGTGTGTGTGTGTGTGTATGTGTATATATATATATATATATCTCCTGACGGTTATACTATTATAAAGCTTATTACAATGTCAACTCTTACAAGTTGCATTATTTAGAAAAAGGAAGCACAGAAGCTAAAATGATTCTACCATTTGAAATACCCTGTGAATTACTGGTAAAGCATAGAGCACCTTAAGGATATACAGAGTCTTAATTTTTAAATATAAAAACTTGTAGTGTTCACTATAAAATGTTGTTGTTAAAGAAATTCGGGATGTGCTTTCAGTGGTGCCTAATTCACGGTTACTAGCATTAACTGCTACTTTCTTACTCTTTAAAGGATGGACTACAACATTCCAGATTCTCAGTTATTTTCTTCTTTGTGTAGGAAACTCAACCAAAAATCAAAATGGATTCAGTTACTGGCTTTTTTTTTTTTTTTTTTTTTAATAGGGCACAAGGTATTTTACAGGTCCTCATCATTCTGCTTGGTATTCTGTTGGTGTAACTTTTGTGTGTGATAAATTCTGCTCCAGAGACTTATCCTCTAAGCTCTCCAATGTGTCTTTTTAGCTGGAGCTAATGTGTAGGAAGGCCATTTTTAAAGCAAATCAAAACATTAAAAGGTTTAACATCTGTTAATCGGGTGTTTTATCTAGAGGACATAAAAGATATTTACAATCCTCTAGCTTACCGACTTAACGCTTTCCTTTATACTGGATATTTATATTGTGTAGAAATTGAAACCATTATCACAATCAGTGGAATTATTCCACTTTCTTCTAAGACAAGCAGGAAAATGTTTTCCTTTTAGGTTAGAATTTCATGATTAGTAAAGTGTATCAATAGGCAATGCGGAGAGGCGAATTGAACTCAATTATTATCTTAATTTCTGCTTTCAACAAAGCATACTGATAAAGTTCTTGATACCATTTATGTTTCATGAATTTCCATTTTTAGCTCCTTCCTTAAAATATGGATACAGTTCAGAATTTAATAGCAACAATAATCACAGAGAGAAGTCTCCCCACCTTGGGGCATTTGTGCTTTAAACCACAGTCACTTAAAAACAAAACAACTAAAACTACCCTCCAAGTCAAGGCCATATTGCTCAAATAAGAACTTCAAAACATTATTTTGATTTCCTAGGTTGACTAAGCATACGAATTAATAATAGGATTATGTATCAAATACAGTTTCATGAATGGAACACATCAGCATTACCCAATCTTCCTCAAACATAGATTGGTTGCCAAGAGAGATGCTTTTCAACATATCACAAATGTGCTGTTTGTATAAACACTTCCTATTACAAATGCTCTTGTTTTTGTTTAAATGGGTGTTTTTAACCTGAGCTATTAATAATTTTTTTTTTCCTTGTGGTGCTTGGCTTTCAGAAGAAAGAATCTTCAGGCCTCTGCTCTTGTGAGAGTAATTTCTCTTAACACCGACAGTGCAGCGTAAGTACAGTCAGAGCTCATTAAATAGACTTCTGAGCATAATTATAATTAACAATTAGCTAGAAATTAGTTTTAATGATTTGTTTTAGATGATAGAATAGAAGCATAATGTAATTATTTTTAAACCTTCTACATCATTTAGAATACAACTACCACCACCTTTCAATTATTGAGAGGCAATCATCTAAAGCATTTGGCAAGTGATCCACTTACGGAGCCAAGCTAAGGGAGCTGAAGAGAAGAGGCCGCCGCCCCAACCCAGGTGTTGTTAGTTATCTAGCCTTTTGCAAAGCCTCTTCCGTTTCTACTCTGCTCTTTAAGCTATTTCATGCCTTGAAGATGTCTCTACCAGGGAAAATAAAGAGATTCAGCTCTTCCCCCACCTCCTGCCTGTCTCCAAGACAGAGTGGGGCTGATGACTGGAGGTGGGAAGGACTAGAGGAAGATGCCACAAAATTTAGCAACTGGGCCTGAAATTCACCATTCACACCATCAAACTGGACTAACAGGAAAGAAGATTATGTAAGGAATGGATAAAATGAGTTAACAGGAATTAACTCCAGACTGTAAAGATAGATCTATGCCATTCTTTCCTTGTTCAGTGTTCTGTTAACTTTTAATATCCCAAAATCAATTTGGATCTTGCTTTCTCTGCAAGAATGTTAAAAAAAATACAATAGAAACCTGAAGAAATGCTCTTTTGTTTCATAAAAATATAAAAATATTCAATTAGAAGAGTGACTTTTATTGTCAATTTTTTTCCTTTCTTTGTTTAAAATTTTTTTTTGTTTGTTTAACCTCAGCTACTCCATGTGCTACTTTCTCTCGCAACTTTGAGCAAGAATGTTAGATCTTTTGCTGGGGGCCTTCGGAAGCCGTGAGGGAGCATATCCTGACACCCACATAGAAGACCTGGTACCTATGTTTCCACATCACAAAGCAGGCCAACAAGCACACAAGGCCGCAGACCAAATTAAGAATCATCTGGATGAGTAAGAACAGTTTGAAAGTGCCAGTGACGCTGGTACAGTCCGTCACATCCCGGTAAACAAAGGTCCTGCTGAGCGGCTCCGAGGAGGGCAGTTTGCACTGGCAAGAGTCGAGTGTGGTCTCACAGGTAAACTGTGTGAGCTGCGAATAGTGGTGGGCGGCAAAGGCCACGGCCAGCACACAGACCGTCAGGCCCAGGGCACTCAGCAGAAAGTATAACAGCTGCAAGAAAGCAGAAGAAAACCTTTCTGGTTACAAAGAACATTGGATGATGATTTGCAAAGCGAATTCATCAAAACTGTTCTTTTTCTTCCCTCCCAGAAATTTTCTGATGGAAAGGCTGTCTCTTCTTAGAAACACAACACCCAAGACATGGAAATAGCTCCATGTTTATTTATTAGTGGGTAGTTCTTAAACCCTGATCACATTTTCACTTGCCATCCAGATGTTGGGCCCTTTTCAAGAGTTGTGACAACCATATTAGCTGGACTGTGGAATGTTTTTGTCTAGATATTGCCAGCAGTTTAGATGAATCCCAAACAAGCTAGCCATCCCTGGATGACATGTTGTGCTTATTTTGAACTCAAGAACTTCTGATATTAAGACTGAAACAAGACTAGGAAGTAAAGAACAGGTTTTTGTAATGCAAACACTGTGTGGGCCAAAATTAGCAATGATGGGTCAACTAATAGCATAAGTTAATTTTTTTAAAAGACTACATTCAATGTAGTGATTGCCAAACTGTATCCATAAACATGAGAATCCCCAGTAGGAGGTTGCTGGGAGAAAATAAATTATGGCTCCAGAAGTCAAGTGACTCAACGTCAGCTTCATCGCCTGTGAAACTTACCCCAAGCCCAACAACGACCATGTGATTCCTGAGCCTGAAAAAACTCTAAATGGTTCCTCAGTCACCAAGGTTTTGAACACTGTTGGCCTCCAGATTAGCTTTGGGATTGAAAAAGTCTGGTTAAAGTTCTCGCTCTGCTGCTACAGGGCTGTGGGAACTCTGAACAATTTAGGGATTTAGCTTACACCTAAAATATTCTGAGCAAAACTTGTGGGTGTTCACTGACATGGCCACAATAAAATCTATGGAACAAGAAATATTTTTGTGATTGAACTCACCTACTAGAAATGTTAATCTTAATGGTCCACCTGCTGAGACTCTAGGTAAGGCTCAGAGTCCCCAGCTTTTGAGACTAGTACACATAGTTCTTAGTGCAAGAATTACATTACCACAGTCAAAAGTTGCTCTCTACAGAGAACAATTCTGGTAAATGGACACTTCACAAAGTAATATTAGTTCCAGTCATTTCCAGGTTCAGAGGAAAGTAGCTCTGAGAAGATGATGCCCTTCCCCCACCTTCCCTTATATATAATTCAAAATTAAAACATATATGTGACACTACAAAATATGTGTACAAAAGTCCTCCAAATGAGTGTGTTCCACACAGTGATGATTTCAAGTGTTTTCAAGTCTTAAATTTGGAATGCTGTATTTACATTTTTACTTTTTCTTTTTCTTGAGTGGTATGTGTGCATGTATGTGTGGGTGTGGGTGTACATACTGGTTGCTGGTGCCCTAAGCTTATCTCTGGTTTGCCTGTAAGGGAATCCATCAGGGATTACATACAGCTTGACTGTCTATCTAAGGTCACTGGAAGAGCGTAGAATTAGTTAAAGCCATTTTTTTCTTAATACATCTTAATTAGTATCATGGATTCTTTAGATCTTTTCATCAAAGAGATCTTAAACACACATTCTTTTTCCTCTTCAAATCATTTAAAGGATTGTCAGATGTAACCTAAGTATCTTCATCTGTGAAACAGTTTATAGAAACATCTTATATCTCAGGGACATAACAATGATTATACTCAATATTAGTGTTCCTTGGAGGAAGGGAACCAGATATATACAAAGTGGTACCATCATAAAAAAAATTTTTTTTAAGAGATGGAGTCTTGCTATGTGGCCCAGGCTGGTCTCAAACTCCAAGCCTCAAGTGATCCTCCCACCTCAGCCTCCCAAAGTATTGAGATTAGAGCCGTGAACCACTTCGTCTGGCCCTCAATATTTTCAGTGACTACATTTTATGCAAAAATTGGAGTTTTTAGCCTAAAAATATGGATTTATTTTGTAGAACCAATGGGGAAGAATATTTGAACAATTCTGGGTTGTTCTGAAATATTCAGGCTTGATTACTGACTTCAAACTCTTGGTGCCAAGAGCCAAATTAAACTGTCTTGACCATGTTCTGTGTGTGTGTGTGTGTGTGTACCCATCGTAGCTGTATTCCCAGTACAGCCAGCAGAGAACTGGGAACAGTTTGCTCTGGGAACAATGGTATATCTATGATTTTAACCAGGGAAGGCCCAGGTTAAAGTGATCATTTCCCACCTGGTAGTCATCTGCTTAGTAGAATGGCCCCAAATGGAGTTTTCTCTACCTGTTTTATCACCAACAATGGATGGAAGTTGGGGGCGGGGGTCTTGTGATAACCTTCCTACCTCTAACATACATACATCCTTAAATAGCAATTTCTTTTTTTTTTTTTTTGAGACAGAGTGCAGTGGCTTGATCTCAGCTCACTGCAACTTCTGCCTCCTGGGTTGAAGCGATTCTCATGCCTCAGCCTCCTGAGTAACTGGGACTACAGGTGTGTGCCACCACACCCAGCTAATTTTTGTATTTTTTTTGATAGAGACAGGGTTTCACCATTTTGCCCAGGCTGGTCTTGAACTCCTGACCTCAAGTGATCCTCCTGACTCAGCCTCCCAAAGTGCTGAGATTACAGGCATGAGCCACCGCACCAAGCTCCTTAGATAGCAATTTTCTGTAACATTTGTTGGGCAATATCTTGAAGCAATGACAATAATCCCTCATTCTCAATCTGCAAATAATTCAAATAGTTGAAAAAGATTTTACTCATTCATGATAGTCACAAAAATCCATTTGCTGAAAATGGGAATTTTGTCTATTTTTAAAAGATGACTTTTTGGCTCAGAGATTAAAAGATGTGCCCAAGACCATTTAACAAGTGCGCAGCAGTACTGGCTGATGATTAACAGCGTGAACCAGGGAGTCAGGTTCTCCCCTCACTAGCCATGGTCCCTGGGCAAATTCATCAATCCCTGTGCACCTGTACTTCTTCATCTGTAAACTTGGCATGATGATCATAATAGCACCTACTTCACAGGATAATTACAAGGATCAAAAGAGTTGATGTCTGTAAAGAACTTAGAACAGCGTCTGGTATACAGGAGCCTATTTAAGTATTTGTGAAATAATAAGCAAATTAGTAGGGATGGAAAGAGCTGCCAGTTCTGAGGACTGAGGATATTAATTCGACTGCTTTTGTCTTATTTTGTCATGTGGGAGTAACAATGCATTCTTGGCTTGTAGGAAGGATGTAAACATTTACACAAACACAGTGGTTGCTCAATTTTAATTAAACCGTTTATGCTAGAACCCAAAGAGAACATAAAGAAAAACCATGCCCCTTAGCTTCTCTGAGTATGAATAAATTTATATCGTGCGTATCTATCTCACACTTTAGTGACTCGGCTTCTCCCACTCCGGAAAGCATCAGGCCAAGTAAACTAGAGAAAGCCACGGAATCAAGTTTCTTATCCATTTTAAGACATAAATATATACTCGATCCCCCCTAAAGCCTGCAGGCTTTATCTGCAGCGCTGTGGCATTTTTCCTTCATGGCTTTTAACTCATCTGACAGCAACAAGCTTCTGGGTTAGAATCTGTAATTTAAAATCAAGTGGCTTGTTTTACCTACATGGCACGAATACACTATAAGGAAGAGTGTTTACGATGACCTTGAGAATCCGAGCAAATATATCTTGATAAAAGCCCGGCGCGGGAGGCA
Organism: Homo sapiens; assembly: GCF_000001405.40. Lineage (NCBI taxonomy): Eukaryota > Metazoa > Chordata > Mammalia > Primates > Hominidae > Homo > Homo sapiens. The sequence continues at coordinate 26,227,049 of NC_000012.12, read as the reverse complement.
TCTGTCTTGCGGGTGTCAGCCCATCAGCCCGGCGCTGCGCAGCGGGCGGAGGCGCGGTGGCCCCGGGCGCTTATGTAACAGCAGCGCCCGGGCGCGTCTCCGCTCGCTCGCTGCCTTTAATTGGTACCCGGCCTGCAGCTTTCACGTTCGGTGACCTCGGGAGGAGGGTGTTTCTGCTCCAATTTAATTACCTTCCCCGGTGGCCTGAACGGGAAGGGCCCTTCTGCAGCGCACTGCTCGGGAGGAGGCTGCCGCAAGCAGCCCAGGGGCCTCCTGGATGTGGGCAGGAGGGAACGTGCCCTGGAATGTTTCCGCAGGCACATGCCCCCGACACGTTTCCGAACCTCCAGGGGAGCCCTGAGAAAGTCAGGCCACTAGGAAAGGCAGGAAGCGCGACCTGCAGCCGATGCCCAGCCAAGCCCAGAGGCAGAGAGGCAAAGCCCAGGGAGGAAAAAGGAACGCGCTGGTGGCATCGAGGGCCTGCGAAGGGACCCTACCCCCAATCCCCGAACCCCCAGAGGGCTGTCCCAGCTTGAGAAAAAAAAAAGAGCCCGTGGCTATTTTCTCTAAGCGAAAGGGAGGGTGCGTGTGTGTGCACGTGTGGACTACAATGAGACTGTCATCATGGCCCGTTTGCTTGTCCTGGCTATCTGGGCATTCAACAGGAGGAAATAAATCCTCTAACAAAGCTTAGGCCAGGGTCCCGAGATGGGGGCACCAAAATGCGGCTATGCTGATGAGAAACGCCCTATGAAGATGCATGTTATGCCTTCGCCCCCCCAGTAGTGTGAGAAGCATAAGGGAAGTCAGCTGTCCCCTGTTGTGTCATTGGAAAATCTGGAGATGGGCTGAAGCTCACTTTCAACCTGAAGATAATGTAGCATGCAACCTTAGAGAGCTAGCAGCAAGCATCAAGAAAGGTCACGTTCAGGAGAAGAGGAAAGTGCCTCAGTATTTGCCAATGCCTGTCACGGGTGGAAAAAAAGAGGTAGCTAATGAGATCTTCCTAGTGGGGAATCCTCAACCTGGCTGACATTGGCAGTGACTTTTTTTTTTTTCTATTTTTTTTCTCTTACTCCCTATTTTAACTAAGGTGCAGATGCTGAGATGGCATTGGGGTCTCTCTTAAGCTGATGCTTTTGACTCTGCTGTTTTCTGGGATCATCTGGGGGGAAAATGAGGGTATTTCACATAAACTAATAAAAACCTAGTTTGGGGTGTTCTTCAGCTACTGGATGAAGTTCTTGTAATTTAACAGGCCATTTCTTACTAAGCTTTCTGGCTTTTTTTTTTTTTTTTTTTTTAATCACCAAGCCTTGCTGTTTAGTCAAACCTCTCCAAACAAATAGTAAACATAGACTGATGTCTACTCTATCTGGCCTTCTTTCAAGGAAAGTCCTCAGACAGAAAAGTATAATTTCCAAATGAAGGCATATCCACCAAAATTCTAACTTCATCATTTAAAAAAGTAGTATCTATTAACTGTTTACTTAGAAAAGTTATAACTATTGGAGAACATTTCAAAATTAGAGAAAAACTGCAAAATGCAAATATAATCCCACCACTCATAGATAATTGTATTTTCTATGCTCATTAAGAGCTTTTATTTTTTCTGTAGGATAATATCATACATTTTGTGTAACCAGCTTTTTAAAATTAGTTATTATAATGTAAATGTTTGTATCTATTAATTACTTTTTATAGCATGATTTTAAAAGATATCATCCCTTTGCTTTTTTATGTCAACAGCTTCAATTATACTGGAATCTTCCAACACACCTTATTTTTTTCACCTTAGTAACTTTCAAATAATGTCATTCACTTACTTTTATGTCTGATGTTTTCTCATTGTAGTGAACAAAAAAATCCAGTTTTTATATGTTTTCTTGTAGAAGAAAAAACAATGTTAGTGGACCAAATTAAAAAAAAAAAGATTAAAGATAGCTTTGTATTATTTGCTATAGTAGTTGAGAGAAAATGAAGGAATTTGCTTTCTACTAGCTCTGATTGCTAAGTTCTATGTCTATGTCCTTATACTCTGAAAGGTAGTGTCTTTGCTTCCCTTTGGAGTAGATTCTGTTGTGCAGTGAAAATGCTGTGTACTTGAATTGGCTCCAGCCAAATGCACTGTCCCTAACAGAAAAAAGATACACACAAATGAAAGACACACACGCTTGCCAAACCACGCATATCCCATCACCCGTCCCCCACTTTGCCCTGAGAGTCTTGGCACAGAGCATTTGGATGCGCCCAATGTACTTTTTCTGTCTCAGTGATCCCACCTACAAGAGGAAATACACTTAGACTGCTTCATTATTAAAATATCCCAAATAACCCCCGAGATATGGAAGTGGGCACTGAAAGAGATACCTTTTTTCTGGCCAAGTGTTTTGTTGAACTGATGAATTTTCAATATTCCTTTTAAGGGCACTGAAGGACAGACTTCATATCCTCCAGGCCAACCCAGTTCATGGAAATTAAGACTTAAAAAAAAAATCAGCATTACCTTTGAGGTCTGGATCAATGCCCTCTTAAAACATTTTTTGGCCTGCCTAAAAATGCAATTTCTAGACTAATCAGATATGCAACCCCTTAAGAAGGCACTCCTTTATTTTGTACTTGGATTTCTTTCTATGTGATGATAAAAGAGAAAGAACAATCACAACTTACTTTCATAGAAAATTGAATACATGTCCGTTCGTCAACCTGATATGAGACACAAAGCATAAACAAGCCAAGATAGGCCACTAAGCAGACCTGCAAGGGAGAACACAGAAGAAAGGATGTTATCAGGGTACGTTGTGCGTTCAAATGACATCAGTCTCAGTATCTTCCTGCAGTCACATCCATGTTATAAAGCTGTCCGTTTCTTTTACTTATCTTTATGTACTGTGTTTTTCTTTCAACTGGTGGAAAACCACTTTAAAATTAGTAAAAATCAATTGATTTCCACTTAGCCAGCATTTACTAAGTTCTTTTGATATGCCAGGTGCTATACAAGATCCTTCAGAGTATATGACGATGAATAAAGTTTACTCAGTGTTCATCAGTTTACAATCCGGTGAAAGCCAAAATGAATGCACACCAAATTCTAAGGCAGGACATTTCATGTTAAATATTATTCAAAGAAGTACAAAAAGAGGAAGAAATTACATTGAGTTGGGCGATATAAAAGGCTTCCATTACGACACGGATTTGAAATGGTCCTTGAAAGAAATGAAACATGATTACTAACATTAGCTGAATATTTACTACATGCTAGAGCTCTTCTAAGGGCTTTATATTGTATTCCTCCTGTAATTGTTTTATATTGTATTCCCTCCTATAATTGCTACAAAATCCTATAAGGTAGGTGATATTATGATTCTCATATTGTAAGTAAGAAAGAAAAGGCACAAAGCCTTTTCTTTGGAACCCGGATTCAAATCAGGTAGCTTGGGATAAAGCAGCACCATAAGCAATAGCACAGAGGAAGGGCTGCACAAAGAATGTGCTGAAAGAACAGCAAATGCACACCCATAGTTTAAAACAATGACATATAAGCGGGTGCGGTGCCTCATGCCTGTCATCCCAACACTTCGGGAGGCCGAGGCGGGTGGATCACCTGAGGTCAGGAGTTTGAGACCAGCCTGGCCAACATGGTGAAACCCGTCTTTACTGAAAATACAAAAATTAGCCAGGCGTGGTGGTGCACACCTGTAATCCCAGGTACTCGGGAGGCTGAGGCAGGAGAATCGCTTGAATCTGGGAGGCAGAGGTTGCAGTGAGCTGAGATTGTGCCATTGCACTCCAGTCTGGGTAACAAGAGCGAAACTCCATCTCAAAAAAACAAAAAACATATAGAGCAAAAAGGGTAGGATGAATATCTGGGGATACGGGATGGATTTAGTAAGTAGCGGTACTCCCTTGAAAATTTCTGAGCAGGGAATGACATGATTTGAGAGACACATTTCAGGAAAATTAGCAGTGATGTTGGGTGGGTTGGCAGTGAGAACATCAGGGTATTATTTTGCTAATCTGAGCAAGATCAATATATCAGGTGAACCAGAGCTCAGATAGTAGCATGCAAATTCAGAGAAAGAGATGGGGAGGACAGGCATAGTAAAAGCTGAATCTATACATCTTGGCTATTGCATAACTGATGGGAGGACCTGGAGAGGGAGAAACCAGAAGTGACCTCCAAGCTTTGGTGTATCAGTGACAAAAAGACGGTGGACATGCCTGCTGAAAGAAGGCTGGCCAGAGAAACAGCAGCTTTGAGGCAAAATATACTCAACCTGTTATTTAAACCGCATTTTATTTTTCATGAACTAGACTTTTTAGAACTAGGATTTAGAGTTTCTAATCAAAGTATATCTATTCACATTCAATTTTGGAAAGCTTAAAACATTGATAAAGTTCCACACTTTCAAAATAGAAAACATAAGCAACAGAATTGCATTTCCTGATAAGCACAATTATCCTAGAGACAGAAGTTGAAAGAGCAGCTGAGAGTCACCTAGCAAGTCATTAAACAACTGGTTTGCACATATTCATAGTTCCTACCCCAGGGCCAGCTTCAAACCATAGGCCAGATTCAAACCATATTTCCTACCCCAGGGCCAGCTTCAAACCCTGTTAGGGTGGAGAAACTGTTTGCAAAGGCAACATGGCATTTTCAGGTAAAACTTCTATCCTCTTCTCCCTTCGGTTACATAATCAATAAGCTGCCTATGCCCTCATCCACTGCCAAGTTGTAGGTTGTTCAGATTTCTACTGGACCATGAAGTCAAAAGCCAAGCCTTCTCTTACTATAGACTGTTTCCAGGGTTTTCCATCATTGAATGGAAATGGCTGCCTGGTTTAATAGCAGGATGGAATATTTGCAGTGGAGAGACACAGCATTAAAACATGTGAGCATGGCATGGACTGGAGAGATCTGGAGAGAAAAGAAAACAGATAGGACCCAGGGAGGCAGCTTTTCAGCAGAAGACTGGCACATACAAAAGTAAAGATACTGAAGTTATTCATGTAGCCCCTAACATGGCATTTTCAAGTCAGGATGAAGCTTTTTTGTAAAGCTCATTTGTAAAAAATACTAAATTGAAGGATAAGTTTGATAAGAACTGTAGGGGTTTACTATTTATTCTCACATTAAGAATTTATAAAACTTGAAACAATCAAAGAAAGACCTACTTTTTGTTTATTGGTGACACACCAGATTGAGGTTTGTAATCCTGCTTATATCCCTAGGCACATGCCTGTGAGTTTCTGTCTGTAGGTGCACAGGGTCAGGCTCTCCCACGTAACTGCCTTCTTCGCTAGAGACTACCAGCTGAAGTTGGCAATTACCAAGACTTTCCTCTTTGTCTCCATAAGAGACACATTCCAGTAATAAGGCCTAACTAGCACCTTAAAAATCTGATTCAGTGCGTCTACTTGAACAAAATTTCTAATTTCAGCAGTAGCTACTTCTTTGTAGCCTTCATTTACCCTGGCTTCCAGAAAGAAGTTGCATAGGAACACATGACCTCATTCTAGAGCATTTGACTTATTCAATTCACAGAATTTTATGGAGGACATACAATAAGCAGGCCCTGTGTTATTGTATGATCCTGGGAAATGAGAGATGGCAAAACAGGCCCTTACACCAAGGACTATCCAGCATCTAAGGATCTCCCAGTCCAGTGGGAAAAGAGAGGATAATGAGTTGGAATATTGTAAAAGTACTAGGACTACATCTGCTATAGGAATACCCAGAAGGAATGACTACCCTGATGAAAACTTCCTGGAGAAAGATGAGTTTTGAGGATATGCAGAAAGTGGCTAAAAGGAGAGTGTGAGGAAAGGTATTCTGTGCAGAGAGAGTAATAGTACGTGCAAAGGCATGAAGAAAGGCAGAGTAAACATTTGAGGATTCCTCTAGGTCCAGTGCAGAGAAAAAAAATAAAAGGCAAAAGATGTGTTTGCAGCAATAGGCAGGAAGTAGATCACAAAGGACTTTGATTTCAACTAGGACATTTTCAGCAGCAGAAGGGCATGGCTGACTTTGCCTTTTAGAATGGTCCTTCTGGCTATGAAGAATGGATTGGATGGGAGCAATTCTTGGGAAGAGAAGATCACCTAGAGGCCATTCTTCACCTGAGAAATGATAAGTGTCTGAGCTCAGGTAGAGGTAGGGATAGGGAGTGGGTGTGTTTGAGTGACAGTAAAAAAGCTGAATCCATAGGCTTTGAAGACTGATTAAGGTAAAGATGTAAGAGCTGAAGAGAGGGAGAGATCAGGAAGGTGCTGCCAGGTGGGTGGTGTGGACATTTAATGAGATAAGATAGAAAAGGAGGGGCAGAATGGGAGTGGGGAATGATGATCCCACGTGGACACAAATCACAACTATATGGGCTTAGAGCTCAGGAACGAGGCCTGGGTTGGAGACAAGGATTTGTTAGTCATCACCATATGTGAAGCAATTGACACCATAGGAAACAGTGGCCCATCCAGAGAGAGTCTGAAAACAGAAAAGGGCCCAGTTATGTTAGTTAGTTACCCAGTTATGAAGAATCTTTGAATTTTTTGAACAGAAAGCATCTCGGGTATATTTCTTATAATTATAGTTCTATGTCATGTCATATCTAAAAATCATGAAATGGATTATCCTTTTAGATTTGTCCTTTTAGATTTTTGAAAGCTTCAATTTAGGTTCTTGTACAGGGTATTTGCTATAAAGCTTAAATGTATTCAACATATTTTAATTTCTTGGCCTTCTGATAGGGCTTGATATGTTCTAAGGTGAGAGGGGACTGTCATTTTTTTTTTTTTTTTTTTTGCCTACAGCTTTGCATGTTGTAACAAGACTTCTTTATCAAAGAGTTTATTGATGTTCAGTGTAAGCATGTTTTAGAAGGGTAGGCTTTACTGGTACTGAAAACTGAAGGTTTTCTGGCCATGGAGAGAAAACCAGATTTCTCATGGTAGACTAATGGTTTTGTCTCCTGAGTTGGCAGGACGTGGACGTGCCAGGAAGACACGGCATTCTGGCTTCCCAGCAGGGAAGGGGGAGCTCATGTTAATGGGCAGTGAGACCCGTCAGGCCTATCTGGAATGACATTCCTAGAGTCCAGGCCAGAGCTCCCATTAGATATGGTGAGGTGAAGCCCATGGCACAGGAAAAGGGGAGTTATGTAAGGTTTTCAAGAAGGCGCTTGTTGGACCAGACACCCAGATGGTGGTGTCACAGAGCACAAAGGCAAATGGCACGTGTGTGGCACTGGGAAGGCTAGTGCTGAGAGGCAACAGGGCAACTAGCATTTAAGAGCTTGTTAAGATTTAGTCAATGTGCATGTAAATAATTAAGTCGATAAGAAAAGCTTAAAGTGATTTTTAATGGAAAAAAGAAAGACGGTAATCATCACTTTATTTTTGGATGTGTGTTTCTACAATTGGTTTAGCGTGAAGAGAAAACTGAAGTCCTAAATTCCACATTCTGCCTGAAGATATCTTTTTGTCCATGCAGAGTGAAGTCTGCATTCTCTCTTGTGAGCTAGAAAGTTAGACAGGGCTGAAATGGTCTCTGAATGTTAAATCCATTTTTTGTGGATGTGCGAGTCCTGAGTCTTGTCACACATTGTCTTTGTCTTTGTTATTTGGCCTATTATAACTGCAGTGGTGTCTTTTGAGGGTTTGTATTATGAATAAAAGGTAGATACTGGACCAGTGTCTCGGAGATTTACCTGCTTATTATTTTTTTTCCCTTTTGGTCTTGTCATAGCTGGAAGGTATCATCCTAAAACATTTTGTGAGAATGAGAATTATTGGTATTTACTCTCTCCATGTCATATGTATTTATATTCTGGTCTTGTGACATTCACACAACCTCCAATTTATTTGTTTTCTTCTTTTTGTTGTCAACAGAGCTGCTTGACAGGGTTGTCTGGGGAATACAACCTTACCCTGTCAAATGCCTTTCAATGTTTTTCTTCTCCTTCCTTACCCCCGTTTCATCGTGTACCTGCAATGGGACTCTATTTCTGTAAGTTAATCAACTTTCACCTTTGTATTTAAAGTGCTTTAATCCAATCAATATAGTAACAAGATGAACTCTCTTCTCATGTTTACAAAATCAATTGATCACCAAGAGAAGTAGCAGAACTGTAAATGTTTCTCCAGATATTTCTTAAGAGAATTTCTATGGATTGTCATCTATTTAATATACATTAAGATAAAGTATTAGAAGTGATTTTCAACAAATGATAAATATGTTACAGTCTGTTAATTGAGGATAGTCTTAGGAGGACTGTTAACACATAATAGACCAGAAAATTAAATGACATGCAACAGAACATTTCACACGGATCAATTAAAGGCTGCTTATCCAATCAAGATTCCAGAAAGACTGGAGAGAATATTTTAGCATGACTTAAACATTTTTACTGGATTCTCATTGCCACTGCCTTATGGTAAGACAAAGCCTAAGAGTGGTTCAGGATCACTTGAAAAGGTGGGTAAATATTGGTCTTATCCTCAGAATTTTTGATCCAATAGGTCTGGGGTGAGGACTGACAATTTGCATTTCTTTTTTTTTTTTAATTATACTTTAAGTTTTAGGGTACATGTGCACATTGTGCAGGTTAGTTACATATGTATACAGGTGCCATGCTGGTGCGCTGCACCCACTAACTCGTCATCTAGCATTAGGTATATCTCCCGATGCTATCCCTCCCCCCTCCCCCCTCCCCCCTCCCCCCTCCCCCCACCCCACAACAGTCCCCAGAGTGTGATATTCCCCTTCCTGTGTCCATGTGATCTCATTGTTCAATTCCCACCTATGAGTGAGAATATGCGGTGTTTGGTTTTTTGTTCTTGCGATAGTTTACTGAGAATGATGATTTCCAATTTCATCCATGTCCCTACAAAGGACATGAACTCATCATTTTTAATGGCTGCATAGTATTCCATGGTGTATATGTGCCACATTTTCTTAATCCAGTCTATCATTGTTGGACATTTGGGTTGGTTCCAAGTCTTTGCTATTGTGAATAATGCCACAATAAACATACGTGTGCATGTGTCTTTATAGCAGCATGATTTATAGTCCTTTGAGTATATACCCAGTAATGGGATGGCTGGGTCAAATGGTATTTCCAGTTCTAGATCCCTGAGGAATCGCCATACTGACTTCCACAATGGTTGAACTAGTTTACAGTCCCACCAACAGTGTAAAAGTTCCTATTTCTCCACATGATTATCTCAATAGATGCAGAAAAAGCCTTTGGCAAAATTCAACAACCTTTCATGCTAAAAACTCTCAATAAATTAGGTATTGATGGGACGCATTTCAAAATAATAAGAGCTATCTATGACAAACCCACAGCCAATATCATACTGAATGGGCAAAAACTGGAAGCATTCCCTTTGAAAACTGGCACAAGACAGGGATGCCCTCTCTCACCACTCCTATTCAACATAGTGTTGGAAGTTCTGGCCAGGGCAATTAGGCAGGAGAAGGAAATAAAGGGTATTCAATTAGGAAAAGAGGAAGTCAAATTGTCCCTGTTTGCAGACGACATGATTGTATATCTAGAAAACCCCATTGTCTCAGCCCAAAATCTCCTTAAGCTGATAAGCAACTTCAGCAAAGTCTCAGGATACAAAATCAATGTACAAAAATCACAAGCATTCTTATACACCAACAACAGACAAACAGAGAGCCAAATCATGAGTGAACTCCCATTCACAATTGCTTCAAAGAGAATAAAATACCTAGGAATCCAACTTATAAGGGACGTGAAGGACCTCTTCAAGGAGAACTACAAACCACTGCTCAAGGAAATAAAAGAGGATACAAACAAATGGAAGAACATTCCATGCTCATGGGTAGGAAGAATCAATATCGTGAAAATGGCCATACTGCCCAAGGTAATTTACAGATTCAATGCCATCCCCATCAAGCTACCAATGCCTTTCTTCACAGAATTGGAAAAAACTACTTTAAAGTTCATATGGAACCAAAAAAGAGCTCGCATCACCAAGTCAATCCTAAGCCAAAAGAACAAAGCTGGAGGCATCACACTACCTGACTTCAAACTATACTACAAGGCTACAGTAACCAAAACAGCATGGTACTGGTACCAAAACAGAGATATAGATCAATGGAACAGAACAGAGCCCTCAGAAATAACGCCGCATATCTACAACTATCTGATCTTTGACAAACCTGAGAAAAACAAGCAATGGGGAAAGGATTCCCTATTTAATAAATGGTGCTGGGAAAACTGGCTAGCCATATGTAGAAAGCTGAAGCTGGATCCCTTCCTTACACCTTATACAAAAATCAATTCAAGATGGATTAAAGACTTAAATGTTAGACCTAAAACCATAAAAACCCTAGAAGAAAACCTAGGCATTACCATTCAGGACATAGGCATGGGCAAGGACTTCATGTCTAAAACACCAAAAGCAATGGCAACAAAAGCCAAAATTGACAAATGGGATCTAATTAAACTAAAGAGCTTCTGCACAGCAAAAGAAACTACCATCAGAGTGAACAGGCAACCTACAGAATGGGAGAAAATTTTTGCAAGCTACTCATCTGACAAAGGGCTAATATCCAGAATCTACAATGAACTCAAACAAATTTATAAGAAAAAAACAAACAACCCCATCAAAAAGTGGGCGAAGGACATGAACAGACACTTCTCAAAAGAAGACATTTATGCAGCCAAAAAACACATGAAAAAATGCTCATCATCACTGACAATTCGCATTTCTAACAAATTCCCAGGAAATGCTGATGCTGCCGGTGCTGGGATGAACCTTTTGAGAACCACTAGGCTAAGCTGTAAGCCCAGTGTTCTAAATGCTGATGTCTGGTGTAGGGTTTATCGAAATGGTTAGGGGTCCAGAGTGACACACTGACTAGTAGAATTTCTTATAGAGAGTCATTTATTATAAACAATAATATACTACTACTACTAATATACCATTTATGAATATTTACAGAGTGTTAAGCCCCGTGCTGAACACTTGACATGTATTCTTGCATTTAATCATCTCAAGAATGCATTTTTCAAGGGAGAGAAAACTGATGTTTTAGAAATGTAAAAGGCTAGATATACATTCATTGCCCCTGAATTGTTTGTATTACTATTGTGTTATAAAGGTGTTGGCTCCATTTGTTTCCCCATAAAGAAATTTAGTCTCTGCTATCATAGGAGTCCTTCAAATTGGGGGAGAAATCCCCATGTCTTCATTGCTATTTAAATATGACCTCATTGCAGAGCCTGTTTCCTCAATGTATCTGACTGGTGGTTTGAGGAACATCTCTAAATCATTCAGTGTGATGTGGCATTCTGCTATTGTTAAGGGGCATCAGCCACTCTAACCCAAAGCAAAACAATCACCTCTAAAATTGCACCACCTCTCCAGTGGTGTGATGGTAAATGTCTAACAACCAGTTAGAGAAAGGCTATTTGTAGCATTTGCTAATTTCCATGGTGTGACTACTTCTACCATGGCTGATTTCAAGATAACCAACACAAAGTCACTGAGCAAAGTTGTGAAGAGATGCATGCAATCAGCTGTCACAAGTCCATCAGCAATGCTCCAGCATGCTTCTGCACCTCCACCCCATTTCTGCCTTTTCTGGGTCCCTCTTTTGACAGAAGTATCTCATTAACAAGTGAGATTGGTTTGTATCTAAGTTTGGCACATTACTCATTACTAATTGCTTGGAATCCCTACAATCAGCCTACAGAATCTGTATAAAGATACAGAGGAGAGTGCCAAGGAGAAATCATAGTACTTATTTCCTGATTTGTGGGAATAGAGGAAGAATGGTTACAGCATAATCTTTGAGATCTTGCTATCAATGGCCACCCTAATCTAGGTATCACTCTCCAACAGAATTTAGCTCAACCTTTACTGTGGTAGGGACCGGGAGTATAAAGAAGAAGATATGGTCTTTGCCCTTTAGAAAATCACAGTTTAATCCCCAGAGGAACTGAGGCACAGGAAAATGTATTGCCAAGGGTAATGTCATTTGACCAGTCCATGCCAGATGTGAATATGAGCAGCTGACAGCAGCTTATACAACCCCCACCTTGCTGATCACTTATCAAAATCCCTCATCCATTTTATAATGTAAGAAGCATTGAATCAGCTTCCCCCAATGTGTTTTTTTTTAAAGGCAAAATTTTTGGTGTTAATCACATAGGGCTTAAATATGGTAGAATTATGAATGATATCCCCTTCCTATATTTGTTATTATTATTATTAATTCTTTTTCATTATATTTTTAGGTAAAAGCAAGATAAAGGAACACAAAATGTACTCTTTCCCTAATTGGATAAAGTGAGAAAGGTGAAAATGGCGCAAAGCATGAAACATCAAGTAACAGTTCATTCAATAAATGATAACTGCTTATTTGATTCTGTAAAATCAAGTATAGAACTATACACATAATTAAGGAGACAGGGTTACACAGTGGTAAGAACATGGGCATTAAAGTTTGCATCTTGACTCAAATTACTTTGCTAGCTAAATGATCTTGGACAAAGCTGTTTAATTGTTTTTAGCCTCAGTTTCCCTACCTATAAAATGGAGACAATAATGTCATGGTCACATAGCAAATATACTGTATATCACAGAATTGATGGCTGTGCTGTCAGAGTGCAGAGCCTGGCTCTTAGCCACTGCATGGTACAGCCACCTGCCTGAAGGAATCCTGACAGCACTATAAGCAAGAACTGCAGAGATCTGAAGAACATTCTACCATCTGCTCCTCTCCTGAATTGCTGAAGCACCAATCCTAAGGCAGTGTGAAAAAGAAAGTCTTTGAGGTCCAAATGACCATGCAGGCTGGGGGACCGTGACTTAGTCATTGAGACTCAGTCTTATCACATACAAAATGGAGAAAATGACAGTTAATAATTGGCTTTTAAATATCATAAATAACGTGCCTGGAATTGTAGTAGGTGTTTTCCCCCATCTCACAGGAACTCAAACTGTGCTCAAATTCAAGCTGAAAATGAATAACAGATGTAAATATAAGCACTCAGTCACAACTTAGAAATCGTCTCATTCTGCTCATTTAACAAATATTCCTTGTGTAACTACCATGTGCCAGGTACTCTTTGAGGCTTGGAGATACTACAGTGAAAAGAAGAGAGAAAAATCCCTACCTTGATGGGGCTAAAGTGGAGAGGCAGACCATAAACAAATAAGTAGATAGATAACCTGTCAGCTGTTGAGAAGAGCTATGGAGAATGTAGCAATTATCATCATAGCTTCTTTTCCCAACAAACATGACATACAGTGATTAGTAAAATACAAATAATAAATCCTTAAAGTGATATGTTCTCCCTTAAAAAATGAATTGGTAATGCCCAGCAACCCTTTAAAAAAAAGTAGATGTTTGAGAGCCTTGCTGGCTCTGTTATTTCAACAACATGCATCCACTATAAGTATCTAAGAATTCACAGGATTCATAGACAACCTATGAATGCCCCCGAGAAAGGACAACAAAAGGGAACTGTGAAGTATTACAGCAAAATGGGCCACATACCTAAAGACAGAGAACAAGGTGGTGCATGCATGTTAGCTCTGGGTCTAGTGAAATGGTTCAAAACCCACCTCCACCACTTTCTAGCTGACTGATGAAGTTAACCCTTGGAGCCTCGGTTTCATCATCTCTAGGATGATATTTTGCTTTCATAGCAAGGACCCACTTTTCAAAAATCTTTCCAACAATGTTAACATAGTTTGCAAATACCTAAGAGTTATAAAACTTCTTTTCCTGACTCTTTTTATTTCTGTTACAAACCTATATATAATCTACTACCCAGGAAATGCCAATCTTAGGAACTATGTCCCATGCCCAGCTGCATGTTTCTCTGATTACACTACTGTGGTTTTACAATGACAATCATTTAATTTCTGGAAAAAAAAATGCTTTTCAATTAAAACTATTTTTCTGGCCATATGAGATCCTCAAGTTAATATTACTTTTTTAAAAAACACAATTGTTTCAGCCAAACTTAGTGTGCAGATATCCATGGCGAATTCCAGAAGTAATAGGGGCGCAAATATAAAGCGAAGAGTTTACGGCAGAACTGACCACCAAGAGGAGGGAAGCATTGTAACAATCTGTCTCTAAACACTAACATTAGTGGACCAGCGTTAAAACTCAGAGCACTAATTATAACCTTGAAAAAAAAGTTTTTTCTTCATTTTATCTAACCAAGCTCAAAATAGAAGCTTCTTTTTCACTGTGAACAAAATCGTAGCTAGCAACAACTTTTTATGTCTAGGAAGCTTTGCGAATGACTACTTTATTTGGCCTATGATATATCTGGAAGATTTTCAATGCCTTTTCATTTGTCTTAGGTATTGCCAACCCCAGAGCTTCACTGATTTTACTTTTTTTTTTTCATTAGAGTAAAAGTTGCCGATGAAAAGCTCTAGTGTAGAAATCCTATTTATGGAAGAACTAAGTTCTGCCTGCCCACGAGGGGTTTGGGTTTCGACACAGAGCCTCATCTGGTCATTTCCACATCTTTCCAGGGAGTTGGGGGAAACAATTTGTAATACTGACTTTGCAAAGATGACATGCGAGATTATTTTTAAAAGAAGATGGTAAAAATCCAGGTCAAAATTTCTCAGGGAAAAGTCAATTCTAGACAAGAAATTCTATCACAGAAAAGTATTTCCTTTCAGGATCTAAAGAGAAAAGACACTTGCTCAATCACACCTAAGTCTAGCTCATGTTTAACATCCACCCCTTTATTATTTTAACTGTCATTCTACCTGAGGAGTTGATATCTGACAGGTCTACATCTGAATTATTGTAAATGTATGTATTTTCATATGAGCATGCAAAGACATTCAAAGTAAACAAAAATAAATGCTAATTAATTAAATTATAATGCAAAAGCAGGGCTTCCTCACCTACAACTTTGTTAAATTTAGATCTCTTTGGAAAACACATTGTAAAAACAAAATATCTAAGAATTTATGGGCAATTTTCTTAAGAAAATTTTGCTCATGCATTTGCCAGAAATGAGAATGGATTCACCAGTACTTTGTGATAAAAGTTCTGATTGGTTGGTAAAGAAGTATGGAATACTTATGTGCCAAGCCAAAGCGCTTTGTATGGCTAGATACATGCTTTCTAATTCAAAGTGGTAGGTTTTGTCATTGTTTGAAACTACTTGATAACTAGAATTTTATATAATTTTTCCCACCAAAGTTACATTGTAATTTGCATTGCTGTGTAGTTTAGCCAGATCTGTTGTCCAAGCACAGAAAGAGTGGGAAGAAAAATGTGCTTGTTAAGTGACTGCCCTGTTTCTCAGCACACACTGTGCTTTGCAGATGTTCACTTGTATCTCCTATGTTGCTTTATAGGATATTAGAAAACCACCCAATGGAACTGATAAAAATGAGTTGGAACTTGTGACCAGCAGCTGGATGAGAGGAGTGTGAATCCCCCAAATCTTATGGATATAGTGTGCTTTCTTTGATGTTCCTGCCAAAGTGAGGCTGGAAAGCTAGGAAGATCTGTAAGACGTGTGCCAGCACAAAGTGACTACAATTCAAAAGTTCCAAAAACCTTGCTTGAAACAATTGCAAATAGCTCATCATTTTAAACCAGTGAACCCAAGGCTGAGTGTTTCATCAATTTACAGAAAACCAAGAAGAGAAATCTGACAGCTATCCCAGTGTATGACTTACCATGGAGATCTTCAAATAGAATCACTTTGGTTTGGGTCTCATTTTCATATTATAACACAAATTTGTGTATGTGGGTTAAGATTCATATTTGATAGGAACTGCTGGGAATTCTTGCAGTTATATCCTCAAAAGACAAAATAAGCATAACCAACAGAATTGTGAAGCAATAAAGTTGATTATGGATGAAAACTGGGCTGAACAGTCATAGGACATGACTTGTTCCTTTGACCTAAAATGTGCTTTTCTTTCCTTATCTACCCAGTGTAATGGTACTACTCTTTCAACCATCTTGAATTCACTCACACTTATTCGTCAAATCCTGCTCAGCTATTCCCACTACCCACAAAGTGTACCTTTTTCGTATTCCTTACTTTTTATACATTAGCTCATTTTCCCCCAAACAATGCAATAAAGTAAAAAATATTACTCTATTTTATAGAAACTTGCAGCTCAGAAAGGATAAGAAACTTGCAAGTTGATCCAAAATAAATTTCTAAAAAGCATCAAAAGGTTTCATTTCTGCATAATATTAAGGACTAAATTATAGGAAAACTCTCTCCCTATAAAACACTGTAAAATGCTGGATAAAACGTAGCATCCCTTATAAAATGAAAAAACAATTAGCCCACTAGCACTGGAAGTCATCAAGAAAATTGTTCTGTCTCAACAGATGCAGGGGGGCAGTTTGAGGTTTTTCTACTACTTTCCTAGTCCTGGAACCTATTAAGATGAGAAAGTAACATGAAAGTGATCCTGAAAAAATAAACCAAAACCTGGCTATTTCAATAAATAAATTGTAAGGGGGAGAGAGACAGAGACAGAGAGAGAGAGACACAGAGAGAGAGAATAGAAAGGAGAGACAAAGGGTAAATTTTTGAGTAAAGGAAATGTTAGAAATATATGAGTCAACTGCAGTGTATAGATCTTATTGAGATCCTGATTTTGACAAATCTAGGAGGAACTATTAATGAGTTAATCATGGATATTTAAACAGTGGTTTGATTCTATTAAGAAATTAACTTGTTAGGTGTATTATTAGTATATTGATTATTTTTTAGTCTTCATCTTTCGACTTACATAGCAAAATATTTATAAATAAAATGATATAAAGTCTGGGATTTAGTGCAAAATAATCCACTGTGTAGTGTGTGTAGTGTGTGGGTGTGGAGGAAATATAGGAGCATACAGATAAGACAAGATTGAGCATGAGTTGATAGTTATCAAGGCTCGGTGATGAGAATATAGAGGTTCATTATACAATTGTATCTACTCTTGTGTATGCTTGAAATTTTTCATAATAAGTAAGTTAAGGAAACAAAGTGGTTCTAGGCCTGTAACATCACTGGGACATATGGCAAGACAAACCCATCTGGAAGGGTTGTACTCTCAAATAGGCTATATCAAGTTATCATACATAAAGCCTCTTGGAAGATGAACTCACAAACCAAAATTAGCAAACACTTGAAGAATTAATTATTAGTGAAGGCTAGCTCTTACATGCATGTACACACACACACACACACACACACACACACACACACACACACACGCTCTAAGAATCAGAGCTATAAGAATTCCAAATAATGGAAGTAATGAGCAGAGCCTATAAAAAGTACATTCAAAACAAACACATGAAGGAAGGAACTGAAAACATAAAGAACAGGACAGTTTTTAAAGCACCAGGGATATGTGAAAATAACATCAGTAACAACATCAGTGAGTTCTAGAATGAAAAATTAAAATTGCTGGCAGTAAAAACTCAAAGGACAAGTAAAAGGCAGATTAAACCTAAATGAAGAAGGGAAAAGTGAACCAGAAAATCTGAGAAAATAACCCAAGATACAGCACAGAGAGATAAAGAGAGATGAAACATACTAGACAGGATAAGAAATATGGAGGGAGAATAAGAAGATTCTAAATATACATCTGACAGCAATTCCAGGCAAAGGGAACAAACTTAATTTTAAAATTGAGTATAGAACCCTAAACCCCAAAATGAGAGAATCCACATTTTTCCCAAGCATTCAAGAACTGTTTATGAAGATTGGTCACAAAATAAGTCTAATCAAATATCAAATAATTGATATGAAAAACACATGAACTGAGCACAAAGCAACTAAAGTGAACTCAATAATCAAAAGACCAGATAAAAGACATTAGAGAAGACTCAAATAAATGGTGAGATCATCTTTGGTCATGTATAGAAAGTACAAATCCCAGGAAATTACCAAAAGTATTTTTCTTGGAACTTGAAAAGCCTATTCTAAAGTGTATATGCAAGAGAAAATGGCTAAGATTCACTGAGAAAATTTTGAAGAAGAATAAAATGAAGGAGGGTGGGTTGGGGGTGGGCTGCTTATCCATCATCTTTATAACAAGATGCATTATAGCATCATTTTAATTTAGACAATGGTATTGGCATAGTGATAGCCAAATAAAACAATAGAACTAAGGAAAATCACAAAGCAAATCTAATATGGAAACTTGACAGATGATAAATGGGTGTAACAGATCACTATGAAAGGGACCGATTATTTATTAAACGGTGCTAAAACAATTATCAATCCATGTGAGAAAAAATGTATGGACCCTTCACATCATTGCAAAAAGAAACCACTTATAATAAAGATATGAATACCCAAAAGCAAACCTTTAACATTTTTAGAAAATGGTATAGAAAAATATTTTTATGGCCTTGGAGTAGGGAAAAATTTCTTTAAACTACATCAAATCCATAAAAAAAAGAACTGATAAATATAAATATATGAAGATTAAATCTTTTTTCATAACAAAACACCATAAATAAAAGATATGATACCAACCAGAAAAAGATATTTGTAGTACCTAAAACCATAAAGATTAAGTAACAAAAGTAACAAATCCTATAAATAAATAAGAAACGAACAACCCATAGAAAATATTTTTTGAATAAATAAATGATAGAACACAAAATAAAATGGCCAATCAACATAAAATATGTTCAATTCCAGTAGCAACACCAAAATGCAAATTAAAACAAGATACCATTGCACACAAATAAGATAGGTAAAGAACTCTGATTTACCACTGGTGGAGGTGAGGTGTAAGTTAGTCCAATTTGGATTTGTGGTAGTGACTTGGCAATAGCTAGTAATTTGACGATGTCTATATCTTATGACCCAACAATTTGACTTCTAGGAATATGCCTTAACAAGACTTTATGTGCACAGGGAGTTATAGACAAGAATATCCACTGTAACACCGTAAATGCAAAATAAAAAATCATTTTTGAAAACAAATTTTCTTCAACAAGAGAATGAATTAACTGTTATATATCCCCCCCCCCCACCACCACCACTTTCTTTTGAGACAGGGTCTTGCTCTGTTGCCCAGGCTGAAGTGCGGTGGTGCGATCATGGCTCACCACTGTCTCAACCTCCCAGGTTCAAATGATCCTCCCACCTCAGCCTCCTGAGTAGCTGGAACAACAGGCATCTGCCACCACACCCAGCTAATTTCTCTACAAAAAGTATTTTTTGTAGAGACGGGGTTTTGCCATGTTGCCCAGGCTTGAACTCCTAGGCTCAAGCAATCCTCCCGCCTTGGCCTCCCAAAGTGCTGGGATTACAGGTGTGAGCCACTGTACCTGGCCAATGTTGTATATTCCTAACAGTGAAATTCAGTATAGCAAACATGAATGAATGATATCTGTGTACTATTATAAATAAATCTCAAAAACGATGTTGAGCAGAAATGATATGATACCATCTGTATAAAAATTAAAATATGACATGTTGGTTATGGATATATACAAATTTTCAAAGTATGAAAACAGGCTTATGCATAAAAAATACCAAATTCAGGATAGTACATATCTCTGGGGAAGATGGGAGGGGTAGGGGAATTTGATTAAGAAATGAAACATGGGAGACTTCAATACAATGTAATGTTTCCTTTCTTAAAAAATAATAAAAAAGCAATTATTACAAAATACTAAAATTTAGCAAAGCTAGGAATGGATAAGTGGGCATTTTTTTCTATGTTATTATGCATTATTTTCTATGTTATTATGCAATTGAAATGTTTATAATTTTAAAAAGCATAGAATTGCACAGAATTACTGACATTTGTTCAAATTCACATAGAAATGAAAATTTAAAAATCATTACCAAATATTTTTTGGAAAATGATTCTACATTAGTAGAGCCAGAATTCTACCCTTACTCCAAAGCTGGAGTCATTCCTCAAATTTCAGACCCCCTCTCCTTTCTTTTTCTGATCTTACCCTGAGGGTTCATCATGTTCTTCTCTGCGCTAGCACGGTACATTGTTTAAGGCACCACCTTGGCATTTTGTTTTTAAAACTAAATTGCAGTTAGTTGTACCTGTGTTTCCTCACCCAGAGACTAAGCTCTTGGGGGCACCATACCTGGTATATGAAAATACAGAGGGAGAGTGGCTAGGGTGTGGCTTCTACTCCTAACTAACTCTTGTGATGACTTACCAAAAACTAATCACCAAGTTCTATAAATACTTATTCTTGCAAAATAATCAATTTCCAAAGAATGTAAGAGAATCAAAGATTGTGTTCCAGCCTTTCTCATGAATCAACAGGAGGGGCAGAATTGTTACAAACAGTATTTGTGGGAAGAAATAAACAACCTATAGTTTATTTGTTTCACTTGGGGATTTTCAAGCCCTCAGAAGAGGGAAAGGAATCTTGCTGATGTGGATTGAGCCTACTCCGGTGGTATAGTCATGGGCTGGATTTCATTACTTAGCCATAATTAAGTCAGTTCTCAAATTAGGTCCCATTCTAGAAATGACTGCAGAGATAATTCTATATTAAACTCCTGGGTTCATATATGTTGAATAGTACAATAAATATAAACATATTAAATAGCACAGTGCATAGAAATTATACAGTAAATCAATATAAATTGAATTATGTAACATTGGAATGGGATTGTAAATGAGAGAACCATCTTGTTCAACCTTTAAAAATATTATCAAGTGGCTTTTCTAATTGAGAGTACTTTATGAAAAACAGTATGAGGGAACATAAAGTAATATATATTATAATATTACTTCTCCTTTGAAAGTGTTTTGTCCTTTTCAACATGAGGAGGTCAGTGTCCCCAAGCAGCCTGCAGCCTCTCCTACATTTCCCCCTCGCCTCCCATGGCAACACGGGTTAGCCAGACACTGAGCTTTTTGTGATGTGTGTGTGAGGACAGAGAGAAGGGGAGCAAAGCTTCAGGGAGGTCTTGAGGTGGAAAAATTTGTGACGCACACGATTTGGTGACTGAAGAAGAATTCTTTCTTGAGGGTTCTATAACACAATAGTTACGGTCACCCTATGTGCATTTAAAAATTCCTAGTTGGTCTCAAGCCCTTAATGCACACCGAAGCCCTTTAAGAGGCTTCTCAAACTACTTGTTCATGGAAAGATTATGAGACAAAGCCAACCTGTGTGGGTTTGGTCCTTCTGTTTCAGAACCTGACTACCAAAGAGCCTGGGAGAAGTACATAAACTTATTGAACATGTAACTCATAAACTAAAAGATTCAAACTCTGTACACAGAATTCTGTATGCGGTCATGAAGAAATCCCTTCTCATTTATGATCATACATTTGCCTTAGGGAGTCCGAGTTTGCCCTCTTCACTGCCTTGGGTGCCCCACTATCTTCCTGAGGTAGGCACAGTCCTCCTGCAAGTTTCTCCCTGAGAGAAGAGCACCTCCAACCTCCAACAGAATTGATGAGGACTGAAATGCTGTTGCCCTTGTCTTAGAAAATGCCTCCTTCATAGCTTTCCTGGCATAGCTAAATGTGAGATAGGGCTAAGCCTGTGAGATCAGGCTAATGGCCTGATATGCATGCCACACCTGATACTTTAGAAGGAAGCCAGCCAAGGAAGTGTTTTTTCCCCCACTTAGTAATAAAGCTAAAATTCTCTCGCTCGTCAAAGTCTAGTTAACACATTAGCAGCCCCCTCCCCCTTTTCTGGTCTCCTGTCATTATCTTCCATACAAGAGAGAGGGCTTGATAATAACATATCTTAAAGGGGTTTTTAATTGCTCCTTACAGTGAATGCTGAATCTAACGCTTTAAAAACAACTGAGTAGAATGCCACTTAAAAGCGCTTCCTCCAGGTTTCTCACCACCTCTCTCAGTACCACGGCACTCCCAGCCAGGGGAGAGTTGCTCATTTCTGCAAAGATTAGAAGCAGGTCCAACAGAACTTCTTCAGCAGAATCTGAGAATGCTCATTTGTGAACAAACTGTCTGCTTTCCAACGTCCCGTCACTTACTGGACTTTTGCCAGCCCCAGGAAACACCATAATGAAACACTCACATTTATGAAATTCACAATTAGGGACCGTGGCTCTAGCAACATTAGCTCAGAGAGCATCAACTTTAAATATGCTCAAAAATCAAACTGGAGAGCTTACAGTATCCCATCGTGGCCATCCCTTTTCGTTTTGGAACTGAGATTGGACCAATTGTTATGAAAGGCTGCATGTTTTAGTCTTCCCTGGTCTTTCCCTCTTGGGTGGCTTGGGTTTGTGCAATACAGTACTTAGTGAAGGAAAAGCAGAGCCCAGCTCAGGACTTCTTAAGTGAGGGAACAGAATCCAATGAGAAGCCCTTAAATGTGTGTCAAAATGAAGATCTACCAAAGAGTGAAGGCACCTACTAAAGGCTATTACCTCATAAGGCTCAAAGGGCGGGTGGGGGGTGCCCACAGTATGCAATCACCACCCCCCACAGGACAGCAGGCTTGGTCAATGGCTGAACATATAAGCATTCCCCAATGGTACCACTCAGCCAGCCACCTTTGCATCAGAAGCCAAAGTATCCTTGAGCTACATCTTGACATCAGGATACTCCCTGGAGCATAAAGAAATGCAGGAATTTACAGCGTGGAGGTTCCTAAGCCTTAAAGAGTTAATGCAGCAAAGGAAATGCCTAAGTTAACCTTAGAATTGTATTCACTAGCTAGATTTACTTGATTTTATTTTTACAGAAATTTGACAAAAGAAGCAATCTGTAAATGCAATGAAAACAGCTTCCTCCATATGTCTCACTACTGGCATGAGCACGGAGCCGCGCCACCCCATCGTACCTCCGTGTGTCAGATTACGGGCTCAGAATACCCCTCGGAAACACTCAGACTTCTAGCTGTTCCAAGAAAGCCGTAGGGCTTTCAATAATAAGCTGTAAAACGAGCTTAAGAGTCACTGAGGTTGCTGTGCAAATGTATAACCCTCACCGGAAATGCTATGGACTGAATTGTGTCCCCGTAAGTCATATGTTGAAGCTGTAACCTCAAAAGTAACTATATTTGGAGATAGGGCTTTTAGGAGGTAATTAAGGTTAAATAAGATCCTAAGCATGGGGTCCTAATCCAACAGGACTGGAGGATTCATGAGAAGAGGAAGAGAAAGAGATCTCTTCTTCTCTTCACATGCATGAACTGAGAAAAGACCATGTGAGCACACAGCAAGAAGGCAGCCGCCTGCAAGCCAGGAAGAGAACCCTCCCTAGCCCCTGACCATGTTGACACCCTGATCTTGGACTTCCCGTCTCCAGAACTGTGAGAAAATGAATGTTTGCTGTTTAAGTCACCCAGTCTACGGTATTTTGTTATAGCAGCCTGAGCCGACTAAGACAGAAAGAAAAATGTATTTTAGTTAATGCCATATGTGTAGGTGTACACATATGAATTTTAAAATTAACCAGGGTGATGGAGTGAGCTGCTTCACTCAGGCATCTGACAGTTACTCTTGCCAAGTTTTATCTCAATACACAGAGATCTGAGACTGCATCCAAAGCATCTGAAAGAGGGTGTGCCTATGGAATAGGTTTTTATATAGCTTATGCTGTAAAGCCTGTTCCTAGCATCTATTTTTTTAAAAGAAGTTCACTGTAAGCTTATGAACTCATCGTGATAAACCTAGACTTGAACATTTACAGCAAATAATAACTGGAAGGTTAAACTATGACATCATGAGGTCCCATCCAGCTCTGGATTTTGATGGACATTTTTTGACCAGTACTTCCTTAGTTTGCCAGGATGGAAGACCTAAAAATGAACTGCATTTTGCAGTGAATTATACCTAATTAAAGTTTAATGACTAGATTACATTCCTGTCTGATATGGTTTGATTCTGTGTCCCCACCCAAATCTCTCTTGAATTGTAATCCCCATGTGTTGAGGGGGAAACCTGGTGGAAGGTGGTTTGATCATGGGGGTGGTTCCCCCTATGCTCTTCTCATGAGAAGATGAGATAGTGAGTTCTCATGAGATCTGATGGCTTATAAGTGGCAGTTTCCCCAGTGCTCTCTCTCCTGCAGCCCTGTAAGATATGATTTGCTTCTCCTTTGCCTTCTGCCATGATTGTAAGTTTCCTGAGGCCTCCTCAGCCATGTGGAATTGTCAGTCAATTAAACCTCCTTTCTTTATAAATTAGTCTCACGTAGTATCTTTATAGCAGCGTGAGAACAGACTAATACACTATCCTACAGTAACATAGAAACATATATGCTGAACTCTTCAACATAACCTTATGTGTTTCCTTTTAATGTTATCATTAACCCTTCAGGCCACAATACAACCAAGTGGATCCAGTGAAAGACCATCCTTAATAGAAATGTCTCAGATACAGCTAAAGGCAAGAGCAAATCTAGAAAACACCCATTTTCTCAGACCACACTGAAAGAGGGCATCATATTGGCAATCTATCTATTCAACTGTTAGACCAAACATTAGAGAAACCTATGCCATTGTTTTCTTCGTAAAAGGTTAAGAGTGGTAATATCAACATCTAGCATTCAGCCACATCAATCCTAATATGTCCTATTCTAGTTAGGAGAGTGCATATAAGTCAAATGACCTTCCTGAGTCCTGCCATTTTATAACATGAAATAAAAAATCTAAGTAATGTTAAGTTAATATGTTCTGAATTCTTCTAGAATCCAGAAGCCAAAATGGAGTAATAACACATTCCTTACTATTACCTCATAGTTGTCTTAAATGTCATAAATAAATTTGTCTGTGTTTGAATATACAACTACAGTCAGCCCTCTGTATCAATGGGTTCCATATCCATGAATATAATCAACCACGGATCAAAAACATTTGGATAAAAAAAGGATGGTTGTGTCTGTACTGAACATGTACAGACCTTTTCATGTCATTATTCCCTCAATAATATAGTGTGTCAACTGTTTACATAGTATTTATATTGTATTAGGTATTATAAGTAATCTAGAAATGATTTAAAGCATATGTAGGATGTGCATAAATTATATGCAAATACTACACCATTTTATAGCAGGGACTTGAGTATCTGTGAATTTTGGTATCAGGAGTCCCAGTACCAATCCCCTGCAGATACTAAGGGATGACTGAATATAGCTTAAAAATGGGCATATGCATGTTCAAACAGAAGCTCTGATAATGGCAAGTATGGAATAAATAGATTTCAGTTCAACATTTATTAATTATCCATTATGTGTCAGGGGATATATAGTGGCCCTGAGAATATTACTTAAAGTAAGAGAATAAATTATTTTATTTTTCATTTGATTATCCCAAAATTCTATGTACCAGTATTTCTATCAAAAAATTAAATCCAAAATGATGACTGACATCTCAAAAGCTTCCAGAGACTAACTTTCTGAGTTGAATATATCCACAATACAGGATTAAAAAAAATATTAGAACCTGCTGCTTCTCCTCATTTTTTTTTTTAAAAAAGAAGATTTAGGGACAATTTCCTCATTATATAAACACTCTCTTGGCCTTTGCACATCAGGCTTAGTAGAAGGCTGTAAGTAGAGGCGAAAACACATTTCTCCTGCTGATTCTGAACATCTAATGATTTTGTTCAATCTTAACCTATCTTATTCTTTATTCTATTACTGAAATTATTTCAGGAAACATTTCGCCAAATTCGCCAAATTCTTTTTTTTTTTTTCTGTTATGGGGTCTCACTCTGTTGCCCAGGCTGGAGTGCAGTGGTGCAATCTCAGCTCACTGCAACCTCTGCCTCCCAGGCTGAAGTGATCCTCCCACCTCAGCCTCCCGAGTAGCTGGGACTACAGGTGGGTGCCACCACACCCAGCTAAATTTTTGTATTTTTGGTAGAGATGGGATATTGCCATGTTGACCAGGCTGGTCTCAAAATCCTGAGCTCATGCAATTTGCCTGCCTTGGCCTCCCAAAGTGCCAGGATTACAGGTGTAAGACACCATGCCCGGCCTCACCAAATTCTTGAATATTCCATTTTATTTCCAAATATATATATATAATATATATATATATATATATATATATATATATATACACAAATTAACTTCTTTTGCCAGAATAATTCAATTGCATTCCATTTTTATACTTACTATGAGAACTTCCTATGCCTATACAATAATTTTCCTGTCATTATTGTTCTATGTATTCAGTGGAGATTGAGTTGGGCCATGTAATTATCTCTCCTCAGTTCCTAACAATCCTGTGGCAGTTGCCATAATAAAAATTATTTCCCAGGGATACCAGGGATGCGACATTATATTTTGGAAGCATATTAAAGTCCCAATATGATGAATAATGTATTACTATGCAGTATACTCCTAAAAGTATAATTCCAGATTAAAATTTTCAAATGTCAATACAACTCTATAGAAAGTTAACACCACATTTAGCTTCTTGACTTGAGGGTTTATCCTATACCCTAATGCCAAACCTTTCTCTCTTCCAGTTACTTTTCATAACCATGATCAAACCATTTAGCTAAATTATTATCTTACTTTCCCTACTTATAAATTCTGAATAACAACTATATTTGTTCCTTATTTGCTATATGTGATATGTCTGCTTGTGAGTTTCATGGTATATTCTGCTTTAAAATAAATAACCACCCAATTTTCCCTTCCATTAAGGCAAGACTTAAAATCGGTTTTTAAAACCTGAATAAACCTGCAACTTGAATTTCTTAGGATAAGTTAACATACGAAAACTGTTACTGAAATTTTTGACATGACTTTTAATCATTACAGATTCATGTGATGAGTTTTACAAATGACATTAAATAAAGGAAATATTCTTCCCTTTCTTTTAAGCCCTTGCCTTAAACTTTCCAATGTGATTAATGCAGTATTTATCTCAGGGTTTTTACTCCACTGAGTGGGGTATGGGAGCAATGGAGGGAGAGTGGGGGAAGCTAAAAAGCATAATAAGGCAAAGAAATTCTCACTTTCCATGGGAATATTCCCTACAAGGGCCAGGAGAATATCGAATACTAAACATATTCACTGGGGATGAGAAGCAAGAGTTTGCACTTAAATTGACTTCAGAGTAGAGATGCCAAAGCAAATAAATCACTGCAAGTGGAATACTTTGAAAGGTAAATGGATCTTAAAAATATTTGTGTACGTTAAATTTTCTAATCGGAAGTATTCATTACTGTCAGATATAATAAGGGCACATGTCCATCAGGATCTGGAGATCTCCTCCAGGTAGTTGATTCATTATTTTTAGGCCAATGCGTAGCACAGCAGACACCCTCCACAGATGTTACTGAATGAGGAAGGGAAAACCAAACGTTAAGCATGCAATGCTTTACCTAAACTAAACCTGTATTCATTTGAGTGAGAAGTAAAATCCCCAAAGTCCTTAGATTACTTCAATCCTTACACATTTTTCATCAATAAGAATTCCAGAAAAATGAGCAAGCTTGAATTCCCATCTGACTTAGCTACTAAAGCCATTAACAGAATAAAATGCAGAACACACTTCTCTGTCCTAGGATCCTCTGTACCCAGCCAAGTGCATCCTCAAAAGTTGCTATTTCACTTTGTTTTGTCATTGCGGTATGACTTACAACCCTCAAACCATCTATAAAGAATTATAATACATGAACAGCACTTTTACAGGTTACGTAGTCTCCACAGTGACTCCATTCTGGGTTTTTTTCCCCCCTTACAGGAATCTTTTGTAATCAAAGTAAAAAGACTTCAATCATCTTTTGATTGGGGATTGGAGTCACATTTATGGATAGATAAAAAATGACCTATTTGTTTTCCTAAAATCCCACTGGACATAAATTTCTGATCATAGATCACCAAGGGCCTCTTTAGTCTGTAACCACACCTTGAATATTCATCAAGTCACCCAGGCATTGGTCAAAGAGAAGTCACCTAAGTGGATTTACCCATATATCCAGGTTCTGTTAAGGAAATGGCAATCCCCAAATTCCAAGTTAATGGGATAGTGGCCCCTGTAAAATGAAGTGATGACCACATGAGAAGAGGCAACCAGAATAAAGGGAAACAGAAGAATGAAGCATGGAAAGTTGTAGACAGCGTGGGTGCCTCACTCAGCTTGGCTTCAGCCTATATCCCGGAGCCAGTGTGACTCAGCCTCAGCCCCAGGGATGGGCCTGGATTGCTTCGGTTTGGTGGGGCTCCTGAACAGGGAAAACTGATATAACCCGGCAGGATATACCAGCCCTGAATCACTGCATATCCCAAAGGAAAAATGACCTTGGGGAGGCCACTCTCCTCCAAGTTCATTTTTATAAACCTCCAGAAAGATTCAGAAAGTACTGGACCAATCAAATACCACTGTGATTGCTAAAGAGTAACTTGGCTGAGAACAGAGAAAGGTGAGACGGCAAAACTGATATTTTCTTCAGGGTTCAAACTAGTCTTGGAAATGTAGCGAGTCAAAAATGATAGTTTTGCAAGTCTAGAGATGAAATAAAGCCACCTTTCCTCTGAAGAGTGACACTGCCTGTGACTGCTTCCCAAGCAGCTAATAAGTAAAGCTAACTCATTGAATCATGCCATTCGTTGGCACTATTTTAAGTGCTTTACATGTATTAATTTATTTCATCCTCAGGGCAACCCGAAAAGGTAGGAATTATTATCATTCTGATTTTGTTAGTAAAGAAATGGAAACCTAGAGAAGTTAAGTAACTTGTCCAAAGTTATTCGGCACACAAGTTAGCATACAAGTTATTTGGCACACAAGTTAGGTGTGGCGGTGCACGCCTGTAATTCCAGCTACTTAGGAGGCTGAGGCACGAGAACGTCTTGAACCTGGGAGGGGGAGGTTGCAGTGAACCAAAATCGTGCCACTGCATTCTAGCCTGGGCGACAGAGCAAGTCTCTGTCTCCAAAAACCCCCCCCCAAAACTCAAAGTTATTCAGCACACAGTGGCTGAGCTGGTGCTCAACACCAGGTGTGGTGTGTACACATCTGCACTTTGCCATCTGCCTCGTTATCTTTTCCCTTCCCTGAAAGCTTGGAAGAGTGCCCTGTGACCAACCACAGACAGAGTAGTGAGGACAAGCAGAGCATGGTGTCTGTGTGAGACAGTGACACATGCCCAAATTCTGGCCCTGCTAGGATGAGAGTTGTTCCTGGCCTGGCTCCTCAGAGACCCTCCTCACTAGTCTCAGGACATCTCTACTAGCTGCTCTCCTCTACATAGATTCTCAGTTGAAAGAAAATCTAAGATGACAGATTTCATCAGGGCTATGTACTGAGAGCAAACTTCAAATGAATCCTAGATGATAAAAAAGAAAACCAGAAAGAGCAGAGACCTGGCTGTATATAATGCCCTTTGTGCAACACCCAGGGAGCTTCCAGGGCAATTAGGAACATCATCTCCCACAGGAGCTTTAGTTCATAAAATTTCTGAGTTGCATGGTTTTTATGTTCATGCCTTAAACCCTAAAATAAGTTTTTTCTCCATCTAATTTGCCTCTTTGGTGCTGAGCTTTTGAAGCTGCAATAAAGGAAGGATGGGGAACACATTTGCAAATGATATTTAAAAACACTGAATGAAAGAGCTTCATTCTTTGTTTGTTTTAATTCCCCTGGCATTAAAGGACAGACATATTTTCCCCCTGGGTATGTGGATCGTCATTGAGGTGCCTGAAATACCCAGTATATCTTACTGAAAAGCTATTTTTAAAATCACTTGATTTAGAAAACTCCAATCATGGTAATTTCATGGGAATTCTTAGTACAAAAATTAAAGTTTTAAATTACTATGCAAAAATTGTGTATTCAAATAATCTTAATTAGGAAATACCTCCATCGATGCATATATATCAGGTCTCTCTAATGTCTGTCCCTGATACAAAATTATTTTGAGGGACGTTTTGTGAGTTACAGTTCCTGTGGTCAGTAATAGCAGTAAGGATGCAATATGAGACAAGGAGTCAAAAATGTCATTTCTAGTCTCTCTTGATTCGACCACATTCAATCTCTGGGCTTGAGAATGTCATCTAACTTCTCTTAGCCTATTTCCTCACATCCAAAAGGAATAACAGTTCCCACTTCAAAGTGTTGTTTCGTGGCTCAAATGAAATAATGCATGTGAAAGAGTTTAATATGCTACAAGACACTGTAATATAACATAATATTAAAGTTACAAACCAAATGTGGTGGCAGTGTGGTTCAATGAGGAAAACGCAGATATAGTCTAGCATAAAGAGGAATCAGCATGGCTGAATGCTTTACCCACTCATGACCCTGGGTGAGTCTGGCCTGGGTTCCCTCATTTGAGAAGTGAGAATGATTAAAACGATCCCATCAGGACGATGTGGGGATTAGAAATAATATGTGTCAGGCCTCTAGCAGGGCGAGCACACAGTAGGTATTCAGTAAGTGGCACCCGTTTTACATTAAAGAATTCATTTAATCAAGCCAAGTATGCTACATGTTTCAACACTCACAACAGCTGAGTACTGTTCAACTTAGAACAGTACATCCATCGGTGGAGTCCCAAATATACTTCTGCCATGGCCAGCGCCCTGGGTTTATCCCACTTTAGACTCCAGTGGATTAAGGCTGTGCTTGCTGTATTCGCATTTCCTGCCTTAGCCCATCATTTCAGGAAACTTACTAATGGAGCCTCAGTTTAAAACATAAAATGAATGCTACTCAATGTGGCAACTCCAAGTACAGGCTTTCTCCTCTCCTGCTTTCACTAGATGAACTTAATTCACTTTTTGCCACTTGTTTAAGGACAGGGGTGGGGTCTGGGTAACAGGATAAGGAAAAAGCCCGAATGAATCCGCTGTTGTTATTGAGGCTGTTCAGTCTGACCAAAATAAGCAGCTTTTGAAATGAACTCCCCAGCTCCAGAGCGTCAGAGTCAGGCCCCGTGGAGGCGCTGGGAGCCGCGAGCAGGAGAGGGGCAGGAGCCCTATCGCGTCCAGCCCTGCCCCGCCCGGGAAAACCCAGTGCCCCACGCATCAGTCACCGAGCAGAGCGCGAGTTAGAAGAGTGAACCCGGGGAAGGGCACATGCAGCTGGGTTAGTCTCAACTCGACCATGCGACTTCGCATTCCTGTTTGGCAAACGCGCTTAGGCAAAACAGACTTGATGCTTACAATGATCCCAGCCCAAAATGGAGTGTCCCTGACTAGCAGGGAGGAGCTGATGCTCGCCATGAGGAAGCCCACCACGGTCACGGCGATGCCCAGGGCCAGCTGCAGCAGGGCGAGCAGCAGCGGGAACCGGCAGCCGCAGCAGGTCCGGGGCTCCTCCTCCCCGCACTCCTTGGGGGCCCCCGTGCCCTTCTTCGGCTCCATGTCGTCGGGCCCAGCGGCGTCCGCGGCCGGCGGGCCCCCCTGCCTCTGCTGGCCGCGTGGCTGCTTGTTCTTGCCCATGGCGCTGCGAGGCTGGGTGGGTGGGTGGGTGCGTGTGCGGCGCCCTGGGCCCTGGAGCGCGGCGCACGGCTGGCTCGGCCTGCCCTGGTATTCGAATTATGGAGGCTGAACAAATATGGAAAACATTTGGAGCCGACTCACCGAGCCTCCAAAGGCCACGGGGAGCCCGCAGCAGAGGGGGGATTCGAGGGGGGTCGCCAACTGCCAACGCGCCGGGACGCAGCGCCTGCCGGGCCCCGGGCAGGATTTGCAGGTCGCCCGCGGAAACCGGCGCGGGTCCCTTGGCCGCCTGAACCTCTGCACTTCAGACAGGCTGCGAGTGCGCGCGTGTGCGAGTGCGGGGCGTCTGTTTTCCTCACTCAAAACTCCAGGATTGTTTTGGTTTTGCTTTCTGTGAAGTGCAATGCAAGGTGATGAATGTTGAAATCGTTTGAGCTTAATTAATACACAGTTTAATCCAAAATAGGCACTGCTGGGCTCTAAGCTGCGAAGTCATTTCCAGAAGTTAAGTCGTTGTTACTTTCCTACAGAGGCACAGGCTCTTTTCTTCCTACTTTCTGTAATCCAGCTGACAAATGAATAAAGGCATTTTTCGCATTTAGGTGTTTTTGAATCTTTCTAAAGATATTGGACTAATTGTGAACTCTCTTTCACATATGTTATTAATTATTATTATTATTTTCCAAACAGGGGCTCACTGTGTTGCCCAGGCTGGAGTGCATTGTCACCATCCTAGCTCACTGCAGCCTCAGACTCCTGGACTCAACAGCTTCTCTCTCCTCAGTCTCCAAGTGGCTGGGACTACAGGCAATCACCACCACATCTGGCTAATTTTTTAAAATTTTTTTCATAGAGATGGGATCTCATTATGTTGTCCAAACTGGTCTTGAACTCCTGGCTTCAAGGGATCCTGCTGCTTCAGCTTCCCAAAGTGCTGGAATTACAGGCGTGAGCCACCATGCACCCGGCCTCTCACGTGTATTTGTTTTTAAAAGCTCTGTTGGCTCACGCCTGTAATCCCAACACTTTGGGAGGCCGAGGTGGGCGGATCACAAGGTCAGGAGTTCAAGACTAGCCTGGCCAACATGGTGAAACCCCGTCTCCACTAAAACTACAAAAATTAGACAGGCGTGGTGGCACGCACCTGTAGTCTCAGCTACTCGGGAGGCTGAGGCAGGAGAATCGCTTGAACCTGGGAGGCAGAGGTTGTAGTGAGCCGTGATCATGGCACTGCACTCCAGCCTGGGCGACAGAGCAAGACTCCTAGTTAGTCTTCACTCATCTCCACAACAGTGCTTAGGGGGATTGGATTGACCATCTTAGAGATAGACGCTTTTACTCAGTCAATATTTAAGAGTTATTTTTAAAGCACCTACAATGTGCTAGGATATAAAGATGTTCAAAATAGACTTGGTCCTGGCCCAGAGTCACAGAAGAAATCAATAAAACTGATTATTCTTATTCCCGCATACCTCTACTCAGTAGCACTTAGAGCAAATTTCAGCGAAACCACTAAAAAATGATCCCATCACTTTGGGGGTATTTATATCTCCTTTGGTATGGTCATTGTAACATTCAGAAAGCTATATTCAAAAATAAGTGATGTTGCCAAGATGTTAGGATAAAGGCTACTCCTAGCTTGTTTGCTATTGGAAAATTTAAAGAAAATCCAATTCCCTGCTGTTTGCTTTAGAATTAGAAACTAATCATCATCAGCTCTTTTTGTAAACTGCCAAGTCCCCACAAAAGTAACTTTGAAGACAAAAAGTATGTACTTCACCCTTACTTATTTTATGAACTTAGGTGTTCTCCTTATGCCTTCCATCTGGACCAGTGAGAAAAATAATGGTTCAGGGAACAAATACATTTGCTTAGAAAACAGAATCTAAACCACACATCCCAGTTCCATGCAGAGGCAGTAGAAATAGCACTCACTCTTACCAGAAAAACAGAGTGGCTGAGGCAAGTTTATGGTCAGCTTTGGGGCCATCACACCACAAGGGCTTTCTATTGTGAACAGACAAATAAAAACTGGCGTTATACCAGGACACCCACCTGACTTGGGCCTGACTGAGAAGAACCCAAATGACAAAACAACAAAATGCTTGGTTTTCCTATGGAAATATGGTAAATATTTATAGAAAGTCAATTGACTACCTGGAATCAAGTATGTATTGTTATTAACAATATAGCTACCTATTACTGAGTATTCTGTAACAAACACATGACAGGTGCTTTACATATTTTATTGTCACCCCTTATAACCACCTTATAATTATAGTTTCCACTTTTAAAGATGAAAAAATTTGAGTATCAGAATTATTAAGTAATTGGATTAAAGTCACTAGCCTACTTATGAATGGGGGTAAGTGGAACCAGATGTGAACTCCAAAGCCAATGGTCTAAAGGATTAACTGCTTTATTAATTACTTCCTGTATGTATATTGCCTATAGGCAAACAAGTGGCTAGACTGTTTAAATTGTGATTTTAAACAATTTAATTATCATGGGTAGCATAGTATCTATAATACAGTGAATTACAAACTTAGACCTAGAGATGAGTACTTTACAAAAATATCTTGATTCATCACCATAGTATATATTTAATAGTCAGTGGAGACCATTATTCCTATTAGTACTAGTTTATAACTAGATACAAGTTCTATTTGCTGACCATACTGCCAAATTGTCATGCAATTAAAAGTGAAACATTTTTAGCCTTTTCCTCAAAACCTTAAATTATATGTAAGTTTAAATAGTCAAACAAGATAGTAGGATATTGCTATACATTTGTCTTCTGAGTTTCAGACTAGTGGCTTACAGTTGTAAAACAGTTGTACATATATACTTTTTAAAAAAGCTTACTTTTGATTGCCTCACTGAGACACATTACAAATGAAAGCAATGTAAATGAACAACATCCCAGACGCACTGAAATTCTTCTAGTCTGATTACAACTGCAGACTACAATTTTCAGCCTTTGGTGGTCTAGGGAAACTCACACCTGCTCAGCTTCCCAACAGCATGGTTGAATCTGTGTTTGAGGAGGCCTGGTCTTTGGTAATAACATAAGATGATAGTGACGAGGATGTCATTTTCACTTAATTGATATTTGAAAGTAGAAACAAAGAAAAGTTACTGTCAAATAGTGATAGAGAGTAATCAAGGCTAAAATAGATAAGACTGTCATTAAGGATACAACAAAGAAAACTCTTCCTTTTACATGTCCTTTCCACTGAGAAAAAATCATCACGTCTAGCTCATCATAGAGTTTAACAGAAATGAACTGGGTTTTTCAGTATTCATAAATTATGATGTCACTATTTTATAGGTTAAGCAATAACCTCTTCAGATATTTATATTACCGGGAAAAAAGGCGCAGTAGAAACAAAATGTTTTTGGATACTCTTGGCTGCTTCCATAATTCAAAACTGACAAAGATTGTAAATTAGAAATTGCAGGACAGTAGTTAATATATGGTTTAGATTATTTTGATCCTCTTGGGGGAGAAAACAAAATCAAGCCAGTATCTCTATCTTTGCAGACTATCTCAAACTTAACATTATTTTGAAGTATTTATGCATCAGAAGTTCAGAACGGGGAAGATGATAACTCTTTAAAACTAGTGTGATTAACAAAATGTCTTAGGAAACCCAACTAGAAATAATCTTTAAACCAACATATTCTCAAACACATGATCTTACATTCCCCAAGAACAAAAAAGGATTTCAGAAAAAAATTATTACATTTCCAAGGTCTATATCAAGTCTTTTTCATATGTAACTAAATCTATCTGAAATGTTCAATTAGATTTGATTTAAAGAAGTATCAAATACTCTGCAGAAAACAATTGGGAATTCATTTGTGATATGCAGGACCACTGCCCCCATATGCCTTGCTGGCCGCCATACCTAAAATGACTCTAGGGATATTGCTGACCTCTGTGTGTGTATTTGTGTGTGTGTGTGTGTGTGTGTGTGTGTGTGTGTGTGTGTAGAACAAATTAAAGCAACTCCTATTTTTTTTATTTTCTTTATTCCTATGTCATTAATTCTAAATGTGCCTTTGGGCTTAATTTTTTTCTCAGCAGAATTGACCCATTTATAATTTTTGCTTGCAAGTTTGTATTTTCAAGTTAAATATCATATGGACAATGCAATCTTTATGGTCAACAAAGGGCTTATGACTTTCTCATTCTCTCTCTCTCTCTTTCTTCCCTGGAGATGGGGTCTCACTATGTTGCACAGGCTGGACTCAAACCTGTGCTCAAACAAACCTCCCAGCTCAGCTTCCTGAGCAGCTAGGACTATAGGCACATGCCACCATACCTGGCTTAACTTTTTCATTCTCTGGAGGGCTATAGAGGTGATAAATTTCAATCATTTAATCATGCATTTCACCTATTTTTAAGGTGCTTTTTATAATACCAAATTTTTCTACATGTAATTTTGATTTTTCCACTGCATATGATACTGTAGAAATAACTAAATTTATTTTAATTGAGAAATACAGGAGAAGAATGGATAAACAAATTGTGGCATATCCATACAGTGGAATACCACTTGCTAATAAGAAAAGGGGTGAACTATTGATGCAGGCAATGACTTGGATAAATCTCATTAACAGTGTGCTGAGTGAAAGAAACCAGACACAAAATAATACATACTGCATAATTCCATTTGTATAAAAGTTTTAGAAGGCAAAATGAATCTATGGTAATTTAAAAAGTGATTGAGGAGTTGGGATGAGAGAATTGTCTCGAAAGGAGTAAGAGGTGACTTTCTGGGTGATGGAAGTAAGTCTTCTGTATCTTTGGTGATCATATGGGTCTTAGTTGTCAAAAGTCATTGAACAACACTTATGATCTGTGCATGTTATTGTATACAATGACATCTCAATTTTTAAAAGTGTAATAAAAAGAGAAATACAGGGAGTCACTGGATGTCCCTCAGTAATTAATAATAGAACAAGTAGGTTTTTTATAAATTCATCTCACCAAACTCTCCTAATGCCTCTACTGCCATTCTAGATCCTCTGTTTTAATTATCTATTGCTACAATAACAAATCACCCCAACATTCAGTGATTTGAAACAGTAATTATTATTTCATGGTTTCTGTGGGTCAAATATTCAAACAGCACACAGCAGGGATGGTTTGTTTCTTCCTGTTATCTCTCGACTCTCAGCTGAAAGACTTAAAGACTGGAGGCCTGGGATCAGGAGGTTCCAGTCTTAGCTGAAGCAGGAAGATCTGCTTCCCAGGCGGCTAATGCATCTTGAAAGCGTGTTGTTTCCTTTCCAGATGGCCTATCCACAGGGCTGCTTGAGTATCCTCACAACATGGTGGCTGGCTTTAGACTAACTGATTCTGAGATTGAGAAAGCAAGGCAAATGCAATTCTTTACATGTACAGCCCCTGAAGTCACTTAGCAACACTTGAGTTATTCAGCTGTTTAAAATCAAGTCACAAAGTCCAGCCCACATGCAAGGGGAGAGTAAGATCCATCTATTGAAAGGAAGCATACCAAAATATCAAAGGGTATTAAAGGTGTATTTTTAAATCATCATATCCTCCTTCTCAAGTTTGTTCATGGATTGTTCTTCCTTTGCTGATCTCTTAAACGTTGGTAAACCTCATGATTCCTTTCTTCAGCCTTTTTCTTCTTGTACTACATGTTCCATGGCTTCACTGAAGACTCCCAAATCTATCTATCTTAGGAGGCCAGACTTCTCTTCTTAGCTCTAGGTCTGCAAATGCAAATACCTATCCACATCTCCATATAAAAGTTCCAAAAGTGCCTCAAATTCACTCTGTCCTTGAACTCCACAGAGAAATCACATGAAGTAAATATAAGGTATCCACAGACTTTAATGACAAGGTGGTCATTGGTTACCTTTTCCAGAATAATCTGGCAGTTTCAAGATTTTGATGAGTTTAAGAATGAACAGGAGGTGAAAAAGGAGGAGAATATACGTAAAGGAATCTATCGAGACACTTAGCTGTGAAGGGAAGGAAAGAGAAAAAGCTGCAGCTAAAGGGACAATATAAAGTCAAGGAATGGTTTGCCTTTTTTTTTATTTAATGGAAGACACTTGAGTATGCTTGTGTGCTGAGGCAGAAAGTGATAGGGATGCCTGAAGGAGGGGACATTTGATCAGATAAGTTCCTTGAGATGGGAAAGTTTTAGAGGAAAGTCCTTCATAGGCTGAGGTAGGAGGAAAGAATGTAAGACTATAAAGAATGCAGTTGAGTTTGCAGGGTGGGAGAAAGACAGCTGAGAGTTCCTAGATATGTACGTATGAATGTAGGATCAGTATTTTTTCTTCTTAATAATGCAGTTTTGGGATATAGAGACATTCTACTTCCATATCCTATCCCACAGCGTATTTTACTGCTATATCTTGAAAGCACAGGTGAGTTTTAATAAAACATTTTCTGAACAATTCCTTTAAAATAGGCAAAAACATATTTTCTGTAAATTATAATTAAAATGACAACTTATTTACAGAAAGGTTTATGTATCTTTATAGGCTATGAAGTACTCTTACATATTATCTCTTTAAATCTGACCAAAACCATGTGAAGTTAGAATTTCTTCAGAGTGGCTAAGTAACCTTTTCAGGTTACATTAAAAAAAACAAAAACAAAAACAAAAAAACACCTAGATCTTCTTTCTCTAAAGTCAGTGCCCTTTCCACTTACATTTTATCTTAGCTGAATGACTTAGATTTTTTTATTGTTCAAAAAAATTGCATAAGTACATTGCACTTATAGGCAATCAGACAGGTTACGAGAATACAGTGCTGTGTGGACAGACATCCCCGCCACATACCAGGTTAGTGAGAACAAAGGCTGTCTAGAGTCCTGACCATAAGTCCCATGAGTGCAGAAACAATGCTTCCTTAATCACCATTGGTCCTACAGTGCCTAGCACAGTGCAAAGGTTATAATATGGCTTTAATAAATATTTATAAATCCTAAATAGTCATGGTGTGATCTGGATTCAGATATTTCTGATACAAACAACATTTCTTTAAAATCCTTGAACTGCATATTTTGTCTGTCCATTTTTATTTTGTTTGGAGAGTTGTCTTTAGGAATAACTCAACCAGGACACAGGGATGAATTATAATTAGGTTTTCTAAGTAATAACATTAAACACCCTGTGTCATACATAAACTATAAGATTTTCATTTTGACCAGTAATCCTCTTCTTTAGTTAGAACAGCTGAGTCATTGTCTGACTGCAAGCCAGACTGACATCTTTGATCATTTGTATAATATGCATGTTTCCATGGACTTACCTCCCTGTATTTGGTTCCATATCTAGTCATCACCACCTTTAAAGACATCTTTGGCCCTATGACAAAGCCTTGTGGGTCGTGTTCTTTTTCCCCTACACTTCTATGAATTCTTTCATTTTTATGTGGTTATGAGTACAGATGCTGAGCCCAGACTGCCTGAGTCCCAATCTCAGCTCTAATTCTTACCAGCTGTGTGACTGTGGACATGTTCCTTAACCTCTCTAAGCCTTGGCTTCCTCTCTGCAAAATGTGAATATTACAAATACCTACCTCAGAAGGTTGCTATGAACTATAAGTACAATAGTTGATGCAAACATGGAGAACATTTCCTGGTGTGGATCAATAATCAGTCACTGTTAGCCAGTATCCTAGCCCTGTCGTCTTTTCCTATTCAGTTTTCCCTTCCCATGCATTATCTTTCTGTGCAATTTCTCTTCGGCAATCTTGTCCTCATTCTTTCTCTTCTTATACCCTTCACAAAAACTATCATCCTCCCTGTTCTTCTCTTACACTCACTGCCTGGTATCACTGAAGTTTCAACTGCTGAATTAGTGCTTTGCTTCACAATATCATTTTATTTTTCCTCACCACCACTCTCTGCACTCACACCTAGTTCTGTAATTGAGACTTTTCCAGAATGACCCCTAGAGGAATCAGTGCAGTGCTTTTTCTTCTATAAGTGCATTGTTTTAGCCCATTCCCCTCCTTCTACCTCTGACCCCACCTGCTGGTGCAGAGAAGTGACTATACTCAAATGCTACGTTGCTCACCCCAGCCAATCATAAAAAGTCTGCCGTTCTATTTCTGATCTTTTGCCGTGCACCTCGTGACGGTTACATCAAAATAAGTAGGAAATTCACACTGGATTTCCCCAACTGATTTCAAATTATCTCATAGAAGTTACTGAATTCCTGGTGTATCAAAAACAATGTTTCAATAATCTAACATTAAGCTACATTTAGTCAGATCTTGGCAAGAAAATGTTCACATTTCCCTAACGTTTTCCTCCCTAAAATCTCACACATGGTGTATTGGACATCATTTTGGGGGCCTAAAACTCTCTCTTTATATTGTGGAAAGATCCCTCACCCACACCAACATGGTCTGTGGGACTGCTGCCCACTTCATGACCGTAAGTGGGGCCCTGGGGCGTGGCCTGGCCAAGCTTGGCATCTCTGCCCTGGGGTTAAGGGTTGGGCACAGGGAGGACTAAGCCAGAGCAGGATGAATCAGAACCCTTCCACTAGGCATGAGACAAGGATTCTGGGGTGAAGGGTGCAGACCTTTCTTCCTTTTGGAAGGGGAGCTACCAGTGGGGGGCTTCCTTTCCCACTACTTGAAGACAGTCTTTCTAGGACAGGAGAGAATAAGGCCAATGTACGAAGAGAAACAGAGGCTAAAAGAACCAAAAAGATGGAGTGGGGAAGGGGGAAGAAAGAGAGAGAGAGGCTTGATAACATTATTTAGCCTCAGAAAACAATTACAGCTGAAGCAAGGTCATCCTGAACATCCCAAGGCAGGAGACTGTCTTGTTTACCACTGCATCACCATAGCTGACACACACTTAGAGGCTCAATCCATACTTGTTGAATGGTTAATACATAACCAAGCCAGTAAATATTCCTTTTCTTTAAGTGAGTTATTTCTATCTCTTAAAAGTGAAGGTTCCCTGACTTAGGCAGTAACCCAGGTGAATCTCACTCAGCGCAGCCTATGGGCATCCTCATCTCTACAATAACAGACCTGCAGAAGCAAAAGAAAGTGTGTTGAAATGACAAGTGAGCAGTGAGTTCATTTCCAAAAAGACAAGAAAACTGAATAACAGAATGTTTTTGTCAACTTGTGTGGGAAGACATGAAGCCATTCTAGGGCAGGAGAGATATTTTATATGGTGTCTATTTATAATGCTTTTGCAATTTGGCATATGAGGAAATGCCAGGTGCCTTTTAAGAATCGGTACCACTTTTAGCTGAGGTGTATTTGTATCAGTTAAGTGTCATGCTCAACTATTTAATTATACCTGGAAATTTTGTTGCTCTTTTATTAACCTAAATCATAAAATTAAGTGGTATGTTAATAGATACGTATAGGCACCAGTTTTTAGCCAGGGATGCAGGTCACAAGCACCTGCAAAGCACTTAAAATGGTTGTTGTTTTTTTTTTAACATTCCTGATGCAGTTATGTTTGGGGTGTACCCTCATGATTAAGTCCTCTAAAAACCTGCCAGGACACATCCCAAGCTAAGCTCAACACTTGCCGTCCCTTAAGGCAAAAGGAAGCATTCATTTTCTAAAGACTAACTTTTGCCTTTTCATTTTATTTCTTCTCAGTAGTAGACTGCTTACAAAGCATTCTTTCTTTAGTTCATTCAAGAAACATTTATGGAGTGCCTGATATTGCCAAGCAACCTAGGAGGCACTGGTGATAAAAAGGCAGGTTCCTGCCCTCAAGGAGCTCACATTCAACTGAAGGGAGACAGACACATAATCAGGGAAGTGTCATAAAGGATGACACACGCTGGGACAGAATTGTGTGTAAGGCACAGACAGGCACACAGGGCAAAGTCGCTCTACTACAGCATGTCAATCTCAGGCACAGTCTGTGTTAGGAAATGTGCCGGGAACTGATCACTCACAGACTTGGCACGGCAGGTGGTCACTCATGGCTTGTGGTCATTTATCTCTGAGGTAACTCTGGTATGTGTCAGGGTGGGCCTACTGGTTCGGTCAGGTCATTATCTCAGACTGACCTCAACTTTTCACCCAGCCTACAGCCCCTTCCCTATTCCTAGTCCCTGGAAACAATGCTTCCTAGTGTCACTTCTTTTCTCCCCTGCCCAGGGGGGTAGAGGTATAATCAGACCAGTACAAGGTGCTGTGTGAGTGGGGGAAGAGCTGACCGACTAAATACCCAACCCTTTTTTTGGCCCCTGAGAAGACAGCAGACCTCAATACTAAAGAAGCAAAGTCTGGCCAGAGTTTAGGAATCCCATGCCTGTCAATCATTTGCAATCTTCCTCAACAACTATTTTTTACTTAACATGTTTTTTTGTCCATAAGCAAGTTGCTCCTCACGGGCAGGAACCTGCCTTTTCATCACCAGTGCCTACCAGGTTGCTTGGCAATATTAGGCACTCAATAAATGTTTATTGAATGAACTAAAGAAAGAAT
The DNA here is from genome assembly GCF_000001405.40 of Homo sapiens. Classification (NCBI taxonomy): domain Eukaryota; kingdom Metazoa; phylum Chordata; class Mammalia; order Primates; family Hominidae; genus Homo; species Homo sapiens. The sequence goes on along the minus strand of NC_000012.12, from coordinate 26,185,196 downwards.
GCTATACAGGCAGCCCATACTGAGATATTGACTACATCATGTAAATTTTGGAGAGGAGTATTTTTTTCAGTATCATGGATTATTTTCAGTTCAAGCATTAGCTTAAGTTCTGTTTCTAAGACCTAAGCAATCCATATTTTAAATCTAAAATAATTTAATCTTAGTGTACATTCTGTTTAGAGACAGCAGGGGAAGTATCACAAGAGAAGAAAAGGAAGGATATGTGAAATGTTTATTGAAGCAAGCTGCTTGAGGTTTCCAGCACCTAGAAAAAAACTCACTGAGATGTAAAAATGGTTGCTCATGGGACATGGATATTTTCCTTTTCTCCCTATTTTTGTTGTCTTCTCATGAGCATATTACATTATGATGTAAAAAAAACCCCTTAGTTTTGAAAACTAAGTTTTTACTCCCTTCCTCTCTATGAGAGAAGTTTTTTTCACTTTATTTACCATTTTCTGTAATAGTCTTTCCTCTGTGGATGCTCATCTAGAAGAGAAATTAATTATGCCACTAAGTGGTCTATATATTGACTATATAGACCACTAAAGTTCTCTGGACAGATTTCCAATTTATGTTAATTTTCAAAGTGTCAGTTGATTTTCACTTTCCTCCAACATCCAAAAAGGGAGTCCACAGTCCAGGTCAGATGTATGTAAATAAAAAGTTTACTCTGCCTAAGGGTCTATCCCAAGCCCACTTTCTCTGTGAAGATTTTCCTAACTATTGAGGCCATTGAACTGTGTCTTTCTTGAACTTCTATAAAGTGGCATGTGTCACATCAGTTATTATTTATATAGTTTTGGATTCTGTAATTGTTTTATATGATAGTTTTCATTCATTTATAAGGCATTATGGTTACTGCATGCTAGGAACTGTGTTAGCACTAAGGAAAATGAGTAGGAGGGATTGCAGAAAACAGACACTTAAAATATGTTGTTGTAAATAACTTCAATGTATAAATATACACAGTGCTTTGCAAATCCCAAAAAGGAATTCCTTACTCTTTGCCCATTCAGATTGTCATCTGCAGGCTTTAGAGTAGGAATGTTCCATTTTCCACCCCACACCTTGACTGCCACCCCTCACAAGTGACTGTGGGCTTATTGGATTCCAGCATACCCTCTAGCTCATTGGTTGGAAGCTGGGTGAGCTTGCTTGCTCCTTTTCTCCTCAGGTGTCCACGCAGAACCAAAGGCAGCTGGCTGAGTCAGGGGCTGCTCCCTTAGAAGGCTTATGGCTCTCTGGAGCTCTTATTCACTGACAATTTCCTTTTTTTCTGGTTTCTTCCTTTCATGTTGCCATCGAAAGTGCAGTACAATTTGGGGTGATGACCAGGAACTGTGAAGAGGCTCACTATGAGTGTCTAGCCCAGGCTTTGTGATCCAGTTCAGAATCACCCTCCGACTGGCAGTGGTGTCCAGCTACAAAGCCCAGCCAGCAACTTGCGGCATTCCCTGTTTATATCCTCAGGGATTCATGAGGAAGGGTGGCTGTGGCTTGCAGAAGATCTCAGTATTCTGAATGCCCCTTTCATAATACTATCAACATCTTCCCTAATTTCTAAAATTGGTCATTTTGGCTAGAGATTGAATTCTAATTTTCTTTTATAGTCAGTCACCCAAACAACAAACACAGAATTAATTACATAATAAATGCTCAATTAAAGAGATGTTACAACTCAGTAGATGGAGAAATTCTCTCTGGATCAGATTTCCATATATTCATTGAATTTAGTTTTGATAACATGTGCTAAGATAAAATTTTTTAAAGGGAAGTTTGGGACCGGGCGCAGTGGCTCATGCCAGTAATCCTAACACTTTGAGAGGCTGAGGAGGGCCAATTGTTTGAATCTAGGAGTTCAAGACCAGCCTGGGAAAAATAGCAAAACCCCATTTCTACAAGAAAGTTTTATGAGAAAAGGTAGGTATGATATACTAATATAAAGGTAGAAATTTCTAAAAGTACAAGGGGTTATCATAAATGCGGTTCTTATTCTGAATTGTGTGTCCAAATCACCCATGTTTCTCTTTTTAAATACCTATGACTTAGACCTTCTTCAGGAAATTGTAAGTCAGGAAGAGGGTTGGCATATAGCACCTGTATGTACTTTTTAAAGTATGTACTTTTAGGCTGGGCACAGTGGCTCACGCCTGTAATCCAAGCACTTTGGGAGGCTGAGGCAGGCGGATCACTTGGGGTCAAGAGTTTGAGACTAGCCTGGCCAACAAGGTAAAATTCTGTCTCTACTAAAAAAAATACGAAAATTAGCCGGCCGTGGTGGCGTGTGCCTGTAATCCCAGCTACTCGGGAGGCTGAGGCTGGAGAATCACTTGAACCTGGGAGGCGGAGGTTGTAGTGAGCACAGATTGCCCTACTTCACTTCAGCCTGGGTGACTGAGAGGATCCATCTCAAAAAAAAAAAAAAAAGTATGTACTTTTAAAAGACTCCACATATTTAAAAGCCTCTACATATTTTTCAGTACTTTTCAAAGATGCCATAGATTATTTTGCTGCATGACTAGGATTGCAAGCCACTGGAGGGGAGGGAAGGGAAGGGAAGGGAAGGGAAGGGAAGGGAAGGGAAGGGAAGGGAAGGGAAGGGAAGGGAAGGGGAAGGGGAAGGGGAAGGGAGACGGGGTCCAGATACCAAACTAATGCACCTGAAATGAGCCTGGTCCTTCACCTTTGTCAATTAAAAAAGTTGAATTTTTACTTACTAAAACTATAGTCGCTCAAAACATTTTCTTTGGAAAATGTCATCAATGATGATTTAAAAACCATCCAAAATAATATCATTCTTATTACTTAATGCTAGTGTAAACTTAGTCTGTTATTTTTATTTTTAAAAAAGATTAATCACCAACCTAGGACAGAAATTTGGAGTCAGAGGTAATCACTCCATCCCTCATCTTCTGTTATCCACTCCCCATAGTGAATGCTCAGTACACCTCTATGGAATGACTGAGTGACTGACTGAATGAGTGAGTAACGACTCCAGTGAGGCTCACATCAGTTGTTTGACTAACCCGTGGTCTTACTACGAGTAGAGGACAGTGCTGGACTCAAATCCAGGAGAGCCCATTCCCAGTTCTAAACTCTTCTGATCCTGACACGTGATTTACTCACCTCTAAACAACTGTCAATTGTTCCAAAGCCTAAAGCCATCCTTCAAGAATACTATTGGCTCCCATATAGACTATTCAAAATAACGTGTCACACAGAGTTTAAAAGCAATGCTAAAAAAAATAACTAACAAAAATACATGGAGAAATAGCAAGACTGTATGAGTGGAAGGTCTTCCAAAGCAACTATCAATACTTTGAAAAGGACAACATTTATTTCTACATATACGTTTCCATTTCTTAAAAAGCAATCTTTGACCTCCTGTTTTTAAGTTGCACAGTGCTATCCTCCACTCACAGGTGTTCTAATGACAGGCATCAACGTGCTGCATTTAGTTTACTGGTTTCTGTCAGTCGATTTATCTCACTAGACAAGCTCAGCTAAGATTATTCTACAAAGCCAAAAAAAGAAAAGAAAGAAAAAGACAAAAGTGCCTAAACTTTGATTCATAATTGGTGTCTGTTTTCACAGTCATATGTTTTTAGATAACATTGCCTACAGAACTGCCTTTTGTAAACTGATCTATAGCACCAAGAGAAATTGTGGTTTTAGAATGAGTTCTTACCGTGCTCCCTTTTTAAGCCACCACTGAGAAAACAACTATAATATTACATGTTCTTAAAAATAAGACAGTGGAAAACAGCTAACATTGTTGACCAATCTCCCTTCAACAATCAGAAAGTTAACTGATTTTGTTCCTAAATAATAATTTTGTTTTACAGTAGTATTTTTGCTGTTCAAGGAGAAGAAAACGCAGAATTCTGATAAAGACAGAAGTGGATCAAATGACAGTTTTTCCAACTGTATTGAGTAACTTTATTCAGAACAGCTTCTTTGAACAAAAAAAAATGAGTAGTAAACTTTAAAAATAAGGAAAAAGATTTCCACAGAGATCGCAGTTTATCTACTGATACGACCTCAGTGAGAAAGAAAATAGATCTCCTTATATACATAGCACAAAAGTAAAACTTGTTTGAGATTCCATGCAGTCTAAGGGCATTATTCTACTTTCTTTCCAGCCTGCTTCTTGTCCTCTAACACTGTCTTCCCTGGAGCACAACCGAACTGGGGAGAACTGGAGTGGCCAGTCTAGTGAATCTCCTGGACAGACTGGCAGACAGTAGGAATTGTTGCCTCCTTGGAAATTTTTTATTCTTCCTTTCCAGAGCTATCACCTCTCTGAATACCCCTCCACTTTTTTGCTTCCCTCCATATGCTCTATTTATGTAAATAACATTTGATAGATGCTTTAGCTTGGAGATTCAACATTCTTGAGTCCCTAGCTATGTAGAAGATGCTGTATGAGTCTACAGAAGATGAAAAGGCAAATATCTGATTTCTTGCTCATTCCTCTCAAAAGATCTCAAGTACTGTTCAAGTTTTTGTGTATCTTAAACCAGCATATATCTCTTGACTAAAAAACTGCTTAGTTCCTTAACAGTGAACTTTAAAGCTAAATTTTAAGATTAGGGAAAAATATGCTATGTGCTCAGAAAGCACAGGGGACAGTTAAGGGGGAGAAATCGAATTTCTTAAATGTAGTGGTTGGTTTATATTTTGTGGCATGAGATTGTGTATGTAATTTTGCACGATGGTAGGGCTTTTTGGAGTGGTGTGGAGGTGAAGGGCAAGTCCCTTCCCTTGTCACCTCACACTATGTTCTGCAAGCACCTAATGTCTCAAGGTGTCAGGACACTCTGTTCATCGTGACAAGAAAAAAAATCTCGCTGCTGCTATGAGCACGACCGTGTGAATGAGTATTCAGCACCTCCAACTCAGATTTGCAGCTAATGATCTAGATCTTGAATTTGCAAGGTCCAATTGTGCAGCCTCCTTCTTTCATGCTGCCTTTCTCCTTAGCAGTTTCATTATTCGTTCACACCTCCAGGAGAAGAAGTAGAGATGGAAGATGAAACATAAATTCATCAACTTTTTTCAATTCCATCCTTAGTCCTGCTGGTTCTCTGGTTTCAAGATGGGTTGTGGAAGAGAAGGAAGTGCTTGGAGGAACAGTCCTCTACAGTGCCATGAGCAAACAACACAGAGCACATCCTCAAGCCAGGGCAAACCGTATCCTGTTCACACAAAAAGACAGCAGGCTAAGTAAATATTTCACTATGGCCCTGCAAAAAAAAAAAAAAAAAAAAAAAAGCCTAGCTAAATAAAAAGCCAATCATTTATCATTTGAGCGTTTCAATTACCAAGTGATGTGCATCATCAGAGATACTGCAACACCGTATACATATGTGAGGGTTGTAGAGAAACTACTCAGTTGTGTCTGTTGCCTCTTCAAGAGGTAGCCTGAAACTAAGAGAAACATGAAATTGTGTTTGCTTCATTTTAATGACTTTCAGGTAGTCCACTGGCATCATTCTGTAGGGCCTATTAGGAGGCACTTGGAACTAAGGTGGGACAGTAAAATAGAGATTTCTGAGGCTGTATGGGGTGCAGTTGTGAAAAACTGAAAACACATCCATGCAGAGCTTTGGTTTCCTGGTGGTGGTTTAAGGAATACAAGGCCCCTAAGCAAAATTGTGAAGTTCAAGAAGTTGCTCTTGATACAGACCCACCTTGCTCTTGAATTCTCCTCTGCCCTGATGGTACCGTGACCCCTACTCCCCCTTCAGAGTGCCTGGCTCCTGTCCCCAGCAAAACAGGAGAGGTCAAATCCATCAGTTTGAGTGAGATCCAGTCATCCAGTCTGCGGGTGACAAGCTCAGTCTCATTGCCCAAAGTATAAAAGCACCAGCCTCTCAGCATGGCCCTGCTGGCCCCTCCGCCCTCACCTTCTCCTGTCCAGCCACACTAGGATCCTTTCATTCCTCAAGCACTGCTCTCCTTCTTGCTGTCAGGCCTTTGAACACACAGTTCTCTGTGCCTGAGATGCTCTTCTCCCCTCTTCCCGTCCCAGTGTTCCTCCACTCAGCCTTTGTAGTTTCCTCCAGGAAGCCTACCTTGATTGACCCATAGCCTAGGTCAGCTCTGCTCCTTCAGCCCTTTCCCAGGGCTTCAACTTTGCTTCTCCTTTGCAAGTCTTCCCGTCATTGTCCATCCTTCATGGGATATTATGTTCCCTCCTACACTGTAAGCTGTGGGGTGCTGAGCTCTGTTTATTGCTGTACCCCCCAGCATAGACTGGCCCATGGTGAGTGCCAAATGACTACTCTATAAGTGAATGATTTAATGAATTAATCTAGTCTAGATATCTACAGTAACATCATATCTCAAGAGAATATATCTTTAAACTCCTCAGGAAGCTTTCAGGTTTTTATCCTAGACCAGCTGCTCTTGCTGGGGGAACAGACCAGGGGCCAGAGTTGCTGAAGACCCATTTAGAAGATGCTGTGACCACAAGGGCATATCCAAGCTTCTTGTGTCTGTGCTGCTGAGGCACGTGTCTGCACCTAAGCCAGACCCACTCTGTTCCTTTTTGCTCTCCTATGTCCCTAACCCCTCCCATATCTCTGCCCCCCAAATTTCAACTGATGAATTCTGAATTCATTCTTACTGTGTTCACATATTTGCTTTTGTTCCCCACCCCTCTCTACTTTAGCTGAATTTCACCCTCTATCCAGGCAGCTATTATACAACCAGTCATCTACAACCCTTCTTAATTTACCTTATTCTGTGCTTCAGATTTCCATCCCTATAATGATTACTAGCACTTATATATATTTTTTACTAAACATGAAGGGCTTACACACATACACACACACACACACATACATTTAGTCCTTATAATAACACTATGAGATGGGTACTATTATAATCTCCATTCAACAGATGAGGAAACCAAAGCACACGGAGAAGTTAAATAATTTACCCAAGGTTACCTGGTGAAGCCAAGTCTGAACAACGTGGTCTGGCTTCAGAGTCTACGCTTTTCAGTGCTACACTCTGTTGCTTCTCAGTTATTAGGGATGTGAATTATGGTTGCCCTAGTCACATTGCTTTCTTGAAGAATTCTCACTCTAGTGCCTACTAAGTGAGCATCAAAACACATGACCTTGTATTTTGCGGCCTCAAGTAATTGGGTAGCTGGTGAATACCTAACCCAGGTGACCTGACCCATAGGCCAGTCAGTGAGCTTAGACTTGGGGGCCTTAGTCAAATGACAATTTGGACCATTCATATGAGAATATATGGAATTGGAAATGAACAACTAGGGCTGTCGTTAGTGGACGTTAGAGATGAGCAGTCATGATACACGTGAGAGATATAGAACTGGAGGGTGCCATGCAGGGTCCTGTGCATGATGAGTGTGTAAAGAGCCAGCCGGCACAGAAGATCAGAGCACTCTGTCAGATGCAGATGTCAGACAGATCATATGACACTTAGGATCTCCAGACTAGCTCCAGCTGCTGATTTTTCTAGTTCCCAGTTTCTAGGATTTCTGTTCCTTGCATTCAAAGGATTCACGAGTAGAACCTATCGCCTCAAGACTTCTGGTCCTCAAAGGCTTCCACGGCCCTCCACAGTAAGTACAACAAGAGGAGGCAAAAATAAGGAGCTCCTTGATGGGAGGGGAAGCTACGGGTGGGGCAGAATGGGTCTGAGTCATGTGTGATGCCTGGGGAACTTCCGCCACCTTCACAGTTCCTCTCCCAGAATGACCCTGACTTACTGAACACTGGGCAGCATGACTGTTCAAGGTTACACCTCTAAGCACTGGGGATGCAGACGAAGGTGTCCAGGGGTCCAAGATTTATCTGAGTGTCTAGAGCCATGTAGCAACCAGCACCATGTCCGAGGGTTTCAGGAGCCTAGGCTGGAATAACACAACACTTAAAAGTGAAATTCTGGTATTCAGTAATCCTCAGAGATTCACTGAGAGACAGGTGGGAATAATAATATAATAGTAGCCTTAAAATAGTGTTTTATGTCTCACAAATCCCTTTTAATTAAATCATCTCATTGGATCCTCACCACAACCCTATATCCATTCAATCATTCAGCTTTGCTCATTTTGTATTCTGAACTTTTTTTCTTTCTATCTCCCTCTCTTCTCGTATTGTTATTACCTTAAGAATAAAGTCCAACAAGGAAAACCTTGCAAAGTCCCACTAAAAAATTTGGACTTTATTCTTAAGGTAATAAAAAGCTATGGCAAATATTTGATCAGGAAAGTAATGTGTTTGGATTTATATTTTGAAAATATCACTTGGCAACAGTGTGAATAATGGACTGATGGAGGAAGAGAACGGAGGCAGGTACATCAAGAGGGAGGTTGCTGTACTCAACCAGCAGAGGCACGATGATGGCTTGAAATGGGGGTAGAATTGGGAATGAGAGAAGAAAGAAAACTGTGCCCAAGTATCTATCTGACTTCAGCAACTGGGGGAGACGATGTTCCCATGTTAGAGGACAAAGTCGCTACTTCCAAAGAATATCTAGAACATGTAAATCTCAACTATTTTTGGAAGAATATTTTTAATTGGTGCAAGCACTTGAGAAGAGAAGAAATAAGGGAGAAGATTTTTGATAAAGAAGTTAGTGAGTGGAGCTGTACAGTGACGCACAGCCTCCCATTGACTGCAGAAAAGGCATAAGCAAGTCTAGGGTGCTTGCTGGCTTTAACACACAGTGTTTGAACATCTTTATTTAGAGTTTGTCTTAATTCCAGAAGTAAATTTAGCAGACTTTTGATACCGCTTTAAGGATTTAGAGGGCCTTGTAAAAGGTTTAGGGCCATCTCTCATAGTCTCCCCTTTCATTACTACTGAATGTGACTCACATAATCAAATATTCTATGGCAATCTGATGATTATGAGTCTTCTATCTATAAAAGGTTGAAAGATAGCGTGGCTGAATAAATTATTTCATTAGAATAATTCAGGCTAAAATATCTACGTGAAGAGAGACAGACAGAAACCGAGAGAGCTAAAAGAAATACTACATTTGAAATATTTTTTGCAATTTAAGAAACTCAGAATAGGCCAGGCACTGAGGCTCACGCCTGTAATCCCAGCACTTTAGGAGGCCAAGGTGGGCAGATTGCTCGAGGTCAAGGGTTTGAGACCAGCCTGGTCAACATGGTGAAACCCCGTCTCTACTAAAATTACAAAAATTAGCCAGACGTGGTGGCATATGTCTGTAATATCGGCTACATGGGAGGCTGAGGCAGGAGAATTGCTTGCACCTTGGAGGCAGAGGTTGCAGTGAGCCAAGATCATGCTACTGCACTCCAGCCTGGGTGACAGAGCAAAACTTTGTCTCAAAAAAAAAAAAAAACTCAAAATAAATTTTTTATACTCGGAATTGAATTTGCTTTTTAAGCCCATTAGAATTACAGTTTTTGTAATTTTTTTTATTTTTAACAAGTAAGCTCTGTGAATTCCATAGAATTGTATTTCCCATTATAGATTCATATCTCACAGTTGAAGTGAACTGCTTTTTTCAAATGTTGGTTTATTGAGCTAAAATTTTGGCATCACCTCAGCTTTTCTGTATAGCTCTTTAAAACAAATAGATTCCTGAATATGCTAATTATAAATATGACTATTATCATTGTTTAAAACATAAAAATTCCCATAAAAATCACAAAAAAATAAAATTAGCTACCTGGCAAGAGAATGAAATGGTGATCTATAGACTGGGAGAAAATATTTACAAATCACATATTGATAAAGAACTTGTATCCAGAATATATAAAGAACTCTCCAACTCAGTAATCAAAACACAAATAATCCAATAAAAAATGGAAAAGATTTGGACAGACACTTCACAAGAGAAGATACATGGCAAATAAGCACCTGAGAAAATGTTCAGTATCATTGGTCATTAGGAAAATGCAAATTAAATCACAACGAGGTGTCACTTCATAGGTATGGGAATAGCTAAAATTGAAAAGACTGGGCATTTCAAGTGTTGGTGAGGATGTAGAGAAACTGCAGTTGTCACACGCTGCTAGTAGGCATACAAAATGCTACACCCACTTCGGAAAAGAGTTTGGTAATTTCTTAAAAAGTTAAAGACGTCTATCATATGACCTCGCCCAGGATAAGTAAAAGCCTACACCCACAAATGAAGATTTGTAGGCAAATGTTCATAGCAACTTTATTTGTAATATCCCTAACATGGAAACAAACCCATGGCTGGATTGCAAAATAATCATTCTGAGGGAAAAAAGCCAGACCAAAAACAAACAAAAAAATACATCTAGTGATTCCATTTGTATAAAATCCTAGAAAACGCAAACTAATCTATAGAGGCAGAAAGTAGATCAATGGTTTCTAGAAATGGTAGGGGGAGGCCGGGCACGGTGGCTCACGCCTGTAATCCCAGCACTTTGGGAGGTCGAGGTGGGTGGACCACCTGAGATCAGGAGTTCGAAACCAGCCTGGCCAACATGGTGAAACCCCGTCTCTACTAAAAATACAAAAATGAGCCGGGTGTGGTGGCATGCACCTGTAGTCCTAGCTACTTGGGAGGCTGAGGCAGGAGAATCAGTTGAACCTGGGAGGCGGAGGTTGCAGCGAGCTGGGATTTTGTCACTGCACTCCAGCATGGGCAATAGAGTGAGATTCTGTCAAAAAAAGAAAGGAAGGAAGGAAGGAAGGAAGGAAGGGAAGGAAGGAAGGAAGGAAGGAAGGAAGCGTGGGTAGCAGGATGGGGAAGGAGGTAGGGATTACTAAGGGACACAAGAAAATTTTAGAAGGTGATGGGAAAACTTACCAAACTTTACACTTTAAATATGTGCAGTGTATTACATGACAATCATACTTCAATAAAGCTGATAATGAGAAAAATAGGTAGATGTGGTCAGTATTTGCAGTTTAAGTGGAGCTTGAAGCATGATCAATATTTAACCAAGATAGTCTTTAGAGATCAGGCTTGTATAAGTTAGTGATGATGCCTTGAAAGTGTGAGTTTGACCTTCAAATAATGCCTAACATTTCTCATGGCTACCGCAAAGAAGTTTCCTGATTTATTTTTCACCTTTACTGGGTTTAAGCAGGGTGTATTTATCTTCTTGGTGACTGACGAAACCCTGGCCATTTCCTCCCTGGGATGCTTTTAGCCAGGCAAGCTTGCCTTCCATGTCATAGGATGGTTCACTTAAAAAATTTATAAACTTAATATAGAAATCTCATGTATCACATATTTCTTTGAGTTTTGGAGATGGCTGCAAATGAATTTTTCCTTGTCTAGTAGTTTTATGGTATTGTTTAAATAAATCTTCATTGCTTCATTCATCCTTGAAGACACTATTTAAGTTTAATCATCCACGTAAGCCACAGTTGACGTAATAAACGAAATAAGAAAAATGGTAAGGGCAATATATTTTAATGCATAGAGATTTACTTTCCAAATTCCTTGAAATATAAAATTTGAAGATACAATGGCTTGTCAATCAATGATTAAAATAGCTTTCTAAGAGAAATACCACAGGCTTCTTATAAAAGACGATGATTGAACATATGTATTTGCCTACCTTCCTTCCTGAAACCCTATAGAAATGGTCATAAAGTAGTAAAACAGGAAGAGAAAAAAGAAGAAACCTATAAGAGTAAGGAGAAAGCAAAGAAGATATCAGCATATGAAAGAGATCAGCAAATATCTGGACAATGGAAAAAGAAAAAGAGCATGATAGCAGAAGAGGCCCTGGATATCCCCAAAAAGAAAGGCTCCAGAGTAGGGATGCACCAGGGTTCCCAGGAGTGGCTGAATCTGTAGTTACAGAGGGCAAAGTTCAAAGGTGGACCTGAAACCTGGGGACTTCATTAGAGATCTATTTAGAGAACAGTTGCACCCACCACCACTACTTCCACTCTTAAATGCAGAACGACACCCTTACAGGCCACCCTGACATTTGTCCCCACGCTCTTTTCTAAAGAAAGGAAACACACAGACACTCCTAGAATGGCAGTTCACACCCCAGAGTAAAGTTTCCCAGTTCTGGAAGTTGGAAATCACCCAGAAGCCCGTCAGCCATTATATCCTGTCCCTGTGTCTAAGTACAAATAGGCAGTGAAGGGTCACGAAATGTATAAATCAAATCAACAGCACAAAACAGAAGGATCAAAACAAAGAGCCCTCAAAGGGAATGGGGAGAATTCAGCAAACAGAAGAGAGCTAGTTAAAAAATTGTCTTTACTCTCCTCAGGGCTGTTGATAAAGATATTGTATCTATAAAATAAAAATTGGAAGCTAATCAACATAGGAGATTGGAACAATAGATAGATGATTCATGGGGAAAGACAGACAGAGAGAGAGAGAGATCTGTAAAGAAAGTGGATTCTAATCGCGCCACTGCACTCCAGCCTGGCGACAGAGCAAGACTCCGTTTCAAAAAAAAAAAAAGAGAGAGAAAGTGGATTCCATGTAACAGAATGATTAAAAACAAGTGTTTTTGAGGATATTCTGAAAACACATTTGTATTTTATGTGGGAAACCGTCTCCAAGTGGCACAAAGATTAATCTTGGCGTAGAGCCAATAGAGAAGAACATGCAGGCTACATTATTTACAAAGTCACAGCAATGCAAATGCCGTTTATTGAAAATTACTTTATTTCTATTAAAAATCATAGATTAGCATCTAATAGGAGATAATATAATACAAATGAGTTATATCCTCATCTTTCGCATCAGAGACTTGTTAGACACAGTCTAAAAATGCTCATCGAGAAACAGAGAAATGAGCCTATTATGCAGAGTTGTGATGGTAACTACCTAAGGAACTGAAAACAGCAGTGAGCAAGGGTGGATATTTACCTCCAGGGAGCGGGAGTGACGGGGTAAAGGCTAGGAGACTTTTCCACAAAAAGTCCTTCTGGAATATTCAACATTTTTACCATATGCTTGAATTATTTTCATACACATTTAAAAAATTCTAAGGTGAATGTATACTTTACGCTGAATAAGCAGAATCTATTACCCATCAAATATTATATCCATTCGAGAGGCTGAGGCAGGAGGATGGTTTGAAGCCAGGAGTTCAATACCAGCCTGAGCAACAATAGTGAGACCCCCATTTCAAAAAATAATAACAAAAATAAAATGAAATTATAAGAGACTCTCATGAATGGGGTGACTTTGCACACATTATTGCATATGGTCTACACCTAGGAGGCAGGTATGTGCTACTATCCTCTCACTGCTATCAGTGAGAAAATTAAGGTTGGCATGTTTAGATGGCTTCCCCTACATCACAGAGGCGACAAATGGTAGAGGTGAAGCCTTGGCTTCTGATGCCAATTCCAGGATTCCTTCCTCTATTCCAACAGTCCCAAAAAGTTAGGTTTTAGGAACTCTTTATGTTCTTAAGAATTACTAAGGAGCTCAAAGATATTTTGTTTATGTGAATTATATCTATTGATACTTATTGTATTAAAAGTTAAAACTGAGATCTTTTAAAATATTTATTAATTCATTTAAAAACAAAATTATAAACCCACATAAATACTTTGATGAAAAATAACTATAGTTCTTTGACAAAAAAAAAAATAGGGAAAACAGGGGCATTATTCTAAATATTTGTAAATCTCTAGAATGATTAGAAGATAGCTAGATTCTCATAACTCCTTCAGTATTCATTGTGTTTAGTAGAACATATCAAGCAGTCTCTGGAAAAATTCCACTGTACACATTAAAAAGGGCAAACAATTTTTAGTATTATTAAGAATACAGTTTTGCCTTTGTAAACCCCCTAGAAGGGTCTCAGGGACCTCCAGGGGTCACCAAACTATTGTTTGAGAACGGTTGTTCAACAGGACAGCTGCCTGATGAAGTTTGAAGTAACTAGAAATTAATGAACCAAAACTATTAGGAAAATGTCAGCAGTGTTATAGCTATTACAATGGCAAATTCAAAAATGTATACACACACACATTTATTTATATACATACTCATTTACTGAGTAACCCACCTCTGCTTCTGATTTGACCTTACTTTCTAGACCTAAACTCAGGCTAAAAGTGACCTCTGTATTCTAGAGGACATGAAGGAGAGCCCACAGCATCATCCCAAAATAGCAGAGGGAGGCAAAGAACCCTGTTAAAGGGAAGGGTTTGAATCTCATCACTATCACTTACTAACTATATGATTTTTGACCAATTTACTTAATCTCTCTAAGTCTCAGTTTTCTCATTCATAAAATGAGGATTAAAACAATCCCTATTTGTAGAGTTACTATGATGGTGAAATGTGATAATTTATACAAAGTAATTATAATTACATACCATGCTTGACAAATGATGAGCACTTACATTTATTATTACTTGCATTATTGAATGGGCAAAGCTGTTCCTCTCAATCTCCCCCATTCAACTGCTAAGCAGGGTTATGGATGGGGAGAGAAATACCTAACTGGGAAGAAGAACTTGCTCAGTAAGTATTTATTCAATGAATTCCAAAACACAAAATATCAGATTCTGAATTAATGCAAATTTCCTCTAGCTTACTTAGAATTAGCAAATCATATACCACAGGGAAAAATTAGAGTAATGACAATAGATGATTAAAGAACAAGAGGTGAAGCATATAATTCAAGGATGTTTGTATAGATTTTCTTTATAATGCTTTGTTACTTGAAACGATTTCAATAGTGGCAATCAATCCAATTGTTTGGATCTCAGAAAATACATGAAGACTCTTAAAATAGCACTATATTATGAAGTCTACTTTAATATCATTGGAGGAAGATGTTCTATTAAGGGCTTAGGACAGTTCTTACTTAGAGCCATCGGAATTAATGCCATAGATCTGAAGACAAGTTTCTTAGTTCCGCTTTATTCTAGATCTAGAGTTACACTGAGAAACAGAATAATTTATTGTAGTCAATCCTCATTTAATTCCTAATTTTAACTTTGTATAGTACAAAGAATATTCACTCACATTGTATACACTTAGGTGTACAAATAAATGCAGGTTTTTAATTTCACTATAGCTTTTCAGATTTCCTCATGAGTCCCCGTAATTGTTGAGAATTGGGGGAATGCAGGGAGTCCACTGGGTTATATTTTGTTTAATCTACAGAGGAGGTTAGTCCTGTCCATTCCTTTGCACTGTCTCTTCAGATGATTTTTGCTTGAATCCTTGGTGCTCAGAAGTCACCTCTCTACAAGTTCTCTCTCCACCTCTGGAACCCCTCAATAGGGAATTTGTGTCTTTAAGGTCAAATCCGTGGGAGGAGGAACCAGTTGCTCAAAGGCTAGAGCATTTTCTAGGGTCCACAGCCTGCTCTGCAACCCTCAGAAAAGGAAGGCATGAGTCCAATATCCTTCTGCTTCCACATAACTACCTAAATATTTCTAAAACCTTACCTGCTGAATTTTCAAACTTGCATAGGAAAGAGGGGTGAGAACTTTGATATTTGACATCCTCAAACTCCTTGTCTTCTTTTCCTTGGATCAGAAGGGCCAGGCTTAGACCTACTCCTTCCTCTATGTCATATCCTCTTCTCTCCTTCATTAGCCACCCCCATAGCCTGGCTGTCCTGAAAGGAAGAGCTATTCTCTCTGCACTAAGAAAAAAAAATATATATATATATATGATTTGAATCCTCCTAGCTTACTCTTGGTAGCTGATGGTAAAGAGATTTAGAAAACTCTTTCTCAGCAAAATCTGGCTTACATGACTGTTGTCTGTTTGAAAATCCTATTTTGATATCAGAGGCTAAATACTAAGCCTCCTATCCCTTTGTATTCCTTCTATAATGTTCCTAAATCTTCTCAAGGCAAATGAGTGCTTCTGGAAAAATAAAGAAAATATAACAGAGACAATCTCATTAGGATATTTCAAAAATATCCCCCATTATGAGTGGCTGTCATTACTCCAAATTCAGGCAATTTGTATGGACAACATTAATTTGGATACTAACTGAGAGCCTTCCAACTGCTTTTGAAAGAGTGAAGCAAAGACAGAACAAAAAAAAAAGTTAGTAGAAAACAGAATCAATTCTTTGGGAGTTTCAAAACTAAAGAAATAAAGAAATACTCACTGAATACAGGAATGCTTTTCAAGCACTCCCCAGAATTTCAGTCAGCTAGCTAGATAATTAATGTTGGATGACCATCATTACCTTAAGTGTTTTTTTTTTCAAAATGAGGCCCATAATCTTCCTTTAAAAAAATAAAAAAAAATCACTACCATTATGTCTTTACCCTGTAATCTTATTAATAGTACCACATTTCTCCCAGCATAACAATCATCTTTAACTCAATTTCATTCAAAGCACATTGGCTACAAACATGGTAGGTACCACATTAACCATTGTGGCATGTCAAGGGCACAGACTCTGCCCCCAGGGAATGTCTAATAATGCCCTCCATCTAACCAATCACTAAGTCGTATGGATTTTTCCTTTGAAATGTGTCTCGTGTTTTCCTCTTGGCTCTCTTTTGTGCTGTCACCATCTCATATCTGAATCACAACCGTGGTGGCATTATGGCCATCCCCTCCACGAAACCTTCTTCCTGCTGCCCAGAATGCAACAATGTCTTCCATTATTTCTTGACCCCACTATTGTTGGTGCTCAATAAATACTTATTAGATTTAATCAAGTTCTTCAATCCCCACAGTTGTCTCTGAACAGCCTAACTGTATCCAGAAGTGAGAGGATGTCTGTAAAGTCAATGCAATTTTATTCATACGGAGCAACAGTTGATGCTTGCACGCTTGCCCCATCCCCCATCCCCAACCGGGGGTTATCCCTGCCTTGCAACCTCCGAACACTGGGCGGGGTGGATTGCCCGTTTGATCATTTTAGCATTTTTAAAACTTCTTTTGTTCATCTTTCCTTAGATGCCCTATGTGCATAACAATTTCTTAGTGCCCTTCCCTTTAGTGTCTGTGCCAATCACATATGTAATCTTACAAATATGTTGCCCTTGTTATTCCTTTTTTTTTTTTTTTTTCTGAGACAGGGTCTCACTCTGTTGCCCAGGCTGGGGTGCAGTGGTGTGATCACAGCTCACTGCAGACTCAACCTCCCTGGCTCAAGTGATCCTCCCACCTCAGCCTCTCGAGTAGGTGGGACTGCAAGCCTGCGCCATCACATCCTGCTAATTTTGTATTTTTTGTAGAGATGGGGTTTCACCACATTGCCCAGGCTGGTCTCAAACTACCAGACTCAAGCTGTCCTCCCACCTCAGCCTCCCAAAATGCTGGGATTACAGCTGTAAGCCACCATGCCCAGCTGCCCTTGTTATTAATTTCATCCTTCTATGTCTTAAAATATTCAAAAGCAAGGTAAGTGAGTGGCAAGTAAAAGTAGTACTTTTATTTTAAAGACTGCAATGTAATGTAACAGATGGCATTTTCCTGACTGGGGAGGAACAGGGTGTTCAGTATCTAGGCTCTAGAACCAATTCTACTTCAGAAAAACTCCCACTTCAACCTTGCTCAGGTATGAGTTACTAAGTCACATGAAGGACATGGAATACCATTTAAATCTCTTCAGAGAGAGAGAGAGTTGCGGTCTACGCAGATGGTAAACTGACGGTAAATAAGCTTGTTTATATTTATTCAATGGAGGGAAAGTTTTTCATGCCTGCTGGCTCCCTGGGTTGGTGGGGGAAGAAAGCAGGAGAGATTGTAAAGGGAAGCCTGCTCTTCTCTTTCATAAAGATAAATGTTGTAAAGGAGGAGACAGAAATTGCTGGGGCAGAACAAGCTGCTATCCTCAGTGTCAGGAATCCTCGGCAAACCCCACCAGACAGTTTCAGTCTTATAGAGAGCTGCTTATTGTCCTTTTATACACTCTGCTGCTTTTTCCAATCTTTGTCCATAAGGTTTTTAATATGTAGGTAGCATAAACATCACAAGAGGGAAAAAAATAAAATTGAGATGAAAAAAATCAACAAAATATATGACTTTTAAGCAATCACTATAAATATTTCCTAGGCTTTTTTAAAAAACCTCACGTATGTGGTGTATGCCTCAATAATATTCTAGTTCTCAATAATTGTTTGTTGGATAACCGAATTAATTGACTAATTAAAGGCTATCATCATACAGTTACACAGGTTGGTGCTCTGATTTATTTTTCCACTTTAATTAACATAACTATTTTATTTTTCAATATTGGTAGCTAGTTATTGCCCTCAGTTTTATTGGTTTTGAAAAGCTCCATTGAGTGGATATTCCAAAATTGATTCAAAAATATCTATATAGTTGGAAAACCTTTAATGTTTTTCTAATTCTTCCATAATAGATAACACTACATTTACACTCTTTCGCCATATTGCTTATTCCACAGTTCATGAGCCACTTGCTTTGGATAGATTCTCAAGATCAAGATCAGAGATCAGCAAACTTTTCCTATAAAGGGGCAGAGAGTAAATACTTTTGGCTTTGCAGGCTATATGGTCTCTGTCTCAGTTACTCAGCTCTACTGATGGATTATGAAAGCAGACACAAACAGTACATAAATGAACAGGCATGTCTATGTTCAAATAAAATTTGGTATATGTGCAATGAAATTTGAATTTGTTTAGTTTCCAATGTGTCATGAAATATAATTCGTTTTCATTTTATTTCAACCATTTAAAAACGTAAAAACCACTCTTAGAGATGTAAAAATAGGCAACAGGGCAGATGTCTGCAGTTTGCCGACCCCTACTCTGGGCCAAAGGTCATGAGCAGTCTATGGCTCTCAATGTACAATGTACAATCAGCCAGTTTTTTAGCTGGTAATTTTGATGGTTCCTTTCAACCATATCTCTTGGTTGCTACATTTCCGAGTTCAGGCATTTATATAGTGTTTTGATTACTAGACCACATAATTATTAAGGGACTATGCAAAAGAACTACCCTTGCTGTTACCTTTGGCCAGTAACCATATACTTTTTTTTATTATTATTATACTTTAAGTTCTGGGATACATGTGCAGAACATGCAGGTTTGTTACATAGGTATACACGTGCCATGGTGGTTTGCTACACTCATCAACCGTCATCTACATTAGGTATTTCTCCTAGTGCTATCCCTCCCCTAGCTCCCCAATCCCTGACAGGCCCTGGTGTGTGATGTTCCCCTCCCTGTGTTCATGTGTTCTCATTGTTCAACTCCCACTTAGGAGTGAGAACATGCGGTGTTTGCGATAACCATATTCTTAAAATCAGTTTAGAGTGACAGGGCTGTACAAGAGGTGATCTGGTACAACCTTCTGTCATGGCCATCTGAAGCGAGAGCCTAGTTAAAAGCTGTTCAGAAGGGGCTCTCCAGAATTTCTTCATCTAACCTTAGTCCTTCCCAGTCAAACACATTTCATTCTAATTCTTCATGTGAGCCTGAGAACAACTGGCCAGCTGCCACCTTCAAACACAAAGACAATTATTACGTTAATCCCTCTGCATTTCTTTCTCTATCCTAGGTTGATAATGATGAACAAAAATGATTTCCTTTTGTGGACTGTAAAACTAAAGTATAAAAGTGCCTCATCTCTGATTGGATGGTGACTAGAGAAAAGGAAAACTAACTCAAAATTTCATGTTCCCTGCCCCTAGGGCTGCCTGTCACAATCATAAATTAATATTTGTTAAGCATCTATTGGTTGCATGCCACTGTGTGAGGCACAATAGCAATTAATCCCACTCATTACTGAACACTTTTCATACTTCTTCAATGTATTAAATTGTATCCTGGATGATTAAATTGCTCCAGGCCATAAGTGCAAAATCGAAAATATTCAATTAGGACACACAGAACAAAGCAGCAGCAGTTAAAACACGGTGCATTAAAATATCAGCTTCACAGCTAGCAATCTTAAAATCTGGAAGGCTTAGATTTTACCAGAAGTTCTGATGGCCAGAGAACTTGAACCAGGAAGGGCAGTGAACTCCTTATAAAGAGGAAAATACTTTCCCCAGCTCTGTATAGACGGAATTTGAGACCCGAGCCTTGCATGTGGCTCATATCATCTGCCAGAGTTTTTCTAAATTATTTCTTAATTTTAGGATATGAAAAAGGTATACTTCCTGTTCTTATTCCATCTAGAAGTTCAGAATTTTTCGATTAAAAATACTAGTTCAAAAATTCTTCTTTATATCCCACCATTAAAAAATGCTCTAAGCATTTTTAAATGAGATGTTTGTATAAACCAAACAATATACTATATACAAAGAAAATAGTCATTTCTCTTTATGAGACTGTCCTACAAGCTAACGCCAATGCTATTCACGGCTGAGAGTCATTAATGGGTAGAGTAGAAATCAGTCTGAAGAGGAGGATTGAGAGGAGGTTTACTTGTCATTATCTTTACAGACGTGGGTTCAGTAAATGTGTGACTGGTTCTAATTACATGGGGCTGTTAATACTGCAGAGAAAAGAGGTAAATTCAAAATAGCTTTGACCAGGTTTTTTAATTGTTTTACAAAAACAGGGTAAAATTTAATAGCTACAAATATAAAATGGTATAACTAGAAGGAAAAGAAAAGTCAGCCAAGAATACAAATGCAATATAGAAAAGGGCTGGCTTATATTTGACAATGAAGTAAATAAATCAATAATAAAAATGTCACTGGAATATAAGCCAATATAAATTTAGGATATTTTGTTGTCTGTCATCACGTCATAGGTTTATTTGTTTAGAGAAAGAGTCTGGCTCTGTCGCCTAGGCTGGAATACAGTGACATGATCATAGCTCACTGCAGCCTAGAACACATGGCCTCAAGCAATCCTTCCACCTCGGCCTCCCAAAGTGCTGGGATTATGTCATAGGTTTAGATGTATGAAAGTCATTCTGTGTCAGACCCAAACAGCATGGTGCTGAAACAGACTAAGAATCACCTGGTGAGATTCTTTAAAACAAAGACTCTAGCACCCAACACTGTAAATATGACATAATAAGTTCTTGGGAAGGATCCTGAGAATCCATTTTAAACAAGCTTGCGCCATGATTCATATGCAGGTTGGTCTCTGAAGCATGCTTTGAGAAACACTGCTCTCGAGAATGATCAATTCTTTTTAGTCACTCTGTCTGCAGTTCAGGTGATTATCAGTGGTATGTGATGCTGCAATGACTTTCAGTTGAGTGATCTGCTTACGGGGCTTTGCACAGACCTGAGATTTAAGATTAACTACATTAATGTGCAGGCCATCTACTTCTGAGTTTTATTTCTTTATTAAGATAAACATTCAAATGATATATACTATGATTGAACATTCCTCTGTCCTCTAAGCTTCTTGACAGCAGGGACTGCTTTTGCTCACCTTGGTGGCCTTACTGTTTAGCACAGTGGAGTTCACTAGTAATTTAAATTTGTTGAATACTAGACATAATGTTATTGATTTGTAATCTAAATTATATAAGATATAACATATCAGTATTTAAAGAATTATAAACCCATGGTTTGAATGTCTTTATCTCTTCCAAAATTCATGTTGAAACTTAATTTACTCTAAAATTCAGGTATTGCCAATGTGATAATATTAAGAGGTGGGGCCTTTAAGAGGTGAATAAGCCATGACTGCTGCTCCCTCTTAATGAGATTAATGTCCTTTTAAAGGAGGCTTCAGGATGCATTCAGCTACCTAACTACCTTACTCTTCTGTTCTCACTTGCCTTTTTGCCTTCTGCCATGTGACGACACAGCAAGAAGGCCCTCAGAAGATGCTGGCACCTTGATCTTGGACTTCTCAGCCTCTAGAACTGTGAGAAATAAATTTCTATTCTTTATAAATTACCCAATCTTAGGTAATCTGTTAGAGCAGCACAAACAGACTAAAACAAATGGAAAATGTTTACTCACTTATTCTTGTGCTAGACATTCACCCAATTTTACCTGTTCTGGTTCTGAGGCTTCAGAGACATTTCAGATTACCTTAACAATTGATTAGTACTTATTATAGAGAAGGTATTAATTGCCTTCTTAAGAAAAACATTGTGTCTTACTCCCCACGCCACATTTAACTCTTAGTCCATTCAGGTCTACACCTTCCCTCTTTCAAGAAAGGACTGCTTTCAGTTCTTCATGGTGTGAGCTGTGGCCATATTTGCATGCAAAGTTCTGAGGTCTCAAACCCCATGCTTTCTTGTTCTCTTCATTAGCAGACACACACACACACATACACACACACACACACACACACACACACGTCTTGAAGCACACACGTCTTGAAGCACACTGTGTTTGAATCTGCCTAATCCTCTTCTCCTAACTTCTCGTCAGGTCTAGTTAAACATCCTTCTACCAATTCATCAACTTAATTTGGGTATTACTCTATATTCATATACTTTTTCAGGCAACATATTAACTTATCTTCCCAAGCTTTCAGATTGTTTCGAAGTTGTATCTTAATGGGATTTCTCCTTCTGTCATGAAAATTTTACTCCTTTAACCAAACAAAACTCTTTAAACCAAGTTATATTATGGTTTCCTTATAAAGGCAATCCTTGCTCACCACTTTAAATTTGAGCTTTAGTAAATTGTTTCATTCATTAAATTGTTGTAGTACACATTTGCATGCCGTGTTTTGAAGTTTACTCACTAAAGTTACAGGTTTCAAAATAAAAAGTATGTCCCCTGGTGAAAATGATATTGGAGCGGTTTCATTCATAGACCAAAATGCTGAAGGTTAGCTTTACTTTCCTCAGCTCCATGAAGGGCTACTGGGGAAGAGATCTCTAGTAACCAGTTATCCATGTCTAGACAGAATAAATAAGGGCTTAAGTTAAAGCAGGAGAGCCACAAATTTATCAGCAGAAGGAGCTCATGTTATTAACAGTCTACTGAGGATAAGAATAGCAAATGTGTCAGAAAGTTTGGAACTTCATTGACCTAAAAGAAAGACTGGCTCAGGGGCTATCTTGAAGCCCTGTTGAGCTGGATGAACTACAAAAAGAAAAATGTTTAACTGCATAGGTGAATCTGGTAATAATTTTTCTCAAGTTAAAACAAAAAAAGGAGTTTTGATATTATTTGCATATAAAATGATCAAATTCGATAGCAACAGGTACCCAAAGAATAAATGAGGAGTTGACCAAATGGACTGGCCAGTGATATGTTTCACAGATTAATGATAAAGGTTTGGATGACAAAATATGCACCAAAAACATTCATTTATTCACTTCCTCATTCAATAATATGGACTAGGTACCTATTAAGTGCCAGATGCTATTCTAGACCACTGGTCCCCAACCCCCGGGCCACGGACTGGTACCCATCCATGGCCAGTTAGGAACTGGGCCGCACAGCATGGGGTGAGCGGCTGGTGAGTGAGCATTACTGCCTGAGCTCCCACTTCTGTCAAATCAGTGGTGGCATTAGATTCTCATAGGACCATGAACCCTATTGTGAACTGCGCATGCGAGGAATCTAGGTTGTGCTCTTTATGAAAATCTAACTAATACCTCATGATGGGAGTTGGAACAGTTTCATCCCAAAACCATCCCCCACACCATGTCTTTGGAAAAATTGTCTTCCATGAAACTGGTCCCTGGTACCAAAAAGATTGGGGAACCACTGTTCTAGGCACCTGAGCAAAAGAGAGACCCTGACCTTGTGTAGTTTACATTTAATTTGGGGATGCTAACAATAAATAATAAATGTAATAAATAAGTAAATCATAAAGCATGTTAAGAAATGATAAGCAATGAGGAAGAAGGAAAAAAGTAGAGCCAATTAATGGGGATCAGGAGTACAGTGGTGGGCGCTAAATTGCAGAATTCGATGGGGCAGGGCAGGGAAAGAGTTGAGCAAAGACTTGAAGAGATGGAGTGAACCCAGAGGATGCCATTGGGAAGACTGCTCCAGGCAGAGAGCTAAAGCCAAGACCCTCGGGCATAGGTACCTGGTGGGTTCAAGAAACAGCAAGCAGGCCATATGGGTAGAATGGAGTGAGGGTAAAGAAACAGAGGAGGAGATTATAGGTAAGAGGGGTAGAAACTGATCATGAAGGGCTGTGTAGACCTCAGTCAATACTCTGAATTTTACTGTCAGTAAAACGGAAGCCATGCAAGGTTTTAAGCAGAGGGAAGACAGGCAAGACATGACTTTGATTTTTTTTTTTTTTTTTTTTTTGAGACAGAGTCTTTCTCTGTCACCCAGGCTGGAGTGCAGTGGCACAGTCTCAGCTCACTGCAACCTCTGCCTCCTGGGTTCAAACGATTCTCCTGCCTAGACCTCCTGAGTAGCTAAGACTACAGATGAATGCCACCATGCCCAGCTAATTTTTGTATTTTTAGTAGAGACAGGGTTTCACCATGCTGGCCAGGCTGGTCTCGAACTCCTGACCTCAAGTGATCTGCCCCCCTTGGCCTCCCAAAGTGCTGGGATTGCAGGCGTGAGCCACCATGCCCAGTCGACTTTGATTTTTTTAAATGCTCACTCACACTGCTGTGTTAGGAATAGGCTGAAGAAGGAAAGAGGGCTTCATGAGGCTCATAGGATAAGATGAAAGATAATAGTGGTTCTGACATGGGTGGTAGCAGTCAAGATAGTAGATAAGGGAGACTAGGGTGATAGCAGGCTATGAGTAAGGAAGAAAAATGGTTCAAGAACTACCAGAGACAAATTGTATCCTACAAAGGAAAAATTCACACACTCCACGTATATTGATATTGTTTATATTGAATATTGCTGCTTGCATAATTTTTCAAAGTGACTGACAGCATTTGATGTAAAGATAAGTTTGCCCTGGCTGTTACTGTAAAATAGCAGAGTGATTTCTCTTGAAACCTAACACACTGATGTTATTTGTGTGTTCAGATTGCAGTGATTACTTTGACCTGCAAAGAAAAAATGCAAATTGACTTTAAAAATAAATTGGAAGCCCATTTAAGAGCAAAAGGCCATTTGGAGGGACAGGGGTAAATGAGGAATATAAAATAAGTGTTCATTTGTACACAAGGGCATTTTCCTGTTTTCTTTATCTTGATCAAATATTAAATATCATAGACAGAGTCACCCTATGTTATTGGATTCTCGCTTTGAAAATAGAGTTCTACCTATCTCTTGTAGCCTGGACCAAACAGTGCAGTGCCTGCTCCAACCAGGACAGATCTGGTTCCAGCTTCTCACCCCTTCTCCACTCCCCAGACCTTTGTGCTGAAATTTCCCAGTCTTGCCCTCAGTGGCTGATAGTGCTTCAAGGAACAGGTTCACCCAGACCTGCAGAATCATCTACAAATGCTCATCAAGAGGCAGATGTCACAGCCAATCCCCTTCATGGTCCAGACTCTTACAGAGAGGATCCCTTCTCTAACAAGGGATCCTGATCAAGGGCCATCCATTCATTTACCCATTCAATGAATGGATACTGTCTCCCAGGCACTGGGCTTGGTACTCAGGATGCCACTCAGGGAGCATTTGCTGCCGCTCGAATGCTAGAGGTGGGCTTTTTGTTTTTATTTTTATTTTTTTTCATTCAGCCAACATCTGCCTCTTTGTAGGTCCTGCTTCCATTTGGGATTCTGTCCTCTGGAGACGAATATTAAAAAATCATACCTATTCCTGCATTCACACATCAGCCCTTCTGCCTTTGAAAACATAACCATTCTCATGAATGGGTGCAGATTGAATTCTACTTCTTAAAACATGAGCCACCCTGGAACAGCTTCTGCCATCATCCAGAAAGACAGAATCAGTGATGGCTCAGTGGGGCATCCCCCTTGCACTGTTCTACCTGCCCCACCTGTGGGATCTTCATCTGAGTGCACACAACCCATCTTTCCAGACCTCCAGGACACTATGGGCTCTCCTGATGTTCTTCTGGTGGCCAATCTTTAGTCTGGTCATGCTGCCTAGGCATCTTCCCTGCCTGTTCCAGTTTACTCGTTTTTCCCACCATTGTTTCTAGGGTATTAACCAAACTCCTGCCTGCATGACTAAATTAATTTGCTGGGCAGAGAGTTTGCCTTGGGGCCCCTCTGTGGCCTTAGATGACCCCTTCTTCTGCCCAGGACATGTCCCAGCAGGGTCACACCTCTCAGCCCTTCACCCTCTGTCAATCTGTCACAACCCATGGCTGGTTCTGCACTCCAGGCAGCTCCACCTCCTCTCCCCATCCAGCCTGGCCAGGGCTGAGTAGAGCCAGGCTCCAGCCATGGGCAGAGGTCCCTTTCCTGACCCCAGAGCTGGTCACATGGCTGCTGTGCCCATGAGGAGTCTTAATGAAAAGCAACAGGGCAAAGGAGAGCATGGCCTAACCTAGCTCCTGACCAGCTGTCTCTGCTGCTGTCAGTCGCATTGGAAGGTATCCTGACCCCAGATCTCCTCCTCTGTGCTTCTGAGCTTGACCACACAATGGGCTCTACTGGCAAGAGCAGGTAGCCAATGTCCTGCCCATGGTATGAGGCCAACCTTGTACTAGCATTCAGCTGAGACTCACAACACCTTGCTTTAAAGGAACCACTGTGTGCAGCTGGCAAGCCAGAGACTCTTAGACACAAAGCTAAAAGGGGTTCCAGGGGTCTGCTGCAGGAGCAGCCCTGCCCTGAGGCACCTCAGCTGTGTGTGTGCAGCAACCCTCTACCCAGCCTTCCCCAGCCAGGACTCATCTGCCTCTTCTGGTTTTCAAAAGAATTGCTGCAGACTATTCAGAGTCGACCAGCAAAATCAGAGGGACTTCCTGCAGATCCTGTAATGCAGGTGGTAGGAGTTCCCGTCACTCAGAGCCTGAGGTGCCATGACCAAGCAGTCAAGCCTTCTCAGTTCCTACCAGGTTGTTGTCTGGGGAGATGGATGTGGCTAGGAAGGTTGAGTCTGTTTACAGAACTTGGGCAGGCTAGGCCCCTACGCTGACATATTATGGGGAGGAAATGCCCATAGTGGGAAGTAAGGATTCACAAATTCAAATGAATCAGAAAGAAAGGAAAAGGAAAGAAGGGAGGAGGAAAGGAAGACAGAGAAAGAAAAGAAAGGAAGGAAGGATGGGAGGGAGGAAAAGAAAGAAAGAAGGAAGGAAAAAGGAAAAACAGAAAAAAAGAAAAATACATGATGAAGTGGGAAAGAGCTGAACAATGCATAGGAGTTAGCATTTAAGATCATCACATCAAGCTACATGAATTAATATCCTACTTGTGTCTTTTGAAATAATTAAAATCAACATATTTTCTGCCTCCTAAAACAAAACCTATTCGCCATTTCTAGTTGCCTTGGATTTGGTAATCTAAGGAAAAAAAAAAGACAAAAGTAATTGCTTCTTTATGATTACTTTACCACAGGTCATAAGGTAGATAATGAGATTTGTGGGGTTTTCCCTATAAAAATACTTTGAATCCTAAATAAAATGTTAAAAGGAGAAATGAGCACATTGCCCATCTGGAACCAAGAAATAGCTGATTTCTTCATAAAGAGGCCATATAATGGTCAAGACATTGATTTTTGTCCCATAGTTTAGGGTTGCCATAGTATCACTGAGTCACTTAAATCTAATCAAAAGCTGGGAAATATTAATTTTGTCAGAGCAGAATGAAGCAGGGGTATAGAATATAGCCATGAAGTGTCTAGACACAATTAACAGGAACTTCAAAGTCACCTTGACCATTATTTCTAGTGTTTTCAGCCTAGCGCAAAAGTCTGGGTATGTGTGAGAATTCTCCCAGATTTTTTTTTAAAAGAAGCAAAATTTAGTCATCTGAACATCCTGAGAGTGTCAGTGTGGCATTGATAATTGTGAGTACAGTATATCCAGTGTGAATTTTTGTAGGCCTGAGGATGAGTTGACCCAATTTAAATGGACCAAAGTTAATTCACTCCAATTTACTCAGAAATGCTTATGTATAAAACCAAGACTCCAGGGTCCAAGAATGAGAATGTATTTCCCAGTAGTCAGTTTACTTTATTAATGGTATAGAATTAGCCATCAAAGAACTGCCTTCCACATGATCATTGTATCCTAGACAGTTGCAAACAAAAGAACTTGCAGTAAAATCTGCAATCACTTAGTGAAGTCAGCAGCCGCTTTTGTTAATTATTAGCCAATACAAAGTTAAGGTGCTATGAATCTGCACCCGGAAAACCCTACCACAAACAAAACAGCACTAACAAGACGGAGCTGAATGCCATTCATCTGGAGACCAGAGTTGTTTTTACTAAACATGAAAAAACATCTGAAAAGAGCTACCTGTATAGAACAAAGTAAAGATCCCTGCTCTAAACCTTTTCCCCCAATACATGATACCTCAAATTTACCATTAGAAATGTATTTGTTTAAATGAAAATGGTACAGTGTTCCACACACTAGATTTGGAGTCAGACACCTGGATTCTAAAACTCAGGCACCACAGGCAAGTCCTCAAATGCTACGGGCCAGTTTCCTCATATGCAAAAGGGTGATACACAAACCTATGCTATAAGCCTCACAGGGTTGTTTTTCACGTCCAGCTATGTCTCGCTGTGTCCTCTACAGCAACCGTACTTCCTGCCAACCACCTTTACAGAGTGTGTCTTCCTGAGCTGCTCTCTATATTTGTCCCTTCTAAAAATCATTTTCTATGAAACTTCCGTCGCAGTCAGCAATGTGTCAATTGTCTGGAATCTTTCTTGTCATTGTCAGGGGTTTCTCCACATCACGTTTCACTGTCAGTGAACATTCCAGGCGATGACCAGTGGAAGAATCCGCGGGCCTTTCTGAGCTACTCGGTTGCTTTGTTTGTTACTCAGCCTTGATGAGGGACCTCTTCAGCCAAAGCAAAAACAGGTGGTGTGAGGCTAATTATCACTCTGTGGTCCTCCCTTTCTCATTTCCCCTTTTTGTCTTTCTAGTCATGCTTTATTTGCATCTTTACCCCACCATTCGAGGTAGATGCCATCTCTGCTCCCTCACACCCAGGCTTAGCACTTCCTTTCCCAAGTTCGAATGAAAATACTGTGGGCTTTCTAACGCTGCAGACAGCGGTTCTAATCCTGGCTCTGGTATTTGTGAGCTACGTGATTAACGGTGACTTCTCTGAACTTGTATCTCCTCATCTGTGTAAACGGAAGTCATGTCTACTTCACGGAGTTCTGGTGTGAACTAAAGGAGATTATATTTGTGCATCTTAATCACATAAGGTGGCCAAAAAATATTAATTTTCTTACTCCTTTAGATATGCTTTCTTCCTTTTGTTCTTTGTCATGTCTTACTTTCATTCTAAGATTCTTTACCATCAAAGTTCTTTGAACTTTTCTTTCTCAATCCCCTCCCAATCTTCTTCATCATCTTTTCTCAGCCCTTTGAGCAAGCACTTCAGCTGAATGGTTACACACAGGAGCTTTTGTCTGAGAGAGGTGAGATTCAGAACTCAGATCCTCTACCTGCCAGCTCTATCACAAGGAAACTTCTGACTTGCCCTGTTCACTGGGGCTAACAACAGGGCTCACCGCACAGGTTGCTGTGGTAACAATGCAATGGTACCTGGGAAAAGCTTAGCAAAGTGGGCTTCATGTGCAATAAGTGGCCATTAATGTTAGCTCTATTTTTTGTCCCCCTGATTCATTATTAAATCTTGCTCTTTCCTTCACATTTATCATGAATGATTTGCCTTCATGTTCTTCTAACTTCAAATTTCCTCTTTCAGATTAACTCTTCCTCTTTCCGCCAAATTACTCTCTGGCCTACACACATATTAACAAAACCAACCAGTGGTCATCAGTCTATTACTGAGGTGCCTAAAGACTCTTTTTTAAATGTTAATATACCTATTGCTTTTGAGGCTTTCAGGTTGTGTGCCATTACCATTTAAGGGTAACGTGAGGGTCACTTTTATGTTGTTGAAGGTTTGATGATCTTTCGCTCTTTTCCTCTGTCCACAACACCATCCCCTTCCATTTTCAGATACGTGCTCCCATCTTTGTCATCTGCGGCCCTCCTTTCTGTGTTGGTAATTGTTTCTTCTTTAATTTTCACCCTCTCATCTTCTAATTCACCTTTCCCTGATTAGTCTGGACAAGTAACTTTAACTTGTGATTCACTATTATTTCATTTACCCAATTTAAGAAGAAAGAGGTGTTACCCAATGGCCTTTCTGTATACCACGAATACACTAGTTGTAACTTTAAAAGCAGCCAACTGACAAGTTCTTCTCATTTGATATTCATAGAACATGGTTTTGCTTTTTTTCCCCTAAAAAGTCGATATTCAATAAAGAATAGATGTCCTCTAGTAGTCTGATAGAGATCTAGATATCACTCCTAATACAGTTTCCCATTATAAAAATTAATCTATCCTGAGCTCCACAGATTGTTTTCTCTGTCATTACACTGTCATGCCCAGCTTCCTCACCATACACTACCATCACCATCCCTCAAACCCTGGGCCCAAACCCCACTACTTTCTCATATAATTCTGGTCCAGGATCTGATGTGGCACCATGTTACTGGGCCCAATTCTACTCTGCCCTAGACCTCTCTGCCCCTTAATCTGCATTCTGATCATACACAAACAGAAAACACTCCAGAAGATTCATATTAACAATAATCGAATGTACAGTAGATACTGGGTTCTCAGCTGAAATGTTTACCTACTTATCTCAGTTAATCTTTATAGGTACCATTTTATTCCCATTTTATAAATTAGAAAGGTTAAGTAACTTCCCCAAAGTCCCTTAATTAGTCATTCCCTAAGTCATTTAACTAGTGCCAGAACCTGAAGCCACATTTGTCTGATTCCAAAGCCTGTCTCCTTTCTGCTTAGTGCCCCTTAAGAGGAATTGGTGAAGGAGGCAGGGAGGATCCCCCTGAAACTCTACAGAGTTTCACCAAGGCCCTGCTGCTAAGATTTCAGGTGTCATACTCTAATGCAGTGTTGATCTGAACATGGAAATCTATCTTGCATCTATAGGTTGTTGCTCAGTGCAAGGCTCTGAGCTAGGTACTCTGTGCAATGGTGAATAACACACATGGTCTGTCCTCAAAAAGCTCACTGTAGAGTAAAGCAGCTTGGTATTCCAGATCAACCGAGGGTGAGTTACAGAAAATCTTCATGAACCCTGTCATCTTTTGACATATCAGGGACCTAAATGAAAAGTGAAAAATATAGAAATGGGCCTTTTCATAGTACCTTTTTGAGCAACTGCTCGGGTTCAAGAGAAATATGCCCAAGATAAGGTTTTTGCCATAGGTTTTTTTGCACATATCTGCTCTAAATGTAACCACTACAAAAGCAAAGGATGAAAGTCTTTCTGAGGCTACTCCAAGTTTTTCCACAAGGGGTACCCCATGACTGAGTTCTTTCATTGAGCAGAACAAATGTTCAGAGGCACTGGACTTCCTTGCCTTTGGCTGCTTCAGGAATCGTAGCTCATAGTTCTGTTTCTGGGCTCATCCATCAGGAGGGACCATAAGGTACTAGTTCTCCCAACTTAGACTTTACTATGAGAGCTAAGCACACCCACAATATTCCTGATGATTGGGACCACTGGGATATCAGCTACTCAGCACTCAAGAAGGACCAGAACCCAGAATTCGTGGAAGACCTTGCAGACATGCAACAAGAGTCCAGAAGTTCCACCACCTACAAAAACGGTTGTGCCCTTCCAACCACACTGACTGCAAGCCTCTGTAATCACATTTTCTAAAAATAAACCAAGGCTCAGAATGGTGTCACCGCCAGTTCTTCTGTTTATTCATTATTCATTTATGCACACATTCATTCAAAAAATATTTAAGTACTTAGTGTGTGGCAGGCACTATTCTAGGTGATGGAACACAGCAGGGCATGAGTCATTCAAGGTCACTGCTCTCATGGAGCTCAAATTCCAGGAGAGGAGAAAGGAAATAAGAAAACAAATAGATAAAATACTCTTAGACAGTGATAGGTACTTTGAATACTCCAATAATAATGAAGATTATAATAATACTTCAATAAAAATGATGATGATAATATTAGCAGCGAAACTTACATAGATAGTGCTTAATAAGATCCAAGTAGGGTTCAAAGTGCTTTACATATATTAACTCGTTTGATCCTCACAACCCTATGAGAAATGTGTACTACAGCACTTCCATTTAACAAATGAGAAAACTGAGGTTTAGAGGCTAAGTAATTTGCCTGAGTTTCTGAGAACAAGGGAATATGACGGAGAGTGGTGATATGGGCAATGGGGCTTACTTTAGATAAAACAGGACAGACTTCTTTTAGGGGATGATACTTCAGCTAGAACCTGAACAATGAGAAGGAGCCAGCCTTGGAATGCTGTGGGGGAAGAGCACTCCTGGCAGAGGGAACAAGTGCTACGGCCCAGAGGCAGCTACACAACAGGTGTGTTTTAGGAAAATAAAGATGGCCAGCATGGCTGGAATGAAGTGCTAAGTCAGACAATGGCAAGATGAAGTTGGAAGGGAGGCTGCAGCCAGATAAGATAGGCCCTTACTGGGCATGGTAAGAGCTTGAGTCTTCTTCTAGGAACAACAGGAAGACGTTGAAGGGTTTAAGATGGGAAGTGATATGGTACATACATTTTAAAAATATGACTGCCTCCTGTGTGGAGAGTGGACTATGAGACACAGATAAGGAATGAACCAGGGAGAACAACTAGAGGCTATTGCAGGGATACAGGTGAGCAGTGAGGGTGATGAGAACAATTGTTGCAGTAGGGAAGTGGTCAAGATATGTTTTGGAGGTAGAGTCTGCATGATTGGCTGTTGGATTAAAATACAGTGATAAGGGAAAGAGAGATGGCATTTATAATTACTATGGTTTTACCCTGACATAGTGACTTCTAAGAGCCAGTTCTTAAATTTTCAGGAATTTTGCAAGACAGTTGCTAAACATAGCCATTATTAAAAATTAAATGTTATAAATTTATAATTAAATAAATTATATTAGGCAAAAGTAACGCATGCCTAAAACTTATCACTTCCTAATTGTTTTACTTATACTACATTTTTATTGTTATCTATGATCTTGAGGTTATTGATGGTTACATATCTGTTTGGTGGAAATATTACATAATGGTAAGCTGCTGCATATCTTTCCTGCAAGCAGTGGCCTCACATCGGTTGCTTTAAATTAGCCACGGTGGGAGTATTTACACCATGGAAAAGAGCAAATGTGACAGATCAGGGCTTCTTCACTTACTGTTTTGTTGATTGCCTAGAATGAAGAAAATGATGAGGGAAATGTCAATAATGCAGATTAGACTTAAAAGTGTATTGTCTTTGTAGTCACTGAATTATGAATAGCACAAAATATTGAGAAATTCTTCTTTCAGGATTCAAAAGTATTATCTGGTGTGACATCTCTTTCCCCTCCTTCTCTCTTTCAATCTAGGGACTAAGCATTATCCAAAAGCAATGGTTAAATTACCGCATTGGATGAGAAAAATTCTAGTTGCTTTGTTTTGTTTTTATTTTCTACCACGCAGGGGCACATGAGGAAGATTAGACCAGGTATGGACAAAATTTTAAGATATATTTTTTTTCTCCACATGTGGCATAGTGTGTTAGTAAATTCTGCAGCCCTGTTACAAAAAATTTGTACTAGATCCTCCTGGACCACGGTAACCTTTATGCATGCTGAGGGTCAGGTCTTGTCATGCATAGGTAAATTAGATCCTCTGCATGAGCTAAACTGCAAGCTCCATGGGGGCAGGGAGCTTTGTCTGTTTGTTCACTGATTTACTCCCAAGAACTCTGAATAGTGCCTGACACACACTAGGTATTTAGTGTTGAATGAATAAATGATTTGTTTTTCATTGCAATAGCAAAAAATGTATGTGAAAGGGTGCCTCAGAAAAGCTTAGGACCCAATTGAGGATTTTAAGGGGGCAGTTGTGCTGGGTAACAGCAAGAGAAAAATAACACAATGCATGTGATTTTTTTTTTATGGTTGAGAAGAGATCTAAATAGGGAAATAATGCCAGTTCTAATCTAAATATTTTGGAATGAACTGTAACTTCCTTCAGTTTCTCTCTAGCCTCTCCAAAAGGATTTAGCAATGTTTGGTGGTTTTGCCTGGGTATTTTAACAAAAGCTGATCTCATGCTGGCATTATAGCACAATTTTTTTTTTCCAAGAAAACCTGCTCAAAAGACTAACAGGGCACTCAAGAGTTCTCTGAGAGAAGGAACAGTCATAGAAATATTAAAATATAGACTTGCCCCTTTTTTTCCCTAAGTTCCACCCGAAAATCCCACCAAAATGTGCCATTCCAGTGTCTGAAAAGCAATGCAGAAGAATTTCTGTATCTCAAAAAATTCTGGAAATGATTGTTACAGCAAGTCATTTCTCAACCACTGTTCACACTGGCCGATGAATAGCATTCTTGAGTTCTCCAGTGAGCAGAGCCAAACAAGTGACTTCAGACTTCAAAATCCCAGGAGTGATTCTGGCCTGGCTCTGACTTTCCCAGAGGCAAAATTATCCTCCTGCAGAATACATCACAAATCCCAGTAAGGACTGTCCCTTTCCAGGTCTTAAGAGAGGGCTAAAAAAATCAAAAGCCTTATGCCTCCTTCCAAAATCCACTAGCACTCACAGCATTTGGCTTTATGCTGGTTTATGACAAAATATTCTCAACTGTGGGGTCTCAAAGGTTTCCCTTAAAATATTTTTTAGTAAGTGAATACATTATAATGATGCAGATGACTCCCCAAATTAAAAATGTACAAGGATTTGCACAAAAAATTTTAAAATGCTTTTCATTTGGCTTCTGTTTTAAAAGCATACTTGTAAATGAGCTCTTTTTGAAGGATATATAAATTGTATGTACAGGACAAAGAAACAATGTAGTCATTCCAGGGAAAATAAAATCATTAGCTTAAATGAAAAAAATAATTAAACCAGTTTATAGCATCAGTCTGTGAAACTCTAACTGGGTAAGAGACTGAAATGTGAGGATGCCATACTTGGGAGGGCATCGCATACACATTAGCGAAACCTTTTACTGAACTTTGCTCTCAGTGTCAAAATACCCAGCTGTGTGATGGTGCTACCAGGTTTTGTGGAAAGCCTGATGTGTGAGACCTGGGAGGCAAAATAAAGCACCCCCAAGCTGCTCCGGAGTCAAACCCATTTCTGCTTTCTCCAAAGTGCTTCCTTTCTTGTGGCTAATGTCGGCTTGGCCTTGAGCACTTCCTGACACAATCAACAAGAAGCTATAAACCATGGGTGCCCTAGGTTAGGATGGTGTTCAGTCGGCCAGAAACATCTGCAAGTTTGAGACAGTACCCCATATAGCAAAGTTATGTGCCCATGTTTCTTCCTACCTTTCAGAAGATGTGAGGAAGTATTGACCTTGCGAGTATATGTGTACATGTACAAAAGGATTTAAATTCTAGAACCTCTCCTTAAAAATTTCAGGTGCATCATGGTTCACTTAAAGGCTCTAAAAAATTAAAATTAAAAAAAAAATTTCAGGTGCAGTATGTGTGGATGTGTGTATGCACATGTGTGCTAATCTACATATGTTAACTGTATAATAAAAGGTGTAGTGATTGAGTAATGGGTTTTCCCATTATTTGGCTAACAAAAATTACAGCACATGCTCCATGCAGACTATTTCCAAGGTATTATTATTGTTTTCATTGCTGTTGTGGATAGCAGGCAACAGGTACTGAGTACAAATTATGCACCAGACATGTACATTTATTTCTTGTTCAACTCTCACAAGAAATCTATAAGCTGGATATGATTATTGATAAGAGAAAGATGGGTAGAATGAAGCTGAGAAAGGTGAAGTCACTTGCCACAGGGGAGCACTAGGGAAAGGGGAAGCTGGGCTTCAAGTCTGGCATTTGGCTGCTCTGAAGCTGATTTTTTGCCCCCAAATAAAGTGAGCTAAATATGGAAATCATTAGGGACAGAATTTGACCTTTCTTTGATAATTTTAAAAATAATTCTTGCTCTCACAGTGCCCCTAAATCACCAGTATGGTAGATGTATACAAATACAAGGAATTGTAGATGTATACAAATACAAGGTAGATGTATACAAATACAAGGAATTAAGCATTTCTAATCCCAAGAGTTATAGACAAGTAGACTTTTATTGAATGTTTACAAACGCAGCAACACAAGCAAAAAGCCATAGTGATGTTGAGTTGGAATATAGAAACTTCATCAAATCTATTGCATCAGGTAAAGGGAGTAAGCTCTGTATTCACCAATTTACAGTAAGTGCTTCTCCACATAAGATAAATGTTCCAGAAGAAAAATCTACCATTACTTTAAAATCCAAGATGGCTTGAAGTTTTTCAAGTTGAAAACCTTAAACAGGAATAATGTGTGATGGAGAACAAAGAGAATTTCTGATTTTAAAAAATCCAGGCATTTGTGTGTGTGCCGTGGGGAGGTTGGGGGAGGCACCTAGCACATCTGAGAGTGTGATAATACAGATGAGATCAGTAATTGGGCTAGATTAGCCAGTCAGGATGGGTCAGATGCAGCATTTTGTCCACTGTAATTCTCGTAACATCTTCATTTATTTTCAAGACATTTCTGAATGGAAATGTCACCTAGAAGCACAACTGAGAGAATTTCATCATAAAGCAAGCTTTTTTAAAAAGAAAAATGCACCATGTTACAGTCTTTAGAGTTCATGTTTTCACCTGATATAGACATAGTTTTAGAAAACCATGCCTGAAACGAGATGAAACTGGGTTAAAATATTATAGAATGCAAGATGCCAAAATCGTAAAACGTTAAGTAGAGGAATCACGGCCTGCTCCAAGCCTTGAATTTTTCACTTACATCCACTCTGTAAAGCAGCACATCATGTTGGCCCGTTCTTTATCATCACACAAGCCTGCCTTGTTCATCTTTATCTCAAAAATTCAGTTCTAAAGCATTCAACAGGATTATTCACTGTCTAGATTTTATTCAAATCGATTTAAGATCTCCTCCCCATCGGTGCCCAGAACTAAAATACAAAATGCAGCATCTTCATTTCCTTCAGAGTAACATAACTCCAGGCCAATCACCCAATTCAGATCTCGGGAAGAAGCTAGTCACCCCAAAATAGCCTCCATGTAAGGCTGCACGCAGCCATGGAGATGACCTGGCACTCAGCTGGCAGGAGGATGGGAAGACAGCAGGGCCTGTGCAGATAGGTCCTCAATAAGAGCCCTACGTTAATTCATGGGTTGCTAGACACAGATGAGTTATTTGAGTCCCTCCCTTGACAGAAATTTATAAAACAGAATTCCAGACTATAGAATAAGCTTACCAATTGTCTTAAAAATCCCCGGCCATGTCTGTTTTATAAAATTAAGCATTAAATTCATTAAATAAATATTAAGATATATTCTAGAATTCCAAAAAGTTGTCTTAACTACAATATTTCTAACAAGAAGATTCTATTAGTGCAAACGCAGAGGTACAAACATGCAGCTGCCCCCTCCCACATGTATTTTGAGAGCCTTGCTGTTGCCCCCAAACTACACCAACCTAACCACCTACCCATAGAACCTGTGGCTCTGCACACATTCACTTGACGATAGACAGGGGCTGATAATTGAAAAGCAAGCACTTGCTCCCTTAAAAGTCTTCTATTGTCAGGCTTGCAGAGGAAGAGTGGGGAGAAAAAAGTTCTGCATCTTTCATAGTTGTTTCTGCTCACACAGAAATTTCTGGTGTTGCATTAAGTAGTAATCAAAAAATACCTCCATGCCTTTTTTCATGTGTAAATATTATTGCTGGGCTGGGCGTGGTGGCTCACGCTGGTAATCTCAGCACTTTGGGAGGCCAAGACGGGTGGAACACCTGAGGTCAGGAGTTCAAGACCAACCTGGCCAACATGGTAAAACCCCATCTCTACAAAAATACAAAAATTAGCCGGGCATGATGGCAGGTGCCTGCAATCCCAGCTACTCAGGAGGCTGAGGCAGGGGAATCACTTGAACCGGGAGGCGGAGGTTGCAGTGAGCCAAGATCATGCCATTGTACTACAGCCTAGGCTACAGAGCAAGACTCTGTCTCAAAAAAAAAAAACACAAAAAAAACCCCAAAAATTATCGTTTTCATTTTCTCAGATCCTAGCTTCATTGCATATTGCTTTATTATATATGTTACAAGATGTCCTGGCTGAGCTAAAGCTCAGATATGGATATTTCCAGAAAGTGGAATTAAGCAAGACTCTTACTTCTACCCATCCACCTGTATTTACCAATTTGCTTTTGTTTTGAAGAGCATCCTTGGAAAAAGAGTCAAACCCTACCAACCTGAAATCTTTGTTCAGGCACCCGAATCCTTGTTATCAGTCATTTTAAAACCTGTGGGATAAACTTGCACTGCACATTGAAGCTTTATTCTTATATTTTAGCCTTGTATGTTTATAAGTAAAAGTATGTAATATACATACTGCTTTTTTGGTTGAATCAATCAAATCTTAAAGTTTAAAGCTTATTGACCTTATTGTTGGGAAATAATGATTTCTTTCTTTTTTTTTTTTAGACAGCCTTGCTCTGTCGCCCAGGCTGGAGTGCAGTGGCCCATCTCGGCTAACTGCAACCTCCTCTTCCCTGGTTCAAGCAATTCTCTTGCTTCAGCCTCCCAAGTAGCTGAAATTACAGGCCTATGCCACCACACCTGGCTAATTTTTGTATTCTTAGTAGAGACTGGATTTTGCTATGTTGGCCAGGCTGGTCTTGAACTCCTGGCCTCAAGTGATCTGCCTGTCTTTGCCTGAAGGCCAAGGTTTGAAGGATCACTCAAACACTGAACTGTTGAGTCCCAGTTGTGGTGTGGAGATGGTATTGTTCCTACTAATGCTAAAGTTTAGGTGAATCTGTATTTTGAGGAATTAGATGACTAAATCAACTGATAGGAAAGAATCACTTCTAGGTGGTACTATTTAACAGCATAAATGTCCCTTACCGCTCTTACATGGAAATGGGCACAACAGGAGTCAGAACGAGGGTGAGACTGAGGGTGCTCCAAGAAATCAGCTTAAGAACATGGGTATCTAGTGTAACCATCCATCTGCACATAACTTGGAAAGTGATGATGAATCCATCCCATCTCAGGCCATCTGCCTCGGCAGGTTGCACACTCTGGAGGAGACTTGATAGGTCTGACTTGGAGAAGGTGAACCACCACCACCTGCCCCACTTTGCTATGCAGGGTGAAAGGCACCACCCTTCTCTTCACTTGTCTCTTGAGGGTGGCAATTGCTTCTCTGGATTTACGGTACAGCACCACTGTTGTCATTTAGCCAACATCAGGAAAGGCTAACTTCCAGCTCCATGGACAGCAAAAGGTCAATGTCAGCTAATGTGAGAGGGCAATGGTCGACATAGGAACAGGAACAGGGTTTCAGCCTCCAAGTGGCCAATGGGTGAACATGTGTACATGGGTCCACAAAGTCCTGACCCAGCCAGCTGTAGCACCAAAGCAGTGAACTGCACCATGAGTTTACGGGGCATGAGGAGTCTTGTTATGCCTTCTCCATCCTAGCTCCTAAGAGAAGCATTACTCAGAGGGGCACGAGGGCGGAATACCAGTTCTGTCTACATGGAATTGTACTCATCTCCACCAGTACCCAATCTGAGGCCATGGTGGTGGCGCCATTCTTGCCTCATAAGCGGAACTGCATGCCCATGTCCAAGACTGCAGGACTCACAGTCGAGAGTGAAAACCAAGACTGAGCCTTGGATCCTTGGAGGCACCTTGAGGATGTCCAGAAGTATTAGTGGCAGAGGCTCTGTATGAGACAGAACGTCCTGCCATCTCCTAACAGGGTACCAATGCTAATGTCCCAGGCATAGCGGACACCACTGTGTTGTCTGCCCTGTACTTTTCCCCAATTCCATTGACACACATTTCACTTCACCCCCAACCATAAGGGTGGGCCCATTCCTGACACTGGATGAATCAGAGCCCCTCACCAGCCCTCCCAGGACACAGTGATTGACCAAGTGCCCCAAGAGGAGCTGCGCAGAGTCGTTTCCCAGCCTTTCTTGAACCGAAGGTGGAAGGATCAACCCTTCTCTCTGGTTACAAAGTGGTGAAGATGGGCCTTAAAGCTGCAGGCCCCCATCCCTGACTTCAGTTAAGTCTTGAGGAAGGAACTGGCTTGAGAAAATAAAGCTCGTTTGCAGAGGGAACCTGACTTGAGAGCTGGAAAGAAAGACAGCTAATGATGTTCACATCTGCAGGTCCAGTCACCTTGCCTCCCTCAGC
Organism: Homo sapiens; assembly: GCF_000001405.40. Taxonomy (NCBI): domain Eukaryota; kingdom Metazoa; phylum Chordata; class Mammalia; order Primates; family Hominidae; genus Homo; species Homo sapiens. The sequence goes on along the minus strand of NC_000012.12, from coordinate 26,145,088 downwards.
TGGTTACATAGACCAAAAATCTCTCACTGCTTCAGCTAATGTGAATTTGGTTTTTGCCACTTGTTGTGGGGTGAAGTCGTAATATAACAATGCTATCTGGCCAGTGAAGTCTGAGTTATTTCAGTTACACAAAGGTAGATGTGATAAGAGTTTGACTTAAAAATAAACAGAGTTCATACTGCATTGGCGGAGGAAAGTGACCAACTCATAACTTTTAATATGAATTTAGACTACGAATAATATAATCAGAGACCCTAGAAACAGAAAGATTTAGTAGATAATCCATTCTACTTGTCGGATAATATAAAATCATGCTACAAAACCATCTATTCTTTCAACAAATATTTACCGAGCTCAGTATCTGTCTTGAAGAATCAGAGGTAAACAAAAATGGCAAAGTTCCTACTATCTTGGAGCTCACATCTGCCTTATATTGCAATAATTGCCATAAGTTGTATCCTATTCATTGCCTGCTCTTGTTCTGTGTTTGATACAGAAAAATGGAAAAACTGAGCTCTGTTCTTGAGAGGCTCACAGTCCAAGAGAGACGCAGAATGTATATGTTACATGCTACAATGTTACCATGCCAGGGGGAATGAAAACCACGCCTTACCTTGTTGATAAGCAGGAAAGAATAGGAGGGATGGATATTACTAGGGCTACAGTAACATAAGACATCTTAAAACTCTCCTAGTTTAGGCACCAAACTCTCCTCTGGGTCTTTTACTCCATTCGATTCACTTGTTCCTGCCTTACAGCCTGGTGGCCAGCATTTGATTTTTATGCTATGGTAAACCATGGCAAAGTTCTGCATTCTAAATCACTTGCAGAAAGAATTGATCTTACCCTAGTATTTGTTTAAATCAGCAAGTCTTTGTTTTAAGGCGGCAGTCCCCAACCTTTTTGGCACCAGAGACCAGTTTCATGGAAGACAATTTTTCCATAGACTGGGGTGGTGGCGATGGTTTCAGGATGATTCAAGTGCATTACATTTATTGTGTACTTTATTTCTATTATTATTACATTGTAATATAGAATGAAATAATTATACAACTCACCATAATATAGAATCAGTGGGAGACCTGAGCTTGTTTTCCTGCAACTGGATGGTCCCATGTGGGGGTGATGGGAGACAGTGATGGATCATCAGGCATTAGATTCTCATAAAAAGCACACAACCTAGATCCCTCACATGCGCAGTTCACAATAGGGTTTTGCACTCCCCTGAGAATCTGACAGGAGATGGAGCTCAGGCGGCAATGCAAGCAAAGGGGAGCAGCTGTAAATACAGATGAAGCTTTACTTGCATGTCCACCGCCCACCTCCTGCTGTGGGGGTTAGGGACCCCTGTTTTAAGGTACATCACAAAAATGTAACTATTTGTTTCACATGCCAATATGTCAAGTATTTCTTTCTAACTGTTCAAAATGCCTACCTGATTACTGGCAATTAAATTAGCAAAGTCATTTTACAGGCCCCTGAAGTACCCATTCTGCATCCTACCTGCCTCAGCTCAGGATTTCCCTAATGTCACCTAAGAGGCCCTAGAGAGGCACTTAAAACACCAGCTCTGCAGGCAGGCTGTCTGGGTTTAAATCTTAGCTCTTTACTGACTGTGTAATCTTGCGCAAGTTACTTAGCCTCTCTGAGATTCCTATCTTCCATCTGTGAAATAAGAATAATGATGCCCAGCCATAGGTTACTGTGAATATTAAATGAAATCATGTGTATAAAGCATTCAACAGAACACCTGGAACATAATAAGCACGCTATTAATATTTCTCTATTATGATTACACAGGAGCTTATGATGATCAAGTATATTAAGATGATACACTACCATCATCTTAAAGAAATATTTTGCTTAGCTGTTTGGTACCACTTTATACTTAATCAAATGACTACTGTTTCTTTAAAATATGAATAAAGGCTACTTTCCAAAATATCTGCTATATTCAGTGGCCATATTAATTTGTCATAAATGTAATATGTGTATGATATCCTACTGAGAACTACAAAGAATTATAAGTGAGTCATAGTCCTTGCTTTCAAGAAGTTTACTATCTAGGAGTAGAATAATTAGACCAGTGTAAAAAATAGGTATATACAATGTGACAATCATCATAATACAGGTACAGTAAAGTGAAAAGCAACTGAATCCATTTGAGAGGACCTGGAAGAGGTGACATTGGAAATCTCACTAAATTGCATGTACAGATGAAGGAGCCAGGCATTTCTGTAGATGACAGCACATTCTTTATTCTTTCCTTCTTCTCTGACTATTCCTTCTTGGTCTCACTCTTAGACACACATCTTTCATCCAATGTGTAAAAGTCAGTATTCCCCAGGATTCCATCCTCAACCCACTTCTCTTCTAATCTCCATGTCCTGAAATAGCTCAACCACTCATATCACATATTCCATTCATTCCAGATATAAATCTCTAGCCCTGATCTTTCCCAAGATTCAGACTTAAATCCAGCTTCCTCTGAGATGCCTCTTCCACCCATGGTACGTCACAAACTTGTCACAGTGAAATCTGTCTCATATCCTCCTCCCATATTCCTTATTCTTATTGAAGGTACTACTCTCTGTCCAGTCACCCAAACCAAACCCTGAGTGTCAACTCCTAATACTGTTTCTCTCTCACTCACGCAATAAATTGGTCACCAATCCCATGGAACGCACCTCTAAAATACTTTCCCAGATCTCCCTATCATTCTCCATTTTCACTGTTACTGTCCTACAACCTTTCATCTTGAAAATGGCCATATCGTCCCAACTGGTTTCCCATCTCCAGCATTACCTCCCCTTCAATATACTATCAACAGTGTCATCAGAATACATTTTCTACGATGCAAAACTGGCACTGCTTAAAACCCTTTCATGCCACCTAGACAAATCAAACATTTCTTGGTAAGTCATACAAAGTCCCAGTGATAAGACACCTTCCTAACTTTCATTTTAGGCCCAGCATAACCAAATCACCTGCAGTTGATTTAATACCTGTGTATTCTCTTTCACAACCTCCAACAACCTCTGCCTGAAAATCCACCTGCTCCTTTTTACCAGGCTTTTGCTTTCCTACTTTCTCTTCAAGGTTGTGCCCAATAGTAATTCCTCTGGAGAGCCTGCCAAGGTGCTTTTCCTATGGGTGCCTGTGACTCCCCATATGAGTCCCTTTTATAGCCTTCATTATACTGTTCTGTAATCATTGCTTTACTCATCTTCTCTCCCATAGACTGTGCATATCCTGAGCAAGACATCCTGTTTTCATGCATTTTTTAAAAAACATACATTCACTGAGCGTTTACTGAATGAAAATGATATACTAGGTACCTGACTTCCTGAAGTTCATATGTTAATGATATGTGTCTGGTAAGAAGGTATAAAGACAAAAACAAATTAGTAAGACAATTTCATATTCTCACAGAAGCTATTCAGAAAATAAAGCACAGAGTAAAAAGTGACCAGGTGGTGGTGGTGCCTTTTTGAGGAGATTCTGGTAATCCAAATGATGAATAACCAGCTTTGTGAGGATCTAGAGGAGAAAGTTGTAGGGTCTTGCAGGCTACTGTATTAGTTTTCTGTGGCCATGCTAACAAATTACAATAAATTTACCAGCTTAAACAACACAAATTTATTATCTGAGAGTTCTTTGAGATAGAAGTCTTTCATGGTTCTCATTGGGCTAAACTCAAGATGTTTGCAAGGGAGCACTCCTTTTTGGAGGCTTTGGGGAAGAATCCATTTCCTTACGTTTTCCCGTCTCTGGAGGCACCCACAGTCCTTGGATTTTACCTCCCTTCCTCCATCCCCAAACACAGTAGTGCTGCATCTACCTGGCTGTTCCATTGTTACCTCTCCCTCTAATTCTCTTCTGCCTCCTGCTTCCACTTATAAACATCCTTTTGACTACATTGTTCCCACCTGGATAATCCTGGATAATCTCTCCTTTCCAAGATCCTTAATATAGTCACATTTACAAAGTTTCTTGTGCTATGTAAGGTAATATATTCACAGGTTCCAGGGATTAGGACATGGACATTTATGGAGGCCCATTATTCTGCCTACTATAGATTGGACTTTGATCTAACTGAAATACGTTAACTAGTGGAGAGATTTTAAGCAAAAAAGTGGCAGGAGCTGCTTTATATTTTAAGAGTTCCTGTGTGAAAGATCTGTGTGATGAAAAAGGAAAGGCAGGAAGACCAAATATGAATGTATTCATTCGTACTCACATTGCTATAAAGAACTACCTGAGACTGGGTAATTTATAAAGAAAAGGGGTTTAATTGGTTCACTGTTCTGCAGGCAGTACAAGCAGCATGGCTGGGGAGGCCTCAGGAAATTTACAATCATGACGGAAGGTGAAGAGGAAGAAGTCACGTCCTACATGGCCGTAGCAGGAGGAAGAGAGTGAAGGGGAAGGTGCTACACAATTTTAAACAGCCAGATCTCATGACAACTCACCCAATATCATGAAAACAGCGAGGGGAAAATCCACCCTCGTGATCCAGTCACTTCCCCCGCGGCCCCTTTTCCAATACTGGGGATTACAATTCAACATGAGATTTGGGCGGGGACACAAATCCAAACCAGGTCCACTCTCTCAATAGTCCCAATGAGAGATAGTGGCTTTGACTAGGGTGACAGCACTGAAGATGGTGAGGACTGTCCAGATTTGAGAAGTATTTTGGAATAGAAGAAACAGAACTTGCTGATAGGTTCAATGTAGAAAATTAATAAAAGAAGAGGACAAAGGATGATCCTTAAAATCAGAGCTCAATTAACTGGTACATGGTAGTGTCATTGACTGAGAATGATGAAGACTGGAGGAAGACTACATGGGTTTGGAGCAAAACATGGACATTACGACGTACCAGGCTGGAATGGTCATGATTTCATACAGTTATTTCATAAAAACAACTATATTTCATGAAATAACTACATGAAATCCAAAAGGAGTTATCAGGTAGGAAGTTGAATTTATGAGACTGGAGCTTGCAGTAGAAAAGCAGAGATGGAAACATAAATTTGGGATTATCAGCATAAAGATGATATTGAAGCCATGAGCCTGGATGAGATCATTCAGTGAGGAAAAGGAGACAAGAGAGGAGGGCAAGAGCATATCCAGGAAAACTCAAATCTTGACAGGCCTTATTCATTTTTATAGCCCTAGCACCTAGTGCTGGCAAAGAGTGTCCGCTTCAGAAATTGCTGATAAACACAGGACCAACATTCTGGGACTCCACACTATGACGAATTAAGTTATAAAAATTTACCACTAAGTAAATTATAGTAAAAACAAAGGTAATAAATAATCAAAGCCCATCAGTTCCTAGATATTTTACAACATTTTACTATTATTTTACTGTTTACCACATTTTACTATTATCTTACTATTTACCACATTTTACTATTTGCTTTTCAGATTAGTTATTACATCTATTATACTTTCCTAACTCCACTGTCAGTGATGCCACATTAGTAGTGGTGGGAGTATTTACACCATGGAAATTGGCAAGTGCTACAAATTTATTATTTTGCCAATTGTTGGACTCAAAAAAGAGATAGAGAAAATGTTAATCAGGCAGATTCCATTTAAAAGTGTCACATTTATAGTTATCACATTGTGAATAGCACACAAAAATAGGGAAATATTTTTCCAGTATGTGAAAATTATTACCTGATTTAGTGAAAACATTGCTCATATCAATGATGAATAAATGAGGTTCTAACAAATGTCTTCACTGTATGACTTTCACCTTAATCATTAACATAAAGGAAAATTTCAATCAACATTAATGTCAGAATTACACTTGGGAATTAATTGCACTCATAGGTTGGCAAGAGATAAAAGAATTTAGCAAAAATCAATAAAAGCACTCAGTGAAAATCAGTTGGCTATATGGGATTCACAGGAGTAATATATATTTTATTCTTATGTGTAAGTGTGTGTTTTTGCTACACATCATTTATAACATAGTATATAATAAACCATACACACACATGCACACAGGCACACACCTACATTTTTCATAAAGAACCAGTTAAACATTTACCAGCACACTACTGCTTACATCTAAACCTAACTAATCCCTATATGGTATGATATGCAGAATTGAAATTATTATATTACTATTTATTTATGGGAAGTAACTAAAATATTCATAGCAAATTCATGATCACTGTTTAAAAATATTGATAAGTTATGTCATTTGAGTTCCAGTAAAATTAAAATGGACTATAGTTTATCTTTATTGGCCTGAATTTATGCTCGATCATTGATTTTTTTTTCTTCCCACACGGATTCTGAGCACCATAAGCACCTTAAAAAAAGAACAGGTTAAAAAAATGTCTTGGCTTTTTAAAAATAATTATTTATGGATTGATCAGTATGTGGGCCTAATAAAAGCATCTAGACTTTCCTTGTGCAATGTGATAGTCACTAACATGTGGCTATTTAAAATTAAATGTAAATTAACTAAAATTAAATAAAATTTAAAATTCAGTACCTTAGTTAAACTAAGCAATTTTAACTGCTCAATAACCACATGCGGCTAGCACTACCACATTGGACAGGCCAGATTATAGAATATTTCTTTCACTGCAAAAAGTTCTGTTGGATAGCCCCTATCTAGAAAATGCCTTGCACATAGAAGATACTCTATTATTGTTAACTCAGTGATCAAATTTTACCCTATTTTGGAAAGGTGAAAAGTTTAACAAAATCAAAAATTTGTTTTTCAGGAGAAAATAAACCACCAAAATGATTGCATATTTGGATATCTTTAAATACAGTTGGCCCTCTGTATCCACAGGTTCTACATCCACAGATTCAACCAATCGTGGATCAAAAATATGTGAAACGAAATAAATAAATAACAATACAAATTTAAAAATTCAGTGTTTATATAGTGTTTATGTCATATTAGGTATTATAAGTAATCTAGAGATGATTTCAAATATACGGGAGGATGTGCATAGGTTATAAGCAAATGCTATGCTTTATTTACATGGGACTTGAACATCCACAGATTTTAGTATCATGGGGTCGGGGGAGGTCCTGGAACCAGTCCCCTGTGGATACTGAGGGACAACTGTTAATATTCAACATAGTAGGCCAGACGCGGTGACTCATGCCTATAATCCCAGCACTTTGGGAGGCTGAGGTGGGTAGGTCACTTGAGGACAGGAGTTCGAGACCAGCCTGGCCAACAGGGTGAAACCCGTCTCTACTAAAATACAAAAAAATTAGCCGGGCGTGGTGGTGGGGCCCCTGTAATCCCAGCTACTCGGGAGGCTGAGGTAGGAGAATCGCTTGAAAAGAGGAGGTGGCAGTTGCAATGAGCCAAGATTGCACCACTGTACTCCAGCCTAGGCAACAGAGCAAGACTCCATCTCAAAAAAAAAAAAAAAAAAAAAAAAAATATATATATATATATATATACATACACACACACACACATATATATGTATATGTGTATATATATATTCAAGGTAGTGACATATTTATTGGACATCTTCTATGTGTCAGAAATACTAGTCACCTCACAACAGGCATATAAGATCCTCATTCTATAAGTGCGGACACTGAGGTTTAGGGAAGTTCCAAACTTTGCCTCTCCCAACTAGGCAAACAGGTATTCGTAAAGCTTAACCTTATGCTCACAGTTTCAGACCCCAAAGCCATGCTCTTTCTGGCATAATGAAGCCTCGCTTCTCTAAACAAAAATCATGGAGGTAAATAGAAATGCTGAATTTTTGTCTGGGTTTTTGGGAGGCCATTGTGCACACAGGCAGTCAAGATTATGGGCAATGACTCTGCAGCCGCAGTGTTTTCTTCAAATCCTGGCTCTGCCATTTACTATTTGTGTGACATGGACAAATTACTTAACCTGTGCCGCAGTTTTTTCCTTTTCAGAATGGCATTATCACACTATCTATATCAAAGGGTTGTTGAGCAATTAAATGAGTTAAGACTTGCAAAACAGTAAAAGAGAGCATGGCACAGAGTAACTGCCATAAAAGTCTTGCTTTTATTAGTAGAATGGCTGAAATAAAGAAGAAATAAGTCAAGATGCCTCCCATGGCCAGCTAACAAAGTTTGAAACTTAATTCACCCATGTCATTCATTTAAGACCTGACCAAGGCTTTAACTTACGACAAAGCATGGACTAACAGGATTTCCCCCAATTTGCACATAAATGTGGAACTATGTGACAGCTCTCAGAGGAGCTGTCTAAATAGCATGATTTAAAAGGATAAGGTTGTGACCAGTACTGCCTATTTCCAAGTAGCACACGAAGTACCATGGACTCTTAACTATATCTCATTAATGGAAAATCACGTTGACAGGTCTGGCCTTCTGTTTTATTGTTATTCACCCATTACTAGAGGAAAGAGTAATGGAAAGCAATAGGTTTACCTCTTGAACTTAAAATGTTACTCAATTCATCAATTATTTTCATACACCCATATTTTCTATGACACTCATAATTTTAACCAAGCAGCTCAAATGGGAAAAATAATAGCTATCATTTATTGCTCACCTACTAGGATGGGGGTGTTCTCTGCGCATTGTCATGGACACGCAATAAACAGAGGGAGGTACTGCTATTTCTCTGTAGTTACATTTGAGATAACCGACTCATTCATAATTTGTCCAAGGTCACACAGCTACTCAGGGGAAAACAGCATTTAAACTCAGGTCCTCTTGATCTTAAAGCCTAAGTCCATACCAACTCTGCCACCATACACAGCAACATGAAACACACTTATCCCTTGGTATCTGCAGGGTATTGGTACCAGGACCTCCGGTGGATACCAAAATCCTTGGGTGCTCAAGTCCCCTGATATAAAATGGCATAGTCTTTTACACATAGCCTACACACGTCATCCCATACACTTTAAAACATCTCTAGATTACTTATGACACCTAATACAATGTAAGTGCTATATAAATAAACTGTATTGTTTAGAGAATAATGACAAGGGGAAAATGTCTGTACATGTTCAGTACAGACACAATTTATTTTCAAATATTTATATCCTAAGGTTGGTTGAATCCATGGATGGGAGCCCACAGATATGGAGGGTGGACTGTAATATGAAACAAGGACAGAAATATGAGATATGTCTATTTCATTACCTTTGGTATGTCTGAAGCAGAATTTCTAAAACAGAATAAAAAGCCTAGGAAAAATCAGTAGTGCCATTATCCAATGACAAAATTGACTCAGAATTGTATCTCAGCTGGATCACCACTGGCAATGCAGGAATGTTGAGCAGGTGTGAACTCAGACCCAGGCCTGCTGATGGCTTGTGGTCACCGGGGCTATATTTGGCAAACGTAGTTTGATTTTGCAAGAAGCCCTTGACCAGAAAAATCAAAACTTTCTTTTTGAATACATAATTAGAGAAATGAGAGCTATGTGTTTTTGCAAGTACGAGTGCCAGGAGGAAATGCAAAGTTGGCTTGAGGGTGAGGGTTGATGTGTTTCTGACCCTATTTCCAGCCTATCAAGGGCACGACTGACTGACCACCTCCAGGAGAATTCCTCCACATTCGTAGCGCATCCTCCAGACCTGGTTCCTGCCTCCTGCATCTTGCCCCAGCTCTCTTTTGTCTGTACTGACCCTTTGCTCCTTGCCTCCTCTGTGCCTACCAGCTTGGCATTCTGATGGACTGGCTTCACTGGCTCTCAATCCTCCCACTTTGTTCCGGAGTCTGAGGCTTGACTCCTACATCCTGGCACAGTGCTTGTTTCTTTCTGCACTCTTGGTAACCAAGCTCTTTGGCTCTGCCCCAGGACCCCCTCCTGTGATCCACTCAGCCCAGCAAACCTGTAAACACAGCTTGCCAGGCCAAACTCTGCGCCCCTCCCTACTTCTGGCCTCTGAGAGCCATGCCCTGGATGTTACCTCACCAACCCACGGTCTCTGGAGCACCTGTGGAATTCGACTGGACTGGCTCCAGCTTTTACAGTCTCTCTGATTTGCTAATGCACACTGCGAAAGGAAGTAAAAGTTCTGCAAGTGAGAAACTCAACTTACCAAGGCTGCTAGGGAGCAGAGCTTACTGCCTTCTGGGCACCGAGCACATCAATCCTGGTACAATGACAAACAGCAATTCCACAGCCACAGGCCCTACCCCCTGACAGAACTTCCCACTACTTCACTAAAGACCCTGCCAGACTACTGAGTTTCCTGCAATATCAGGAGCATTTTATGATCCTTCATGGTACCTACTTTCTAATCTCCATGTGCCTGGTAAAGCCAAGAAGTAAATATGCAGTACTCTAAGTATAGTGAGGGTGTCCCTGCCCATAAAAGCCACACCAATATAGGAAAGTCCTAGTGGGGGATGGGAGGGTGGGAACCAACATTATATTCCCCACCCTCAACAGGTACAAGGACACTTCAAATGTTATGTGGCTTGGTTATGACTTGTCATTCAAGTGTTTTCCTGGAACAAAGCCAACTTCAGTGTATAGATGATTTGGTGGAGCACATTTAGGAATCATTCAGAAGAGTTGTGTGTCTGTTCTGTGCTCAACACTGTCCTAGACACTGGGGATACAGCAGTAAACAATTCAGGTGTCTGTCTTCATGGAGCTTACAAACTAGTGGGGAAGACAGATGCTGAAAAGTCATATGAGTCTTTCAGTCAGCAGAAGTTATGAAAGACAGGCACAAAGGGAGCTGATAGAAGGAGACAAATCTGGTCCAGGAACTCAGAGAAGGCTTCTTGGAGACAGTGATGTTTCAGATGACACCCGAAGGTTGAGTAGGAGGAAGAGAAGGGAAAGACATTGGGGAAGTGGGAACAAAACATTCTAATCAATCAAAACAGTGTGAGTGAAGGACCTGAGACAGCAAGAGCAGGGTACATTAAAAAATATTTTTTGAAAGAAAGCTGGTATGCTGGATTCTAGAAAGGGGGGCAGAGAAATGAGTGATGAGACTGAGATGTAGGCAAGAACTAAGTCATATTCAGGCCACTGAAGAGTTTCAAGTTTGATTTTAACTTAATGGAAATAGGAAGCTATTAAAGAGTTTTGATCAAGAGAATGACACGAACAGAAAAATTGCTCTGGCTATAACTTAGTGATTGAATTCAGTGTGGTGGAGGGGGATAGAAGGCATACACAGTGGATACAAGTGTGAGATACCTGATGCCAACTCAGCACCAGCTCCACTGCCTTCTCCACTCTGTCCTCATTGCATAATAAAAACTTGGAACCACATTTTTCCAGAATCCCCTCCCCACCTCTTTCTAACTTAGATTCTGCCTTTGAGAGGCCCTTGTGCAAGATGTGGAAAGTGGCAGAGACACACCATATTTCTCCCCTGGCAGCTGTGTGCAGATGTGAGGTTTACAGTAGCTTCTGGACAAGCTCCTGCAAGTCAGCCTCTTCCACATGGCAGGCAGCTGAGCTCAATGGGATTCAGGTTTCCCTGAACCAATTGTCAAGATTTTCTGGAAGTCAGTAACAGTTTTTCCCAAAACTGATAATCCCAGCCTTTCCAAAGTTTATGATTATGCCTTTAATCTCCTCTGTCAAATTCCTCCTACTTGAAATATCTAGGGTGGTTTTTATCTTCCTTACTAGACCCTAACTGTTAAAAGCAGGGAAGAAGCTCTTGCAACATTTGGGGTGAGAGATTATGGGGGCCTGGTCTGGAGTGTGGGCAGTTAGGATGAAAGGGGGATGGAGTTACAGATATTTAAGAGGTGGAATTCTCAGATATTGTTATTAATTGGATGGGGGAGTGAGGGAGATGAAGGGGTTGAGAATGATCACCGCATTCTTCGTTTAAAGGTCAGGCTGTCTTGCTAAATTTGCCATCCAGTCCCTGCACCTGAAAGTGATGTAGACATTAAGCTGACCAAATTCGCCAGCCCTGTCAGGTCCCTTTCCAGGTTGAACTGCTGAGGTCAAAGAGCTGAGGGAGTCAAGTATATGATGATGAGGAAGTTGTCCTTTTCAGGATGTGAAAATCTATGTGTTGGAGGTTATGGGTCATTGTAATGAGTTATATTCTTGTATGAAACCATTCCAGCCTTCTCTGGAACAAAGGAAATTAGCTAAGTCTAACCCTGTCCTAATCTCCCCCTAAAAGAAACCTGCTAGGGCAATGACCAAGCAACTGGGGTCAGGGTGAGGGCTGAGGGGCTGGGGATGAGAAGAAGCTTCCTAACAGACACTACAGAAGATGTGGAACACCAAGGAGTAGACCAAGTTACAATCCAGAGCAAAGTTAGCTTCAAACACCAAAGAGAGAAAGTTTAAACACTAAGCCATGAGAAGATCATACTTGTCAAGGGAGGTGGGAGAATCCCAGGGGAGGGTGGAGAGCCGAACAGGAGCCATACAGTGAAATTGTATATGCTTGGAAGGGGTGGGTGTTGAACAGGCATCCCCACCATCAGGGAGCTAGGGCAAATTGGGGAGGTAGATATAATGAAGGCCTAGATGGCTCAGGAAAGCAAGGGAGAAAGCATTTTCTTTGCTAGTGGCCTTTACAGGACAAGCCTTACCCACAGACCAAGGCCACTGACTACATTTTCTGGAATGATTTCTAACGTGCAATACTAGAGAAGTAGAGCTGTTTAAGTGTATCTCAAATGTACCAAAAAGCAGGCTTTTTTGGAACATAAAATGGCTTTAGGATAATTATTCCACTTTCTTAGTGATCTTTTCTCTTAAGAGAAATTTAATCCATTAAATTGTAAACTTATTGAAGACAACGTTCACTACTGAATCCCTAAAACCCATCACAGTGCACAGTTCATATAAGCACAGTAAATATTCATTCAGTGGATGAGGATTGGATAGGAGATCCCAAGATGCTAGACACAGGGCAGCTTTATTCAGTGAGCTAACCACACCCTTACCCTTGTGTCTGTCTGTAGGGAAATACATGCAAAATTCCCATTCAAACATCAGAAATTCCAAGTCAGCTAGAATGGGGTTAAGAATTTCCCCTCCTACCATCTTCCTCATCTCTCAACAACTCCTCTAAACATCAACCCTCTGGCAGGGGCTCCCATGACCTGAAGCAGAGCTTCACCAAGGAAGGTGAAATGCTTGGATAGGAGATCCTCTCAGGGGCTGAGGGGAGAAGGTAATTAACTGTTAAAACTCAAGACTCTTGCCAGTGACACCCTGGAGCACACCTAGGTCCCTATTGCCTGGCTTTGCCATTACTACATGACAACAGACAAGTTACCTAAGGTCTCTGAGCCTGAGTTTGTTCATCTGTAAGGTAGAGTTGATGGTGCCTAGTTCTAAGAATTGAGAGCACTGGACATTGTTTATAAGACACCTGCCTTAATACCTGTCCATAGTAAAATGCTCCAAAGATAGATTCTCTTCCAGCATTCACCTCCCAATCCCAGCCTTAGAAATTAGTCCCTCTTCTCCCATTGCACTGCACTCACTTACCTCTTCTTTCCTCCCTCATTTATTCCAGAACCCAACTGGATAGCATAGCCCTCCCACAATCTTCTGACCCTAAAGCAATTGTATGCTACATAAGTGTGGCTAGAAGTGAATGAAGTGCAAAATCCTAGATGCATTCAAGGAACTATCAGAGAATGCCTTTCTCCTGGAAGCTGCTCTCTTCAAGCCAACTGCCAGAGGCAGAAGGCACAGCTGCAGGGACAGGACAACCACAGGACAGGTCTGCTACGTAAAAAGACAGACAATCATTTCCAAGAAAACATGCAGCTGAAATTTGCATTCTACAGGAAGAAGAGCAAACTCTATTAAATTTCCTCCCTAAGGAGATTTCTACAATTATTAGAACTTAAAAATACAGACGTTAAGGACCATGTGCTTAAGGAGTTAGTTAAGTTTGTGCAATTGCAGACAGGAAGATTGACATTTTTCTGAAATTGGAATTAAATACCCTAATACAATAAAATGATGCTGCCAACTCATATGGCATAATAGAGGGGAAGAGACTCACTGATGAAAAAAGAAGAGGACGTGGACAAGCCATTTCCTTTTAGTCACATCACTGCAGAGATGGCTAGTGCCAACCCAGTATCTAGTCTCCACTTCCCCTTTACTAAAAGAACCCCTATATTGCTGTGGAGCCTCAGCTTTGAAAACTACATTTGTAACCTCTTGTAATGGGATTGGACAATGAGATGGGTGGAGCTTGCAAAAAAAAAAAAGCTCCTTAAGAGACCTTGCTCAGTTGGCAGGCACCCTTTCATCCTTCCCTGCAGGAGTTCCTGCAGCCATCTTCTGACCATGGGGTGATCTTGCAGATAGACGCTGGTGGAGAGTGGAAAAGCAGAAGTGTGGGACACTGATGGCACTTTTACCACTTCACGTTACCCCTGGACTGCTTACCTTCAGACTTCTTTTATGTGACCAAAAAAGAACTTCCTAATTTCAGTTGCTGTTATTTTGGCTGAAATGCAGACCTTAACTAATATACACAGCCTGGATTTCAGTCAGTTTCCTTACTAATGATGATTATAAGTTAATACCAGAACCATAGTACTTGTTGGGTAATTGTTATATATGATTTTTCGCTTTAGCTATTAAATAAAAAGTTTTATACCAATAGTTTTGATTGTAAGTCTGGATTTAACCCTCCTTAGCTAGTTTTCTGTTGTTGTTTTTTTAAAGTAGGAGTACCTTTGAAGTCAGAAGAAATATCTGTTACTGACAACTCTCTGCACCAGGAGGACACCATCTGACAATTGATGTAAGGACCGTATGAAGCCCATAGTGGGTGGGTGAGAGAAGTGGACATTTAGTGCATCTTATTTATATTTGAATGTGCTTCACATTGCATAAACATGTTTTTCTTGGAAGATTTTTCCAAGAATTTTCATCAGCAGTAACAAAGGAAACACAGACATTAAAAGGCCCCTCTTCCTGCAGACTTCCACCATCCAACTAGTCCAGACTCCAGAGAAATGGTAGAGAACACTTTGTGAAAGTCCTTAATGGGGTTGTCATCTCCTCCTCATGCTACTTTTCCGGTCTCATTATGGATCCACCTCAATCAGTATGAGAAGCACATGGGCACCATGAGGGACCAGGCAGATACGTAGGGGCAGAAGGGCCAGGGAATCCTCCTATTGTGGTCTTTGGGCTTGGCTCTCTCCTAGTTGTCTTTTGTATGTTAAGAACTCCAGGAATTTTGAGCACACGTGAAATGCAGAACAGCCTGCATGAATGGTTTTGATCATCACATAAATATGAAAATACAAATGATTTCAGCAGAAATAAAATTTATTTCTAATACTCAATATTATCTGCTCCTTGAAGCTATGCAAAGACTAATAAGTGCATAAACTTCTTGAGCAGTGTTACATAAATGTAAAACATGGTTCATAGGTATGTTTATGGCTACAGACACATTAATTGATAGTCTTCAGAAAGACTTAAGGTCCTTTACAAATTAAACGGGGACACGTGTGCTGTTTCTGCTCATTTGCTGAGTATGCAACTGGAAAACCCAATCTTCTATTCTGGCATTTAAAATCCGGTACTTTCAGCAAATAACATCATCAATATTTTAAAGTCATACTGGCTTCTGGTGAGTAGCAGTGGAATTGCCGTCCCTCCTTAAATCCTTCTCTGAGGCACCCTTCTTTCTGTGGTGTGCCTGACAACATTAACTCTTCTCCCTTGAGAGTAGGTGTGCATGCCAAGAGCCGAAATTCCTAGGGAAGCTTTTGTAAGTCCAGATCCCACCCCGCTATCCCCTCCAGGCCTTGATTTTAGCATCAACCCAAAACTTTTTTAGATTGTTTTGGACTCTGCTTAACTTTGATGTAAAACGTCTGCAGATTCTTGTCCGCTCTGTAAAACAGAGGTGATCAAGAATGGCTTCTGCCCTTCAGATGGGCCATTTTCACAGTATCACAGGCAGGAGACTCTACGCCCCTAAGCAGATTTTGGGGCCATCAGAGATGTACAGTTAGTTTGGATCACACTTGGGTTCCTAAAACACCCTGGAGTTAATTCTCCAGAAGGGCAGTAGGGCTTGCAGAACCCTAAAGAGGCAGAAAACCTCTATTCCCCATGGAAACTTTAATCCTTTCAGGCAAGTTCTGTTTCTGTTGGAAATCCAAGACTTTGCAAACAGGATAAGGCCTTCTAAAGTCACAGGGTGAATATAATGAGTGCAGGACTTAGGATATTTAGGCAGGGGGGAGAATTGGCCTAAGTATTTCCTTTCATTAGTGTCTCTATAGGTAATGATTTCCTTACTTAACCAAAGAAAAGCAATGGAAGCAGCTACCCCTCGCCTATTAAAAGGAGAAAGATGGATATCTTTAATTGAAAGCAAAGCATCACAAAATTCTTTAATTATAAGCTCAAAGGGGCTTTGAGCTCATCTTGTATCTTCTTGGCTTTCAGCAGGATAGCATTAAGCTTTCCTAAAAAGATAAGACTCAACCTATTTTAAAACATATCCAAAGATGGCATTCTAGTTTCTGTTCCTTTGTTAGCGTACTTTTTTTCCCTTTCTAACCTCACCACAGGTGAACTTTTCCTATTACTAACCTGAAGTCTTCACATTAGAGCTTGGCTCAGTTTGCTCAGCAGAGCTGGTGAACAGCTGGTCACCATCAGCCTTTTCTAAACTGTACTTCCATCTGTCCATCTGTACAAAATTATAAGAGTTAATTAGGATATTTGGATTTAAATCAATAAATTTGAAGCTAGATGCCAACTGAATGACTCACTGACATGGCAAAAGACTGCCTCTCTTCTTGCCATAGCTTTTCTTATCTCTGTCATCAGCTCCAATGCTAACACCTCTCCCTTTTCCATCTCTCTTGCAAAACTCCCCACACAATTTCATTCACACACACACACAAATGTGCACACTTATACTGGTAAATAGAAAAACATCCCTGAAGCAGCTAGTTAACACTTATACCTTACCACTCACTATTCACATTGAGGTGTAAGAGTCGTCCAGGGTCCAGACTCTCGAACCCACTGTCTGGGCTTAAATCCTGGCTCTGGGACCTTGGAAATATTTTGCAATCTCACTTTGTAAGCATTTTCTCATCTGTAGAATGGAAACAATAATAGTATCTACCTTAGAGGGTTGTGGAAATGATTAATGACTTAATACATAAAAAGCTCTTTGAATGCAGTCTGGTACTCTAATCTTAAAGGCTATATAGTTGTTAGCTATTGTTACACCCTTCTTGCGCAAAGGGATATTCAGAGGCATCAAACTATGCCCAATATTCCAGAAGCCAAGAGTTTGAGAAAGAACAGGAATGGGATTCAAGTTTAAGGGAAGTGGGTAACCAAGAAGAGTCACCAGGGTGAAAGATCAAAGAAAAAAAAGGGCAAAAAGCAAACAGGAGATTGACAGAACTACAGAGAAATGGCAAAAGCTGGCATTTAACAGGGAAAAGGTAGACAGAGAACATAAGGGAAAGGAAGATAAAGAAGAAATGAAAAAGGGAAACATGAGTTAAAAGGTGAATATGTAAAGGAAAGACAGAAAAGAAGAGGAAAAGGGGATCAAGAACAACAAAGGAGATAAAAATTGGGAAAAGACCCCATTTGCAGTTTGAGTAGGTATCACGGGAAAAGGGTACGGAAGTGGGGAAGCTTGGGGCAGAAAGGATGGGGGGAGAGAGGAGCCTCAAAGAGATAACAGAAAAAAGCTTCATGTGTCATTTGCAGCTTTTTGTCCCTTTAAATTATGGGGTGCTGCAAGCTTATTTAACCCACCTTTGAGCCTCAAGGCTCCTGATCGTGTTCCTCCTATTTCAACTTGCATTTAATCTCTGCCCCAGACTTAGCTTCTAAGGTTTGCCCTGGTCAGATGTCTGCCTTGTGTTTTTAGCCCGACGAGGCCAAAATGCAATGATCTTGTCTTTATTTCATTTTCCCTAACCAGTCATCCTTTTCAAGTGAAATTTAGCTCTGGAGCAAATATTTACATCCCCTTTCTACTCCAAACATTCAGAAATCTAGAAGGGGACCTGGTGTTTTAATTTTTAAATTATTCACCTAACGGCATTCCCATTTTTAGTCAATTAAAAAGAGGTAAAAATGATACAGTACTGCAGGAATAGGTCGCTTTTAGGGCTCCAACGTGCCCTCCCCATCGAAGGGTCTTAATTACCTAACCTTTTGGAAATAGGAGAGAGGTCGGACCGAGATTTAAAATAAAGTCAGCATTTTAAAAATACTTTTTAAATTAAGAACCATCGTGATTAAATTGCCTGTTTGGTGCAAAATACGTTCCTCTATTTGAGGAAGTCGAGAGACCTTAAAAGGCCCTCTAAACAGATGAACTGAACGGACCGCGAGCGTCTCCTCACGCCGGGGTGATCCTGGGCCGCCGCCGCCGCCCGAGTCACGAAGCCAGACGCAGTGCGCGTCTCCGCCCAGGACTCCGGAGACTGCAGCAGCGCGAGCGGCCGCCGCGGCCCGGGCTGCTCCTGGAGTCGGGGAGGAGACGCGACTCCCGCAGACACGTGACCTCCTCCCAGCCGCCGCTTCCCGCGACCCAGATCCGTCCCCGGAACCCGTGCCCGGCGGGGCGGGCCGGGGGACACGTAGCGGGCGCCCCAGTCCCTGCTGCGCCCTGGTGCATGTACCTTTGGCGTTCTTCTCCCCTCGGTTCACTTATCACCGGCAATAATCAACGTTTCAGAGATCACCCCGGGGAGAATGTAAATATCCCTCTCTGTGCAGGAAAAACCTTGGTTTTTTTCTCTATGTCTTTATGTATATCTAGAGAAATATATATATAGCCTCCATCCCACCCCTGGGAGTCCCTCAGGACATGCCTTCCCCTGGGCTGGCAGGGCGGCGTGGGCAGTGCGCATCCCCGGGCACCTCCCGGTAACTCTCACTAGCAGTGAGTCATGCTCCCAGGGTGGCTCTGGGGAAAGGTAACCCGGCTCTTGCTGGCCTGTGATTCCCGGCGCCGAGCGCCGCGGCTGCAGGGCGAGCGCGCGCGCGCACGGGTTCCCCGAGCAGTGATGTGGCAGCAGCGGCAGGTCGGATCACGTTGCTGGCCCTGTGCTGGTACCCGTTTGAGACCGGATTAAGGAGGGAGGCTTTGGAGGTGCCAGCGGTAGTAAACGTGGGCTCTGCACACTCCGGGCGTCTCTTATCGCGCGGGGGGGCGGGGGGATGGGGAAAGCACGTAGCGTCACCGGAGGCTCAGAACGCGGCAGAGTTGAGCGGGCGGGTGATAAATGCTGCATAGCTTTTCTGTGGTAGCCCCTCTCGTGCCACCCCCTCTCGTGCCACCCCCTTCTCCCTTCCCAGCCCCCACTCAACCCCGGCTCGCTCCCCGCCGCGTTCCTCCAGGAGCACACGCGGCCCCAAACGTCGTCATCTGCTGCTGTGATTAGTGGCACCGCAATTCCGGCTGCTGCGGGGAAGTTTAGTTGGCCCAGGGACGCCGTGTCACCGAAAGACACTTGGATTGCGACATTCGGACCCAGTGACAACGTTTTCATGTATCTTAAATCCTTCAAGGAGCGGATTGCAAGTTGCTTCTTCTCGAGGCAACCTCTCCACCCAGCGCCAAGGAGTCCCTCCAGGCCACTGATCAGTGAGCAAACAAGTCTCCAAAATTTCCTTTGGGACTCAAGTTTACCCACCGCGAATTCTCTTTTCACTTCCTTTCTATGGTTCAAACCAACAGCACAATCGGTGGAAAAGCAAAAAGCCACGTTCACATTCCTGCACCGTAACAACGGACGAACCCAGGGAGTCGCATTTTGGAGCCAAGGAAGCTCAGGCTGCCCCGCACCCCTGCACCCCCACTCCCCCCTCCTCCTGCCGACTGCATCGCCTTTGGGAAGATGAATAGCTTGGCCGAAGTTGTTTTTCCTTTCCGGTGGCCCTGATCAGGTGTCCCCGCCCCCTCCTGCCGTTCGCCTTCTCTCGCCGCCTTCTCCCGACGCCCCCGCCCGGCCCGGCCCCTCCTCCCCCGCCCCCCTCCGGGCTGGACCGCGGATGGTACGTTCCGCACGTGAGCTGGGTGCTGGTCTGGCCGGCGACGCGCGTGCCCTGTGGCCAAACACTGCCTGGAGTGAGAGCAAACTACCAGCGCAGTGGGGCCGGCGCGAGTGTGCGTGTGTGTGCGTGTGTGTGTGCGAGCGCGGTGGAGGGGGGGGACCAACTGCTTCACACTTTCAACACTGCACTGAAGAGGGAGAGCGAGAGAGAGACTGGAGACGCACAGATCCCCCCAAGGTCTCCCAAGCCTACCGTCCCACAGATTATTGTACAGAGCCCCAAAAATCGAAACAGAGGAAACGAACAGCAGTTGAACATGGACGAAGGAATTCCTCATTTGCAAGAGAGACAGTTACTGGAACATAGAGATTTTATAGGGTAAGGTGCACGCACCCTTGCGAATATCTGTCTAGGCTTTGGTTTGATTTTTTTCTTCTCCAGAAAGTGGTATGGAGCTGGCGAGGGCAGAGCCCCTCCCCGAATGGGTGCCTGATGCTGATTTCTGTTTTGCAGACTGGACTATTCCTCTTTGTATATGTGTAAACCCAAAAGGAGCATGAAACGAGACGACACCAAGGTAAGTGTAAGTTCCCGATATTCCTCATAACCTGCATGGGTAGTTAATTAGAGCCATTGATTTCACAGTGAAGCTCTGCCCGCAAATATATTCCAGCCCCTGAGCTTCCCCAACTGTGAATTTTAAGTGGCTTGCTGGGTACTCTCAGGGGGATATTAAACATCATACCTGAATTTAAATTGCATTGCAGAACAGTCCAGAGGAAAGAGGTTTCTTGGGTGTAGTTTATCACATAGTATGTTTTATGGTGGGGGGGCGGGGGGGGCAGACGAGGGTAATATCCAATAAGTGAATGTTTCGCTTACTGTTTTCTCTTTTCCATGACTCTCATATATTAAGGATACCTACAAATTACCGCACAGATTAATAGAAAAGAAAAGAAGAGACCGAATTAATGAATGCATTGCTCAGCTGAAAGATTTACTGCCTGAACATCTGAAATTGACAGTAAGATGCACATTTTCATTCTTTGCTGCTCTCCAAGGGCGTGTTAATAGTCTGGTGCGACTCCCAGAAAATATAAGAATAAATGTAAATATAAGTTCCTGACTTAAAACTTGTGCTATACCGTACAGAGTTTCCCGCAAACTGGAGTAGGTGCTCCCAGCTGAAGGCAAGAAATCATTTATAACCTGTCTTGTGGAAAGCTCAAGAAGTAAAAGAACAGTACTTCTTTCAAAGTGTTTGCTTAAATTGCTGTGCTGAATGGACAGCCAATTAAGCCAAATGTGTGTTTTTAAGTAACCAAGTGCCCGTTTCTTTTTTGCACCACTGCAGACTCTGGGACATCTGGAGAAAGCTGTAGTCTTGGAATTAACTTTGAAACACTTAAAAGCTTTAACCGCCTTAACCGAGCAACAGCATCAGAAGATAATTGCTTTACAGAATGGTAAGTCAGTTCAGGGAGGCCAGCCTACCCTGATGAAGCGGGGCAGCCCACAGGGGAGCAGTGTCAGGACTCCCTCACCCGCACCCCATCTCTTTCCGTGGGCTCATGGGTTCCCTCTCATTTGTTAAATTGCTTATACTTTCCCTTCATTGGAACGAGCCCATTTCCCGAAGCATCCTAGAGGCTTTCAGCAGAACTCGGAGGAATCAGGATTTAAAGTGGCGGTTGCACCCGCTCCACTTTGGTTTTCAGCTGGGAGGAGAGCGCCCTCTCCCCGCTCCGCACCTCCGCCACCCCGCTTCTCTCGTCAACTGGTGGATTATATCACTTGAATACTGGGGAAAAACCGAGATCACTTTAGTCGATGCAGGGCCCACGTGATAAGCAGATGTTTTAACGTGGGTATGTTTCTTCTTGCCTCCACTCCTCCGTCCCCCACCCCCATCCCTTCCTCATCCTAGGGGAGCGATCTCTGAAATCGCCCATTCAGTCCGACTTGGATGCGTTCCACTCGGGATTTCAAACATGCGCCAAAGAAGTCTTGCAATACCTCTCCCGGTTTGAGAGCTGGACACCCAGGGAGCCGCGGTGTGTCCAGCTGATCAACCACTTGCACGCCGTGGCCACCCAGTTCTTGCCCACCCCGCAGCTGTTGACTCAACAGGTCCCTCTGAGCAAAGGCACCGGCGCTCCCTCGGCCGCCGGGTCCGCGGCCGCCCCCTGCCTGGAGCGCGCGGGGCAGAAGCTGGAGCCCCTCGCCTACTGCGTGCCCGTCATCCAGCGGACTCAGCCCAGCGCCGAGCTCGCCGCCGAGAACGACACGGACACCGACAGCGGCTACGGCGGCGAAGCCGAGGCCCGGCCGGACCGCGAGAAAGGCAAAGGCGCGGGGGCGAGCCGCGTCACCATCAAGCAGGAGCCTCCCGGGGAGGACTCGCCGGCGCCCAAGAGGATGAAGCTGGATTCCCGCGGCGGCGGCAGCGGCGGCGGCCCGGGGGGCGGCGCGGCGGCGGCGGCAGCCGCGCTTCTGGGGCCCGACCCTGCCGCCGCGGCCGCGCTGCTGAGACCCGACGCCGCCCTGCTCAGCTCGCTGGTGGCGTTCGGCGGAGGCGGAGGCGCGCCCTTCCCGCAGCCCGCGGCCGCCGCGGCCCCCTTCTGCCTGCCCTTCTGCTTCCTCTCGCCTTCTGCAGCTGCCGCCTACGTGCAGCCCTTCCTGGACAAGAGCGGCCTGGAGAAGTATCTGTACCCGGCGGCGGCTGCCGCCCCGTTCCCGCTGCTATACCCCGGCATCCCCGCCCCGGCGGCAGCCGCGGCAGCCGCCGCCGCCGCTGCCGCCGCCGCCGCCGCGTTCCCCTGCCTGTCCTCGGTGTTGTCGCCCCCTCCCGAGAAGGCGGGCGCCGCCGCCGCGACCCTCCTGCCGCACGAGGTGGCGCCCCTTGGGGCGCCGCACCCCCAGCACCCGCACGGCCGCACCCACCTGCCCTTCGCCGGGCCCCGCGAGCCGGGGAACCCGGAGAGCTCTGCTCAGGAAGATCCCTCGCAGCCAGGAAAGGAAGCTCCCTGAATCCTTGCGTCCCGAAGGACGGAGGTTCAAGCAGAGTGAGAAGTTAAAATACCCTTAAGGAGGTTCAAGCAGAGTGAGAAGTTAAAATACCCTTAAGGTCTTTAAGGGAGGAAGTGTAATAGATGCACGACAGGCATAAACAAGAACAACAAAACAGGTGTTATGTGTACATTCGGAGTTCCTGTTTTGCTCATCCCGCACCACCCCACCCTCCACACACTAACATCCCTTTCTTCCCCCCACCAGCTGTAAAAGATCCTATGCGAAAGACACTGGCTCTTTTTTTTAATCCCCCAAATAAATTTTGCCCCCTTTTAGGCCATGTTCCATTATCTCTTAAAATTGGAACCTAATTCGAGAGGAAGTAAGAAGGGTCTGTTCTGTGGCTGAGCTAGGTGAACCCCGGGGTAGGGGAAAGATGTTAACACCTTTGACGTCTTTGGAGTTGACATGGAACAGCAGGTAGTTGTTATGTAGAGCTAGTTCTCAAAGCTGCCCTGCCTGTTTTAGGAGGCGTTCCACAAACAGATTGAGGCTCTTTTAGAATTGAATTTACTCTTCAGTATTTTCTAATGTTCAGCTTTCTAAAAGGCATATATTTTTCAAAGAAGTGAGGATGCAGTTTCTCACGTTGCAACCTATTCTGAAGTGGTTTAAATGGTATCTCTTAGTAACTTGCACTCGTTAAAGAAACACGGAGCTGGGCCATCGTCAGAACTAAGTCAGGGAAGGAGATGGATGAGAAGGCCAGAATCATTCCTAGTACATTTGCTAACACTTTATTGAGAAATTGACCATGAATTAATGGACTCATCTTAATTTCTTCTAAGTCCATATATAGATAGATATCTATCTGTACAGATTTCTATTTATCCATAGATAGGTATCTATACATACACATCTCAAGTGCATCTATTCCCACTCTCATTAATCCATCATGTTCCTAAATTTTTGTAATCTTACTGTAAAAAAAAGTGCACTGAACTTCAAAACAAAACAAAAAACAACAACAACAAAAAACAAGTCCAAACTGATATATCCTATATTCTGTTAAAATTCAAAAGTGAACGAAAGCATTTAACTGGCCAGTTTTGATTGCAAATGCTGTAAAGATATAGAATGAAGTCCTGTGAGGCCTTCCTATCTCCAAGTCTATGTATTTTCTGGAGACCAAACCAGATACCAGATAATCACAAAGAAAGCTTTTTTAATAAGGCTTAAACCAAGACCTTGTCTAGATATTTTTAGTTTGTTGCCAAGGTAGCACTGTGAGAAATCTCACTTGGATGTTATGTAAGGGGTGAGACACAACAGTCTGACTATGAGTGAGGAAAATATCTGGGTCTTTTCGTCAGTTTGGTGCATTTGCTGCTGCTGTTGCTACTGTTTGCCTCAAACGCTGTGTTTAAACAACGTTAAACTCTTAGCCTACAAGGTGGCTCTTATGTACATAGTTGTTAATACATCCAATTAATGATGTCTGACATGCTATTTTTGTAGGGAGAAAATATGTGCTAATGATATTTTGAGTTAAAATATCTTTTGGGGAGGATTTGCTGAAAAGTTGCACTTTTGTTACAATGCTTATGCTTGGTACAAGCTTATGCTGTCTTAAATTATTTTAAAAAAATAAATACTGTCTGTGAGAAACCAGCTGGTTTAGAAAAGTTTAGTATGTGACGATAAACTAGAAATTACCTTTATATTCTAGTATTTTCAGCACTCCATAAATTCTATTACCTAAATATTGCCACACTATTTTGTGATTTAAAAATTCTTACTAAGGAATAAAAACTTTAATATACGATATGATATTGTCTAATAATTAAAAAAGACATAATGGATGCTCAATTAGTTTTAAGATATCTATAACTATAGGGATACAAATCACTACAGTTCTCAGATTTACAGCTTTTTTTTGTCATTGGCTTGATGTCACACATTTCCAATCTCTTGCAAGCCTCCAGGCTCTGGCTTTGTCTACCTGCTCGTTCCCAATGTATCTTAATGAAAAGTGCAAAAGAAAAACCTACCAATTAACTTGTGTGGTTTGTTTATGTTAGACCCAATTTTCTATTGTTTTAATGATTGACAAGTTTTTCAGTTTTCGTCTGTGACATCACATAGCCTCTCTAGTATGGTCAGGTGTTCCTCTTTCACTGGGTCTTGTATAAATAGATGATCACAAAGGGGTGCTTAATATGAGAGTGTTTTGGCTTCTTTTTATAAAATAATTCTGTCATGGGACTTTATCATGGAATTCCAGGATCAGAAATAATTTCTAGACTTTTCTCAAATTTCCATTCAAATCTGTGATATGATACAAACAGTGAAGGATTGTCAGCTTTTAGTTTCAGGAATGTTCTTCACAAACCCCTTGATTTTTGAAAATGTTTAAATGAGAGTCAGATTGTATAAGATGTAGAAAAAGTGCTCCCTCTGCTGACTTTATGGCAACTGAACTGCAAGTCATAACAGTATGAAGCCAGAAGGAGCCACAGCTCATCCAGTCCCCTGCATTTCGTGATAGGAAAAAAAGAAAGGAAGCCCAGAGATATTAAGTATCTTCCCAAGGTCACAGAGCTACCTAGAGTCAGCACTAGCACTAGTGGCCAGCTCTATTATATCCCTCAGTCACTCAACTACTTCCCATTGCAGTATCTTGGACCAAGTAAGCTGAACTTGATTGAGCAGCCCCCATGAAGCTTCGTAACAAACCATAGAACAAAGGAAATTGAAATCAACACTAGAAAACTATGTAGGATTTTTCAGCATTGTTAATTTATTGAACTTTAGAAAAATTATCTGAATCAGAATAATGGGAAAAACAGCATTTCAAATATTTTGAGCTATATTTTGATGCCACTACTGTAGTAATATTAGTTTCATAACCAAAAAGGATTAAAAGTGAATCAGAGGATAATACAGTGTTTTTAGCATGTGTATAATTTTGGTATAATGAGATAAAAAAATCTTCAGAGTTGGGCCAGATTTTACAAGTCAGTTATTTAGTCCAAGTGCCCATATGGTAACATGGTAAGATAAAGTTAGAACAGAAATGCAAAAATAATATTGTCTATATTGTATCTGAAAATCTGAAAAAACTTTATTTTAGTCATTGATTTATTTTAATGAATTAAAAGGCTGAAGTCATAATTCACTAAAGAGGCTTCTATACTTGTAGTGGTGAAATTTCAGCTAAAATGATTTTCCAACTTCAGGCAAATATGAATCTTGAGTCAATGTTTTTATGAGTATAGTATTATACTCATAAAAATTTAATTTTACATACATATATTTTACATAATCTTTAAAAAGATTAATTTTATATAACACATTTCTTAGCAAACTTTATATTGAATTGAAAAAAAATGGCCCTTCCCTCCCCTCCAAAGAGCTAACCTTAAGCACGTTTTCAAGGCACTAGAAACAACACTTTAATAGCTATGTAAAATTTGGAGTTTTAGTTCCTATCATTGTGAAACTATTTTTCATTTAGTTCCCTGTTTCTGGCCATCCAGGCGATGACTTTGGTTATTGCCCACCACCCGAGATTTGTTCAAAAGTTATGTAAAAGGAGGCTCAGCCTACTCCTTTCTATGTCACAGGTCAATTCTTAACCTTTCCATGGAAAGTGATTGCCAGTGGAGCCTCTGGAGAGACATGGCTGGGCAAACACACGAAGGACTTTTACATTAGCTAGAAATGAACAGAGCTCTCATGAATGACTTAAGACCATTATATTGCCAAAAGCTGGCTGTACTGTTGTGATCATGGTATTTTACTTCAGGTAGCAACCTGATATTTTTCATTAAACAAAAATTCTTAACCTATTGGACCCTCAGCTCAATATATTTAGACCCACCCATTGTTCTCACTGTTATTTTAAACAAGTTCAAGATGGATTTACAGTGCATGCTAAAGTCCCATGGAAGTTCTAGTTTTTCATAGAAGAATTTAAGTAAGGGATTGACGTGGGAAATTATCACATATTTTGTGTGATTAAGATGGGATTTATACTAGAAAACAT
This sequence comes from Homo sapiens, assembly GCF_000001405.40. Lineage (NCBI taxonomy): Eukaryota > Metazoa > Chordata > Mammalia > Primates > Hominidae > Homo > Homo sapiens. Next base: position 26,118,035 of record NC_000012.12, on the reverse strand, counting down.
GCGCAGCATGTACTTTAAAAATATGCTATTCTAGGAGTTGTACGTTTGTCTTAAAATCGGGTTTCTTATGCTCGTTCAGAGATTCCATATTGAAAACTCCAAACAAATATAAAACCACCTTTTTTAAATGTTGATATTTTAAAATTCTAAATTCAGTGATGCCTAGTTTGTCCGACAGGAGGGACAGTCAGTGGTTTAGAAAACTAAAACTTCTATGTTCAAATGCCAGTGCTGTTTTTCATTTTTGAATTTTTAGTGGAAAGCATACTAAAATGTATTACACATATCCTCTAAATGTCTTAACCTGGACATACTTAACCTTTCTCAATAATTCAGGGTCATCATTGTAAACATCATTTTTGCACTATGCATGACATCTGGGAGTAATTGCACCTGCACCAAATTTTTTTTTGAGTTCTACCTGCTTTTTATAGGGTTTTTCAGTCTCTTTACGCACAGCTAGCCTGTCAGCTGTCACTTCTTGAAGCCTCAGAGTGCTTCCTCCATCTCTTATCTAATTTGCTACCTCTGACTTACTGTGGGCTGGGAAACCATTTAAACACTACCACGCCCATTTGAAATGTGCTAAAATTAGAGTAAATAGGCTCTGACAGAGGACCTGAGGGTTTGTTCTACAAGTAAGTTGTGTGAATTTGTAGAATCTGTGACCTTTTTTATTTCCTTTAACTTCCAGATAGATTCTCAGCTTTTTTATTTCCTTTAACTTCCAGATTCTCAGCGATGCTTCTTATGCAAATGCCTTCAAGATTACTTATGCAAATGCCTTCAAATACGTTATATATTTTGCCATCATTTTATTACATAAAAATAAAAGCAACTTGCTAATGGTTTTAGCCCACAACTAACCACAAAATAAACAAATTTGCATGTCAGGAATAAGTTATTTGATTAGATGAACACCTCTCTCTAGTTGCTAAGAATAGGGGAGGGAGGGCCACTAGTGAAACTGACTCAGCATTTTGATTTAAGGATGACTCTGGCTCCTGCTTCTAGTATGTAACCTCCCCTGCCTCTGGGTATTGGACTTCTTGGGCAGCCGGCAGAATGCAAAAGTATTCTGGGGAACTGGCAGGATGGGTGTGTAGGTCCAGATGCTGCCTCTGAATTTAGACACACCCATGGTGAGAGGTTTCAGACTCCTCATCGATTACAGCATATTCCTTTTCTTCTTGAGTTTATGGATTCAATAAATGGTGTGGGGATTCAGATATTTGTTTTGCTTGCTGTATGTGAGGTGCCATGGTAAGTGCTAGAGAATCAAAGATTAACCTCTGAAGATCTCAGAGTCTAGTGTGGGTGATAGACCTATACTAAAATAAATTACATTGCAACACAGTAAGTGTTATCCAGGGATGGATACACTGCTGTGGTGGGGGTGGGAGCTACTAATTACATCCAAGTGAGGAGGCCTAGGTGAGAAGTAGCTGGGTTTTACAGAAGGAACGGCAGCACAATAAGGGCATGAGGCCATCTCCAAAGAGAAGGTTCTGGCCGACCCTGCTCCCGTGCTAAGCTGCACTACACTTTATTTACGTTTTTATAGTAAAATTTTCTTTATTTAGAGATGACATTATCAGGTACATAAATCATAGGGAATCAATCTACCAAAAAAAAATCCTACTAGAACAAATACAAGAATTTAGAAAAGCTACAGAAGAAAACATCAATAAACAAATATACATTGTATTTTTATACACTAGCAATGAACAACTGGAAATTAAACTTTAAAAAGTGCCATTTACAATAAGCTGCAGTACAGTTTAATTGGCTATATTTGACTTGAGGTCTAAGCAAGGATTTCCTAACTTGCCAGTCTCTTTAGAGCGTGACTGCTATGCTGGCTCTCACCAAAATCGCCTCCTGAGGATTTGAACCATGGGCTGGGACTAGGGAGTCACGATATTTCCTGCTGCGAAGTGAGATATGATAGTATTCAGAGCATGATCATATCTCATGTGGTAGGGGAACGAAAGCAGTACCTCATGAGCAGCTCTTTGTCTCACCTCCTCCATCTATCTGTTTTACAAAAGAAACTAATGGTGACTTCTTTCCCTTCGAGTAAGGGAGTGAGAGAGACTGAGCAGTTCTAGAGGGAAACATGGCATCCTAAGGCCTGATTTTCAAAAACCTTTGGGAGGAAGCTGAGGCAAAGAACTAGTCCAAGGTCATAGAGCTCAGTAAGAGAACCAGGATTTTTGGTTCTGAGTCTAGTGCTCTTTATACTTTTATGCCATAGTTTTAGTAATGGGGAGGGACAGGCTAAGGTTTTCTCATGGAATGAGTTGAGCTAGCCCATGTGCGATCCTCAAAGGCAGAGTATACTTGCTGGTGGAGAAGGAAAGATTATCACCATAATAATCTTGCTAAATTATGGCATAGAGCATGCAATAATTTTGAGAGAGATGAAATTCTAGGGAAATAATTTTCAAAGTCTCCTACAAATAACCATACTATTCCATCATCCACTCACTTTGGAGACATCCAGAAATGTGCCTTTCCTAGTTTGGAAGTCTCCACATAACGGTGGGCTTTCTGCCCCTCTATACCTGTGTGGTCCTGGTTGTGCCCTAGAGGTTCTCTATAACAGAAGGGATCTAGGACCAAAATAACCTATGAAGCTGGTCAGAGAGAACCTCTAGAATCCAGCAAGCTGGAGAGAGGGCCATGTGCTACAGTTTTTATATAGAGTATTTTTAGGGCACTGTGAACTTTAGCTAAGGTTTCAATTTTGGAGCCTTTTCCATATGGGTGTGCACACAGAATATTATGTGCTGCACAACAGAGATATTGAGTATCTGCCAGATAGTTTAATACATGTTGCTTCCATATGCGGCCTTGCGGCTTCCTCACTGTGATTCGAAAATTAGCTGTAACAGGGGGACTTCAGTCTGACCCAACTCCTGGCGACCTGTAACTCAGAGCAACCAGAAAAACCCTTATAGTATTATAAAGACACAGGATTCTAAGACACCTTAAGCAGGACTTAGTTTTCAAATACATATTATCTTGAACAAGGCTTATCTATCTGCCTAGCCATATCGTGGTTGTGTAAACCGCGTATGACCAGAGAGGCACCTGACTGCAGGCACCCCCGAAGGCCTCTGCAGACCCAAGTGGGCGCGATAATGGATCGATTTCTGAACTGTGCCTGCTAAGATCCTCATTTTAAAACTAGTAAACCAACCCTTGCTCCTTGAATCACCGTTTGAGCGCTGCATGGGGGGTTGGAGGGAAAGGAGGGGGGAATAATGTCATCAGCCTTGAGCTCTTCAAGGGGCTCTAGGATTGGAGAGAGAGGAAAAGCATTCTTAGGTTGCCTAGCGATAAAGCTGCAGATGATATCATTCTCCCCGAGGCCGGCCTCCCCGCCTGGTTTTCCTTCCTCCCTTCCCTGCTCCAGTCTCCCACGCCTGGGTTCAAAGTACAGCCGCGCGGGGTTAGGGAACCGGGGCCGGACGCGGCGCTGTCACGTGTGCCCGCACATGTCTGGGCGCACGCTGAGCAGCACGTGAGAGGGGGCCGGGGAGGGGCGGGGCCTGCTCGCCGTCCTACGCGCGTGCGCGTCCACAGTTCTCCAGACGCTGGCCCCGGGGCGCTGGCGGGCGGCGGGATGGGGGACCGTGGGGCCGAGGGCGGAGCCGAGGCGGCCGGGCCCGGGCGCGCTCTCCCGACAGCTGCACCACACCCTTCCCGGCTGCGTCTCCGCGGGCCAGCCCTGGGTAGTCATCCCTCCCGAATTAAAGCTGGCTCTGACTCGGGACTCCTCAAACCATTCTGACACAGCAGTTTCCGAGCGGCCCTCCTGGGCGCGGGTTACGCGAAGGTCGACACCCGCCTCAGAAGGGCCTTGGGGCGGGAACTCCGGTCTAGAGCGGGCCGCGGCCGGGCGGGACCTCAGCAGGTCCAGGCCCCGGGCCAGGACTTGCGGGGAAAACCCCAGGTGGTGGGTGGGGGTGGGGAGAAAGTGCCAGAGGAGAGTTCTGGGCAAACGAGGTGTCGCAGTACCGGCTGTCTGAGGCATTACATCTTTTCACTGGGCTCACGTGGAGTTTTGCAAATTGAATTCCCACTAATTAAGTACTAGGCGATTTGTTTAATTGTGATGAAATACACTGGGACTTTCCGTTCAAGGTGTAAAGTAAGAGAAGTGATTTTATGGCACGAACGGATTTTGCATGGTGCAGTAAAATGAAGGAAACTAATGTAGCCAGGGGCCGGGGGATGGATTTGTTGTTTTTTTTTTGTTTGTTTGTTTGGTTGGGTTTTTTTTGGTAAATTACCATCTAGTTATTTACAAACCCCTTTTGGGCAAATTGGTCATCTAACACTTTCACTCTTGGAAGTGACCACGTTGATTTTGTAACACTTTCTGAAACATGCCTGTTTATAAACAGCCTAAAATGAACAATTACTTTGGAGTAATTTGGAGTTCATGGTGTCTTTTAGATAACTGAGTATACCCAAGGGTGTTGCAAAAGTAGAGAAGTACCACTACCCTCTGCAAATATGGCTTTGGTCATGTGATGGAAAAAGATCTCAGACGTTGCCAGAAATATCTGGACAGGTCAGGTGCCAGTATTTGCTAAGACATTACAGAATGGTTGTAATCTCTCCAGTCTAAATGGCACAGTGAGTGCCACCCTGGAGACAGGCTGCTGGAAGCTAACAGACATTAACAAAGCACAAGGCATCCTTTGTTTGTTGTTTGTCTGTTAATGATATGTATGCATAATGTCCTATAGGTTGAGTTTCAATTGCACTTCCTCCCCGCGGCCCCCCACCACGTTAGACCGTTTGCACGAGACAGTTTAGTCATTAATATTCTGAAAGGTTGAAAAAGCAAAGATAAACTTCAAACATTCACTCAAATATATATTGAGCTTCTATATGTGCCAGGCGTTGGAGATACAGCAGCGATCATACAGGCAAGTTCATCACCGCTCGTGATGTTTACGACTCCTAGCAAAGTCTCAAAGCTTCCCAGGCATTTGCCAACACAATGATTATTTACGACAATTAGTCATCCTCTCCCTCAGCATGAAATTTTTTCAGTTGGCCCTTAGGAAGAATGTCAGGTGAAAGGGCTGGATCTCTAATCCTATCAATTCCTACTCACGGTCTCCTCTTTCTTCTCCCCTTTCCTCACTCCTTTCATACTAGCCTCCCTGCTGGTCTTCCAGCAGGACAGGCTTGATTCTTTACCAGAATGTTTGCATTTTTTCCTTCTTCTGCCTGCAAGACTGGGTCCCCAGATATCTGGAAAGCCAATTCCGTCACCTTTTCTCTCCATGTTTTGTAAGTCTCTTTTCAAATACCGTTCTTTAGAAAGGCCTTCCCCGAGCAACCCATAGGCAATGTATAAAATGCTTCCTCCCCACCAACATCATCCTTTATTTTTACTGTTTTGTTTTTCTAAATAGCAGGTATCACCTGTCATTACAACGATGTACTGTGTGTGTATACACACTCATAATCTGTTTATTGCTTGTCCACCTCACTAGGATAAGCAGGGACTTAGTTTGGTTCGTTGCTTTGTGCAATGCAAGAATGGTGTCTGGCAATAAATAAGTAAATAAACATGGCCTTTTGTAAATAAATATGTATGACTCTCAATAAATATTTTCTGGATGAATGAACATTTCTAGCAACTAGTTCAGTTTGATCGCCTCCAAAGATAACAGCGCACAACTTTTCAAAGCATCACATTGCGTGTTACGAACCCATGTCCTCCACTCTTACTGAACACCTATGTCCCAGGCACTGTGTGATCCAAAGAATAAACTACATAGAGAAGTCAGCAAGTGGTAAGGAGGCAAAGGCAGTGAACATCTTATACCTGCAAGTGGGAAAAGATTCAGCCTGATTCGGAAGCTTATTGGAAACAGTGATGAAGCATTAATGGAGTTCCCTTAACAATAGAGTTAATTCAATTTCACCTTAGTCCAAATGATTGCAAGTTACCATGTCTAAAAAATTGCTCATCTAGAGAAGTTCCTTCTGTAAAATTGAAAATTAAAGGAGATTTTGATCATTTGATCCCTTTAGTCAGCAAGAATAGCTGTAATAGCCCTGTAGAGGAAGAAATGAGTTTCAAAACTTGCAAGGTAGGTTGTATCTCACCTCTTAGATGGCCCCAACCCCTGTGTGGAAACAGACCCTCAGAATGTGACCCATGATGGAATGTACAACACATGAGACTAAGGCTTGACAGTCTCAGCTGCTTCAGCTCTAGGCTGGCTCTACCAGGTGTGGTCATCTTTGTCCCTTAATCAATGAGCTTCTTCAAAGCAAGGCTCAGTATTTATTTGTGTAATCTCAGCACCTAGCACAATGCCTGGCACACAGTAAGTACTCAATAAATGACTATTGAAATCCAAACCCGCCTTTCCATTCCCACAGTGACTATTCAAACCCTTATCAACTCTCACCTGGACTGTTGCAAGAGCCTACTTAACGGCCTTTGTCCAATCTCCCTTTCCCCAAGCATTGAACACACAGCCAGCACAATTAACTTTGTTTCTTTTTTTTTCCCCCAAGATGGAGTCTTGCTCAGTCCCACAGAGCTGGAGTGCAGTGGCACGATCTCGGCTCACTGCAACCTCCGCCTCCCGGGTTCAAGGGTTCAAGCAATTCCTCCTGCCTCAGCCTCCCGAGTAGCTGGGATTACAGGCGCTGCCACCATGCCCAGCTAATTTTTGTATTTTTAGTAGAGACAGGGTTTCACCATGTTGGGCAGACTGGTCTCGAACTTCTGACCTTGTGGTCCATTCGCCTTGGCCTCCCAAAGTGCTGGGATTACAGACGTGAGCCACCGCGCCCAGTCAATTAACTTTCTAAACACAGAAGGTATACTAAAGCATAGTATACTTCATACAGTCATGAAGAATGTGTGAAGGCTTAAACCTTCCCTTCTGGTTTCACTCTCTTCCATTTCCTTCCTTGTCCTGTTTTCCCCCACCGAAAGATGAGCATCTAATGGCCTAGTTGCACGGAACTACTGCAAGTTCCCTGAATATGCTTTGCACTCTCAAATGTTTGTCTTTAGGTAGATTAACTTACATTTGGATACCTCCTACTCATCCTTCAAAACTCAGCTCAAATTGCACCTCCTCTGTGAAAACTTCCATAACTATTTTAGTCAAAACTTAACCTCACCCACTTCTTTACTCTTAGCCCTTTCTTTAAATCTCCATTTTGATGTTTAACATCTTATTCCACAAACGTGCATGTACAAGAAGTGATGGATATTCTTATTTTCTCTCATTAAGTCTGACTTCACGCTACTTCCCCAAGGGCTGTTGGAAAATGATCTCAGTCATTGTGGACTCTCCTGTCCCCCTCCCCTCCCCAAACTCTCTAGGATTTTCACAAGGACTCGGGATTTCAGGAACCAGGGGAAGGACCCCTTCTTTCTCAGACTGCCCTAGATAATTGTCAGTGTCAGAGCCTGCTGTTTGGTATCCTTGCCTTCTCTGTCACTTTCTAGGTAGGAGTCTTTGCTGATGCTGGAAGTCCTAGGCCTTTGGGGCATTGTGTCCCTATTCCCCTCCTGGGCTTTGCCACGCCCAAGGAGCTGCACACCTGTGCCCCACTGCTTATTGCTTCTGCCTCCACTCCTTCCCCCTAACATAATTTCCAGCTTTATTTAGAGAGGGCTGCAGAGACCAGGCAGCTAACCTGAATGAATGGTATTGGCAGAGAAAATGGTAGGGACCAGAGTGAACTGGAGGTTGCGCCTCCTTTAAAAGGGACAGACATTACTCAGCTCCAAGCAATTGCAGCCTGGTGAAAACGTAGGCCCAGTATTGCGAGATCATCCAATTTTTCCAGGAAAAGCTGAAATCTAGATTTTATGTGAAATCTACTTTCAAAATGTTGGCAATTATTTTTGAAAACTTCAAAACACTATTCATTACAAATGAAATCTATCTGTTAAAGTATTATTCAATCTGGAGAAGGCTGCTTTGAGACCTCTGCTATAAAAAAGAAAAAAATAAAGGGCCTGGTAGGAGGTTTGCTTCAAAACTCCCCTGATGTAACTAGCCCCAGAGCCATTCTTGAAAATGGTTGAGGGGGGAAATGCAAGGAGAACAGACAGAGAGTAACGTCTCAGTAAATCATCCTGTCACATTGAGACTCTTCACATTGTATTGTAATTAATTGTGTATGTCTCCAGCACCTGGACGCCCTAACAGTCCTGTCAGGCAGATTGGCACCACCTCCAGCCTTCGCTTGGCCTGCACTGCTGTCTGTCAGACTGTTTACTTGTTCTTAGCTCCTTCTCGAATTTCCTTATGACCCTCCCAGACCTCTCTCTCCCACTTACCCAAGACCTCGGCTTATTTCCAGACTCCTCTCTCTCAGGAAAACCCCTATTTCACCAAGAAAATTCTGCCAATGGTCATGCTTTCCCCAGCTTTCAGCCCTCCCTGCTTTCCTCCTCCCGTGTCCTCACTTTCCTTCCAGCTGCAGAGGAAATGTGACCCTCCTCCTGCTCAAAGCCAAGGCTTCCACTTGTGCCGTTGGTGATGCATTGAAACTACCTGTTAAAACTTCCCTATCCGCCGCATGTAACAAGTCTGGACCTCTGTTAAGAGAGATCTGTTGTTCATTCATCATCGCATTCCTGGAGTCTAGTACGCTGCCTGGGACAGGGAAGAGGCTCAATAAACATTTATTGAATAAATACCTTTTTAAAAACTCTGGAGGCTGGGCCAGTCCTTAAACTTTCTAGAGACACGAGACAACTGTTGAAACCTGAGTTTTCATAGGTTATTGATCTCGAGAGGGTAGTTCCCCTGACTCTGTGCATGGGCTAAATTTGGAGGAGATAATCCAGGAGGGAATGTAGCTGGCAGGCCAGGGAGTTTCTCCTGGGTCAGGTTGGTGCCATCCAGCTGTGAGTTTGCTGTATGAAACCTCCTGTCTGTCTTCTCTGGTTACTGCTGGTGAGGCTGGCATTCTGGTACTTGCTGAGGGGAGCAAAGGGGAGCCTCCATGACCAAGGTGTCACATTGCTCTCTGTCCTCTTGGGTTTTTACCCCATTAAGACACCACTACTCCATTAAAAGATTATTTTGGGGGAAAAGACAGATAAGCTCCAAGCCCTCTTACTCCTTGTATGTTTTCTCTTCTTTTTACTTCTAACTTAAACTTTTTTTTTATGTTTGATGATATCTTAACATCCATATAAATCATCTGATTATTTTTATCTTTAATCCTACTCTCATGAAGGATTAAAGTATCTCATGTCCTATTTTAAATCTTACCTTATTACCCTGTTGGCTTTCAACCTTTACTTACTTAGAATATCTGCTTTAAATTATTTCATAACTGACCTCATTTTTAACTTTGACCTTAGTTATTTTAACCTTCTAATTTTCTTTTTAAATTTATCTTCTTGCTCCAACCTTTATTCCATTTATCTTATAGCTCATACTTCTGTTTTATTAGGGCTTTTAAAAATAGTTTTCTTGGTTTAAAATTTGGCTTGTTACTCGTTTAAAATTTTTTATTCTTATTTCTTAATTTACAGCTTTTACTTGGTTTAAAGTATTCTAGCATCATTTAGCATCACATTCTAATCTTTTATTTTTTCTTCCTCTCTTTTTTGGCACCATAACTTTTTTTTTAACCCTTTTCTCTTATTTACAAGTCTGTCATTCAACCTAGCTCAAATAATGACTTGTAAGAAGCCCATTGAATACAGGAATCTTCTTTGCCCTTGCCCTTCTTTCTGCCAGTCACCACTATAACTAAATTTTTTTTGCATTAATGTTGCTTTTTGCCACAGCATTCTATGCAGTCTTTATTTTTACATTGTCTGGTTTAAAATCCATAGTCTTTAATTTTTTTTGGTTGCAAAGAACAAACCCATTTGATTGTAACAAATGCATAAATAAGGAAACCAGAATCTCAGTCACTAGGTAGGCCAGGCATCCTGTCAATCCTATGAAAAGTCCTCAGGAAGAGCTGAAAGTCTTGTGGAGTTAGGCCTCACAGGCACAAGAACAAAAAAGGGTTCAGAGGCAAATGCAATATCAATGTGGGAATCGTTATTTTATGGCTTAACACATGTAACCTAACTATATCTGAATTTCAAAGATAAGAAGAAAATCATATTAACATCCAAGGAAAAAGAAGCAAGCCACTCAAGAGGGAAACAATGGCCATGTTCAGGTATCCCCAGATTCCTCCAAAGCAATTCTTATTACAGAAGGCAGAGGAGCAGGATTTATACCATTGCTACTCAAAAGTGTGGTCCATGAACCAGCAGCATTGGCATCGCCTGTGAGCTTATTAGAAATGCAGAATCTCAGTTGCCATTCCAGATCTACTGAATCAGAATCTGCATTTTGACCAGATGCAAAGATGATTCCAATGGACCAAAGCACATTAAAATTTGAAATGCACCAGCCTATATAGTTGTGAGAGAAAGAAAAAAGTGATGCATTTTTTAAAAAAATCCAAGGAGTTCCTTTAGTATAAAGGCAACAAACCAACATTCTCAAATCAACCCTGTGTTTTTGAACTTCACTTGCAACTTTCTTTGGTTTTTCTTTGCCCCACTAAGAGAGCCTGTTTGTGTAATTTATTTGAGATTGGAGATATTCATTTGCATATTAGACTCACTAGAGGAATTTTTTTTTAAAATACTGTTGCATGGATCTTACCCTCAGAGAACCTGACTGAATTGGTCTGGGATGATGCCCAAAAGTCAGTAGTTTTTCAAAAGTTTTCAAGTTCATTACGATATGTGGCCAAGGTGATAATCATGGAACCAAGGGAGACCAAATCCACGAAGCTTTCTTGAAAAAAGTTACTGAAAGATGGACACCAGACAATAAAGAAAGGAATCAAAATACAGTACTCAGAAAGGAAGGAGCTGTGGTAAGCAGTAATAAGTGAGTCAATTTAAAAAAACTACAACTAAATAACTGGGAATTTTTGTTAAAGAATATCACAACTGGGGCTTTAGATGGCAAATATGCTGTTCTCTACCCCCTACATTTCTATTTATGTTTGGTGCACCCTTACTAAATCTGTTATTCTCTGAGTTTTACGTCATCAGTTCTCTGGGTTTCAAACCAATGACTCTTGGGCCACATCCCTCATTTTACGCACCTTATCACTGGCAGGTTTTCCCTTGGCTAGGAAACTGGACAGTGGAAATGGTGACTTTGCCTGTCTGCTCTCAAACCGGGCTTCTGAAAGGGAGCCAGAAATATGGGCTGGGGGAAGGCTAGGGAAAGCCTAGTGCAATTATATTGGAAGTAGAGGTATTAGTATGAACTCATAATTTTATTTCTGTAACCTGCACAGCTCCCATCTCCCTGGGACCTTGCCTTGCAGATTCTGGCACTTCAGCTGCCCCAACCTCTGATCTCTTCCTCCTCAGTTCAGAGGGACTGCTGTGCTCTGCGTGCATTCTGGATCACTACTCTGCAGTTAGGAAAATTTCCCCAGGCAGGGAGCCAGGCTCATCATGACGTTCACCTCTTAGGTTTCCCTGCCTTCAGGGATTGATTGCAGTCTTGCATTGCCTACTCTGCCTCGTATTGCTTGTTCGCCAATGTCTGAAAACACTTGCCTTTGATATTTCATCCAGTTTTACAGTTAAGGCAAGAGGACTAGTCCCAGATACTCCATCAGAGACAGAAGTGGAAGTGCTGGTCTCTATATTGGATAATAGCATTATATTAATATTAAATTTCCTGAAATTGGTCATTGTACTATGAAGATGAAAGAATTGCTTGTTCTTAGGGTATACATGATGAAGTATATGGGACAAAAGGTTATGATGTCTTCAATTTACTCTCAAATGTTTCAGTTCAAATAGTCATATGAATAGCAATAATATGTATATTTGTAGAGGGAGCAGGAGAGATCTTGATAAACCACATATGGAAAATGTTATCAGTGGTGAATCTAGATGAAGTGTATATGGGAATTCATTGTAGGATTTTTGTAACTTTTCTGTAAGTTAAAAAAAATTTTTTCAAATAAGGAATAAATAAAGCATCCCCTTCAGTGTGGACTGGACTTAATGATTCATTTCTAAAGATTAGAGTAGGGAAAAAAATAGTAACTTTACGGTGGAGAAAGTTGACAGACACCACCTTAAACAAGTGATATTAACCAAGTGATCATGGTTAATATCACTAGTGATAAGTCAGGTGGATATCATGTACCCATTTATATTAAGTGATGCAAGGGCATGTCACCTCTGTGATTTTCTCACTCACAATTTATAACCCAAATTGGCCAGGTGCTGTGGCTCACGCCTGTAATCCCAGCACTTTGAGAGGCCAAGGCGGGCGGATCACTTGAGGTCAGGAGTTCGAGACCAGCCTGGCCAACGTCGTGAAACCCCATCTTTACTAAAAATACAAAAATTAGCTGGGCGTGATGGTGAGCACCTGTAATCCCAGCTACTCAGGAGGCTGAGGCAGGAGAATCACTTGAACCCGGGAGGCAGAGGTTGCAGTGAGCCAAGATCGCGCCACTTCACTCCATCCTGGGTGACAGAACAAGACTCTGTCTCAAAAAACAAAAAAAAATTATAGCCCAAATTAAAAACTGAGTGTCCTTAATATACCTTTCCTTAGATACCCTTTAAAACTGGGTACATATTAGCCATTTCATTTTCTTTCTACCTACATAAGACGCATCCATCTCTAGAGAAATGAGGATATGTGTTTATGAATTTTATTTCAATTTTAGAGTCCAGAGAAATTTATGACATTTTTATAATACAGTGATTTTTTTAAATGTGTAGTCCCATTTTAATACCAATGTCAGTGTTACTAAATAAATGCCATTCATAACATTTAAAGAAGGAAGAAGAACTCCACATATCTGGCTTTGAAGGTGGAGGCCGGGGGCCAGCACTAAGGAATGCAGGAAGTCTCCAGAAGCCAGGAGCAGCCTTCAGCTGACAGCAAGGAAACAGGGACCTCCGTCCTACAAGGGAGCCTCCCCTAGAGCCCTTAGAAGGGAACACAGACTGTCCTCTTCGATTTTAGAATCATCTTGATTTTAGTTTGATATGACTCACTTTGACTCTCTGACCTACAGAATTATAAGAAAATGAATCTGTATTGTCTTATGCCACATGAAGTGTATATGGGAATTCACCCTATATATACTAAGCCAGTAAGTTGTGATTGTTATGGCTGCAATAAAAAATGAATACACTAGGCCTCACTGAGATAGTAGGAAAGTCTTGAAGGAGGTGAGAAAGGGGGCCATGAGGAAATCAGGGGGAAGAGTGTGCCAGGCACAGAGAACAGCAAGTGCAAAGGCCCTTGCTAGGAGCATGCACAGCACAACCAAGGGACAGTCAGGAGGCCAGTGTGCCTATGATAGAGTGAGCAAGGAATAGATTTTAGGAGAAGACATCAGCATAGGAGGATTTGCCTTCTCTGTTGTGAAATCGGACTGATTGCACTTCCTACCCAAGCTGGGAGGAGGAGAACCACCTTGCCCTTTATCTGATTGAGAAATTAGGTGCTCAGCCCTAAATCCTGTCCCCCACTGCCCAACTCCGTTCACTCGAATGGTAGTTTTGAAGCATCCTCATTTGTTTGGCTACTTCACCAATAAGGCCAACTCTTATATAGTTGGCCCTACCAGCCATCTCCAAATCACCCATTTCCAGGACATGGTTATCAGACCTGATGAGGTGGCTTGCTGTGGCTCTGCCCACTTTGAAGGTCAGCATGGCCATACTCCTTTATAAACAGTAATCTTTCTTATACCTGCCTCTCGGAGATTAGGATTCCTTTCCTGAAAGTTGGTTACAAGAGCCCCGATGTGCTGGTTTTTCTCATAGGATTTAGCATCAACCTGCAAAACATATGGAATTTTCAATATTCAACTCTTCACATTGTGGTTTTAGGCGTTTTATCTTTCTGGCTTTGGAGAATAGATATTTTGGCAGATGTAAAGGTGATTGGCTGTCTCTACATCTGTCAAGCTCCAAAGCACTGTTACCAAGCATCAGAGACCATATTTCAGGGAATATTTTCCTTCTATTTTAACTGAGTCTGTGATAAACTGGATGTGATTTGCCTTAATATTGACAGTTTCTGCCCAAAGCACATGTGATTGGTTTGGGTTGAATGACCGCCACCCTTTCTCTCATGATGGGAGAATATGTGCTCTCCAGCTTGTACAGAGAACAAAGTAATTGAACCAGAATAGGATGAAAAGAATGTCTCCTTATTTCTATTTTTGTATTCTCCTGAAAGTCCCCAAGTTGAATACTTCTGATGTATTTACATTTATTGTTCCTGTTCTTGAAATTGATGTAGGGTGGGCATTGGGTCCTGGCTAATTATTAATTTAAGTACCCCCAGTACCTACCACCGTGTCTAGCATCCAGTAAATATTTTTAAAATTAATTCACTCAACCATCCCCTCATAAAATGAACAGCCTTTCTACATTTTTTATGTCTCTAATATTGGAAATTGGTAACATTTGGTGGCATTGACCATTTATTATGTACCCGATAAAAGCATTCCATTATCCTTTAATTCATTGGTTGAAAATAGTTTGGAGGAAGTGTTAGCTCATGAGAATAATATACTCTTAATTTATTAAACATTTATAGTAAATTAACAGAAAAACTTAAACAAAATTTAAAAGTGAGCCCAAAGGGATGAATTGATGAAACATTTTATCATGTTTTATAACTGAAAATACAGTCTCCTAGATAGATACATTCAGTACCCTGTGGGTGAGGAGATGTGGTAAAATGGGTGTGAAGTAACTGATCTCAGTAACACTCCTCTTTCTTTAGTAACTGAGGCCTCCGTGTGACTGCAGACATCAACCGAGTGCTCATAGCTTCCTCGTGATGCCTGGCCAGTGTTATGATACTAGGCAACCCAGTGTCTCAGGACCAACAGCGGAATAAACTTTGGCAGAGATCTATACGAGTTATTTCCTTTCTTACACTGCACAATTTCCTAGACATTCAGCCACCCTCTCATCATCAGACCTGCTGAAATCCATAATAAGCAACAGGCTATTAGATAAAAATAGTGGAATAAAACTGCAAATAACATTCTCCCCAAAATGCAGAGATGTCTGTCCTCCGGGAATATTTTATTCAGCTCTGGCGGCTATAGCGAAATACCATAAACTGGATGGCTTAAACAACGAATACTTATTTTTCACAGTTCCAGAGTTTGGAAGTCCAAAATGAGAGTGTCAGCTGGCTGGGGTTCTTCGTGAAGGCCCTCTTCCAGTTGCAGACAGCTGACTTCTCACTGTATCCTCATATGGCAATAAGAGGGTTCACTAGCTCTCTGGGGCTTCTTATCAGAGCACGAATCCCATTCATGAGGGTTCTACCCTTATGACCTTATTAGCTCCCAAAGGACCCACGTCCAAATACCATCACATTGGGGATTTGATTTCAATATATGAATTTGGGGGTAGGGGGCACAAACATTCAGTCTATAACATAAAGGATGGAAGATTCTCATCCTGTGATCTCCTCTTTGGACCAGTAGTATTTGCTTATTAAACCTGGACGGATTTCCAAGTGCAGCTAAGTACACTTGACATGTTAATTTAAGGATATTGCTTAAATCCAATTGTGCTATCTCCAATATTCATCTTCAACAGAGAAGACATATCTAGGTTATACAAATCCTACATGTCATCTAGAGAAAGGTAATGTATCCAGAATGTACAAATTGCAAGTTATCATCAGATAATTGTCTGGGCAGACAAAGCAAAGGCAAAAAACAGCTAAGGTCCTGACCACAGAACTCTGCTCTCTTAAGCTTTGTGCTCAGCATAACTCACCCCATTCTGCTTGAGTGTTCCTCTTGTAAATTCTGCTTAGATTCAAAAGACCAGGGGTTCAAATCCTGGCTCTACCACCTAATTGCATAAACATGGGAAAACCACTTATACATCTTTTTGTCTGTTTCCTTATCTATAGAATGGGGATGGTGATAAGATAAGGTCCACCTTACAGCATGCTGGGGTTCTGAGCTCGTTGAATGTTAAAGTCCTAAACAAACATTAGTTGTAATTGGTTCCTAGAGGGCAATCTCATCGACAGCATGAAATCAGAAATGAGACAGCTTCGCTCATGAGTCTCACTCATCAGCTTTGTGACATTAAGCAACTTACTTCTCAAAATTTATGTTTCGTCATCTGTAAAGAGGATGATTTTAATGAGAGTAGCATCTCTGTAGGACAGTTACAAGCATTAAATGACATAATCTAAGACCTCCTGCATGTCTTTTTGGGGGAGTTCAGTGGTCATGCAATACACTATGGAGAGACTAGAAGGAAGGCAGACAGGTGCAGTTTCCATTTGGCATCATGGGTCAGCATGCCCCAGTGGCATCAGGGTTCTTTCTTTGGCTGCAGAGCTGCATTCCCATGCTATGCTAATAACCTCTGCAAAACACAGTCGACCTGATCTTCCTGCTCTTTCCAGATAATGTGACCAACCTTTAGCCACCACTTGCTCACTTACCCGATAGGTTGTAAAACCAGTTTTTTTGGCATCTTGCCACCTCATCAGTGCTCACCTGCATATTTTTTTTCTGGGTTAGAGGATCATGAGTTCTTGGGTTCGCTGTGGTCAGAGTCAATAGCTGTCTATCAGGAAGTTGCTTTATTAATGAGATAATTCAGAATTTCTTCCGGAACTTCAATCTGTTGCTGGGTAACAACCTGTACCTAAAATCTACACAGATCTTCAATTATCGCTTAGTTAGGAACATGCTAGGATTGCCCGGCTGTCAAACACTCTTAATTGCACTAGGACCGGTTAGTATCTCATGCATTTGGAGCACAAAAGCACTGAGCAAAGCATATGACTGTCTGGTCAAGTCAAGCCCGCCGTTCCAACATTAGGCAATTGTTTCCATGAACAGTTTTCACGCTTCTGATATGGAAAAGAGATATGATCATGGCTATTATTTGCTTTGTGTTTCTAATATGCTGAGCAGTGTTTTAAGCATATAACAACTGCTAATTCATTTAATTTATGAGGTAAATGTTATCATATAAAGAAACCTATGTGCTCAGAGGTTAAGCAACATGCTCCTAGTCATACAGCCACCCTTCACTAGGCTATTTTGCCTACTGTTATTTCAAAAGCTGGGGACAGGGGAAATAACATTAATTTGTTTCTCATAATGGCAGAAGACCGTTTCTTTCTGTTACTAAATTTACTATGAAGAATTTCATTGCAAATAGTTATGCAAGAGACCTTTTACAGCTATACTAATTTAACAGTGATGTAATCTTGATTCTAAAAAATATATATTTGGGTCAGAAAGAGTCTCACCATTTCCTTTATTGTATTTTCCCCCAATATGAAAATTGTTTTGTAAAGTTTTAGCATTTTTTCCCTTTCATATCTACTCTGATTGGCTTTCGGGACCAATACGAGTTACAAATTAGATGCTTCCAAAATATCTAGTTGAACATTTCACTCAGTCAATTGTTTTGTTGCCTAATGTAATATCCATTTGTTCCCCCAGAGAGAGATTTTCTTCAGTGTAGCAATGATTTTGGTGCTTTTCAGACACGATCAATTTAATAGCAAAATGCCTTACACCTCACAGGTACATAGTAATACTTAACAAATGAAATAATGAATGAGTTAATATGAACTTTTGACAATCCTATATTTATATCCACATCACATAGGAATGCTCAGCTTACAACTGTCTTTTAAAGAACATTATTAATCAGAATAAAACTTACTTCATGGGCCTAGCTACTAATAATTTCTTATTACTGACCATTTCCTTCTTTTAAGTGGTAGGATGGATAGGAAAGAGGGAGGAATAGTGAGGAATTCACAAATGAAAGAGAGACCCTTAGAATCTTGGTTCTCAAGCTTATGAGAACTAAAGGTCCCCTTTTATAACAAATATTTTCTTATGCTCCTTTACTAGCTTAAAATGAAATTTATAGAAAATATAGTCTGTAATGCACATTAATTTTAAAAAATATAACTATCATATATCAATAATATTATTAAAATAATGTAATGCCTTAACTTTGATATAAAGGAGAAATAAAAGAAATTATATATATAATTATATATAATAATATATAAATATATATATATTTAAGTATGGAAAGGCACAGATGGTAGCTATGCTACAAAATGTAATGAAGTAGTCAGGTGCTTATACTGTTAATATATTGATGCCAATATATTACCTTCAAGTTGACTCTTCTTTTCATATTTGACATTTTGAATAAAGAATAAAAAGTATATTTAAATGTATACTTAGAACCACCTTGAATCAAGAGCTACAAACACAGATTGTTATCAGTTTATTCTATTGGTGACTCAGTTCCAGAAGTTAAGATGCTCCTGTGAAATGAACTTCAAAGATGGTTAACAAACCTGGGTAAAGTTCTGAGTTAAATAAAGCATAATCTCTCCTCAACTCAACTGGTAGTTGTATTCTTGGAACACTCAATTTTATTAAAATGATGCTAGGGCTGTGAATGGTGGCCTGCATCTGTAATTCCAGCACTTTGGGAGGCTGAGGTGGGAGATTGCTTAAGCCCAGGAGATCAAGGCTGCAGTGTGCCATGATCTTGCCACTGCACTCCAGCCTGGGCATGAGATCTTGTCTCTAAAAACAAAAAGAGAGGAAAAAAAACCATGCTAAAAACAATTTATGCTTATATGTAAAACAGATAGGGCATTAAACATTGTGAGAGATAGGACAATAATTTTTCATTGTCAAGGGTTGACCTATGCTCTGTAATATGTTTAACATCCCTGGCTCTCTCACGCATATTTTTAAAAATTAACATTATTTTAATTGACAAATGATAATTTTATACATTTATGGGGTACAATGTGATGTTTTGATATAGGTATACAATGTGGAATGATTAAAACAGGCTAATTAACATATCAATTACCTCACTTACCATTTTTTGTTGGGAGATATTCTAAATTTATTCTCTTAGCTACTTTGAAATATACGTTATTATTAACCATATCACCCTGATATGCAATAGATCTCGAAAGATTATTACTTCTGTCTAACTGAAACTTTGTGCCCTTTGACCAACATCTCCCCATACCCTCTCACTCCTTCTCCCTTAGCCTTTGGTAGCCCCCACTTTACTTGTATGAGTTCGACTTTTTTAGATTCTACATGTCAGTGAGATCATGTGGTATTTGCCTTTCTGTGCCTGGCTTATCTCACTTAGTATAATGTCCTCCATGTTCATTCATGTTGTCACAAATGGCAGAATTTCCTTCTTTTTTAAGGCTGAATAGTATTTCCCTGTGTCTATGTACCACGTTTCTTTATCCACTCATCTGTCGATGAACGCTTAGGTTGCTTCCGTAGTTTGGCATTCACATTCTTGTGAATAATGCTGCAGTGAACATGGGAATGCAGATATCTCTTTTGCATGTTGATTTCAACACTTTTGAATACATACCCAGAGGTGGGATTGCTTGATCATATGGTAGTTCTATTTTTAGTTTTATGAGGACCCCCATACCATTTTCCATAATGGCTGTACTAATTTACATTCTCACTAACAGTGTAAAGGGTTCCCTTTTCTCCACATCCTTGCTAACATGTGTTATCTTTTGTATGTGATGTAGTATCTCATTGTGGCTTTAATTTGCATTTTCCTAATGATGAGTGCTGTTGAGCATTTTTTTCATGAACTTATTGGCCATTTGTGTGTCATCTTTTGAGAAATGTCTGTTCAGGTTCTTGGCCCATTGGTAAACTTCTTTGTTTGTTTTCTTGCTACCGTTTTTCCACCATCTTAAAAGGAAGTAGTTCCTGTAATCACTGAGACCACCAAAAACACCCCTGCAAAATTTCAAATACTATCTAGTAGATGGAACTGTCTCAATTGAGAACCACCACCCTGAAGGTTTATAGTAAGCTGGGATAAAAAGAACTTCTTTATGAAATATTGCCAGAGAATTTGGAATTCACAATAGTGGTTTCTTAGCATGTTATTTAATGGGACTTTCAATCTACATTTTCATTAAATTTGTATTTGGAAAATTGTGTTGGAACAAATGAATGCTATATTGCAAACTATATTTGAGCCAACTCAGTTGTAGGACAATGCTATTCTTATTTTAGCACAAACTGAATAACTCTCCACATCTTTGCAAATATACCCATCTTCACACATTCTGGTTTTTTTTTTTTTAAATAAAGTCTGGACTTCTGGATTCTTGTTCATAGTTAGGACAACCTGATTCTTTAATAATTCAAGCCAAGCTGAGTGAGTGTGGATTTGTAAAGACTGAGTAATCCCTTGACTCAGCAGTTTCCCTCTAAAATCTGTACTCTTCATGAATTACAAAATTAACACTTGGTATCACTCGATAGCTTAGTGTTCTCAGTGCAATGAGTTGTTCCTTTTGATCAAATCCATAGTAGATAAAAATTACCAATTACTACTAGGCTGTACAGAGAAACTAAGTTTAAAAAGATCTTTCAGACCATGTTACTTTGTCACTTCAGAAATGAGCCATGGAGTGTGAGCAGATAAAATATGTTCAATTGCTATTTCTTTATTGGCAAAGAAACACCTTAAATCTTCAGAACGAGCGGCCCATTCTCTTTCAGAAACACTGCAGCAAAGCAAATTAATATAAAGATAAAAAGAAAACTTCTTTAGTAATGTGTTTTCCTTCATTTTTTCAGGATCTCTTCAAGTAAGGATTCACCTAAGGCGCAGCTTTGGAGCCCTGGAAGGTGGCTGGACGGTAGCTGCTGCCCCCTAGTGTAAGACTCGTTGTTACTGCAGACATTGGATTCTTGAAATAACCAGGGACTCTCCCTACCCCCAGGGCCAAGTGAATGGGAAGTAAATTAATGTGCTTTGTTTAAATGATAGAGGTAATTGAGAAAGTTATAGTATATTATTCTTTCAGAATGAATAGTTAGAACACTTTTTGCTGACTCCCTGCAGAAATAGTCGTTTAATGTTTTTCTGTCATTGCTTCAAGTTTAATTTTCTCATCATTTTCTGCTTTTCTCACCTACAAGGTGGCTACAAAATTTGCAGGACCCAGCACTAAATGAAAAATGTGATGCCCTTTGTTCAACAAACAGGAAAAAATGCCACTAAAGGTACTAAAATACCTTTTCTTTTCTTCCATAGTCTCTCTCCTGACTAGTTATGGGGTTTTAAAATTTGCCATTTAATGCCAAATGGAAAATTGGCATTAAATGCCATTAAATGCCAAAGAAAAATGGAAAATTTTCATGATTAGCATAAATGTTACCATTTATCTTTATGATGTGTCCTTTAAGCACAAATATAAGAGCAAATGTAACTTCCATTATGTACAAATATACCTTGTGCTTTTGTATTACCAAAATTACACAATTTGAATTTTGTAGCTCACACATGCATGTATATTTGATTCTTACCAAAATAGTGAAAATGCTGGACAAAACTACTTTGTTTTTATGTCACTTCTTGATTCGTGCATATTCAACCAACACTGTCTGCCTTTGGTGTGCTGATGAGTAAGGAAGGACTGAAACGTAAAGGGACTCTGGGTTGCCCTATCTTTTGCTTTCCTTTCTTGTCAAAATTTTCAGCCTAAGTGCTGGCTGAAGAAGAAAGGATGTGATATAATTTCTGAGAATGCCATTATTTTTATCTGTGTTAGAAGCAAGTTGTGGTTCAAAAGGAAAGAGTGGCCTCTCAGTGTTCTCTCTTGCTCAGCTATAGATATAACACGCCTCCTTTATGAACTTTGAGTCTTGCACTGTGGGCCCCCTGGAATTCTGTGCTCTGGGACACTATGAATTCTGTATGCAGGTGAGGAGGGAAAGCATAGTACGTAGGCATGTTGCATGCATCTCTTCTGCTCACACATGCTCCATTGTCCTATCAGGATTCACTTACAAAACACAAGTTCAAAAATAAAATTGTTAAGCATTTCATGATGCTGAGAGCAGAGCAGTGAACTAAGCACAGGGCCTTTCTGAGTTCTATGCCCTGTACAACCATGCAGGTTACATACCCATGAAGTTGGCCCTAACTTGAATCAATTTCACAAAAGTACAGCCAAAATTAGTTTTTGCTTGTTTGGGCTTCCATTAACTCCCAATAGGAATGTATAATTCAGGCTCTTTGGAAGAATGTGGAGGAACTTTTAGTGAACTGGTCAGCAGTTACTCTCAGGCAGGAACAGCTGAAATGGGATTCTGATGGTAGAACCATGTGCTTGTTTCCTGGCCTCATAGCACCTTGACTTGCACACTGTTTTGAGTTTAGAGCCATCATTTTGAGGTGGGGATAAAGATTATTAATGTGGTTATTATAAGATGTTTTCTATATCTAATGAGATATGTTTTAAATGACTAAAATACTGAAGGATATTTGCTATAAAGAAACCTGCATAAATATGTGACTTCTGAAGCAAAATCAAGTTCACATTTAAAACTCAGTAGTACTTAAGCATAGACAAGTACTAGGATTTCTTCAGCTCAACTTTTCAAAAAGTGTGACTGTGCTTGCTAGGAGGAGTCATTTTAAATTGAAAATTTATAATTTACGAAAGATTCGGTAAAAATGCACTTGTTCTATGAGTACCAGCCTTGGGGAATGTGCTGAGTGAGCATGGGAAGAGGAAGTCCAAAGGTAGAAGGCAAAGTTCCTGCTTTCCAGGACCCACCTGGTTTGGAAGATCAGGACAGTATCTCTGAAATAATAATAATAATAATAATAATAATAATAATAATAATAATAATACAGTAGAAAATCCAATTTAAATTTTTTACTAGGCTGATAGTAAAATTTCATTTTACTCCATTTAGACAACAATCTTTTAAACACATATCTCAGCTCCCTCCCTGTGCCTTCTCAAATGGTATACTGAACTTCGTTTGGTCTTTGCTTGATGACTGATTGACATTAGCCTATTAGAATTTTTAAATGATTTCTCTTCTCCTCCCTTCTTTGTCCTCCTTCTCTGTGGTTAATTTTATGTGCCAGTTTACTGGATTACGGGTACCCAAATATAGGCTACATGTGATTTCTGGGAATGTCTGTAGGGTGTGTCTAGGTAAGGTTAGCATTTGGATGGGCTGAGTAGAGTAGTTTGTCCTCCCTCTGTGGGCAGGCATTATCCAATCTGTTGAGGGCCTGAATAGAACAAAAAGACAGAGAAAGGGAGAATTCGTGCTATCTGCTTGACCACTTAAGCTGAGACATTGGTTTTCTCCTGTCTTCAAACTGGGACTTAAACCAACAGTACTTCTGATTCTCAGACCTCCAGAGGTACATTGGACTATATACTGCCAGCTTTTCTGGATCTCCACCTTGCAGACAGCAGATTGTGGGGAGGTCTCAGCAATTCCTTGTAATAGGTCACTTTCTGGAGATAGAGATACAAATATTTATCTCTGTCTATGTATCTATCTATGTATCTATCTGTCTATCTATCTATCTATCTATCATCTATCTATCATCTATCTATCCATCCATCGTATTGGTTCTGTTTCTCTGGAGAACCCTTACTAATAAATCTTGCAATAAATTTTATCTTTCTGGTTCTCTTCCCTGAGTGTAGAGTTGGCAGCTGTTCCTTCTCTGAATGATCAATCCATCTGTTTCTACCAGATCTCTCTTCTTCATTTCTTCATTTGCTGCCTCAGACCTGCTAATGAAATCTGCAAATGAAATATGCATCTTTGTGGTTATCATTTCTGGAGCTCTTTATTCCTTTGTGTAGATACATATTTCTAAGTGATATCATTTTCTTCCTGCCTGAAGAAATTTCTTTAACATTTCTTATAGTTCAGGTCTGTGGTGAATTCATTCAACTTTATTTCACCATGGTTTTTGAAAGATAATGATGATCTTCACAGCCAGATATGAGATTCATTTTTGAATGCATGTGCCCATTTTAATGAAGTGAGTTTTCTTTCCACTGATTTTGTGGCCTCAAACAGTTAGTAGTCAGTCTCCCACTATGGATCTAAAACAGACATGGCTGGGCATGTAAATACATTTTCCTTTGATGAAGCTTTAGTAGATTTTGCTTCATTCCTACTGGTCCTTATAAAGAAATAAAATTCTACCTCTTAACAACTATTAAAAGCACTATATAATTGGACTATAATCCCAAACCACAGATGTGTTAGAGTTAGAAAGCATCCTGGAATTGTGTGGCCCAATCCCTGCCCACCTCTGCACATGCAGCTTACATGAAGCTGAGATAATCATGTTAAGAATTAAGTTCATTTGCCACATGTACATAACAGAAGACACATTTTATGTACAAAGGTCATGTTCTTTGCCTTAGGTTATTTGTTCATATCAGTGAATATAGATTCAGTGTTTTGGGATAGAGAAGGCATAAAAAGGAGGGAGCTGCTCATTAACTTATTTTTTATTTTTACTTATTTTTATTTATTTTTTGAGACAGGGTCTCACTCTTGTCACCCAGACTGGAGTGCAGTGGTGCAATCTCTGCTCACTGCAACCTCTGCCTCCCGGGTTCCAGCAATTCTCCTGCCTCAGCCTCCCAAGTAGCTGAGATTACAGATGCACGCCGCCACGCCAGTCTAATCTTTTGTATTTTAGTACAGACGGGATTTCACCATGTTGCCCAGGCAGGTCTAGAACTCCTGAGCTCAGGCAATCCATCTGCCTCGGCCTCCCAAGGTGCTGGGATTACAGGTGTGAGACACCGTGCCTGGCTGCACATCAACTTCTACAGGAACATGTCCCCTTAGCCTTAGTTGACAAGGTCAAGGGTTTGTCTGTCTTTGTAATCATAGCAACTAGCAGAATTTCCAACACACAGTAAGTACTCAATAAATGTTTTCATTGTTAGATGATGAATAGCATTAACTATTATCCCTGTTAAGAGACTAATGCTGAATTTGAAAAAAAAAATCTACAGAGTGAAAACACTGTTTATATAAGTTATAAATAATTTGGGAAGGGGACAGTGAAAAAACTCCTTTTCTGAAATTTAAAAATAGAACCATAATAACTATGTCATTGTCTTTCATGAGCGATCTCTATGTAA
Source organism: Homo sapiens (assembly GCF_000001405.40). NCBI lineage: Eukaryota > Metazoa > Chordata > Mammalia > Primates > Hominidae > Homo > Homo sapiens. The sequence goes on along the minus strand of NC_000012.12, from coordinate 26,092,962 downwards.
AAGCATTGATCTCTGTGTAGGAGAATAAAGCAAATACAACAGAGCCATCCATGTGACCATCAAAAACCACAAAAGACATGGTAGGAAATACCCCTGACGTGTAAGACTCCTTCAAAAAAAAAAAAAAAAAAAAAAAAAGCAGTGTATCTTCTGGGCCTGTTTCAGAAAAAAAGAAAAAGAAAATACACATTAAAAAAAAAAAAAGGCAGTAAATACTAACCGGGAGGGGTGACCTAGGAGTAAGCATGAAGTGATACTATTCAGAACTGGAAGAAATTTTAGGTATCATCATGGCCAGCCTCTTTATTTTACAGATCATGCTAATTTTCTGCTACTTATTGTGTGGCCTTGAAAAATCATGTCATGAGCAGGCTAGCTGAAAACATAGAAAGAGCTGTGGGGAAAATAAACCAGGTTGTAGCCTAATTTCTGCTGCAGTAAGTAGCTACAATAAGTAGCAGAAAATTAGGCCTACAATCTGGTTTATTTTCCTCACAGCTCTTTCTATGCTTTCATCTAGCCTGCTCCAAATGTTTTCTTTTCAATACGGGGGATCAAATAAACATACAGACTTGGGATGAAGATCTAGAACAAAAGAAAAACAAGAAGGTAACTAATTATGTATACCAATAATTTTTCTTAAAGTAAATTAAAATCAGAATATTAATATTCCTATCAGAACTTCCCCCCCAAATTTGACAGTCTCCCAAGCACCAGAGTTTCTTAGTAGAGAGAGACTTTTTTTTAGTGATAGTTAGTGGCATGAAAACAAATCCTAAACTTTAAACAGATGGGAATTTTGGGGCTAATGACAGCTAATATTAACAGTGTCGCAAGATCAGGTTCTGATTTTGTAAAGATTGAAAGAGCATAACTTCAGGTAGCTCTCGATACAGTAGAGCCAAATCGGAGTCCTCCTGCAGAGGGCATAGGATGACCAGGCGCTGAGGAGAGCCCACACTGCGGTGCAGTGTGTAATCCTGGGAGAGACCCTCTTTAATCCTGCTCTGTTAGAAAACTGGAGAATGCCATAGCAGTTTGAGCAGAAGGAATGATTTTCTCCACACGGGCAAACTTTCCAGCTCTTTCTACAGTCTCTGCACTGCAAGCTGGTTTAGAGAATGTTGAGCTTTTTCTAAATAAATGGTAAATGGAGGTTGAGGAAACACTATTGGGAATGCATTTTCTCTGAGTTATGATGAACAGAACAAATCAGGAAAAGAATCATTACGAAGTACTTTGAGCCACTCAGTCTTTGAGAATTTGCTTTGATGACATTGTAAGGTGAAGAAAGGCAGCTAAGCTAATTTTTGTTTGGACAAAAAAATGTGTTTATTCTGTTTATCTTAAATGAGAGATATTATGCTTTATGGATTTTTGAAAAAAAATTAAATAAGAAGGAGCTGTGGCCATGGAAGAGAGATGGAGGTAAGCAGATGCAGCAGATGGAGTGTGCGTGTTGAGGAATGTAGCTCCAGGCAAGAGAGAGGAAATGGAGGCAAAGGACACCTGGGCTTTGGAAATGGACCTGCAGCTTCACATGGGCGGATCAAAGGCTGGCCACAGGTTACGTAGCCCAAGTATCTGGGACAGAGATGGAATTGCTGCCTTAGGAATGAGAAGTGATTCTGAATTGAGTCCACTGGAGAAATACACATACCACATATCTCCAGCATGAGTGTTCATGCGCTGGAATCCATGGTATGCATGAAAGTAGATGACAGGTGAGAAGTCATAGTTCTGAAAGCTTCAATACCTCATTCCCCAAATGGGAAAAGGCCATGGAGCCGTATGTTAAGACCTTCTGCAAATAGGCAGTCTTCTTCCAAGTAGATCCGAGTGCATACTCATGAAGCGTATACTAAGCACTGGCGAACAAACAGAGGAAGGACATGTTAGAAGGGACCAGGTCACATCAGTGTGTCCTTGTCTCTATTCCTGCTTCTCCCTCTCAGCCTCCCCTAGCACCAGTGCTGTTGCCAGGAGACCGAAGTCTAGGAGACAGAAGAGGAGGCCACCAGGAATGGAGAATGGATAGGCTGCGGAGCCAGTGAGAACAGATTCGTGTTCCTGTTGTCTCACTTGTGAGTAATTTGACTTGGGCAAAGAGTTTTTGTCTTCTTATATGCAAGATGGGACTCATACATTCGCCTTTTCATTGAATTCAAATTTTCTGAAGGCATATTATATGCCAGGGCCTGTAATAGGTTCTAGGAATTGAGCAGTGAACAAAACAAACATGGTCCCTGCCCTTGTGCTGCTTACAGATAGGTATCAAATAACCAGAAAAATCACTGTATAATTACATAACTGTGTGACAGAAAGCAAAGAATGCTATTAGCATTTAATAGGTGAACCTAATCTGGTGGGAAGGGAAGGGAGGTTGTTAGGTAAGACTTTTTTTTTTTTTTTTTTTTTTTAAGACAGAGTCTTGCTCTGTCGCCAGGCTGGAGTGCAGTGGTGCAATCTCAGCTCACTGCAACCTCCACCTCCTGGGTTCAAGTGATTCTCCTGCCTCAGCCTCCTGAGTAGCTGGGACTACAGGTGCCTGCCACCACGCCTGGCTAATTTTTGAATTTTTGTACAAAAATGATGATCTCGATCGCTTGACCTCGTGATCCACCTGCCTCGGCCTCCCACAGTGCTGGGATTACAGGAGTTAGCCACTGTGTCCGGCCCAGGTAAGACTTTTTAGCTAAAACCAGTAGGACAGGCTGACGATTGGAGACACAGAGGCCTCTCCATGCAGGATCAGTCCTTAAGAGCAACAGGCAGCCCGATGTGCAAGAGCACCCTGCCACCATGAAAGAAGCCTGAGGGGAGGAGGCCAGTCCAGCTACACAGTGGGGACACTGGATCCCCACACTAGGGAGCTGTGTTCGGAGTTATTGACCTTCTTCCATCTGTTACCTCTTCATTGTTCTCTGTTTCCCTGGCTGCCCATACTGTGGACAATGCTTAGTAAAAAACTTTGAAGAAATTGAATTGACTGACAAATTTAAGTTGCAGCCATGTTTGTTATTTCTGTTCTTCATCTGCGTGATTTTCAAACCTTTCTGTATTCATTGTCCTTAATACATATCAGAGAATTGTGGAGTGCTAGTGCTGGAAAAGACAGAAATGAACTCACCTTAGCTCTTTATTTTACAAAAGTAGGAACTAAGGCCCAGAGAGACTCAGTGCCTTGCCCAGTGTTTGATGGCTATTATGGAATAAAGATGATTTGGAACTGCTGGGCCTCCAGACTCCTTTCTACTTTCTAATTTACTATTTGCTTTCTCTTAAAGTGCCTGATAGAGTCAGGAAATGGGGAGTTTAAACAAACATGAAGTCAACCTATTGGAAACTACTTCCAATAAAAATCTATCAGAAATGAAGCAACTCTGGCAATAAAGGGTATGCCAGAAGCTAAATGAAACAGGCATATATCTCTCCACAACACTCAAACTTAAATATTATAAATATTATATTTATTTTTTTCTTAATTAAATACAATATCAGTTAATTTTTGGCACTTTCCCTATTCTTCTTATGTCCTTATCTTTGGATGGCATAAGAACCCCTGAGCTAATATAATTCAGGGACAAAGGCAAGGGGTCTGGTTCTCAGCCCCTGTTGAGGGAGAAGCATTCAAAGGTAGCTGACTAAGCCAGCAGCTCTGCTCCCCTTCCTTCACACACAAACGAATGCACATACACATGCATGCATACACACACATACTCCAGGCAAGCTCAGCATGGGAAATTCCCCAGGCTGCCATGATGCTTCAGAAGCACTGTGCAAACAGCTTTGCAACCCTCATCCACTTTCAGTCTTGAGCAATACTGTCTCCAGGTGGTGTCTTACTTCCCTATTTAACCTCACTCCTCAGGTCCAGTGCAGCTTATTCCGTTCACTGTGTTGGCTTATTATCTTTAAAACATAAGCATTATCTTCAGGGCATTCTACTCCTATCTCAAAATTATCTTCACATACGCAAAACCACTCGCATACAAAAAGCAATTTACTACCCTAAGAGGTAAGAAGAGCCGAGATACTTGACTCCCTAATAATCTTATTTCTTTTCTGGGCATGGGGGCTGGAGAGCAAAGAAAGGTAATGTTGATAGTCTCTAGAAAATCTAGAGTTGCTAAAACCAAAACAAAAGAAACTAAAAACTAAAAAAGACATTGGTTAAATTTGTCCTTATATGATCCTGTTACCGAAGTACAATTCGGTTTAGACAAACGTCCCATCCACCTGTTGTTAGATAGTGACTGCTATGGTCTGAATGTTTGTGTCACCCAAAATTCATCTGTTGAAATCCTAGCCCCGTAGGTGATGGTGTTAAGAGGGGAGGCCTTTTCGGAGGTGGTTATGTCATGGGGGGTGGCCCAAGGGAGCTTGTTTGCCCCTTTCATCGTGTGAGGCCACAGCAAGAAGGTGACGTCTAAGATGAATGGGCCGTCACCAGACACCAAATCTGCTGGCACTTTGATCTTGAATTTCCCAGCCTCCAGAACTGTGAGAAATAAATTTCAGTTGTTTATAAGCTACCCGATTAATGGCATTTTTTGTTATAGCAGTCCAAACAGATGAAGACACTAACTCTTCTCCCAGTGCTTTTAGCTTCTAATTCCTCCTGGTCTCCTTCTCTGGCCTCTTCTACCTGTGGGTGTCATAATTGTAGATATTCCATCTATGTAATTGTAGATGCTCCTGTCCTTGGCCCTCTTCTTGGATGACACCAGCACTTCTGCAACTTGAATGTGCATGTAAGTAACATGGAATCTCACTAAAATATATATTCTAGCTCAGTAAGTGGGGCCTGAGGCTCTACATTTCCAACCAACCCCCAGGCAACACCAAGGCTGCTGGTCCTATGACCATCCTGGGTAATAAATGCTTAGATTTCTGAGAAAGTTTACCTCGTCTTCATTTTTAAATATATTTGTATGTATTTGAGGACTGGGCGAGGTGGCTCGCACCTGTAATCCCAGCACTTTGGGAGGCCGAGGCAGGCGGATCACAAGGTCACGAGATCGAAACCAGCCTGACCAACATGGTGAAACCCCATCTCTACTAAAAATACAAAAATTAGCTGGGCGTAGTGGCACATGCCTGTAATGCCAGCTACTCAGGAGGCTGAAGCAGGAGAATTGCTTGAACTAAGGAAGCAGAGGTTGCAGTGAGCTGAGATCGCGCCACTGCACTCCAGCCTGGTGACGGAGCGAGACTCCATCTCAAAATAAAAATAAAAATAAAAAATTACAAGATTAGCTGGGCATGGTGGCTTATACCTGTAATCCCAGCTACTCAGGAGGCCGATGCAGGAGAATTGCTTGAACCTGGGAGGCGGAGGTTGCAGTGAGCTGAGATCATGCCATTGCACTCCAGCCTGGGCAACAAGAGTGAAACTCCGTCTCAAAATCAATCAATCAATAAATAAAATTTTAAAAATAAAGAATACATATACATATATATTTGTATGCATTTGGGATGGTGTTGGCGGGGTGCGGGGAGTTCTACATTTTCAACTATTGTCTCTGTGCAGTTAGTTTCTATATGTCTGTCTTCAGCTTTGTTTCTTTGTCAAAGTTCAGATATGCAAATTCAAACCCTTTCTGGAGATCTCAATGCAGATCCTACCAGCATCTCAACAGGACAAGTGTAAAACTTTACTCATCTTGTAAATATCTTCTTTCCTAGTAGATCCCATGTCCACTAAAGCTATCACGAAGTGGTAGAATTTCAGAGTTGGTGAGGACAGAGGAAGTCTTCCTCCATTTACAGTTGATGAGGACAGAGGGCTTCCTCCATTTACAGATAGGGAAGCAGAAAATGAGAGCAGTTACATGGCCTTTCCCAAATTACACCATGAATAGATGGCAGAGCTAGAATCAGAACTAGGCTATGCCAGATATTTCCCCACTAGAGCAGATTGAATCTTCCTGATTACCTTGCTTGAAACTCATGACTAGTCTCCCTTCATCCCCTTAGATAGTTGGACAAAAATTCTGTCAATATTACCCCTAAAACTGTCTCTTGAATATATTCAGCAATTTACATTTCTCTGTCCCTGTTAGTTCATCCCTATCCACTCTTGAGTTACTGTTAAAATAATTTTTAAGCCAGTCTCCTCATATCCCCTTCTTCTTTCTCAATCCTACACAGAAGCCTCTGGGTTTCTTTTCTAAAAGTGGTATCACTTCTATCTGCTGATTTTTCTCCAACCTCATCTCCCATCACATTTACCCATTCATCTTAAAATTTCAGACACACTAGATTATGAAAGGTTCATCTCACTTTTCCGTCTCTGCTGATTATTTTTTGTAGTCTCCATAACTGATGAAATCTTTTAAAACATGTTATGACCTAACTCAAAGGCTACTTCCTCTGTGAAGTGTTTTCTTTTTTCCAGTAAAAGTTAAACTAGTTAAAAAAAGTTACTCTTGGCCAGTCGCAGTGGCTCACGCCTGTAATCCCAGCACTTTGGGAGGCAGAGGCAGGCAGATCACAAGGTCAGGAGTTCAAGACCAGTCTAGCCAACATAGTGAAACTCTCTCTCTACTAAGAATACAAAAAACTAGCTGGGTGTGGTGATGTGCGCCTGTAATCCCAGCTACTTGGGAGGTTGAGGCAGGAGAATTGCGTCATGAACCCGGGAGGCGGAGGTTGCAGTGAGCCATGATCACACCATTGCACTCCAGCCCAGGCGACAGTGCAAGACTCTATCTCAAAAAAAAAAAAAAAAAAAAAAGTTACTGTAACCCCAGAATACTGTTTGACCAAATATCTGGGCACCCTGTGGCTCAGTCAAGTTGACACATAAAGCTAATCATCACAGTATATATGTATATGTAAATATTCCTATATAGATATATACATAATATTTAGATTACAATACATATAATAGCAACCAGATAAAACCTTTCTTCTAGGCCTGGCATGGTGGCTCATGCCTGTAATCCCAGCACTTTGGGAGTCTGAAGCAAGAGGATTGCTTGAGCCCAGCAATTTGAGAACAAACTGGGCAACATAGCAAGACTCCATCTCTACAAAAAATGAAAAACTTACCCAAGTGTGGTGGCACACAACTGTAGTCCCAGCTACTTTGGGAGGCTGAGGCAGGAGGATTTGATTGAGCCCAGGAGTTTGAGGCTCCAGTAAGCTATGATCACACCACTGAACTCCAGCCTGGGTGTCAGAGTGAGAGTCTGTCTTTTTTTTTTTTTTTTTTTGAGACGGAGTCTCGCTGTGTCATCCAGGCTGGAGTGCAGTGGCGTGATCTCAGCTCACTGCAACCTCTGCCTCCCAGGTTCAAGCAATTCTCATGCCTCAGCCTCCTGAGTAGCTATGATTACAGGCACGTGCCACCACGCCCAGCTAATTTTTGTATTTTTAGTAGAGACGGGATTTCACCATGTTGGTCAGGCTGGTCTCGATCCCCTGACCTTGTGATCCACCCTCCTCGGCCTCCCAAAGTGCTGAGATTACAGGTGTGAGCCACTGCGCCCGGCCGAGATTCTGTCTTGATATGGTTTGGCTCTGGGTCCCCATCCAAATCTCATCTCGAATTGTAATCCCCATATGTCAAGGGAGGGACCTGGTGGGAAGTGATTGGATCATGAGGACAGTTTTCCCCATGCTATTCTTGTGATAGTGGGGGAGTTGTCATGAGATCTGATGTGGCACTTCTCCCTTTGCGCTCCCTCTGTCTCTCTCTCTCCCTCCCTCCTGCCACCTTGTAAAGACTGTGCCTGCTTCCCCTTCACCTTCCACCATGATTTTAAGTTTCCTGAGGCCTCCCCAGCCATGTGGAACTGTAGTCAATTAAACCTCTATTGTTTATAAATTTCCTAGTCTCAGGTAGTATCTTTATTTTATTTTATTTCAGTCAATTTAGCAAGTTTATTTTGCCAAAGTTAAGGACGTGCGCCTGTAACACAGCCTCAGGAGGTCCTGAAGACATGTGCCCAAGGTGGTCTGAGCACAGCTTGGTTGTATACATTTTAGGGAGATATGACACATCAATCAATATACGTAAGATGAACATTGGTTTTGGTCTGGAAAGGTGGGACAACTTGAAACAAAGGCGAGACAACTGGAAGTAGGGAGGGAGCTTCCAGGTCATAGGTAGATAAGAGACAAATGGTTGCATTCTTTTGAGTTTCTGATTGGCCTCTCCAAAGTAGGCAATCAGATATGTATTTATCTCAGTGAGCAGAGGGGTGACTTTGAGTAGCATGGGAGGCGGTAGGGCACGGTGGCTCACGCCTGTAATCCCACCGCTTTGCGAGGCTGAGGCGGGTGGATCATTTGAGGTCAGGAGTTCGAGACCAGCCTGGCTAACATGGTGAAACCCCGTCTCTACTAAAAATACAAAAATTAGCCAGGCAGTAGTGGTGCACACCTGTAGTCCCAGCTGCTCGGGAGGCTGAGGCAGGAGAATCGCTTGAGCCTGGGAGGCGGAGGTTGTGGTGAGCCAAGATCAGGCCATTGCACTCCAGCCTGGGTGAGAGAGTGAGACCCTGTCTCAAAAAAAAAAAAAAAAAAAAAAAAAATAGGAGGCAGTTTGCCCCAAGCAGTTCCCAGCTTCACTTTTTTTCTTTAGCTTAGTGATTTTGGGGCCCCAAGATTTATTTTTCCTTTCACAGTAGTAAGCAAGGACTGGAACTCATGTCTCCCTGGCATTTTATTCCTTCTGTTTCTTTTTCTTTTCATTGCTATATATTTTTATTATTATTATTTTATTATTATTATTATTTTTTAATTATACTTTAAGTTCTAGGGTACATGTGCACAACGTGCAGGTTACATATGTATACATGTGCCATATTGGTGTGCTGCACCCATTAACTCGTCATTTGCATTAGGATAGCTCCTAATGCTTTCCCTCCCCCCTCCCCCAACCCTATGACAGGCCCCAGTGTTTGATGTTCCTCACCCTGTGTCCAGGTGTTCTCATTGTTGAATTCCCACCTGTGAGTGAGAACATGAGGTGTTTTGTTTTCTGTCCTTGAGATATTTGGTTTTTTGTCCTTGCAATAGTTTGCTCAGAATGATGGTTTCCAGCTTCATGCATGTCCCTGCGAAGGACATCAACTCATCCTTTTTTGTGGCTGCATAGTATTCCATGGTGTATATGTGCCACATTTTCTTAATCCAGTCTATCATTGATGGACATTTGGGTTGGTTCCAAGTCTTTGCTATTGTGAATAGTGTCACAATAAACATACATGTAGATGTGTCTTTATAGCAGCATGATTTATAATCCTTTGGGTATATACCCAGTAATGGGATGGCTGGGTCAAATGGTATTTCTAGTTCTGGATCCTTGAGGAATCGCCACACTGTCTTCCACAATGGTTGAACTAGTTTACAGTCCCACCAACAGTGTAAAAGTGTTCCTATTTCTCCACATCCTCTCCAGCACCTGTTGTTTCTTGACTTTTTAATGATCACCATTCTAACTGGTGTGAGATGGTATCTCATTGTGGTTTTGATTTGCATTTCTCTGATGGACAGTGATGATGAGCATTTTTTCATGTGTCTGTTGGCTGCATAAATGTCTTCTTTTGAGAAGTGTCTGCTCATATCCTTTGCCCACTTTTTGATGGGGTTGTTTGTTTTTTTCTTGTAAATTTGTTTGAGCTCTTTGTAGATTCTGGATAGTAGCCCTTTGTCAGATGAGTAGATTGCAAAAATTTTCTCCCATTCTGTAGGTTGCCGGTTCACTCTGATGGTAGTTTCTTTTGCTGTGCAGACACTCTTTAGTTTAATTAGATCCCATTTGTCTATTTTGGCTTTTGTTGCCATTGCTTTTGGTGTTTTAGACATGAAGTCCTTGCCCATGCCTATGTCCTGAATGGTATTGCCTAGGTTTTCTTCTAGGGTTTTATGGTTTTAAGTCTAACATTTAAGTCTTTAATCCATGTTGAATTAATTTTTGTATAAGGTATAAGGAAGGGATCCAGTTTCAGCTTTCTACATATTGCTAGCCAGTTTTCCCAGCATCAGGTAGTATCTTTATAACAGTGTGAAAATGGACTAATGCAGAGAATTGGTACTGGGAGTGGGGCACTGCTATAAAGATAACCTGAAAATGTGGAAGCAACTTTGGAGCTGGGTAATAAGCAGAACAGTTTGGAGGGCTCAGAAGAAGACAGGAAGATGTGGGAGACTTTGGAACTTCCTAGAGACTTTTTGAACAGTTTTGACCAAAATGCTGCTAGGGATATGGACAATGAAGTCTAGGCTGAGGTGGTCTCAGATGGAGATGAGGAACTTATTGGAAACTGGAGTAAAGGTCACATATGCTATGCTTTAGCAAAGAGACTGGTGGCATTTTGCCCCTGCCCTAGAGATCTGCAGAACTTTGAACTTAAAAAAACATAATTTAGGATATCTGCTTAGAAGAAATTTCTAAGTAGCAACGCATTCAAGAGGTAACCTGGCTTTTCCTGAAAGTGTTGTCATATGCATTCACAAAGAGATGGTTTCAAATTGGAACTTATTTTTAAAAGGGAAGAGAGCATAAAGGAAAATTTGTAGCATGACCATGTGGTAGAAAAGAAAAACCAATTTTCTGGGAGAAAATCAAGCCGCAGGAATTTGCATAAGTAACAAGAAGCCAAACGTTAATAGCCAAGAGAATGGGGAAAATGTCTCCAGGCCATGTCAGAGATCTTCATGGCAGCCCCTCCCATCACAGGCCTGGAGGCCTAGGAGGGAAAAATAGTTTTGTTGGCCAGGCCCAGGACCTGGCTACTCTGTGCAGCCCCAGGGCTTGGTGCCTTGCATCCCAGCCACTGCAGCTCCAGCTGCGGCTAAAAGGGGCCAAGGTACAGCTCAGGCTGTAGCTTCAAAGGGTGTAAGCCCCAAGCCTTGGTGGCTTCCATGTGGTGCTGGGACTGTGGGTGCACAGAAGACAAGAATTGAGCTTTGGGAGCCTCTGCCTAGATTTCAGAGGATGTATCAAAAGGCCTGAATGTCCAAGCAGAAGTCTGTTGCAGGAGCAGAGCCCTCATGGAGAACCTCTTCTAGGCAATGCAGCAGGGAAATGTGTGGTTGGAGCCCTCTCAGAGTCCCCACTGGGGCACTGCCTAGTAGAGCTGTGAGAAAAGGGCCACTGTCCTCCAGCCCCCAGGATGGTAGATACACCAACAGCTTGCACTGTGTGCTTGGAAAAGTTGCAGGCACTCAACACCAAAACATGAAAGTAGCTGTGAAGGCTGTGCCCTGCAGAACCATGGGGGTGGAGCTTCCCAAGGCCCTGGGAGATTACTCCTTGCATCAGCATGCCCTGGAAGTAAGACATGGAGTCAAAGAAGATTATTTTTGAGCTTTAAGATTTAATGAGTGCCCTGCTGGGTTTTGGACTTACATGGGGCCTCTGGCCCCTTTGCTTTGGCCAATTTCTCCCATTTGGAATAGGAACATTTAGCCAATGCCTGAACCCCCACTGTATCTTGGAAGTATCAAACTTGTTTTTCATGTTACAGGCTCATAGGCAGAAGGGACTTGCCTTGTCTCAGATGAGACTTTAGACTTGGACTTTTGAGTTAATGCTGGAATGAGTTAAGACTTTGGGGACTGTTGGGGAGGCATGATTGGTTTTGAAATGTGAAAAAGACATGAGATTTGGGAGGGGCCAAGGGTGGAATAATATGGTTTGGCTCTATGTCCCCACGCAAATCTCATCTCAAATTGTAATCCCCATGGATCAAGGGAGGCACTGGTGGGAGGTGGTTGGATCATGGGCTCAGTTTCCCCATGATGTTCTTGTGATAGTGAAGGAGTTGTTATGAGATCTGATGGCTTAAAAGTGGCACTTCTCCCTTTGCTCTCTGTCTCTCCTGCTTCCTTGTGAAGAAAGTGCCTACTTCCCCTTTGCCTTTTGCCATGATGTAAGTTTTCTGAGGCCCCACCAGCCATATGGAACTGTGTCAATTAAATCTCTTTTGTTTATAAATTACTCAGTCTCAGACAGTATCTTTATAGCAGTGTGAAAGCAGACTAATACATGTCTCAAAAGCAAAATAAATCCTTTTTTTCTTATTGAATATCACCAGATTCTCCAATTTGACTCTCAAGTAAACCACTCGAATTGCTATATTGCTATTGCTGTATGACCTTATCTCTCTTGCCAGGACCTCTGGCACCAAATAAATTTAGAAGATTTGGAGAAAACATAGTGGATAAACTCTTTACAGGGTCCTCTCTAAGCAAATACTCCTAGAGGGTTTGCTTCTGCCATGTGGCAAATGGAGCTTCCAATGGAAGTCCGGGCAAGTTCTTGGAAGCTTGTTTTATGGGAACCAATTTGTTCTTATTTAACCATCATTATACACCATAAGTGACTTGTCTTGATAATTTCTTCTTTTTCTAAAAAAAAAAGTGTATATATTTAAGGTGTGAAACATGATGTTTTGATATACATAGCGCAAGTATTACTTATAGGTAAGCAAATTAACATATATATCACCTTCCAGAGTTACGTTTGTGTGTGTGTGTGTGTGTGTGTGTGTGTGTGTGTGTGGTAAGATCACCTAAAACCTACCCCCTTAGCAAATTGTCAATGTGTAATACAATATTATTAACTACAGTCCTCCTGCAGTGCGTTAGATCTCTAGACTTATTCATCCTACATAACGGCAAGTTCGTACCCTTTGCCCTATGGCTCCCTATCCTCCCACCCCTTCAGCCCTGGTAACCACTGTTCTACTCTCTGTTCCTATGTATTTGACTTAAAAATTCCACATATAAGTGAGACCATGCGGTATTTATTTTTCTGTGTCTGGCTTATTTCACTTAGCATAATATTCTCCAGGGTTATCCATGTTGTCACAAATGGCAGTATCTCCTTTTTTAAGGCTGAATAATGTGTATATATGTGTATGTGTGTGTGTGTGTATATATATATATAATATTATATATATACATATACAATTTCTTTATTCATCCATCCATTAATGGTCACTGAGGTTGAATCTTGGCTATTGTGAATAATTCTTCAATGAACATGGAGTGCAGATATCTCTACAAGATGTTGATTCCATTTCCTTTGGGTATCTATTCAGCACAGGGACTGCTGGGTTGTATGATAGTTTTAATTTTTTGAGAAACCTCTACACTGTTTTCCACAATAGCTGTACTGATTTACATTCCCACCAACAGTATACAAAAATTCCCTTTTCTCCAGACCCTTGCTGACACTTGCTATCTCTTATCTTTTTGACAATAGCAGATGTAACCTAACAGGTGTGAGGTGGTATCTCATTGTGGCTTTGATTTGCATTTCCCTGCTGATCAGTGATGTTGAGCACTTTTTCATATACCTGTTGGCTGTTTTTATGTCTTCTTTGGAAAAATATCTATTTTTTTTTTTTTTGAGATGGAGTCTCACTCTGTTACCCAGGCTGGAGTGCAGTAATGCGATCTCGGCTCACTGCAACCTCCACCTCCCGGGTTCAAACAATCCTTCTGCCTCAGCCTCCCGAGTAGCTGGGATTACAGGCGCGTGCCACCACACCTGGCTAATGTTTCATATTTTTAGTAGAGATGGGTGTTAGCCCATCATGGTGTTAGCCAGGATGGTCTCAGTCTCCTGACCTTGTGATTCTCCCACCTCGGCCTCCCAAAGTGCTGAGATTACAGGCGTGAGCCACCATGCCCAGCCCCTTTGACCATTTTTAATTGGATTATTTGTTTTCTTTAAGTTCTGTGAGTTCCTTATATAGTTTGGATATTAAACCCTTACCAGATAACGGTTTGCAAATATTTTCTCCCAATCTACAGTCCACCTTTTCATTTTGGTGATCGTTTCCTTTGTTGTGCAGGAGTTTTGGGTTTAATGTAGTCCCACTTGTTCATTTTTGCTTTTCTTGCCTGAGCTTTTGGTGTGATATCTAATCTTTACACTCCTGCTTATCAGAAAGAATGATGATCCCTAGATAAAACAGAAGAAACACACAACAACAAAAAAGAGTTAAGGTTGGTGAATTTGTTTTTGTATACATAATCATGATCTCAATTACTAGCTTTAGTTTGGGTCTTTGTCTTTTCGGTTAGCGCCTTTTTTTTTGAGAACCTTCTAGAAATATTCATTTAAGTTTACAAGAGTACTTGACAATGAATTATTTTTGTTTAATGTCCTGAATTTTAAAAATACATATCTTTAGGTTATAAAGCTGTATTATATTTGGAGGAGGATATGTAGCAAAAGAAGGCACCATTAAATCCAATGGTTATTCCTTACTACTATTTTGGGAAATAGACTAAACCAAGTTTGTGTCTATTCATAGAAGGACATCTTACCTGTGAATTTAATTTTAATTTGGGAAGAATTAAGGGTAATTCAATTCAGATTTTAAACATGTGTTTATATTTAAAATATCTTCTTCCTGCATTATATTAGATCTGAGAATGATCAAGTGAGTACTTGGAAGGGGTTACTGGCTCACAGCCAGGAAAAGGCCTATATATTCCAAATCTGTTGCTTACAAACAGAAAGCTGGACTCCAGAGGCCTCCCAGGCTTCTCAGACCTCTCTCACTGAAGCCTGATGTGGGTTATGTGGCCCAGATTACTCCTTTTCATTTCTGCATGGCCTGCCCACACTTCCTTCACCTTTACTCCAAGGCCATCTTTTAAGAGAGGACTTCTCAAGCCACTGTATAAAATCACAAGCACTTCCTATCCCTCTTTGCTGCTTTTATTTTTCTCATTAATTCTAATCACAATTGAAGATACTAATTTTTTGCTTCTTTGTTCAACATCTGTCTTCCTCTTTAAGGTATGAATTCCACATGGGCAGGGATTTGGTTTTTGTGATTCACTGCTATATCTCCAGTGTCTACTACACAGTAGGCATTCAATAAATATGACTCAGTGAAAACTTGTTTACTCTTCAAAAGCCTAATTCACCTCCTCATCAGAGTCTTCCCGGATTTACTCAGTTATCACCTGCTTATGCTTCTGTAGAACTCTGCCTTCAACAAAATTAACCTCGATTTTGACCTGACATTAAAGCCCACATCTTCCCTCTTTATTATTTCAGAGGTTTTAGAGATAAGTATTTTAACAAAGTATGATCCTGCATATGCACTCTGAAACTCAATTACATACATACAAGTTATGGAAGATTTCCCAGTAGAAAAATGTGAAAAACTGGATTTTAATGAACTGTCAGTTCAATGATTCAGTAAGATGAAGTTCCAAAAAAACCAGCCAACCAAACCAGTTTAGCTTTAGCCTGACTCCTAACAATGAGCCAGGTTCCTAATTTAAAGAGAGTTTTCAAACTATACTACAAGTCTACAGTAACCAAAATAGCATGGTACTGGTACCAAATCAGAGATATAGACCAATGGAACAGAACAGAGGCCTCAGAAATAACACCACACATCTACAACCATCTGATCTTTGACAAACCTGACAAAAAAAAGAAATGGGGAAAGGATTCCCTATTTAATAAATGGTGCTGGGAAAACTGGCTAGCCATATGTAGAAAGCTGAAACTGGATCCCTTCCTTACACCTTACACAAAAATTAATTCAAGATGGATTAAGGACTTAAGTGTTAGACCTAAAAACCATAAAAACCCTAGTAGAAAACCCAGGCAATACTATTGAGGACCTAGGCATGGGCAAGGAGTTCATGACTAAAATACCAAAAGCAATGGCAACAAAAGCCAAAATAGACAAATGAGATCTAATTAAACTAAAGAGCTTCTGCACAGCGAAAGAAACTACTATCAGAGTGAACAGGCAACCTTCAGAATGGGAGAAAATTTTTGCAATCTACCCATCTGACAAAGGGCTAATATCCAGAATCTACAAAGAACTCAAACAAATTTACAAGAAAAAAGCAACCCCATCAAAAAGTGGGCAAAGGATATGAGCAGACACTTCTCAAAAGAAGACATTTATGCAGCCAACAGACACATGAAAAAATGTTCATCATCACTGGTCATCAGAGAAATGCAAATCAAAACCACAATGAGATACCATCTCACACCAGTTAGAATGGCAATCATTAAAAAGTCAGGAAACAACAGATGCTGGAGAGGATGTGGAGAAATAGGAACACTTTTACACTGTTGGTGGGAGTGTAAACTAGTTCGACCATTGTGGAAGACAGTGTGGCGATTCCTTAAGGATCTAGAACTAGAAATACCATCTGACCCAGCAATCCCATTACTGGGTATATACCCAAAGGATTATAAATCATGCTACTATAAAGACACATGCACTTGTATGTTTATTGTGGCACTATTCACAATAGCAAAGACTTGGAACCAACCCAAATGTCCATCAATGATAGACAATTAAGAAAATGTGGCACATATACACCATGGAATACTATGCAGCCATAAAAAAAGGATGAGTTGATGTCCTTTGCAGGGACATGGATGAAGCTGGAAACCATCATTCTGAGCAAACTATCACAAGGACAGAAAACCAAACACCACATGTTCTCACTCATAGGTGGGAACTGAACAATGAGAATACTTGGACACAGGGTGGGGAACATCACACACTGGGGCCTGTGATAGGGTGGGGAGCTGGGGGAGGGATAGCATTAGGAGAAATGCCCAATGTAAATGACGAGTTAATGGGTGCAGCAAACTAACAGGGCACATGTATACCTATGTAACAAACCTGCACGTTGTGCACATGTACCCTAGAACTTAAAGTAAAGTATAATTAAAAAAAAAAAAAGATTTTTGTGATCAGTCCTGGCAGTCACAGTCACGATTGGTGTAGAGTGTGTTCAGGAGAGAGGAGACTGAAGACTGCACTATTTGCAAGAATCGGGAATATGTAGCCTGGGAAAGAGAAGACTAGGGGGCATCATAGATGCCCCCCAAATACCTGAAGTGCTGTCATATTGATGGGAAATTGTTTCTTCTATGTGGCCTTAAAGAATGTTGAAATTACAAGGTAATCTACTTTGCCTCAATAAAAAGACCTTTTTAGCTTGTCGAGATGGGCTGGGATGGTGTGGCCCTCAAAGGATTCAGATGTAGGCTGGCGTTGGTGGGGTGATGTAGGAGCAGTTTGTGGCTGTGCCCAATGACTGTCACAGTGGCTTCTCTGGTGAGCCCCTCCCTTGCCTGAGTGAGTTGTTCCTGGTGTACATGCCGCACTCCTCCCTGTCTCCCCAGCCTCCCTTTGTGTGGTGACTGTTGCTGATTGTTTCTTGTTTAAAGTGCCTATGATTTGCTTTATGCCTAAAAATATTTTGTTACTAAGTATTTCAATTTGTTTATTTGATCTTCACACTTCCAGCATTGCAGGAGACTTGTAAATATTGACTTTGTGTACACGGAATTTGTACTGTCCACCTTCTTCACTTCTTTCATTCTGGACCATGTCAGACCCTCTATCACCTTGGACACAAACACATGGCAGATAAAAGAGAGTGGTGGATATAGAACATGCAGTCAAGTATAACGCTGGGAAAACAGGATTCCAACATACTGGATGATGAGACTTGTGGATGGCTAAATTTGGTGCAGAGAAGAGCACTTCTTCCAAATCCATGTCATTCTCACAGGGAACACTGCAAAAACACTCTATAAAAAGGAAGCCCATTTGAAGGCCCACCTCTTGAATACATATTCTATTCTCCATGTTTTTATTCTTTTTCCTTGCTCCTGTGCCAACCCCTTGCCCAACAGCACAAAGAACAGATTATCTGTGACTACTCACTGAGAGACCCACAGCCATCATTTCCACCACCCTTTAAGGCTGTGGGTAAGTGGTAAACACCTGGAGTATCTTTGATTCTTATTGTCTACTTAGAATATCTATAACTTGTTTGGTTCATTTCCTGGCTCAGAGAAGGTGCCCAATAAAAATTTGTTACGTGCACAAACTGCTTTCTTAGTTTGAGTTACCATCACCTCTGGCCTGGACTCCTACAGGCCTCTTAAGTAGTCTTTCTGGCCTCTAGTCTTGACCCTTCTTTAGTCAGTTCTTCACATATCCAGTCAGAATTATCTTCCTAACATGCTAATCATTTAATTTCCACGCTTAAAATTTGCTTGTGCCTGTCAGGATAAAGTCCAAACTCCTTACCATGGCAACCAAGGCCCCTCATGATCAGATGCCTACTTCCCATCTCTCTTGGACCTCCCGGGCTCTTCACTGTCTGGCTACAGCTCCACCAGACAGCCCTTCTTGTTTATATCACCTTCCAGGATCTTCCAACACACTGGGTTGGGGTAAGTATCTCCTAATGTGTTTGTCTCCGTGACACCCTATCCTTGCCCCTCTAGTGGTTCTTAACATGTTGTACTGAAGTTGTCATCTCTATCATCAAGACTGTAAACCGGCCAGGTGCAGTGGCTCACTGCTGTAATCCCAGCATTTTGGGAGGACGAGGCGGGTGGAACACGAGGTCAGGAGTTCAAGACCAGCCTGGTCAACATAGTGAAAGCCCGTCTCTACTAAAAAAAAAAAAAATTTGGCTGGGCATGGTGGCGGACGCCTGTAATCCCAGCTACTCAGGAGGCTGAGGCAGGAGAATTGCTTGAACCCAGGAAGGGGAGGTTGCAGTGAGCCGAGATCAGGCCATTGCCGTCCAGCCTGGGCGACAATGGGAGACTCCACCTCAAAAAAAACCTCCTGAAGGTAGAGAACAAATATATGCATCTCACTCCAGTGTCCGGACAAAAACAGGGGCTCACTAAATGTCTGTAGAAAGTATAAACGCATCCAGCATATTTATGCCCATTTTATAGGACTCCACTGGTCTTTCCTAATAGACACAGCACACGTATGTGGAGAGGGTAGTGGGTGAAGAGTTAACAGTAGTTCCTGTTTCTTGCTCTGCCATTAACAAAACATGATTTTAGAGGACAGGGTGGATAATTAACATTTTAAAAGTCCCCCAAACTAGGACTTATTGGTATTTTGAATGACTTTAAGTTTCTCATTTCATCTTTGCTTTTATAACGTACTATTATTCTCATATATATACTTTTTTTTTAGAGTGAGACTCTCTCTCTCTCTCTATATATATAGATGGGAAATTGTTTCTTCTATGTGGCCCTAAAGAAAGTTGAAATTACTAGGAAATTTACTTTGGCTCAATAAATACTACTTTGGCTAAATATATATATATGTGTGTGTGTGTGTGTGTGTGTGTGTGTATGTGTATATATATGTGTGTGTATACATAATGTGTATATATATATGTGTGTGTGTGTGTGTGTGTGTGTGTGTATAGAGAGAGAGAGAGAGTCTCGCTTTTGTTGTTCAGGCTGGAATGCAGTGGTGCGATCTCGGCTCACTCCAACCTCCGCCTCCCGGGTTCAAGTGGTTCTCCCACCTCAGCCTCCTGAGTAGCTGGGACTACAGGTGCCCGCCACCACGCCCAGCTATTTTGTTTTTACTTTTCGTACAGACGGGGTTTCGCCACGTTGGCCAGGCTGGTCTCGAACTCCTGACCTCAAGTCATCTGCCCACCTTGGCCTCCCAAAGTGCTGGGATTATAGGCGTGAGCCACTGCGCCCGGCCCTCATGTATAATTTCTAAGTAAAGGTTTAACTTCTTATAAAAATATTCCTATAAAAATGACAATTTATATACTTCCACATTAAAAAGTGGTTAAAATGCAGAAACTGGGCACCGTAAAGCTCATGCATCTCTACCATGGAATACAGAAAAGTGCCTTGAGGTCTGAAACATCTAAGTTCAAATGCTATGTCAGTTACTTAGGGGTTGTGTGATTTAGGAGCAGTTCCTTGGATGGCTGTGAATGTTTAAAGTGTGACCGGTGCCCCATATTGCACTTGGCACGTAGTAGGGACTGAAATGTTAGTTCTCTTCCTCTCACTTATGGTTTTAGGGAAATCTGGGAATACAGAGATTCATTAAGATATCATTTCTTCTTTCACTTTTGAAATAAAAGGCATAGTAGTTTCTTAATTCAGTTTTACTTTGATGAAGCCATCTTTGGAGCAGTAGATGATTCTTTAAGTATATATGAAAAATGTAATTATGTGTAGTGATATGTGCCACTATTCTCTTTGGTATCTTTTAAAGGAAGTAAAATTGTATTTAAAAATATAAAGGATGTAAGAAACAAACTGACAACTGTAATGCCCCAATGAATCCTGAAAATTTATTATTTGGGAGAATATCCAATATTGATTCTTTGTTTTACAGCTCATAATGATCAGAAAATATACATTTAAAATGAAAGTCAAAGAAAAGGATAATTACATATAATACATATTACAGATTTATTTGTACATAAGCAAAGCAGTACTAAAAGCATATTTATGTGCTCACAATTAGTGAACATGGCAATTTTCTGTTTAAAGCTGCAGCAACTCAAATCCTCCTAGGGTCAATAAAGAAAAACATATTGAGAAATACATTTAGGGCTATCACCATGTCTGGCTGTAAATCTATTTTTTAATCTTTCCCCTCCCCCCATATATATGTATATACTTTATTGCCTTTATATTTCTGCTGGTTTAATATAATTAGTATACGAAATAGTTTTCTGCATTTATTTGGTTTCTAAAAATATATAAAATGCATTGAAAAGAGCTCCTGCAGCTTTCAGGCAGTCACTGTCCTGGCATCGAAAGCTTATTCTGGAGATGTAAAGCAGCAATACTGAATAAATAGTGATTGTTTTGTCTTTTTGATACAGCTGATGGCCTTCACCCCAAACTTAAAAATACTGTAGCAAATAGTATAAACATGCAACTTAAAAAACTGAACACAATACAAAAGTAATAATTATAAGCTAATTTTAACACAATATAAACCAATAAAGACAACTTTAGGTAGGAGAGGGATGTGAACACAGCATCGTTATATAAATTAAGGCCAAATTTATCAAAGGCAATGCACAATGGGAACTGTCCATCTGCCCAAGCACTTTGCATGCCTGAAATCAAAAGTTTTTGTCTTTTCTGTGTTATTTCCTCAATCCATTACAGTTCTATCTTGGAAGATGTTTACAGAAATGGCTTCAAATGAACAGTCTGTTTCTCTGAAGACCATTTTGCTCTTATTCACAGAGAAAATTATCCTTTAATGCAGATGTAAATTACATTTATGCTGTGGAAGCAAGTGCTTACATGTTCTTGTTATATATTGCTATACTTCATATTTCACACCATAAATTCTATTTTTTTTTTACTGTATTTATATAGTTTTTACTCTATCAGTCTTGCTGTAGCTCTTGTTTATGACTAATTTGAACTATAGGAATTGATGATTACCTCATTGATGACTGGGAGAATTAAATAGGTAACTCCTATTAATACCAACTGAAGTCTCATATTATAAAAAAGTCCCTGTGCATCAAGACAAAAAACAAAATGTTATCAAACCAAAATATCTCAGAAGGACAAGAAAGGGACTATGGACACTATGTCCACAGGCAACACACTATGGGCCATTCTCTGAGGATGACAGACACTCAAAAGGTCAAATATACCAATGCTATTCCAAATTATTTCTTGGTAAGATAAAAAGATCTTTAAATGTATTTAATACTTGTAGAAAATCACAATAAAACAAGTTGCAATATGATTTTTTTAAAAAAAACACAAAACATTGAAATCTAATTTAGTATTTAGAACCTGAACATTCCCCCAGATGAAAATTTTATATTTGGTATTTTTGTATACCATTGCCCACTACCCCTCCGAAATGTATCCAGGATGTGGCACTTATCTAATTCATTTGTATTTGCAATAGATAAAAATGATCACAAATATACTAAAGTATCTTCAGATGATCCTATGAAAACGAGTTTTTTTCCCTCTGAGTCTTAGAAAATATTCCTTAGATATGTGCTTCCAGAAGTAATATAACTAATTAAAAAGTACAGCTTCTCAATGTATTCAACATATTCACATTTCTATACTTTCGTCGCCTAGGAAATTTTTTTAAATCTGTAATTAGGTCTATGAAGATTATTTGGCAGCTTGGAAATTCTGATGAAGTTGTCAGAGAGGTTAACTGTGATACTCTGCTGGGAACCCAAGACTACTACAAGTTGCTAGGATGCTGCTTGTCCTTACTTAAAGTTATTAGGTTAATTCTGATAACAATTTATAATGAGTTGGATATTGACAGTGTTTTTCGTGGTATGCCAAGGCATCTCTGAAACTCCTAATTGCAAAGTTTAATACTGCCTCCAGTTTAACATTTTGACTTAAAGAAAATGCGATCAATTTATAAAATGTTTTTCTTTGTGAATAAGATCTTGATTTCTCTGAACAACAACAAAATGACTTTATACAGAATGACTTATTTAAAAATAAGGCATATATTGGGCATATGTAAATCATTACTGTCACAAAATCTATAAATTATTTTTTAATCATCCTAATTTTAAATATAGGTAGATAGAAAATAACTACTATAAATTGTGAGCAAATGTGTACAGGTTGTGGTTATTTAGGTAAGAATCATTTACTTCAGTTATTTGCAAAGTAACATAATGGCAAGATCAATTTGATAACTCCAAGAACCCAAAGAAACTCATATCTTCAGTTGAGGTCCGCCACTTAGCTGCACTAGAAAAGGCAACTCTGCATTATGACTTTCAGTTCTCTAGAAGCTTCTATACAGTCTCATAGCCATTCTTAAAAATTTCATAGGAAACCTAAGTAGAGCAGCATTGTCAGCATTCACTAAACCAAAGTCAGTCAAATGTGTTAAAACATCCAAAGTTGCCTTCATGCATAAGACATAGCTCTATTGTTACCATGGCATTACTATATTAATCCACTTTTATTTTGTTGCATGTAAATAATACAGAGGATGTAACTTCTTCAGAATTAAAACTACTTTAAATTTCAGATTAAAGTCTTAATTATACTGTACCAAATCTAACCAGAGGGAATGTAAAAATGGCTAAGTGGTGTCTGACTGAATCTGTCTAAATATTACTTGTAAATCTTAGTTAAGTCACTACTCATCAAAAAGGTGTTGAGTCATATTTGGTTTTACAAATAAAATAACATATGTACAAATGGAGATTAATGTCTTGTAAAAGTCAAGCCTAAAAATAAAAACATATGCTGAATTTGACTTTATATCCTTGCTAAAAAGTACCTAGGTTTAACCTCCTTTCCATCTAAGTGACTGGAAGAAACCACAATGGTCCATAATATGCAGAGCAAATTATGTGCAAGCAATACCTTACCCATGGTGTGTACACCAACAGATCATACATATGAAGCGGGTTATTTTAAAATACATCACTTAAAGCAATGTTCCTGAAGTAGACCAACCCAGCTTTCAGGTATCTATAACTTCCATGTTAGATTAATTCTGAAGATCCATGAGTGTAAATGATAAGACAGGGCAGAAACAAAACACATAATGTATCAGGAAACCCCATGCCTGTTTGGATACATACTTACCAATTACATTTTTGTTCAACAGTGTCTGAAACACTGCAAATGTTTTATACATACAATTTAGCTTATGAAAAATATCTGTTATGCTCTGTGGCCACACGTATATTTGGAAATATTGTAAAGGAACGACTAAATTCCAGATTTAAAAAACCCTGAATTATTTCACCTAATTAAGCAATGGCTAGGACAGTTTCACAAAACAAATGCAAGTGGCTTCCTGTGGAGTTAGCTTCGATGGTGGAGCACCCTAGGACACTTGTGTAGTGTAAATCAGCAATGCATGGATGGAGTCTGGCAACATGCACACGGTCATAATCACACAATATGTAACGTAAGTCAGTCACAGGATAAGTCAATAAAAATATTAAAACATCAACATTCACACATTGATTACATGAAATAAATTAAACTAAGCCAGTCACAAATTTCTCTTCACTCTTACTTAAGTCACGGCTTATTTATGTATACACACTATATAATACTTTCCTAAAGCTCTCAAAATGCTACAAATAAAAACGAAGGCTTTGCATTATAGCTGCTGGACAAAAATATCAACACTGTTGATGTGTGAAAACACAGTTTCTTTGTTCTTTAGCATCAGTGCACAGGGTATGGCTCCAAGTGGTATGCAATTTAGGAGAGAAAAAACATACAGCGTCTTGTGGAATAGATCCTCTGTTCATCATTGGCACAAATCAAAAAGGAAGTTTACTGTCCTTGGTACCTCTGTTGGGTCTCCTCCCTAAAGACAGATAATGTCATACATATATGCCTTCAGGATTAAAACCAGATGAGATAGGATTCTGCAGAATGCGGAGATTACTGGGGAGCTGCCGAGATGAACCAGGTCGCTTCAGGGACCCAGACTGGAATGGTGCCTCTAAACAGGAAACAAAGAGAGCCACCTGATGAGCTCGTCAACTTGGAGTACTTAGCAATATAAAAAATCAGACTGCTTCCTACCCCAAAAGGGAAAACTGCATAGAGCAATAATTGCAATCCCCTGTGTGCCCTGGGCTGGGGGAGAAGGCTAAAACCTTCTCAGGTCTCTTTGATAAACTAGTTTTTGTTGATTTGAACAGTGAATGATCTTTACAAAAGGTGAATATTCTGCTTCTTTTTTTGGTTGTTCACACCATATGCATACACAGATTTGGAATTGTCTTTTAAATATCAGCACAAATTAATAATAACTTTTAGAAGAAAAAGAAGGAAAAGGGGGGCATAAGGAACAGAGAAGCCAAAATTCAAATTAATAGACTATAACTCATATATACTTCAGAAAAAAGTTTTAATAAAGAAGTAGTTTCAAACTAATGATATGACATTTGGTGATTACATGCTCACCTAAGTAAATAAATAACCTAAATGTTACTGGTTTTCCTCTAGAAATGGGAAATATTTTTTTAAAAAAAGAATTTTTAAGTGTCCCACTTAAAAATTAGCTATGAATGTTAGGGTAATATTTTAACTGAATACAAGTAGTTTATTCAAAGTTAAGCAGATGGTCGGGCATGCTGGTTCATGCCTGTCATCCCAGCACTTTGGGAAGCTGAGGCAGGCATATCACTTGAGCTCAGGAGTTTGAGACTAGTCTGGGCAATATGATGAAACCTCATCTCTACAAGAAATACAAAAAAAGAAAATCAGCCAGGTATGGTGGCATGCACCTGTAGCCCCGGCTACAGGAGGCTGAGGTAGGAGGGTCACCTGAGCCCAGGAGGTCGAGGCTGCAGTAAGCCGTGGTAATACCCCTGGCATTCCAGCCTGGGCGATACAGTGATACTATCTCAAAAAACAAAAACAAAAAAAGTTAAGCAGTGAGAATAAAGGGAAAATAAACCATATTTATCAACATCTTACCCCTTTCAATGTCTGCATGTGAGGCCTCTATTTCAATGGGCTCCGCTGGCAAAACGGTAACTTTTGTCCCTGTCTGCTGGATGAACTGCTGGAGATTGACTTGCCGCAACTCCTTAGTCAACTGCTCCAGTTCCTGTTCTTTGTCCTAGATGGAAATTATTATTTTTTTAAATTTGAGGATTCACTACTGGACAGTGCAAGACATCTTTGTGAGGATCCATCTGCTACAGGGGTTAAATGTGCAACATCTGCTTTCATAAAAGCACATTTAACAAATCTGGTTTATATTGACACAATGGGCTAAAGAGGTCACTTTCACTCTGTGGTGTAGGCCAAGAAATAAGCCAAGGGAAGACAACAGTTTCATTAGTCTGTCCTCTTAAATGTGATGCTTTCCTCTGGAAAACCATTATGCACCCTTCTGAAATAAATATGTCTATAAACTTTCATTAAAAAACAAAAACAAAAATGGGTTTCTCAGTCTGTAAACTCATTGGTGGAAAATAAAAAGAAAAAACCCCACAGGTTTTTACCCATCTCTGTGTTGCAGCAATCTTGCTAAGCTGGTCACAAATTTACATATTAACCACTTCATATTAACTTATAACTACAAAGTTAATTGTAATTTGTTCCATGGATTTAGAGTTCTTGTTTTTGTAAGCTGTTTCAATTTTCATGGGATACATTATTGAGATTTATCTTACAGCATGAGGAAAGCAAGATTCCCACAAGATTCTC
Organism: Homo sapiens; assembly: GCF_000001405.40. NCBI lineage: Eukaryota > Metazoa > Chordata > Mammalia > Primates > Hominidae > Homo > Homo sapiens. Next base: position 26,066,975 of record NC_000012.12, on the reverse strand, counting down.
ACTATGGAATTCCTAAATCCTTGACAAAGATCTGAGAACTACAGAGTCCTACAGAAGGAGATCAAGTTTGGATAGCTGGAAAGCTGTAAAAGCAAGGAGGGGCATCCTATTATTTAAACAGCTTTTCATTTCTTTCTTTCCTCTACTGTATATAAGAAAAAGTACCCTGGCTCTACCCAGGCTGGGTGGGTCCCAAGGATTTGGTAGGGGTTGGGAAGAGATTAGAAGTGAATGGTTGTTTTCTCCACTTATTTGAGTGTAGGGGGTACTTGGGGATATATCAATATTTGATTATCAGACACTTTTCAGTGGGTAGAGGGATTTGCTAGTAATGACTGTGATAAGTTAGTGTTTTCTGTGATATCAAAAGCAACACAACTTCCACTTGTACCTTTTTTTAAATGTCAAAATGAATCCCAATAGTAAAATACTGACAAATTAGAGGCTGACAAGCTTCTACTGCATGAGAAATTCTTGATTTTCAAAATTTGGGTGGTAGTTTTATCTCTTACTACAGATAATGACGGAGAAAGGAGATCACATCAGTTCTTCCTAAAACCTCAGCTTTCTCTGATTGTGGAACTAACTGTTGATGTTCTAAAGCAGCTCTTCTCAAACCTCACTGTACACAGGTATTACTTGGGCATCCTGTTTCAATGTAGATTCTGAATTTCTTACAAGTAGTACCCTGGAGCTGCCTGGCATGGACTACACTTTGAATCGTAAGCTCTAAACCAGCACAGTCCAACAGAACCTCCTTCAATGGTGGAAATGTTCTGTGTCTGCACGGCCCGTACAGCAGCTACTGGGCACTTGAAATGTGACCATGTGTGACTAAAAACAGAATTTTAAATTATTTAATAATTTAACTGCCTTATTATTTAATCTTAATTTAAATTTAAGTAGCCATATTGTAATCAATTGTGTCTCTTTCTCGTCCCATCTGATACAGACTGTTTGATACATCTTTGCAACTTCCGCAACATAATCACAGGGTCTTTTCAAGAATGGGTATCCAAGAAATGTAAGTTGAGTGATTAGGGTTTAAGTGGCAAAATAGAACTTCTCGTATGTGAACTAGAAAGGGGGAAAATCAGACAGAAATCTTTGTGCCTCTCTCAGGAAAGCAAAGGAGGGTACTGTGGAGAGGGGAGAAGGGACGGGGGCTGTTTATGTGTCAGGAAAGAAGCTGGGATTGGCTGGCAACAATGGAGAAGTGACAGATAAGCAGTCAGCTAGCCACAACAATCCCTGGCCAACCAATCCATGGACAGCTCTTTCAGCTCTAGTTTCCCTATCTCTGAAAGGAGAAGGTGAGATTCACTATCTCATCATTAGTGTCCATTCCATCCCATTATCTAACGCTACAACTGTCACAGTAAGACAAGGCTCTTCCATGGAGAAGGATCCGCAAGGCTACTGCTCCCATCTAAGCTGTCGTAAGTCACAAGAGTTCGACAAAAGTTTTAAACAAGGCTGGGTTTCTAATTCTTTGAATATAAGGAAAAATTGACAATGATGAAAAGGAGATTCCAAGAAGATACTATTTTACATGGGCCAAACATTCTATTTATCAAAGTGTCCCTACCTGTAAGCGTTTGGTGGCTTGTCCAAGAGATCTTTCCACAGCTTTGATGCCATTTTCCAACCTCAGACTCTGCTGGCCTTGAATGTCAATCTCCCCTTTGACCTTACCGATCTTTCCTTTAACCTCTTCCTCATTGACCTGTGCCTCTTGAACTTCCCGTTGCAATTTTTCTGCTTCAAGACCACTTTCCATAGTCCGGATCTGTGCCAAATAGTCCTTTAATTTGTTTTCACATTCTGTTATTTTCTGTCTTATTTCTTGAAGTTGATCCTTCAGCTGTTTTTCATTTTCCTGTTCAATCTGTAATTCATTTTCCCAGAATTCTTCCTCCTCAATTTCTACATCGTTTCTTTTGATCTTTTGCTCTAGACGGACAATTTCCTCTTCAAGGTTGGAATTATACTTTTGCTCCCAAAATCTTATTTCTATTTCATTAGATTCCAGCTGTTTCTCAATGGATTGAAGCTTCTCTGTCTGCAGACGGATTAGCTTCTTCAACTCATCTGCTGTTGTTTTGCAGTTATTCAGCACCTTTTGCTTAAACTCAGTTTCTTTACCTTTTCCAAAAATGTCCATTAATCCTTTGGCACCTCCTGTAAATGTCAGTGATTTCCTTTTCGGTTCCCTCCTTTTGATTGATTTGTCAATCTGAGGCCTCAGTTTAGCTAAGGGGGGCAGACTCTGCCTGTATAAAGTTCTTTCAGGAATTCGAGCCACACTGTCTGAAGTGGGTCGCTCACTGAGAGACGGCCCAGTTCGTCGTAGAATGAGCTGCACATCACTAGCATACTGCCCCCATTTGTTTAAGGATATGATAGGATTTTCATGAGGTGCTAAGTGTCTTTCAGTATCTCTCCATTTCTCTATAAGGGTGTACCTTCCAGTTCGACCTATGTAAAAAAGGTAAGAATAACTTGTCAAAATGGGATATGTAATAGTTAAAAAATGGAGTAAGAATGCCATTTGATGATTGTGTATTTTCGATTAGCATCAGAGGGTCAAGTTTGAGTCTAGTTCAGGTTCCTTTAAAACCTTTACTTGAAGATACCAAACCCCTCACGACATGTAACAACATAAAATCAGAAGATGTGTATTGCACATACTCTTTAGGCTTGCTTAGAAATTCAACTTTATACTTTAAACCTTGGTGGGACTCTTATACTCTTGCCAAATACCTGGCTGCCTAGAACTTCTCATTTGGGGCAAGACTGAACAAAGTTTATTTTCTAGCTGAAACAAAGGACAACAGAATCGCCATGTGAAACATGAGGGGCTGGTCCAGGAACTAGGTGGAACTTCAAAACTCAAATACATTTCCACTGTGGAAATCCCTCGGCTTTTTTCCACATCAGAACTTGGGAGGGCTGGAGGCCCCACTTCTCCTCCTGAAAGGAGACATGGGGACCAGTGGAGAACTGTGACTCAGCCACAGGAGGTGCCCAGGTCTCCTCTCCATCTCCACCTGAGTGCTCCACCAACCCATCGCTCACACAGCTGACATCTTCCTGGACACCCATGACAAACAAAAAACCAGCTCAATGAAAAAAACTCTTCAAAACAAATTCATATAAAAAGAGGGGCCTGAAGAGAAGACTTGTTCAGTTTTGGTAATATGATAGTATCAGAGATTCTTCTTCTAAAAAAAAAAAAAAAACTCAAAGCAAAATATTGTTAAAAACAAACCAGCAGGCTGGGTGCAGTGGCTCACACCTGTAATCCCAGTATTTTGGGAGGCAAAGGTGGGCAGACTTCTTGAGCCCAGGAGTTTGAGACCAGCCTGGGCAACATGGCAGAACCCTGTCTCTACAAATAAAATATGAAAAAGTTAGCCGGGAATGGTGCTGTGCACCGTAGTCCTAGCTACTTGAGAGGCTGAAATAGGAGAATCGCCTGATCCTGGGAGATCAAGGCTGCAGTGAGCTGTATTGTGTCACTGCACTCCAGCCTGGGTGACAGAGTAAGACTCTGTCTCAAAAAAAAAACAAAACAAACAAACACCAGAATACAATCACATATACATTGAAAAATATACTGAATCTAATCATTATGAAAGTAAGATAAAGTTTCAGAAGAATATGATTGTAATGCCATAAGCTTGAACATGCTTTTTAAATATTTTCATTTGAGTGGGTCAGATAGATTATTTAAATTTTGTGAAAAGTGTACATAAATAATTACAAAGAAAAAAAACCAACGCTGCCATCCAGCAATTATACTTGTATAAACAGCTATTGATTGATTTACCTTCCTGGCTTTCTTTTTTAAATTTCATGAGCTTCTGAGCCAATAGTAGTATTTTTGCAATTACTGCATCAATAAATGGAAATCTAGATGTGTAAATATCAACACCCATGTATGTAATTCATGAGGAGCACATTAAAAAATGATTTTGCTATAAGCATATGAGTGTGTTCTCCTTTAGGGAAACCTGAATTTGGGGTATAGCTGGAAGTTGGGGTTTTGGAGGCAAACAATCCTACGTGAGTTACTTACTAGATAAGCAGCACAACTTCCCTTCTAAAACGCTTCGCAGATTCTGAGGGTTAGCACCTACCACACTGCCTGGCCCACAGCAGGCATTCAACACGTGGTAGCTAGTAAGACATTTTTCCTATAACAAAAGGGCTGACCACAGAATTCCTTTAAATAGTGATGTGTCATCACAATGATCTTTTATTTATTTATTTATTTTTTCCCCTCCCTTGCCCAACAATCTGACTTTTAAAAAGCAACTTCCAACTATGTAAACTAGACAGAGATGGGACAAAGGTTCTGGAGTAGAAAGGTCTGGGTTCAAATGTGGCTCTGCCTCCTACTGTGCTTACCTACATGATCTGAACAATTAAATTTCCTTTAGCCTCAGTCTCCTCATCTGTGGGATAAGAGTAGTATTGCCTTATCTGACAAGGTGGTTCTGAGACTCAAGTGAGAATGTAAAATATAAATATGTTTGTGAAATTGAAAAGTGCTAGATAATATTAGTTACATTTATCAAAATGCCCAGGCTAATAAGGGGGATGAAAAAGAAAACCTTAGCACAATAGATTAGCTTCTTGAAATAAAAAATGTTTCCAATGATTTTCAGGTTAAAAATTACTCTAATTGCTCCCAAAGAAAAACCACATGACACATCTGCAATGTTAAAACTGTCCCATGTGTACAAACTGCTTCAAAGGTCATAGCACTATGCCTATCAACTGCTTTTAGGAATCTTACTCTTCTCTGAACCTCTGTGTCCTCCTTCGGTAACAGGAGGGGTTAGATAAACCGGTAGAGTTCTTTCCAATTCTATCAGCCCAATGAAGTATCTTTAGAAGGAAAACCGAATCATCACATTATATGAACTAAACAAAATATTTTAAAGACCCTAATTTATTCATAATTAAAAATAAAACTAATTTTCCAGTGCTTACTGGTACTGCTACCCTCTGAGAATGTCTTGGAAGGTTATTTAGAATTGCTTTTACTGCCAGTATTGGCTTTTGTTAAATAATGCACATTTAGTACCACTGGGTCAAAAAATTCCATCCAGCAATATAAAAAAGCTTTTTTTAAAAAAGGCAAATGAATTAATAGATTTGATTTTATTATATAAATTGGGTTTTAAATATTTTATATAGGAATTAAATTCCACAATCGCTGTTTTTAATATCCATAACTTGGCAGCACTCTACAGATTCTATTTCCTTCATTTACACAGATTCTGATTCCTCCTGCAAAACTCCTTTTAGCGTATTTGACCACATGGATACATTCAGTTAAACCTTCTGTACTATTTTGATGTAATCTTAAAATGAATAAAAAGGAATATCTATCTGTCTGTCTGTCTATCTATGGCATTTGTAGTTTAAGCTGTTTTTGCATTGTAGGACTGTGTGACACTATCAAATAATTTCGATCCAATTTAGTGGGGTAAAAAATATTAATTATACTTTTAAATATTGAAGCAACTGAGACTAATCCCAAGAATCATTAAATTTATATACTGAAGAAACTTACATACAGATTTTAATGCATTAATGAGATCTTATTGAATGACTGATTGACATAAATTAAAAGAAAACAGGATAACAGCTTACTTTCACTTAAGAAAGCAGAATACACAACTATAAAGTAACATAACATTTTGAAAATACACACCAAAACTCAAACAAGGGTCACTCAGAAATTTATGCCCTGAATTCAACCATTTTTTAATACTCCAACAATTTTTATAATTTTAGGAAATTTCTCCTTACAGTCATAAATCAAAATCATGATTTAAAAGTTACATCTTGCTATTTAGTTAACAAATGTATATTGAACACCACATATGTGTCAGAAACAGTGCCAGGCTCTAGAGAAATAGATTCTACTAAACATCTTCATCACCAACCCTCTGGAGTCTTCATTTTAACTGACATTTGATATTTTCTTCAGTACCAAATCCTCCACACCCCAAAGATGAATATTGGACATTATTCAAAAGAACATGACAAAGAAATGGCACTAATCTCTTATGAATTTAATGCTAACATATCTTCAGGTTTCTGGACATATGAGAAATAATGTCAGTAACACCTGACTTATTCTTTATCTATGGAGGATAAGCTATCCAACAGCACTGAATTTTTCTGATAGTAGATATTTTGCTTCTTGAGCTATAAATATTTTAATGAAAATTTTGTAAAATACATTACACAGTCCAGGACTCTTATGCAAACTCTAGTGAACACAACTAGCTTTTTCCGTAATGACTTAGAATTCTTACAGTAAGCGTTGATCTCTGTAACAGAACTTACACTTTATTATCTTATAGCCTGTAAAATGCTTTTGATGCTTTTATATATATCATCTTAGTTAGTTCTGTGAGTTAAGCAGTATAGATATTACGATCCTCATCTTATCAGTGAAGAAATAAAAGCTTAAAGAATTTTAAGTAATTTTCTGATGACATTTAGTTATTTTTTTACTATACTATTTAAGTTCTGAGTGAAACTACTAAAATAACTCTTACCCCACAGTATATCTTAGAATAACAGTGATACAATAAAAAATTATCTCTGAATATACCTGTCAGCCAGTTGTGCATTCAAACCATAGTTACATCATCCACAGTGTATCTTCCCAGTGTATATCATGTAATCACAGAATTACTGTCTACTTAGAATTATATGATAAGCTCACTACTACTAAACATAATAAAAATAGTGGTCAGGCACGGTGGCTCACATCTGTAATCCCAGCACTTTGGGAGGCCGAGGCGGGCAGATCACGAGGTCAGGAGATCGAGACCATCCTGGCTAACACGGTGAAACCCCGTCTCTACTAAAAATAGCAAAAATTAGCTGGGCGTGGTGGTGGGTGCCTGTAGTCCCAGCTACTCGGGAGGCTGAGGCAGGAGAATGGTGTGAACCTGGGAGGCGGAGCTTGCAGTGAGCGGAGATCACACCACTGCACTACAGCCTGGGTGACAGAGTGAGACTCCGTCTCAAAAAAACAGTTACAGAGTACCTGTGATTTACTGGGCATTGTGCTGGTTACGTTAAAAAAATATAAACCAAAATAAGTAGAAAACACTACAAACCAGAAGATTTTGGGAGCTGTTCGTTAACACAGCATAATCTAACCCATCTTGACTGATGCATGCTATGAATTAACATGTATTAACATTCATTAAAATAATATTCTACAGATGTGGAAAATACAGAAGCTAATTAAAATAAAAAATTAGACTATTGTTATAAATATTAAAATTGCAAATGAATATGTGGAAAATTAATTCACAATACAGTAAATGAAAAATGAGACAATGAGACTCAAAACTACAAAAAGCATATGAAGAGTATAATTTTTTAAAAGCTCATCTATGGGTACACAAAAAACATTGTTTATTGCTAGGAAGTAGAATCATGAGTGATTCTCTTACCTTCTTTGTGTTTTCTAAATTTCAAGATAATCTACAATAAATAATATTACTTTATAAATGTAGAAAAGTAATCAATTTTTAAATTTCTGAAATTGATATTTTACATGTGAAGCTAAGAGTTAAATATGACAAAGTACATATTTCTTTCCTTGTCTTCTCAATGACACCAAGTATCAAAGTACCGTGGATCAGAAATCCTTTTCCTCAATCTCCTTGATTTCCTTCTCTTCCTTCTTTCCTCTCTCATCTTTTGTTAGCTGGACTTTTATTTCTGTGTTAAGCTCTAAGCTGCCTGAGGGCAGAAATACATCCTTGTCATATTTTTGGTTTGAGATAAAAGCAAATGCATTTTCTCCATTATAACTTGAGATAGATGATCTGTCAAAGGCTTTCTGTTTCACTTAGATTTGAGAAGCAGTTTAGACTCTGAAAAAAATGCATTTCTGAGATATTTTACAGGGGAAACAAAGTAGAACATTTAAATTGGGAATGTTTCAGAAAGTTCAGGGTGTACAGTGACAAACTCCGAGTGCACTCTTGCAGGACAGTTGAACCACTTCATGCCAAGAAGAGGTTTCAACTAAGGTTTCACTTTTAGTTATTCTGTCATCATTTGAGCATGTGTCCTACATCCATCACCTAAATCTAATCTGTCAAGATTGTCAGATTAGTGTAGAAAAGATTTCTTCCTATAGATTCAACATCTTTCATCAAACTATGTTGTTTCTAGCTCTTTGCTAATTCAATTTGATTGATTAGTAGCATGAAGAAAACCTTAGCTGTCATATATATATTTGCAGGTTGACAACTTGTGTGCATATTTTCATAGTAAGTCATTTTGATAGTTTCTATGGTTTCCTAAAAATAATTTTAACTATCCAGAAAAAAACCTGTAACTCCTAATCAAGAATACACTCTGTGTGTGTGTGTGTGTGTGTGTGCGCGCGCGCGTGCGCATGTGTGTAGTGCCCCCATGAGGCAAAGACGCGCACTTAAACCTAAGAAACCAGTCTACAAATTGCTTCACTATACATTCTTGACAGCCACCTGTGGTTCTGGTCATCAGTCCATGCTCTACTAATAATCTAGCTAGCCACTTACTGTGTTAGGCCTTGGAAGTTCTGGGGTTGCTTTTCAGAGCAGCAATTTTCTCTAATTAATAAACTCTCACCACAGAAATCAGGATCCACAGCTCTCGGCTACTTGCCAGTGGAGTCATCTCCAGATGAATTCTGAGTTCAATGAAGTATTTACGATACAGAAAGAGTTGTTTGGCCAAGTTTGGAGGAATATCATAAAACATTTGTATTGAAGTTGTCAACTTTTCAAAACAGCTCTTGGATTGAGTTATTGAGAAAGTAAAAATAGGAGGGCAGATTTAGTTAAAATGTGTTTTTGGCTTGTTCACAAATAAGTATACTCTGTAGTCCAAGTGGGCAAGCACATACATGGTACCTCCGGGCATTTTCCCCTTGAAATTCTGTGTAAAAAGTGTGATTATGCAAACAACCCCATAAAAGTGGGCAAAGGATATGAACAGACACTTCTCAAAAGAAGACATTTATGCAGCCAACAGACACATGAAAAAATGCTCACCATCACTGTCCATCAGAGAAATGCAAATCAAAACCACAATGAGATACCATCTCACACCAGTTGGAATGGCGATCATTAAAAAGTCAGGAAACAACAGATGCTGGAGAGGACGTGGAGAAATAGGAACATTTTTACACTGTTGGTGGGACTGTAAACTAGTTCAACCATTGTGGAAGACAGTGTGGCGATTCCTCAAGGATCTAGAACTAGAAATACCATTTGACCCAGCCATCCCATTATTGCGTATATACCCAAAGGATTATAAATCACGCTGCTATAAAGACACACGCACACGTATGTTTATTGCAGCACTATTCACAATAGCAAAGACTTGGAACCAACCCAAGTGTCCATCAATGATAGACTGGATTAAGAAAATGTGGCACATATACACCATGGAATACTATGCAGCCATAAAAAAGGATGAGTCCATGTCCTTTGTAAGGATATGGATGAAGCTGGAAACCATCATTCTGAGCAAACTATCACAAGGACAGAAAACCAAACACCACATGTTCTCACTCATAGGTGGGAACTGAACAATGAGAACACTTGGACACAGGGTGGAGAACACCACACACCGGGCCTGTTGTGGGGCGGGGGGATGGGGTAGGGATAGCATTAGGAGAAATATCCAATGTAAATGACTTAATGGGTGCAGCACACCAACATGGCACATATATACATATGTAACAAACCTGCATGTTGTGCACATGTACCCTAGAACTTAAAGTGTAATTTTAAAAAAATGGAACTTCACACACACACACACACACACACACAAAAGTGTCATTATGGACAGATGCAGCTTATAGCACTACTCAACTACCTTGACTTTTGTAAAAACTACTTTTTTTTTTCTTTTTTAGCACTGTCCATGGCTTAATTCCCAAATATAACAAGGAAAGCCAGGTTTGACAATTAATAAACGTAGTCTTCACTAAGAAAAAAAAAGCTGTATATTTTAATTCACATAAATTAAGTGAAGCTCTTAATAGTGACAATTACTAAATAAGCTCATAGAAAGAATATGAAAAAATTAAATGCCTTAATTTTCTCCTCTTTAATAATTAAACTTAAGTCTACATATATAAGATTCTCAAATGCAAAAAGAGTTTCACCGGATGTGAAAGCCCAGAATTTTCAGCATTGCTGCAATATATTCTTGTGCAATAGTGTTTAAGGAAAAATCAAAAGATGTCAATATTACCAGAAAGTCTCTGTCTTGTATAGGGCACTGTAAACCTCTAACAGTGCATCTGCCACATCACAGGTGGCACAATCATCTCTACCAAATGCTAAAGTGCCTTGGCAACAGTATGACTCATTTCAATGCTGAGCTAATTGACATGCTTCCAATATAAACTGGCGAGACATAAAATCAACTTTTGATAAGGAGCTCAAAGACAAAGAGGCCCTGAACACTTAGCATGGTGCTGGCCACACAGCTTCCTCTTAGTACATGTTTGTTAAATGAAAGACTTAAGATGCAAATATAAACTTGGACCCATATTGCTGGTTTTTCTGATGCAGGTGTTTATGCCCTCATCATTTAAGGCAACTAAATATACATAAACTATGATGAAGATAAGCTTAAAATAAATAAGAAGAAAGGGTAAAACATGGTGGGAGAATAACATGAAGCCAAGAGCTGTGCTTCATTTTCACTGTATAATAAGATTTTATTTTATTTTATTTATTGAGACCGAGTTTCGCTGTCACCCAAGCTGTAGTGCAGTGGCATGATCTTGGCTCACTGCAACCTCTGTCTCCTGGGTTGAAGCCATTCTCCTTCCTCAGCCTCCATAGTAGCTGGGATTACAGGTGCGCACCACCACGCCCGGCTAATTTTTGTAGTTTTATTAAAGACGGGTTTGACCATGTTTGCCAGGCTGGTCTCGAACTCCTGACCTCAAGTGATCTGCCTGCCTCAGCCTCCCAAAGTGCTGGGATTACAGGCGTGAGCCACCATGCCCAGCCAATCATAAGATTTTAAAAGTATACATTATCTTTCCAGTGAAGAACGATGTTATTTCATTTGTTGTATTTTCTGAAAGTATGGAGAAATAAACAATAGGTGGGATTTTTCCTAATGAGGGATTCTGGGAACTAAGAATCTAAATTCTTAATCTGGGTCTAAATTTTGGCTCATGGAAACATCTTTAGTTTCAGAAGTCACTGTTTAGGCTGAACAACAGGAGAGGAGAAGGCAGTGTAGATGTTAACTCAGGGTTAGTAAAATCTAGGGGTGTCAGAGAACAAGCATCATCACAGATGTACCTAAACACAGGCAAACTGTAATAAGTACAAGAGTGCCTGTGAGACTTATTATGGAACCAAATGAACAAAATCCCCTAGAAATCTATATTTAAAACAAACACATACAACGAAAGAAAGCACAATGTACTTTTCTCAGATACCCACAGAGTTCACTCACCTATTGCTTGAGCTAAGGCTATGACAACCTCCTGGCAAGTTGTGACTTCAGTGACTCCACAAACAATCCTCTGAACTCCATCCACCCATACTTTAAGTTCCATGGTGCACCGGCCAGTCACTCAAGGTCCCTGAGAGTGGTCATCAGGGTGTTAGGTCATGTCTCTAGCTGCAGGAACACGGAGTGGAGAAGACTAAGTCTGTGTAGTCAGCTAAAAAAGGGCAAAAAATCACTTGTAATAAAATGAATCAACATTTCTTCTAGTAAGTATGTAAGTATTACACAAAACAAATTTTAACATATCATAATCTTACTGAAGTACACAGGCTTATTTTACAGAAATGAATTAAGCAACACAAATGCAACTACAGTCACCTATCATGACAGTGTTTCATGTTACAACTATTTTTATCATAATTTTAATCATGAACTCATGCTCCATTACATTAAAAATTCCTATTTAGTTGCCAAGCCCTATTCAATATATGCGCTGTTTTTCTGTCCTGTTTTTTTTCTTTTTGGATTATTTCATTAGGATAATTTCTGAGGCAAAACTAAAGAAAAAAAGTTTGTCATTTTAGGAATTATCAATAAAATTGAACCACTTTGCAGTGTGCAGTGTTTTGCCAATACTATTAACAAATTTAAGAACAGTTGTCAAAGTATCTTACTCAGCTCACATTCCTGATTTAAAACAAACAAACAAACAAAAAAACTGCTACCTGTCTGCCTTCCTAATATTTTTTTCCCTTATTATTTCATTCTCTCTTCTCATGTATGATGTCTTGACAACTGTTTTAAATGTGTCCCTTGCCTCCCTCTCCCCACAGGACAAAGAGTGTCTTCCCGCTGAAATGCCAACACCAGGCACAGCATGAGGGCAGGTGGGTAAAAAATCTTAGTCAAAGGAAACGAATTCCTTTGACGACCAACAGTTTCCTCATGTGTGAACTGTTTATCCTTTTCTCATTTAACTGGGTTTGATAGTTTTCTTAAATTACAAGAGTTATTCAAAAAATATAAACATTAACCGTTTGTTCTACTTGCTGTGTTTACCCAGTGTTTGATTTTGTATTTGGCTGCATTATAAGCAAAGCAGAAATTTTTACTTTGTCATATAGTCAAACCAAATATTCTTTATTTCCTGTATCGATAAGAATGTTACTAGCCTGCTAAAAATGATCACAATTCTTTTTCCTGTGGGTTTAAAAAAACTCTCAACTCTTCCTATGTAAATTCTCTAATCAATCTGATTTTTTGTTTGTCCATTGTTTTGTGGTCTTCCCACGTCTTTGTTGTTAAAATTCATGAGATATAATAAACATTGATTTAATTAAGAGAACATTTGGATTTGTTTATAGGTTTACAGTGGCACTGGTATTTCAGAATTAATGGCTTATTTAAAAGCTTATTTTAAAAACACTAGAAATTTTTCTTGTAAAACAGTAGTTACTACAAACAGTGGCTTAGTCCCTTGCACATTCTTTTAAAAGACCTAAGACAGTTCTAGGCCATCTGGTCACCTGGATAGGTAAGTCAGAACACATGCAAGGGGAAGGAGAATAAACCTAATTATTTTCTCCAGAGAAGGTACACAAATCCTTTTTGTCATCCTAAAAACAAGAAAGGCCTGGCTGAACATTAATCTCCTAGCACTTTGCTTTAGCTCTCTGCATATGACACAGCATAGGTTTCATTATCCCCTGTATGAAGAAAGAAGGGGCCACCTTGGCAATGACAAGCTGATTCCATAACTGTGCTCCTCAGTTATGAGGGCCTGTGAGATGTTAAAGTTCCTGGGGATAAAGGCTTCCAAAGTTAAAGAAATGTTAAGAAAGCCAGTAAATAAAGTTAAACAAGTTCCTTTACAGCTAGACTTCTCTGAGACTTTAATAGGCTGGTGTGCACTCTAAATTTCAAAGGAGAGTTTTATATGCTGCCCAATCTAGAGAACATTTAAGAAAACAGAAAAGTTCTGACTTGTTTCCTCTTCTGCGAGGCACTCTACTTACTAAAAATAGAATATGTTTTATTCTTTCTTGGGATAAAATTAAGGTATCAAAAATGGCCTAAGATTAATATATTGCTTTATTAAATTTTTGTAAAAGCTGGATTAAAGTCTATTTAAAGTGCCTTCTTATTCATTAAAATATCTTAAACTTGGGAAATCAAGCAAGAAAGGGTACAGATCTCATTAAAGCCCCCCTGCCACCAAGAAACCCATCATTTCAAATGATTCTATAGGACTTTTTTTTTTTTCAATTGTGGAAGAAAACATAAGATCTATCCATTTAACACATTTTTAAGTACATGATACAGTATTATTAACTACAGGCATCATGTTGGACAGCAGATCTCTAGAACTTACTCATAATTGTGTAACTGAAACTTTATACCCCTTCTACAAGCAACTGCCCATTTCGCCCTGTCCGCAGCCCCCAACAACCTACATTCTATTCTGTTTCTATAAATCTGATGTTAGGTATCTCACAGACGTTTTATATTCCTTTTTAGACTTTAGCATACTGCCACATATTTTCCTATCTGAATTATCATTGTTTCACTTTGAACTTTTAGTCATATATTGAGTCATTAATTCAACATAGTATTGGAAATTCAGGCCAGGGCAATCAGGCAAGAGAAAGAAATAAAGTGTAGTCAAATGGGAGGAGAGGAAGTCAAGTTGTCTTTCTTTGCAGATGACATGATCCAATATCTGGAAAACCCCATCGTCTCAGCCCAAAATACTCCACTCTAGGAGCTGTAACCCTGATCTTTATATCAACTCCAACAGTTCTATGCCCAGCCCCAGAACCAGACTAGAGAGTAAAATGGAAGACCTACACTGTAGGTGCGTGTGGTGGATTGGTCATCGTTCAGACTAAAGACCTAGGAAGCAAAAGGACACTCCAATTGGAATTTGGAATATATTTTTCCATGGAAACAGTGATGCAGATAGAAGGCTCTACTGCAAAGGTTTTAATATAGTTCAGTTATTGTCTTCATTATGAGGTTTCCAGATGCAAATCACTATTATTTTAATAGTTTTTACAATGAAGCACTAGGCTTATTCACTAACATGCTACCAGGGAACAAGTATTCTTTAGCTAAGAACCATTTATTGTCATAATATCCTCCTGGAATTGAGCATTTGCATTTGTGGAAACATATTACCTCAAGATCAATGCTTTCTTAAAGGAATTACAGCCAATCTTCATTATTTGCAGATTCCATATTTGTGAAACCTACCTAGTTGCTAAAAATTTGTTTGTAATCCCAAAAATCACTATTTGTGGTGCTTTCAGGGTTATTTGTGGATACGCACAGGGTGTGAAAGTTTTTAGCTGACACACACGCTCCCAGCTGAGACTGAACAAGGTGACATTGCCTTTGTGTTTCAGCTCTCATACTGTCAACATGTGTCCTTTCTCAGTCTACTTGGTGCCATGTTTTTTGTGAGTTTTGTTGGTGGGATTTCACCATTTAAAATGGCCCCCAAGCATAGTGCTGAAGTGGTGTCCAGGGTTTCTGAGGCAAGAAGGCTGTGAGGTGACCCATGGGGAAAACATATATATTATGTAAACTTTGTTTAGGCATGAGTTATAGTGCTGTTGGGTGTGGGTTCAACGTTAATGAATCAGTAAGCACTCAGTTGAGTTTCTTATTCAAAGCCCACCTCCAGATAGTTTATTGACAATTATATTTTTCTCAACCATATGCAATGTTAAAGCTCTGTCTGTGACTTTGAAATAGAGACTTCTCTCATACCCAGAGGTTTTAATCAGCAGTGCATAAAACAGTACCGGAAATCTTTTGGGAGTACAATATTTTGTAGAATAACTAAAGAATAGCACTTATTTCTGAATTAACGATTTGGGTAAATTTTGGTCTGCCAATATTTATACTTATTGCATATTAAATATAAATGTTTATATTTAATGTTTATTAAATAAGTTATCTTTAAACAGAAAAAAACACATAAAGCAAGGTTATGTATTGATGGGTTCTAAAAATGTTGTGACCAGAAACTCCCCAAAAACTAACAGGAATATTCATTATTAAATTGAATAAGCTCATGCTCTTTCTTCTACTATTCATTACCTTCAGGTGCCAGCATTCACACATGCCCAGTGATTTAACACTCTCAAATATTACACACTTAAGTATTTGGCAATTGTGGAAATAAATGGCACAAGTACTTATTACATGTTAGGCACCATGCACCATGTTTCATTTATTCCTCACAACATAATTCATCAAGTTAGATATGATTAGTCTCATTTCAATATGAGAAAAGTGAGTCTCGGAGAGTTTAAATAACTTTTCCAGTGTCAAAAAAATCTAGTAATTTGGGACACATATTTGAAATTTGGCTGAATACAGAAACTAAAGAATAAATAAGGCTAGGGTTCCCAAAAGGATTCACTGTACCCAATAAATGTTTTTTTAAAATGTCCTAAACCACCCTAAGAAATCTTATCTTTAATCACCTGGAAACTGGTTTTTGTCAATAAACAACGATCAGATAATATATACAAACTTGCCATTTCAAAACAAAGAAAAGAGGTGCTAAATCATGCTAAGAAACTGCAAAGAATTAATTAATTCAAAGAATCTATGAAAAACACATGCCAGCAAAATGAGCATCTGATGCTCAGGTTCCTTTTTCAGCATCAATGAATTATTCCTTCAGTTTTGGAAAATCACATCCAGCTTTATTTCTACAGAATCCTAAATAAAATATGTCTGAACATACACATTAATTTTAACTCCTGTCTTAAATACAAAGCAAAATTTCTTGGAGATTTTCTGCATTTTCTTTAAATTCACACTATTAAAATATACTTTCTGGAATAAGTCATTTTGTTTGAGACAATGTTGATTAGTGGAAACAAGATGCACCAAGGTTCAAATCCCGAGTCTACTACCTCTTGTGTGATTTGAGTCAAGACGCATATTTTTCCAAGCAGCATTTGTAAGAAATGGCATGAAATAATGTCTTTTCAAATTGTACCTTATCTAGTACAGGGCTCGGCACACAGTTTGAATTCAAGAGTTAGGTCTGGGACAGAAGTGAAAGTTCTAACTTAAAAAGTATAAACTTCTTTTTTATGGAAGGACAAATCAATAGCAATGCAAATTTTCAGAAACATTTATACTAATAAGAGCATCTGAAAATAAAGACATTTTAGGTTACTAATCCACATACCTAGAGCAGCAGCACATTCAAAAATTGTAAGCAGATATTAGAAATTGTAATTCATATTTTAAAATTTCAGTCACATCTAGTATAAAACATGCTATGAATCAAGTTAAAGTTATTGGTATGAGAATACTGATCCTTCTATTAAGAATTATGTCTTTGGCTGGGCGTGGTGGCTCACGCCTGTAATTCCAGCACTTTGGGAGGCCGAGGCGGGCAGATCACGAGGTCTGGAGATCAAGACCATCCTGACTAACACACGAAACCCTGTCTCTACTAAAAATACAAAAAATTAGCCGGGCGTGGTGGCGGGCACCTGTAGTCCCAGCTACTTGGGAGGCTGAGGCCAGGAGAATGGTGTGAACCTGGGAGGCGGAGCTTGCAGTGAGCAGATATCACACTATTGCACTCCAGCCTGGGTGACAGAGCGAGACTCCGTCTCAAAAAACAAAAAAAAGAATTCCGTCTTTTCCTTAGGATAAACTTTTCAAATGAATATAACTAGTAACTTTAGTTTTTCATTGAGCATCAAATTTACACTGAGTGCTACAAGGGCACTCAGTTGAGTTTCTTATTAAAAGCCCAGCTCCAGATAGCTTACTGACAATTATATTTTTTCGACCATATACAATGTTAAAGCTCTATGACTTTGAAGTAGAGACTTCTCTCATACCCAGCAGGGTTAATCAACGGTGCATAAAACAGCATTGGAAATCTTTTGGGAGTACAATATGCTGCAGAATAACTGAAGGATGGCACTTATTTCTAAATTAACAATTTGGGTTAATTTTTGCCAGTCAATTAAAGTTCACAGTGGAAATGTAAGATTTTTATGTAGTAATTGTAATTCAAGGAAAAACAAAATCTTTATGTAAAATTACCTGTTTTAGAAAACTAAGAGATATGTTTTCAATAATCAAAGGCTCATCTCAAAAATTAGCCCAGCTTCAGAATAATTCCTCTTACTAATCTAATTTACTAGCCAACACCACTAAAAAGTCATTTCTTCCCATCCCTTCCAAGTTATGTTTTGTAAAATCATTCTAATACCCCATGGAAACACAAGAACATGCTTATTAGACTGAATTCTTCTGTGACATCTATCTGACAGAAGTGCACTTACAAGGCAAGTATTTAGCTTGGGATTTTAAGCCCAGAACACCATACCTTAAAAAAGATGAAGGAGGGCTGGGCACAGTGGTTCACGCCTGTAATCCCAGCACTTTGGGAGGCCAAGGTAGGCGGATCACCTGAGGTCAGGAGTTCGAGACCGGCCTGGCCAATATGGTGAAACCCCGTCTCTACTAAAAATACAAAAAAAAATTAGCTGGGTATGGTGGTGGGCACCTGTAATCCCAGCTACTAGGGAGGCTGAGGCAGGAGAATCGCTTTAACATGAGAGGTGGAGGTTGCGGTGAGCCAAGAATGCACCATTGCACTCCAGCCTGGGCGACAAGAGTGAAACTCCGTCTGAAAAAAACAAAACAAAACAAAACAAACAAACAAAAAACAAAACAAAAACAAAAAGGTGAGAGAGGAAGAAGGCACAGAGAGGCTAGAGAGAGCCATGAGTGGCATGAAAAAATAGCCACTTGGGAGGTATGAAAAATGAAAATAGTGCAAAGGAATGAATGGAGAGCAACACACAGAAATGTACAATTCAGTCTTGGTCAGGGCTTCCAATGGCCCTGTAGCCCTCATTACAAGACAATTCCTGATGGGCCCAATCTCTCCAGTACTAGTAGCCCTGAGTCACCTCTAACTGGAATCCACCATTCCACACAAATGCCATTATTCTCAGCATATGCATCTTTCTTTTCTTTTTTTCCCCCTCCTCTCTACCACTCCAGCCTTGCTATATTCTTCTTCCCAAGTCATAAGCCTACCAGCAACACTCAAAAATACATTTGGTTCTACCTGGTGAAGGCTCTAAAGAAGCTGTCAGCTTCTCATACCTAGAGATGTCAGGGATGGGTGAATGATGGTACTTTCTCCAGGCATGTAAAAGGTTATGCATTTCAGAGTTCCCGGAAACCAAATGGATCAGCACAGTGCACAGTGAGTGCTTTTAATTTTATGCTGCCTCAGCATCCATTTTTAAATATAAGTCAACCCGGCTCAATTGCCCTTGACATAGTTTCCAGTACTACAGCCTACCCAAATGGTTCCAGCCAGTGGCCAGGAATAAAAACTTGGAGGTATCTCTCCTGCCTCATGGACTGGGCTTCCTGCTTTCTAGCCGCTTCCTTTAAATGGACCCTTACGGCATCTGCCTGTGACTCACATTTCATTACCCAAAATAGAATGCTACTTGCCAGCTCCCTTTCTCTCTACCTGCTTGCAACCTGACCTACCTACATGTGGCCTCCAGGCGTGCTGTGTACCCCCCAGGGTCAGTAAGTACTACAAACTCTTAAACTTTCACAGTGTGGCTGTCTTTGAAGCCATGCCTACAATCTGACCCCTGATGGCAGGGCAGCCCTGAAGGGACCCAGGCAGGTGGATCTCCTGCTGGTGCTCTTTTGTCCAGGCCTCTCTGCTGCTAGAGACGGTAGTTACCAGCTAAGTCGACATAGTTTCATTCAAAGCATTAATATGTCTCGCCTTTCATAGCTGGCAGCCCACTGGTCATCAACTAGTACAGTCATTTCACTGAACATAGAAGGCTGAGGCCTGGCCAGGTTATACACAGGATCAAGGTCCCATGCACAGGTGACGGCAGAGCCAGTCTTTGCACAAAACTACTTTAGATTATTCAGAAAACTGAAATTAAATGATTAAGTTTTACATATATTAAAGGGCCCAGTACAGAAGATGTTGAGGGAGTTGCCCCTCTCAAGAATTCTAGTTAAAAGAGATCATAAAATGAGTTATTATTGATATAAGAACATTAGCAAGAAAAAACTGTGTGTGGTCTGTTCTTGCTAATTTTCTTAAATGTTTATGGAAGGTGGAACAATATGGGACCTTACAATTTGACCTTCCTGGCACAAAATCTCATAAATAAGAAATATAAAAATAATATACCATTGGGCTCCATTTCTTGCTGCAGTATTATAAAAAGGAACATAAAAAGCCATCTGTTTTGCAATTATACTTTCTGTTAGGTTCCCAGACTACTTTGCAACCCTCCAGAGATGATCTGAGGCATGTGTGCAGTGCCAAGTTCTATGATGGTTTAACTCCCGTTAAAGCTCTCAGAACTGGGATTAGAGACCACACTCTCAAAGTCTTCATGTGAAAATCCCTGAACTCTGCCATCAATTAAATTATGCTTTCTACTACATGTGCTATTTCATGGCTTTCTTTCACAAATCATGAGAAAACTGACAGTGAGTATAATACACTCCTATGGAAAAACAAAATTAGTGAAAACTTGGTGATATTTTAAGGTAGATTTAAGTATAACTATATCTGTGATATT
The DNA here is from genome assembly GCF_000001405.40 of Homo sapiens. Lineage (NCBI taxonomy): Eukaryota > Metazoa > Chordata > Mammalia > Primates > Hominidae > Homo > Homo sapiens. Next base: position 26,046,819 of record NC_000012.12, on the reverse strand, counting down.
TCTCCTTAAGCAGGTACACATTGGTACCTTCATTGAAAACTAACTAGCCAAATGGTAACACCTTGCTTTTACTGAATCTAGCAACAAGAATTCTTACTATGTGAAAGACGCAATGTTGACTGTTTTATATAAATACTATTTTTTTTTAAAGAGATGGGGTCTCCTTATGTTGCCCAGCTGGTCTTGAACTTCTGGTCTCAAGTGATTCTCCTACCTCGATCTCCCAAAGTGCTGGGATTATAGCCCTGAGCCACTGTGCCCAGGCACCCTTTTATTTAATCCTTTAAAAAATTTTTTAAATCTTTTTGGCTGTCACCAAGGCAGAACAGATATTTAATCCTTTTAATACTCATCTGTTGCTCTATGTGACATGAATTATTAAACAAAAGAGGAAATGCAGGCATAGAGAATCAGTAACTTACTCAGGGTTACCCACCCAGTAAGTGGCAGATGCAAATCTAACACTCAGAACCACTAGTGACACAGTTACTTCTATTCATGAAATAAAGTTATTAGCAAAGTTTGCAAGGACATTTGTAATCACTAATTCTGGCTTAGGAGAGAAAGTAATCAAGTAAATGTGACCATGGGAATTATAATTTCCAACACTACTAAACCAAATGATATAAATTTAGTCAATTGTTGCCACAGAAATAAGGAGAAGAAAGAGGTGGTGTTCAAATCAGACTTAGGAATATACAACCCCTGAGGTTCCTGGTGAAAACTGCTCCTTCCAGTCTCTCTCATCTCAGTAAAGCAGGAATAGAGCTCCAGTCTGAATCCAGATGTTATCTGATCGCCCAAATCTATGTCCTTTCCATTAAAATCTGTCTGCCAAAAATAGAATCACTTTTCTTCTGCACACCTGAATAGGTATGGGCCACCTGATTAGGGACTTTTTGTCTACGTAAGAGATGGCAAATTAAGTTCGTTACCTTCCAGTCACCATTCAGGTATAATGAATCTAATTCCTTAATTTAATATTTAAAAATCAAACTACTTGAATTATTTACATATTTAATATTTAACATTTTGCAATGAAATCCACCATTCTACTTAATAGGGGATAAAAAGACATTTATTTTTTATCCATGAAACCAAGATGACTATGGACTTCTCATTTATGGTATTGTAAATATTGAGCCCATAAATCCTGACAAACAAGAACATTTCTATAGTTACAATAAAGTAAATGTGAAAACTTTTCAACAAAACATTGTCCATTGTGAGGACTACAGTGGTGGCTTCAAAGAGCCAAATGTCACATATCAAAGCATATTCCTTTGCAGGTATACATTTTTAAAGCTAAGTTGGTATGGAAATACTTCAAAGACAAAATAAAATAATTTTGTGAGGAAACGGTAATAAAACAAATATGTAAGATTAAGGAAAATTTGAGCCCCTGACTCATGAGTCAGAGTGGCTGCTAGACTACAAAACTTCTATTGGACTTCAATGTTAAAATTTAATGAGCACAGCAGGCAAAGCAGAAAACTTTAATGTTTCTTAAAATTTCTTTACTATACTTATTCAGTTGATAAAATATTAAATGCTTTAAGGATATGGAAGCCAAAAATAATATTTGGTAAAACCAATCATGCATGATCCCTATGAGTCTTTGTTAAATTAAGGCTATTTCAGTTCATAGAGAACAAAAAAAGTGTCCATTCAAACAATTTGAAAAGGCAGTTAGTTTTTTCCTAATCTCTAAGGGTTAAGAATAATTTTGATTGTTCTATTTGTTTTCTGAAGAAAATCTAAGCCAATTAAATAATTAAGTCCCTAGATGAAATGCAAAAATAGGTACATCCTTTGGTGATATTTCAAAGTAACAGGTATCTTTCAGTGTAGCCAAATTTGAAGAGAGGCTCATTATTCACTGTAATAAAACAAATAATGCTTTTGTTCCAAACAGCTATACTTTATTCTTCATACTCTCTATAGTTGTCATTCTCTTTAAAGAGATACTGTGTGCTGCTCTGCAATTAATTGGGAAAGTTTTGGGCTTTAAATAATCCAGGAGGCGCTATACTGTTTAATGAGTGTTTCATACTACTGGAGAAGACAGATACTAAGTTTAAGATGTGCATTGTGAAATTCCAGGGCAAAATACCTGATATTTATTGTAAATTTCAGTGATACTGATTAAAGTGGTACTCTATTTTACAGTATTCTACATATAGAATTGAGCTTAGGCCTGGTCTCTGTCCTTTATTGAAAGTACATCACCAGGTGTAGATGAATGTGACATAGTCATCAGCAGTCAGAATGAATGAGCTATACAACCTAACCTACAGTACATTGATAATATAAACAGCTCAACTGTAGGGTACAGCTACTGAATCAATTAACTGTATAAAATTCTAACATACTTTCCAAAATAAACTTCATGCTTAAGGAGGGAAAAACCCTAGTTTTTGCTATGCTTACATAAATATATTTGCATTTCATTAATATATCTGACTTCCACTATGTGTTTATATTTAAGTCCTACAATTTCACAGTAAAAACCAAAACTCAAGCACTGCTACAAGCAGTCATCCTGGCAGAGATTGCTTGTGGAATCTCTGCCAGGAAACTCATGGAATGAAATGGGTTAAGCAAACTGGCAAAAATCACTCCAGCAGTCACAAAAATCTCCAGCCTGCCTTAGTGAGCTGCAAAGTGGGAGGAAGTAGCAGCATGGCAATAGTGACTATTTAGATAGAAGAGGACTGGGAATAGTATTGGGACAGTGTTCATGCCTAGCAGTTGAGATAACTAGGTTTTTAAAGAAACATTTTAATTGCAGTATAACATACAGAAAAATTCAGAAATCTTAAGTTATGAATTTTCACAAAGTGAACACACTCGTCTAATCACCTCGAAGATCAAGAAAAGCCCCTCTCCTAGTCCCAACACCCTCCCTCAAAGGCAACTATTATTATGATCTTTATCATCACAGACTAGTTTTGCCTGTTTTTGGACTCTATAAACGGACTGCATCATATGTAATGTTGTCTGGTTTCTTTGGCGTTACATTATGTTTGCTGAGTTTCATCTGCGTTGCCGTGCATAGCAATCGTCCATTCTTTCTCTCTGCAGTAGAGATTTCCATTGAATAAACAAACCACAATTTATTCATCTATTCTACTGCTGATAGGCAATTGGATTTCCAGTTTTTTGTCTATTACAAATAACGCTGCTTTGAGCACTTGTACTTAGGAACAAAACTGCTGCATGCTGCAATTGCCTGCTAACTGATCTCCCTGCCTTCCCATCCTGTCTCCCTCCTTGCACATCCACTTTGCAGATTACTGCTAGAGGTAAATGTTTTTCAAATAAAACTGGATTCCATTCCCCTGGTCAGAATCCTCCAACGGCTCTCCACTGCCTTCAGGATAAAATCCAAACTCTGCGCAGGTTACTGATGTGCTACCCCTTAATCATCTTGCAACTCTCCCAGTTCCCCTCTACCCTTATGCCAAGACATTTCTGTTCTCTCAATCTATCACTCTCCCAAGCATCTCTGAGCTGCATATGCTGCTCTCCTTCCTTGGTAAATGCTTTGCATTCTTCTCTGCTAATTTTTGCACATCCTTCAACAGGCAGCTTTCCCCAGTTTTTTGGTGTGGAGGTGGCCACTCTCCCTGTGCTTTCAAAGCATTAGGTAGTTTTGTTTCATATCAAAGTGGTTATCTGGCTACTCCTCTGATTGTCCTATTACCTCTGGAACCCCTCAGCATAGTGGCTGGCACAGAATGGGTGAACCATGTGTGTTTGTCGAATAATATAGGCACTAATTGTACAGGACGGAAACAAACAGAGTTTATGCTTAACTAGGGGGGGAATGGGCACAATACTAATGAGAAAATGTCAGTGTGATCCCAGAGGCAATAAAATTGGCATTCGAGTATTTTAAGCAGTACTGCAGAAAAGCCCTGCAGTATTGATTTAAACTCCTGAAATAAATCTTACCACTAATTGATGCTACTGTGAATATGATATCACACTGTAAAACCCTTAAATATATCCCAACACACTATCTCAAGAAAAAATGCTATTGTTCTAACCTACAATTTGTGGTTTCATAAAACAATTAATTGAAATAATTTATAAATATTTTAAAAATGCTCAGGGACAGCAAATGCTCAAGTAAATCATACTTATAAAAGAGGCAGAAAATTGCAAAGAAAATATCTAATGTAGCTTAGAAATGAAAAAAAAATCAGCACAGTATAAAATTATCCTGACACATTTCTTAACACCTTATCACTTAAGCAAAGCCTTTTACTCCCTAAAAACAAGTTAATCAAAATAGACTGAATCTCATCAGGAAAGAAGACATGCTCCACCCTACAAACTCAGGTTTTAATAAAAAGAATGTAAGGAATCTAACAAAACCAAAACGAAGGAATTCATAAAGTAAACAATGCAGACTTTTCAAGCCATTTTCAGATTCTGGTTTATAAATTATCTATCTGAATAACTTGTCTTAGATTATGGAAAAAAACAAAACAAAACAAAATAAAACAAAACAACCCAGACCCATAGATAGGCCTGAATAGGCTGTGATTAACATTATCTCCCACTCCTAGGCTTGGGAATATACAGAGTGAACACAACACAGCAGGTGCTCTTTTTCTAACCCTTCCTTCAAATGTGTTATTTTCTCAGTTGACAAATCCTTAAATTGCCATGCTCTCCCCTTTAACTGGATAAATAATAAACCAAACCTTTCTGATTTATAACTATATTTCAGAAAAGAATTATATTAAACAAATATATACCTCGTTTCATTTTTAAATTCAGATTGAAAAGTCCAAAACATTTACAATCATCAGCAATTCATCCTCTCAGTATGATTCTGCCATAAATAAAACAATTGTTAGGTTTTGGGTATTTTGAATTTGTAAGGACAATACATATTTCTGTAGAGCTATCCAGCAAAATTTGAAATTTGCATCTAAAACTAAGACAGGTACAATATATCAAATTATCAGAGATGTGACATAAAGCTATAAAACTCATTTAAGTATACTTTATACTTTAAATGGCATCTCCTTAGCATTATTATACAAATTCGTGTCATATTGTCCTATGTTTCCATTTTAAGACTGATCTAGGCTTGGAATTTAGTATTTTACTATGTGTGTATATATATATGTTTATGTATGTAGATATATGTGTATGTGTGTGTATATATATATATTTATGTATGTAGATATATATGGGTGTGTACACCCCCCCACTCTGCTTCTTTAGGTATCACTTAAGCTAGAAATCAGAGTTTTCCCCACTTCTTTACAATTCCTAGTCTTGTGAACATAGTACATACTCATTAAATTAACTGTATTATCCAGTTGATAAACTGTTCAAGTTATACAATCACTCAGTGTCAAAGCCAAGGAGATTCATGCATTTCTGATTACCTAAAATTCTACAAATTGGAAATAATATTAATCCAACTGAGCTCCTGAAGAAGCAAAATAGTACAGACCTCTAAGAAAGAATGAAAATCTCTAAAAGCTGTATATATTAAAACATAAGAAATCCTCAAAAACTCAGCTTGTGTTTCAACATGATAGATAACAACATATTCAGCAGAAAGGACAGATTAAATAAACTATTAAGAATACTATGTATACTGGCCAGGCACGGTGGCTCACGCCTGTAATCCCCGCACTTTGGGAGGCTGAGGTGGGAGGATCATGAGGTCAGGAGATCGAGACCATCCTGGCTAACAAGGTGAAACCCCGTCTCTACTAAAAATACAAAAAAAAAAATTAACCAGGCGCGGTGGCGGGCACCCGTAGTCCCAATTACTCGGGAGGCTGAGGCAGGAGAATGGCGTGAACCTGGGAGGCAGCGCTTGCAGTGAGCTGAGATCACGCCACTGCTCTCCAGCCTGGGAGACAGAGCAAGACTCTGTCTCAAAAAAAAAAAAAACTATGTATAATTGTTAGTATAAGAATACTAACAAAAAATAAGAATAAACTACGCAAAAATCATAGTCTAACAAACTGAACTCAAATATTCATGTTAGTCCTATATGAATATATTCAATGCCCAGAAAACAGGAAAAAGCCACAGTTCAAGAAAGGGTCAGCAGTTACCTTGCTATTAAAATGGGAAGCAAGGATTCAAGGACTAAGTAAGTTACCACTGAGGAGGCCAGGTAAAGTGGGGTGTTAGGAAAGATGTCAGCAGTGTGGCATGGGACAGATGTTTTCAGAGTCAAGAGGTATCTATCTGTAACTATTCAACTGAAGCACTAGCAGGAGCTGCAGGTTCTACTGACCTGGTTCTCAAACTTTGTGGCACAAGCCCGTCAGAAAAAACATTTCCTACCCTTTCCTGCCTCTTCCAAACTTTAGAACAAAATACTTTTCCTCCTCCGGGTAAGATGCCACTTCACCACTCCCCTCGGCCACTATTACCCCCCAGTAACCTTCACCGCATGTCCTACCTCACTGATATTAGCCCACTTTGGAAGTCTTTCCACTGCTCAAAATTTACTTACTAGTGGCAGAATGATAAGGGAATGAAGTTGGGAAATTTTCTGGTTCCAACCCAAGGAGCCAATTATTTGCGTTTAGCTATCACACTAAAAATCTTATGTTAAGGAGATAAACAATTTCCTAATTTCTTTTTTAAAAGTCAATAATACTAATATATTTAAAGTTATGATTCAACCATTAAAAAGGCAAAAAAAGATTATTAAAAATAAAACAAAAGAACCACAGTTTAAGTGAATCTTAATGCTCAAATAAATGGCGCTGAGAGATTAATCAAAGTCAAGAAAATGAAGTCATAATTTAATTTTAAATACATGATATGATTCATAAGCTCTATGTTAATTACAGTATTACCAGGGTCAGACATTCAGTAACATACATGATTATGTAGAAAAGACAAAAAAGACAAACATTATTTCTCTGTCTAAAGTTATTTATTCATTAAATCCAGGCAAATCAATTAATTTCTTTACATTAAGCCATTAGTTATACCTTTTATTTAAACAGATCCACTCAAAAAGTAAATAACAAGTAAAAGCAAAAGTTTTCGCCTCAACTCCCAGGTCACAGGGTGATTCTTTCAGAAGAAACATGGCAAAAACATTGAATGAAAATTCATATTATTAGAAAAATCAATGGAAGACGACATGGGAATCACCAACTACTGGTACTGTTAATGTACCACGAAGTTTATGCAATAGGCAACAGGTTAATTACAACTCTGAGATAACACCTTCTGGGTTTTTTTTCTCTGAAAAATTCAAATAGTGTTGATAAGTCTTAGATAACTTACAAAGTTAGGCAAGGCATTTAACACTATCATTTTGCAACACCGACCCCCGCCCCCACCAAAACAGCAAACAGCTAAGATTAACTGATCTACTCAAGAGTTAAGTTACAAGAACTGAATAAAGAACTCAAGTCCCAAGCCCTCCACCCTCTAACACCCAGCCTCAATAGGAGTCTACCACTGAAATCAGAACTCTGCCCACCTGGACCTGCTATTATCCCCCCCAGTCTCACAAGGGAACTATGAGCAGCAGACAGAGAGATCACGTTCCACCTGCCTAAGAAAAAAACAGAATGAAGACTGTCGTATCTACTTAGCAAAAGCTAATTCTTCTGGCAATGCTGTGAAAGTTACCTTAAGAATTCACCTTCTGAACCTGACCTGAGCAGTATGCCAAATTTCATAGGAGTAGGATCCCCAATGAAACTCACTGCCGTGGATCATTCCTTTCCCAATCACAAGGAACATCCATGATGTTCCTTACAGTTCTGTGATTCTAATGCTTCACACTGTGAAACAATTAAAATAGCTTTTTAAAAAAAGAATTCAAAAGCAAACTTTAGAAATATAAACATTTTCTAGAAAAATAAGGGAAAAAGTCCTACACTTATGTAGAAAGAATAAATATCTGTGCATGTACCACAAAGCTCTAAGTAGAAAAGACTGACACAGACCTGAATGATAGGAAGGATTTGTCTTTGAAAACAAAGGAGTAATTTATCAGGGCAATAAAATTCATTGTGAGGACACTAAAGTCAAATTAAATAAAACCAACAAAAACAATGTCCTAGTTTTGTGCACTGGGAGCTAGGGCTTCACTGAGCACTACTTATATCTGTTGGAAACCAAGCAAATTAAATATGTTCCCTTTTAAAAGTGTGTGTGTGTGTGTGTGTGTGTGTGTGTGTGTGTGTGTGTGTGTGTTTTAATAAGAACATTTTAAAAAACAAAGCATTTATTTTCCCAAATTAATCTTGGGAATTAAAGAGTAGGTTATACAAGGTTTTTGGAGTTTTTCAAATGTGCCCTGGGTAACAGTGACGAATATGTATGCTGAAGATACATTTAAAAGCCAAATATCTAGTTTTGTAGTTTTGGCCTTTCCAGTATGCCTCAGAAGCTGAGGTTCTAAACACAAAGTATAAAAACACACAAGTACATTTGCAGGATCTACGGTGCTCATAAATGAAAATGCAAAATACTTTCAAGGAAACAGTCAAAACTACAGTTTTTAGCTTATTTTTGTGGTCTTCATTGTATTTCATCTAGTCAGTTCTATTTCCAAAGGGACTGAGGTTCTCTGAGACCGTGATCATGAAACAAAGCTTCACTCTAAGAATAAAAGTACAAAACAGTAGGGTCTGAGAGCAAACTATTTTATCACAGTGCCATTAGTTCATCCAAAGCATACACAACACGTGCAACCTGTGTGTTGACTCCAGAAGTTTATAATCCCAACTCAATATGACTGTGATGGGGGTGTGTACAGGGTAGAAAGACAACACACCAAAGAGGAGGGGATGCCGTGCAAATACACACAGCACAGGCACTCAGCCCAGTCCCAGAATTGAGCTGGCCTTGGTTAATACATACCTGCTTTTCTCCCTCTCTCCACCTTTAAATTGTTTCACACTCAGGCTAGCTGGCTAGGGCACAATTTTCCTTTAGTCTCTGACTGAGAAAACAAGCTTGCTGTGGTGACCCTTTAGGGGAAGCTCTTGGTTTCAGGACACAGCCACTCCTCTGAAGCTTCCCCCTGCATCTCATACAAGTATCTCTTTAGCACCCACCTCCTAACAAAAGTGTCATGAAGGCCCACCAGCCACATAAAGGCTATCCATGCAATGAAATATATTTGCTTGTGAAAATAACTACCTGAATTCACTGTGCTAAGCTTGTTGTTTCTATGCCAATCTCATTGCTAGTTATAAACATCAAATAATAAAAACAAAAATATTATTAACTAAACACAATTTGGTAATAAAATGTTTAAAAATGGAATGAAGATTTTGGTAAAAGTATAATAAAATGGGATCTTGGTAGTAAAATAATTATAAACTCTACCCCCTTTCTAAATATGCCCTAAAAAGTATACAAAATACAAAAACTATATGAAATACCTTGTAAGAAAATTTAAACTTATTTGTATAGCGTTTACTTTTTAAAGAGTGTACCAAAGGGAGTGAGGGTGGTGTTTGGCAGTGACAAAGATCCACGGAGGTGACAAAAGAGTATCTTATCACTGATATTGCTTAAAATATCTGGACCATGGTGATAAGGAAGGTCAGCTTTCAGGACTCTTAATTTTATTGTTTTCAAATTCTGTACAGACACTGTTTCCCACCCTGCCTCTTCCTACTGCCCCGCCCTGGGTACAGCACTGTCAAGCAATTATCCGAATTTAATCTTTACGGCTTTTATAGTCCCTGGGTAGACTTTTTCACACAATAAAAGAAGGGGATTTCAAACAAATTATTAGGCAACCAACCAATACTGTTAATAGTAAAATTAGATAAACTCTGAGATATAAAAGGAAAACACCAACTTCCTATCACTTAGATACTACTTTATCCTAGGGTAATACACATACAGTTTTTTGTTTTTTTTTTATTTTTTTGTGATGGAGTCTTGCTCTGTCGCCCAGGCTGGAGTGCAGTGGTGTTATCTCGGCTCACTTCAACCTCTGCCTCCTGGGTTCAAGTGATTCTCCTGCCTCAGCTTCCCTAATAGCTGGGCGTGTGCCACCAAGCCTGGCTAATTTTTTATTTTTTTATTTTTTATTTTTTTAGTAGAGACAGGGTTTCACCATGTTGGCCAGGCTAGTCTTGAACTCCTGACCTCAGGTGATCCACCTGCTTTAGCCTCCCAAAGTGTTGGGATTATAGGCGTGAGCCACTGCGCTCGACCAGACATACACTTTTTAAAAAATTCAAGTTACCAGTCTTCTGGGCTATATTAAATATTAAATATTAGTCTCAAAGTCATCTTGGCTCTTTTAAAATAAAAATTAGGACATCTTACATTAAAATTTAAAAAATGAAACTGTTCCAAATGGCCCATATATAAAAATAACTTTCTAAAAAATAATAAATATTGAAATAAGTATCAAAATTTTAAGAATAGCTTAAATTTTTGTTAAATGCTTTTCTATTTATTCCTTGGTAAGAATTTTTCAGTTCAAGAAACAGAAGCCTTCTCTTTTTCTTGAAGGGATGGATGAAACAAAACAAAACGAAACAGAAACAGAAGCCATTGGTTTCCCCCGATGTGCCCTCCAATTATAAAGATATGATTCACAAAAAATATTCAGAGCGTCTCTGCCATTGCTGATCTTATCCAGAAGTTAGCGAGGAACATGGATTTAAGCAAGAGAGGCCCAGATGTAGATTAATATTAAAGAGATGAATGAGTGATCACTGGGAGTAAACTAGGTTGTTCTTGAATGGATTTGAGCTGAAGAAAAAAGCTAAAATGAAGAAGCTGTCATGGTATCTGCCCTTTAGACTGAGTTTGGGCCCTTATGCTCAGAGGAGTGAAATCATGGATGGCTTTATATATATATAAATTATAAATATATAATATATAAAAATATATGAAATATATGATATATATCATATATATGAAATCATATATGATTATAATTATATATAATATATAATATATAATTTTATTATATTTTATATAATACATAATTATATGAAATTATATTATATATAATTTCATATATTGTATATCTAGTGATGTATATCATATATATCAGATATATAGTGATATATGTATTATATGCTACTTGGGCTAGAAATGGAAGAACTTCACACAGTTAACATTTCTTTAAAAAAAAACAAGTGTTTATTGTAAGAGAAAAAATTTTAAGCCCAGAAAATACTGAAAAGGTGAAATTATATAATTATATAAAATTATATATATAATTATGTATACAATATAAAATTATATATACAATATATAATATAAAATATATACACTATATATAATTTTTATATATAATTTCATATAATTATATTATATAATTATATAATTTCATATAATTATATAATTATATAATATAATTATATAATTTCATATACTTATATTATATAATTATATAATTTCATATACTTATATAATTATATAATTTCATATAATTATATTATATGATTATATAATTTCATCTTTTCAGTATTTTCTGGGCTTAAAATTTTTTCTCTTACAATAAACACTTTCATTTTGTTTAAAGAAATATTAACTGTGTGAAGAAGTTCTTCTGTTTCTAGCCGAAGTAGCATTCTTCTCAGCCAACTTTGAAGACAGGGACTAGCTATCACTAAACCCTACAACTTATCATACAAGAGTAAAACTGGTTGGAAAGCCATTTCCACAGAGTAGGGGTCAGTGCCTTAGTACAGCCTAGAAGAGAAGTTCATTAACTAACCTTACTTCTAGGGATTAATAATTTTTACCAGTAGTATTGGACAACTGGAAAAACGTCTATTAAAGTTTATAGGGCAACACCAGAGTAATCACCATAATACCAAAAATAGGATAGTTCATAGTGACTAATTCACACAGAAATTAAAAACCAAATGCTATGACAAACAGTACCTAGAAAGGTAAAAGCAGTCTACAACAAACCAATGAGAATGCATCTACACTTGGTGAATCTGCTGTATGGTGTTTTTTAGTTAGATGTTTTTTTTTAATGTAGCTTAAATATCATGAATTTTAATAGGCACATTACATGGAAAAGATGTAATAAATAATTTTGCTGTGTTTGGATCTTATCCCACCCTTGTTTGATTTCCCCTCATGCATTCTAGCTAGGATGTAAAAAGTAGGAGGTTCCTTAATTTCGAAATATGGGAAATAAATGCTGGAGGAAAAGGAATAGGAGTTACTTAGCCTGTCAGAAAGAATAATGATCTTTTTCTCCCCCCTAAGATTATTTGCTTAGTCATTCCCACTGAAAAGAATGAGTTTAATTTTGGAAGTGGTAGGAATGATAGAAATCCTAGATCAAGCTTGTCCAACATGTGGCCTGCGGGCTGCATGCGGCCCAGATGGCTTTAAATGCGGCCCAACATAAATGCATAATCTTTCTTAAAACATCATGAGATTTTTTTTTTTTTTTTACTTCATCTGCTATTGTTAGTGTATTTTATGTGTTGCCCAAGTCAATTCTTCTTCCAATGTGGCCCAGGGAAGCCAAAAGATTGAACACCTCTGTCCTAGACAGACCATAGGGCTATTTTGTCCTGCCCCTGTGGACTTAGGGACATTGACACATCTCCCCTCACTCCTACTCCTTCACCCCCAAATCCCAGCTAATGCTGTGATTATCTTAGTTGAACAGTGTGCCACGTGCTTACCATTTGCCCACCTCACTCCAGCCCGTTCTTCAACTACTCCCCACCTTTGTGAGGCAGCCACATCTCCCTGCCCTGCCATGTATTGCTTCCTCTGCTTGGAACATCTTTCTCCCCACTCCACCACCACCTCCCTGCTAGCTTGCTGGGGTCTGGTCGACATGATGGTGGTGGGGAGAAGGCACCAGCAGATCCAAGTGCTTCCTCTTTGCTAGGCACATACAACGACTCAGAATAATCCACTGAGGTCATGTTTTTATTCTCATCCCCATTTTACAAATGAGGCCCTGGAGGCTCAGAAAGGTGAACTAGTTGGAGACAATACAACTGGTAGGAGATGGGAGCTGAGATCTGAGTGGAGGCTGATTTGAGAGTCCTGGCATTCAACCTTTATCTGGAAGGTGGCAAACTTGACAGGGACAAGGCAGATGTGCATATTAAATGCAAAGAAACAGTTTTCACCTCCACAAAGAAATATGCCATTAAAAAATTTCAATACTTGGCTCTACGTTTCTTTCTTTCTATGAAGATGGATACTATTCATCTTATGCCTCTATCATTAAAAAAAAGAAACCCAACAGTGTTTGCAGAACTTATTTCCTTTTTCCCTCCAAAATAACAATCTGGATAATCATATTAATATCATTTTTCTAGCAAAACCACTTACATTCTAGAAAATGCTAATGTGCTTTTAGCATGAAAGAATGAAAATAATACCTAAGCTTTAACACAAATATAGTGGAAAAATATAAAAAGATGTGGAAGATCTCATTATTCTTGTCATTTTATATTGTGAAATCAAAAACATGCTATAAAACAATTTGTGGGTTTTCTGTTATGACCTGAAAGATCACAATTTTTACTTAGTGCTTCAATACATACATGAGAAAATACCAAATTCTTTTGCTCAAAGGAACTCCAGCATACCTTGAAATGGCCTGAGAGCTGAGCCTCAGTTTTGGTAAGAATGTGGTCTCCCACTGATCAACTTGATCCCCTCTGGTCTCATTACAGAGTATTTATGATTCAGCTGAACCATTTAGCAACATTTAAACCATCCTTAGTATTTACCTCAGGGGAAAAGTCACATTTCAAGGATAGTTGAAGTATCTAATATATTTAGTTGCTACTCTAAAGAAGACAGGCCTGCTTGAAAACAAGATCACAGCATACATTGCTCTCTGCAGGACCTCTGTGGGTAGGAAGCTCTTTCTTTTAACTGATTATGTAATATTTTAGCTTTGGTAGTAAAAGATTCCAGATGTTTACTCTAACAGCTTTGTAGACACATGGGGATTGATGTTAGACACATAATCACTGGTTTTGGAGCAGGGCCAATTGTGTACATACGCTGTTTAATTATGTTGACACTCCAGACATTTCAAACATCAACAGAATTTCTCAGCTCATATTCCCATTATGATTCCTGCTTTAAATGATTATAGATGGGTATGGAAACTGGGCATTACGCATGCTAATGAAATCTATCTAGCTCTTTTCACTTTTAATAGATTTGGAGGTTTCATGGGTTAAAACTCCCTTAAGCTATAAATTGCAGGTAAATATAATAAAAAAACTGCCAGGAAACATTTCCCTCAGAATTTTTTGTTGCATGCTAATGTAGCAATTTCAAAAAAATTTGTCATTGTTCTCCTTCCTAAAAATTCACATGTCACAAGGGAACCTTTGACTCAGCCATGAAACAGTCCCAAGAGTCCTAGAACTTGACTTTGGGAAATACTTCTCCATACAAACAGTGCTAGAAGTTTGTTTTCTATCAACATTCCAAAGTTTGTTACCTAGATGATTTGGAACAACCTGCTATGAGTACGAAAAACATACACAGAATTTTAATGTATATTAATGACTCAAATTTCTCCCACTTCCTTTCGGGGAAAATGAAGCAATAACATACACAATATTCCCATAAACTTTTTAAAAGACATTTCAAAGTTTTATATGTGAAAATGCAAAATGACTAGCTCATCACAAGAAAGGATAAACTGGGCTAACAAACTGCTACAAACTGAAGGACCTTTTCAAAAAAGCAAGCTCAATGGAAAATTCCCTGATTGGTAAATTTTCCAGATACAAAATTTCCAAGCATCTCAAGACCATAGTTCTCCTAAGTCACTACTTCTGGGATATGGGAAGTTTCCTTCATGTACTGTAAGCTGCTGACATCATGCACATAAATGTAAACCAAAACATGTATTTCATCAAAGTAACTAACATGATGATGAGAAACAGGATATTTTGAAACATATTTATAAGCAAAACATATAGGTCAGATTAAGCCATTGAAGCATCTCCTCAGATTTTTTAGATTACTCTGAATAAGAAATATTTTCAAAAATGATGGAAATATCTGTAGTTTTACATGTGTGGCTGCTATTGAAATCTCTATTAACCCTCTTTTTCTCAAGTTCTCCCATTCCCACTCTGATCCCGCAGACCCTACCTAACAAGTGCCTTTAGAAGCAGGCAAGCATTTTCTAGTCCTCTATTTTAAGTCTCTCAGACCACCAACTACTTACCATTCTTACTGCCAACAGCAATAGTTCCAAACCTTTATCATCTCAGGTCCTTATAATTTTATAGTTGCTTACACCTCTCTGTGATCCACCTGGCACACTGCCACCAAATCTGACCCTGCCCTCAGTTGGGCTCAAATCCTGTTAGTAACTCTACTGGGCCTGTGGCAGAAGCTTAACAAAGGGCTGCTGATTGAGTTCAAGAACTCTACACTGATTTCACACCATCATGATGAGGATGGATGGGTCTCACGTGTAACGATGAGCCAAAATATACTTTGAGAATCCAAGTTAAATGGCAGTGTTTAGAAAAAAAAATACTGAAACAATCTAGCATCTTGGGGTGTTGGAATTTTAAAGGTTTGACAATTGGCAAAATCAAAGTAATCCAGAAATCTAACCCAATGTACTGGCAGAGTATCACAAACCCTCATAATACCTCAAAAAAAAATGGGGCAGGGGGAGTCTACAAGTTAAATTTGGCACCAAGTTACTAGTTGTAAAATAAAGCTTATTTGATTGTTGTCTCAGGCATTACGTAACTGTAAAGAGTCTTCATTTATACTGAAAGCTGCAGCAGTAAAAGCTGCAGACATATTTAAGAAGAAATATCATATTTCCTACTGCTTCAACTCACTGTTCCTGACCATCTTGAAGGGGTCTGCAAGTTATGGCCCGCTACCTGGTTTGTAAATAAAGTTGAATTGAAAACAGTCGGGTTCATTCATTTACGTACTGTCTATGGCTGCTCATGTGCTACAATGAAGTTGAGTAGTAACAACAGGGACCATATTGCCTGCAAAGCCTAAAATATTTATTTACCTAGCCCCAAAACCAGGCACTTGTCTGGTACAGTATGGGTGAGGAAATACTTTTTAAGTCCTAACTTTGTTCCAGAAGTTAATCTGGGCTGCTTATCTACTAAAATCTAAGTTTAGGAAAAAAAAAAAAGATAACTTCGGGGATGTCTATTTGGTTTGAAAAGAAAGAAGTTAAATATTATTCACTTGACTAACATGTATTTCTAAGTGGGAATTTCTGTTGCACTGCAACATCTCAGCATTTTTACTATGGCATTAGTAACAGCACTGCAGAGCATCACAGGCTGTAAAAACATTTCCATGTGTGATAGACAAAAACCCAATACCGGAATAAAAGGAATAGAATCCATCTTATCCGGACAAGTGGTTTTAAAAAGTCATCCTACAGAGCCCTGCAGAACTTTCATTGAAAACAAGCACAATTACATGGAATGAATTTGTTTCTGCTTCTTGTAGCCCCTCTACCTGGGCTTATAAACCATGAGAAAGAAGGAAGATTTACACTGTCACAGAAAATACTTAAAAACCAAGGCTTTTGAATAAAATGAGTTTTTATTTTCTCCTGAATAAAACATTATTTGGATCATGGGGGGAAAAAAACCTACTAAGAATTATTTTATCACTAAGTGTAATTAATACAAGTCACTATAATGTTTATCAATTATATACTAGAAAACAAATGAACTGAAATCAACTTTGAGACAATTTAGACATACGGTATCATAATCAAAATCCCAAGAGAAAGATACTTTATCTTTTTGCCACATTTTATTTCAAAATTTATTTTTACAAAAAATAAATTAGTTGCCCTAAACTCTTTTTAAATAAAGTGATGCACAAATAAGCAAACCAGCAAAGACTGTAATAAAAACAAAACTGACGATTTGGTGGTCATTTACTGGCAGACTAAACAAGTTAAGAATAAATATCTCTGAGGAAGCAAGCCAATTAAATGTTGGTTAGATGGCTGATTCAAAGATAAATAGTAGCCAGGAGTATAACTCGGACGTCATAGTTTGAGATTGATTTTTTTTTCCTTTAACCAGTGGGTAAAACTGTTTTTCTGTTATAATAATAATGGTCAACATTTAAACCAACAGAGAAGTTTTAAGTTTTAATAACAAAAGAGTGCCAAGGAAATGATCTTGTTCCTCAGAACAAAAAATAATCTGTTAAGGAAATATTTTGGATCTCAAATTAAGGCCAATCATGAGTACAGAGCACAGCTGATGATTAACAGAAGATGCCGCATTTAAACACGGTGGCAGAAGACACTGATTTACTTCTAATGAATATATAGTACATTATAAAAAGTGACAAAACATAAACATATGAATATAATGTAAACAACAGTAAAAAGAAATCTTTTTGTTTCTTGAAATTGGGGCTTATGGTTTTAGCCACCAGAGGTCACCCTTCCCCAGACAGATTAAAAAGCAGGGCTTCTGAAGCACTGTCACTTACTGTGTATTTGTTAAAGGAATACAATAAAAAATAACATGGGTTGTCAATGTTCTTCTTTCCCCAGCTAAAACATATGTGAGGCTAGACCTGCCCCACACCTCTCCCTAATGCAGACATGCTGGTAATGGAGAAGAGGAGAGCTGCAAACAGCCTGAGAGGCTAAAGTGATCTACATGATAGACATGAGAAAAATCACTGAGGGGCGAGGGACAGGATGCAGTTCCCTGGTAGAAGAGAGACTTGTGGAATAGCACCATGCTAATGAGGGATAATGGAGAAAACTGGAAGAGGTTTCCAGAATTCTTACTGTTATCATAAACACAACCACTCCTGGACATTCTTCAACTAACACTGCAGTAAAATTTTATACGGCTTTTTTCAATTAGTTTTGCATGTCAAACCTAAGTATCGTGCACCAAATTTGGCTTTTTTTAAAAAAGCAAATTAGCCAGGGTTCCTCCAGAATTCAACATATACTTTTACAATAGAATTGGAGAGAAAGAGATCTTTAATCTATCCTAGTGCCTTGTACAAAATATACTCAGCAAATACTCTTCCTCATTCATCCCTCCTTACATATAATAAAGAGACCTTTAATTCATCATAGCACCTTATACAAAATATACCCAGTACACTCTTCCTCATTCACCCCTCCTTACATATAATACAAGAAGGAGCTGACAACCAAAAGTTTCAACCTCTTTTGTTTCAATTCTGTTAGTTAAGAGGGCCCAATTCTATTTATTGTCACTTACCGTAGCTGCAAGAAGTAAAATTCAAAGGTTAGAGTGGTTTTTAATAATTTCATGTACGTGGCCAAGGAACATGTAGACATTTATGATTACCAAGAAATTACAACCTTCCAAAGCACAGTATTTATTCCATGTAGCACCAAAGGAAATCCCAAAGAAAAGGTACTTAGCAGCCTAGTAGAAGTCCTTAGCAATTTCTTTGTGAAATACTTGGTTAGAATTCATTGTCTCACATTCCAACACACTGGCAAATAAGGTTATCACACATCATCATATCTTTTGATACCTAACAACTTTTTTCTCTAACTACATAGGAAAAGTACGCTCATTAAAAGATATTCAGAAAATGAAAAAGGCTTTTAGAAAATAAAATCACCTATACTTCCAAAGAGTACAGGGAAAGAAAATGAAGTTCTGAGTGAAACACTTTTAAAACACACAAATTAAATTTATACAGTCTCAAATTCTTTTAATTATAATTCATCCACATTATTCCCAAATCAACTATAATCTGTCCCCTGCTTTACCAATGACATAGTTCCAACAGGTTCACCAAGACCCCGATGCTGCATGGGCTTTCTTCATACTGTTTCCTATTTCCTTGCACCATCTTTGATGTCCCCAGAGCATCTGCACAGCTGACGTTCCTCACAGCCACTCCTTTGTCCTGACTTCTACATCCCGTTTTCCATGGCTTCTCCCACCCATCTGGTCATTCCCCTCTGTCATCTTCTGGGCTGTTCTTTTTCAGGCTAACATTATTGAATTTCTGGCTCAGTCCTCTATGCTTCTCATTCTATCCCCTCTCTCCCTAGGTGACCAAAGTAACACTCATGGCTTCAACAACTGAAACTACATGTTGATGTGCCTAACACATAATAGGTGCTTAATAAATGTTTAATCTTATCAATGGCTTAATGATTAGTAACTTTCCAATCTAATCTCCAGGAAATTCTCAGCTCCAAGGCCACAACCACACAGCAGAAGTCTCTTAGCACAGTTGAGACTGGTAACTGGCTGGTTAATCATAAAAGCAGGTTAAAGCAGTGAATCATGAAAACATGAAAGCATTTTGTACACTTAACTTTAACCAGATAAATACCCATTCATCTGCCAATATTTTTATAGTCAGGCCAACTCTTAAGTGAGGGCCTGCTGACCCTTCAGTGTCTTTCTTGCCTAAATCATACCCATGGTGAATTATCGGTGCTATCCAGCTTCTGTTTGTTTGTTTAAACAACAGCTTTACTGAGATATCATTAACATGCCATACAATTCACTTTAAGGCATACAGCTTGATAGTTTAAATATATTCACAAAATTATGGAACTATCACCAGTTACTTTTGGGACATTCTCATTACCCAAAAAATAACCCACATACCTATTAGCATTCACTGCCCATTTCCCATCAAATCCCCAGCCATAGGCGATCATTTACTTCCTTTCAGTCTCTATGGATTTGCCTACTCTGGATATTTCATATAAATAAAATCATACATGTGGTCAAGAATCATCCATATTGTAGTAAATATCTGTATTTCATTTTTTTATTGCCAAATAATATTTCATTGTATTGTTATATCACATCTATTAATTCAGATCATTTGGGTTGTTTCTATTTTTGGCTATTATGAATAATGCTGCTATGAACATTCATGTACAACTTTTTGCATGGACATATATTTTAACTTCACTTGGGTATGTAATTAGGAGCAGAATTGCTGGGTCATATGATAACTCTATGTGTAACATTTTCAAGAACTGCCAGACTGTTTTTCAAGGTAGCTGTAATATTTTACATTCCCACCAACAGTGTATGAGAGTTCTTATTCTTCACAATCTCACTCACACTCCTTATTAGCTGCCTTTTAAAATTAATATTACGCCTATAATCCCAGCACTTTGGGGGGCCGAGGTGGGCGGATCACTTGAGGTCAAGAGTTCAAGACCAGCCTGGGCAACATGGTGAAACCCTGTCCCAACTAAAAATATAAAAATTAGCCGGGCATGGTGGTGTGTGCCTGTAATCCTAGCTACTTGGGAGGCTGAGGCAGGAAAGTCACTTGAACCCGGGAGGTGGAGGTTGCAGTGAGCTGAGATCACGCCACTGCACTCCAACCTGAGCAACAAAGCGAGACTCCATCTCAAAAAATAAAAAATAAACTAACTAATATTACAGCCAACTTAGTATGAAATCATATCTTATTTTCATTTTCATTTCTCTGAAGGCTAATAACGTCAAACATCTTTTCATTTGCTGATTGGCCATTTGTACATAGATATTTGTCTACTGAGATACTTTGTCAATTTTCTAATGGGACTATTTGTCTTTTTTACGATGAAGTTCTTATATACTCTAAAAACAAGCTCCTTATCAAATTATTTGCAAATATTTTCCCATTAAAGTTGTCTTTTCACTTTTGATGGTGTCATGTGAACACAAATCTTTAATTCTGATGATGTCCTGTTTACCTATCTTTTCTTTTGTTGCTTGCACATTTGATGTCATTTCTAAGCAACTACTATTTAATTCAGGATCAAGAGGATTTATGCCTAAGTTTACGTCTATGAGTTTTATAGTTTTTCTTCTTACATTTAAGTCTTTGATCTACTTAATTTTTATATACGTGTATATAGGGGGCTAACTTCACTCTTTTGCACTTGGATATCCAACAGATCCATGAACATGAGATGTCTTTTTTTTTATTTTGGTCTTTAATTTCTTTCAACAATGTATTATAGTTTTCAGTGTATAACTTTTGCAATTTTTTGTGAAATTTATTCCTAAGCATTTTATTCTTTTTGATATTATAAATAGAAATATTTTCTGAATTTCATTTTTCAATTGTTTACTGATAGTATATAGAAATGCAATTAAATTTTGCATACTGATCTTGTATCCAGCAATCTTGTTGAATAGTTCTAATAGGTTTTTAATGAATTCCTTAAGATTTTTCCATATGCAAGGTAGTATTCTCTGCAAACAGAGTTAGTTCTTTTTCCTTTCCAATCTGAATGCTTTTTTTTTTTTTTTTTTGAGACAGAGTCTCACTCTGTCGCCCAGGGCTAGAGTGCAGCGGTGCGATCTCGGCTCACTGCCAGCTCCATCTCCCGGGTTCACGCCATTCTCCTGCCTCAGCCTGCCGTCCCGAGTACCTGGGAATACAGGCGCCCGCCAACACGCCTGGCTAATTTTTTGTATTTTTAGTAGAGACGGGGTTTCACTGTGTTAGCCAGGATGGTCTCGATCTCCTGACCTCGTGATCTGCCCGCCTCGGCTTCCCAAAGTGCTGGGATTACAGGCGTGAGCCACCACGCCTGGCCCTGAATGCCTCTTATCTCATGTTCTTGCCTAAGTGTCTCGCCTAAAACCTCCATCACAATGTTGAATAGAAATGGCAAGGGTGGAAATCCTTCTTTCTGATCTTCAGGAGAAAGCATTCAGTCTTTTGGCTGCGTGTGTGCGTGTGTTTATATGCCATTCATCAGGTTGACAAAGTTCCCTTCTATTCCTAGTTTGTTGAATGTTTTTTATCATAAAGAGGTGTTGAATTTTGTCAAATGCTTTTTTTATTGAAATAATCATGTAGTTTTTGTTCTTTATTCTATTGATGTAGTGTATTAAATTGACTTTTTTTTTTGAGACGGAGTCTCGCTCTGTTGCCCAGGCTTTGGAGTGCAGTGGCACAATCTTGGCTCACTGCAAGCTCCGCCTCCCAGATTCATGCTGTTCTCCTGCCTCAGCCTCCCAAGTAGCTGGGGCTACAGGCGCCCGCCACCACGCCCGGCTAATTTTTTGTATTTTTTAGTAGAGACAAGGTTTCACCATGTTAGCCAGGATGGTCTTGATCTCCCGAACTAGTGATCCACCTGCCTCAGCCTCCCAAAGTGCTGGTATTACGGGCGTGAGCCACAGCGCCCGGCCTAAATTGACCTTTTATATGTCTAACCAACCCTTGCATTCCTAGGAAAAATCTCACTTGGTTACAGTGTACAGTCATTTTTATACACTGCTAAATTTAGTTTGCAAGTGTTTTTTGAGAATTTTTGCATCTGTATTTATTTAAAAATTGCTGTGTAGTTTTCTTGTAAAGTTTTGTCTGGTCTTGGTATCAGGGTAATTCTGGCCTCGCAGAATGAGCTGAGACATGTTCTATCCTACTTTTGGAAGAGTTCATGAAGAATTGGTATTAACTCTTGCTAAAATGTTTGGCAGAATTTACCAGTGAAGCCATTTGGACGGAGACTTTTCTTTGTGAGGAGATCTTTATTCCAATGAGATACAGAAATGTTACTCCAGGCTGGGCGTGGTGGCTCATATCTGTAATCCTAGCATTTGGGGAGGCTGGGGTGGGAAGATTGCTTGAGGCCAGGAGTTCAAGACCAGCCTGGGCAACAGAGCAAGACCTCATCTCAATTCAAAATTTAAAAAAAGAAAATAATGAATTGTTATTCCAGTACAAGTATTTCCTCTTCCCAGTTTTTGTGTCTTTATTGTGATACATACTATGTAAGACAATATCTATGTACCTTACAAACCCCAAAATAAGCCATTACACTTATTACTTTGTAGAATTATTTGACTATCAAATAAATGAGCTGAGGTAAGTAAGAATGGCAAGCATATAGACAGAATTTGCTATGTTAATCTTATTTACCATTCCTCGTTCTCTTCATTTCTTCCTGTGGATTTATCATGTGGTATAATTTCCTTATTCCAATACATCTTTGCATCACCTATCATCTCCTTTGTGTTGGTGTTATGAAATATATTACATCTCCATCTTTTGAAAACTCAACAATCAAATCTATACTTTTTTTATAATTTCTTTTAAAATCAGTTACTAGAATAAAAAAAGAACAAACACACATCTATACTATCTTTTGTAATTAACTAATTACCTTTCCTGTTTTTTTTTGTTTTTTGTTTTTTTTGTTTTTAATGCGGATTCAAATTACCGTCTGGAGTTACTTGCTTTTATCCCAAATAACTTCCTTTAGTATTTCTTGTTAAGATGGATCTGTTAACAACAAATTCTCTCAAGTTCAGTTGATCTGGAAATGTGTTCATTTTGCATAAAATTGTTAGTTAAAAATTCTTTTTCAGCTTTTTGAAAGTGATCCCACTCACTGACTTCTGATTTTCATTGTTTCCGATGAGAAGTCAGCTATTAATCTTAATGTTTCCTTTTAAGCAATAACACTTTTCTATTGCTGCTTTTTAAGATTTTCTCTTTATCTTTCAGCATTTTTACTATGATGTGTCTCTTTGTGTTTATCTTACTTGGAAATTGTTGAGCTTTTTGAGTGTATAATGTTTTCTATCAAATCTCAGAAGTTTTCAGCTACTTCTTTTAATTTTTTTATTCCTTTTTCTTCCCTCTCTCCTTGTAGTACTCCCATTACATAGGTCAGTGCCCTTAATGATGTCCATATTTTTCTCTGAGGCTGTGTTCATTTTTCTTCATTCCTTTTTCTGTCTTTTGAATTGCATAATCTTTACCTATCTATCTTCAGGCTCATTAGTTATTTCTTCTACCAGTTGAAATCTACTGGCCAGGCATGGTGGCTCACACCTGTAATCCCAGCACTTTGGGAGGCCGAGGTGGGTGATCACCTGAGGTCGCGAGTTTGAGACCAGCCTGACCAACATGGAAAAACCCCGTCTCTACTAAAAATACAAAATTCAAAATTACAGGCTGTGAAGGCACATGCCTGTAATCCCAGCTACTCGGGAGGCTGAGGCAGGAGAACTGCTTGAACCCGGGAGGCGGAAGTTGCAGTGAGCCGAGATCGCGCCATTGCACTCCAACCTGGGCAACAAGAGCATAAAACTCTGTCTCAAAAAAAAAAGAAAGAAAGAAATCAACTGTGGAGCCCCTTTAGTAAATTTTTTTTGTTATTATACTTTTTACTCTAGAATTTCAATTTGATTCTTTTTTATAATTTTTTTATAATTTCTATCTATTTACCAATATTCTCAATTTGATGAGGCAGTGTATCATATCTTCCTTTACTTCTACAAGGATGGTTTCCTCTGACCTTTAAGTTTTTTCTGTTAAATTTCACATCTGGGTCCTTTCATAATTTGTTGTTTACTGTTTTTCTTGTGTATGGGGCACACTTTCCTGTTTCTTTGCATGTGTCAGATTTTTGCTCAAACCTGGACATTTTAGGTAATGTATTTAATCAACTGAATTTACTGAGACCTCTCCTCCCTCTCTGGGCTTGTCTTTGTTGCTTTATTTGTTGAGTAACTTGACTATTTTGGGAAGTCTATTTCTCCTGCAGCGTGAAGCCTTTGGTGCTACTCCTCGGAGGGTCAGCACTGGGCATGCACACAGTTACCAGCAATGACAGTGTCATGTTAGCAGGACTCTGTCTCTTTCCCTTATCTCTCTTTTGCCTCATCTGGTATCCCGCTCAGCTTTGTAGCTCAACCAATTCCCAGCTGATTGCTCTATTGTTTTCAACAATGTTCTAGAGTATAAATTGTTTCACAGTCTCATCCAAATAAACTAGGGGGTGGGGTTCTTTGGCCAGTCTTTGAGGTTTGATCTGACCCCTCAAGAGGGAGCGCTCTTCTTAGCTCCTTCTCTGATTCTCTTTTGTGAATTAGTTGGCCTATGTTTAGCCTACTGCTCTTAAAAGAAGCTAGCAGTGGGCTCTTATTTGCTTACCACCAAAGCCTCTCGTTTCTGAAAGCATCCTTAGGCTTGAAGTTCCCCACACTGTGCTTCAAATAAAATCAATTCCTTTGGGGAGGGTTTTTGGAGTTCTCTGTTCTTACAGACTGCTTCTCTCAGTGGGCAAAATCTCTCAGCCACTGCTCTGGGGGCTGGGTAGGGGGAGCAGTCTTTGGTATTCTTGGCTTGCCTTTCTCAGTGTTGAACTTCTCTCCCTTACAAGCAAGGTAATGGCAGCTTGAGAAGCTGCACAGACCTGCACCTTACAAGCAAGGTGGGGTGAGGGCAATTAGAGCCCCAGTATTCTAGGCTTGCCACACCTGGGGTAGAAACTCTGCCCTATGCGTAGGGGCTGGGTGGAGGAAGAGAACCTCTGACCACATTGGCACACTCACCAGGAGTTTAGCCTCTGTAACTTAAAGCTGGAGGGGATGATAAATGCTAGCAGTTTGCTCTCCCAGTGAAATATGGTTTCCCCTCATTGGGATCTGTAGAGCCCTTAAGACCTGATCACCTCATAAAGGTCTCACCTCTTAATACTGTTGCAATGGCAACTAAATTTCCATGTGAGTTTTGCAGGGGACAAACATTCAAACCATAGCAGAGTGGGTCATAGCTCAAGTGCAGGACTTGCTGTTCTGACCAAGTTTTAGATTTTCTTAAATATATGTTTCTTCATTTGTTGAGTGTCTGTAGGACAATTTCCAGTAATTTTATTATTTTTTTTTTGAAAATAGTTTTTACCAATTATGTTTGTTTTGCTGTGGAGCAGGTCTGTGCAACTTCTCAAGCTGCCATTTTCAAAGGGGAGCTCCAGTTTCTATATTTTAGGTATAGAAAGAAGGAAAAGATTTTCGAAGTAATTGGAGTAAAGAATTCTCCTAGATTTTTACATTTTATTCCAATAGTTATGATAAACAAAAAACAAATACTGCAACTTTACAAAGTGCTAGACATTGCCCTGAGTGCTTAGAAAATATTAATATATTTAGTCCTTCGTAAGATACACATGTTGTTTTACTTTCCTCATCTTATAGATGAGAACATAGGCCCCAAAAGCTTCAGAAATTTTCTCAGGTCACACAGCTAAGTGGAAAAGCAAGGTTTAAACAAAGGAAAATTAACTTCACAGACTGTATTTTTTTATTTCACTTTTTTCCCTAGAAATAGATACTTAAAATTTGGTTCACAATGTAAGTAAATTTTTAAGTCTGTGTATTAAATGGTAGTCTTTTTTTTAAACTTAAATATTGTTTAAATATAATTTCCAACGGCTGCATAATTTTGTTCCATATTGGCAATTTAGTTTTCACTTTCACAGCAGATAGCTCAGCTCATGTCTCATTACCTCCTCACCCGCACTGAAAACAATATTCTTTTAAAAAAAAAGTTTCAATCTCTTTGTAAAGTGTTTTCTCTTATGGTTGGTTTATTTTATATTTACAATCTATTTTTACATTTGTTTCAGTACAAAGTGCAGTAGTTTCCTGGAGATGCAGTAGCAAATTACCACAAACTGGGGGAGCATAAAAACAACAAAAATTTTCCTCTCATAGTTCTGGGGGTCAGAAGCTCAAAATCACTTTCACTGGGCTGAAATCAAAGTGCCAGCTGGGCCAGGGTCCCTCCAATGGTTGCAGGAGAGAAAGCTTTCCTTGTTTTTCAAGCTGTTGGTGGCTTCAGGTGTTCCTTGGCTTGTGACCACGTCACTCTAATCTATGCCTCCACAGTTCAACAGCCTCATCATCTTCTGTGCCTCTACCACTCTCCTGTAAGGACCCACCAAGATAATTCAGGGTAAGTCCCTCTTCTCCAGATTTTTAACTGATTTATTTTGCTATATACAGTAATATTCTCTATTTTGCCATAAAAGGTGACAAGAATTTACTTGAGATATACACCAAATGTGATCCT
Organism: Homo sapiens; assembly: GCF_000001405.40. Taxonomy (NCBI): domain Eukaryota; kingdom Metazoa; phylum Chordata; class Mammalia; order Primates; family Hominidae; genus Homo; species Homo sapiens. The sequence continues at coordinate 26,019,999 of NC_000012.12, read as the reverse complement.
TAACACATTCATTTTCTTCCTGTTACATCCTAGACAAATGCCATAAAGCTGCAAATTTTAAGCTGTAGCTCTGAGGTACCTCAGAGACACATAGTTTAAAAATAATTATCAACCAATCAATATCCAGAAAAATTAATTCCCCCTTATAAGAGAATTATCTAAGTCACAGTTTAAAATACAGCATTAAAATCCATGTTTTTGCCTAATCCAAACATTCCTTTAAAGGAAAAATAACTCCTACTGGGGCTACAATATGACATAATAAAAAATAGTAATAATTTTTAAAAATAACATGGTACCCTTCTGCAAAGTGATAAATCTTCTACAACCAGGAATCCTTTTAAATTTCAAGATTTCTTTTAAGTCAATTTAGTTATACACACAGACACACACAGACACACACACACACACACACACACACACACACACACACACAGTGTATGCCCGAACTTCCACACAAGCCTGTGCCTGAAGAACATTTATGTTATTTAGTCTGTTCTGGGAGCCATAAGAAAGTTTAGATTTTGTTGCACCACAGTTATTTTAATGGCTGTAATGTAATGAGACTACATTTTTATTTAATATATAATTTCATGCGTGCAGATGGGTGCTGTACCTATTAAGGCAGGCGATTTGGGAAATATATACTTATTTATTTTTTGCTCCTTCTCAAAATATATTTGAACTCCTCTTTTAGAAATTGCTTCTATATTATTTTTTATAGTCATATGGTCTTTAAAAACAGCATTCCTAAACTCACTCATGAGCAAAACTTACCTCATGTGACATGCTTTTGCTATTACTAAGATTATTTTGAAAGAATATAGCGCAATAGAGTATACTCTGTACTGCTCATAATAGAGACACTCTCCAAGGGACAGCTACGATCACTCCATAATAACCTGAGCCAACTAACTACTCAGTCACCTTTGTGCAATCCATCCCCATGCCACCTATGACCCAAAAGACCTCCTCTAAATGTCTGTTTGATTAAAAGACAGCATACCACACCACTTCACCACTATGGCTGAACCAAGCCAGGTGGAAGTCAATAATCTCACTTAGCCATGATGCATGGGAGGACCAGATTTACCAGAATTTAGTCCAGCTCTTGAGAAAGGCTTACTGGGCAAGTTTGGATGCATCAACTCAAGCAACTCATGAAGCAGTTATTCTAAATAACTTATCTGATTGCCAAGAGGCCAACATCAGACACTGGGTCTGGGGCCGTATCAAATCTGCCAATTTACTTCCTCATTGTAATGACTCCTGTGGTGGGCAGGTAATTATCCCTGGTTTGACCCAGTATTCATCCTCTTTCCTCTGAGAGTGGCATGGGGTACAACAAGAACAACATAGGGTCACCTACACCCCCTTTCTGCTGGTTCTCGCAACTATGTAATTGCTGGTCAGTGATTCCAAGTTGTAAGTGTTGTTTCCTGACAACTTTATCATCCTCTAAGAAATTAAAATCACATTCTATGGTTACTAATGCTGTGATCCACATTTGGTTTTATAAAAATTCCTATTTTTAGTTTAGTTTTTTTAGTACATAAATTTTATCTGTCAATAAAAAAATGTTAAAGTGACATGTTAGAAAATTTTAGTCTAGTTATATAATGTAAAGAATTTTTAAATTTAAAAAATTGATTTATTAAAAAAAGGTTCTAGAGCTATTTCAAAAATAGTTTAAGAATAAAATCTTCATAGGCAGCTCCAAATTTGCTAAATTTGCTACACAAATTTAAATGACTTGCATAGCATTTAAATTTATATTCTAATGGATATAGCTAAGAAACATGATTAAATGAAGCAATCCTTTAAAAAAAGTAAACAAAAACTGGTGTTTATAGTGACACAGAAATTCTCAAAGATTCATCTCAAGAATACAGATATCCTCCAATGAAAAATATTAATAAATGTTAACAAAAGTTAATAAATCAGTATGTCTAACAATCCATATAACTCTTACAGACATTTCAGTAGAAATGAAATCACGTGATCTCACAAACTATCATAGCCAATGGGAAAGGGAAAGGGTTTTTCACCATGAAAGACTTTTCGGGTTGTGTGGGCTGTTAATGATTGCCTCTGTTCCAACTTCAACCTTTTTGCTTGTTTTATGAAAATGGATCTGGACCCTTAAAATACTTTTTCCTAGATAGTCACTCCATGTGAAGTTTTGCCAAGAGAGGGCACTAGTGAGACACAGGAAAGGGCAAGAGGAGCGGCTTTTGCTTTCTGGGGTCCTCCTGTGGCATGGGGGCTTCCCCAGTCTGCAGGTCCTGCAGCAAATGCAGCTTCTCCTGTGACCAGCTCCTACAGTGTACAAGAGCCAGCAGCAACCAGCAGGTTCCCTCAACACTCACCTTGGGTGCGTTTTTGGTAGACTGCCCCTGGCAAGACACCTCCCTAGTAAAGTGGATTACTGGTAAGTTCCATCAACAAGGTGACTTCTCTGCTTTCCAGTGAGCCTGAGCCAGGCCCTCTCCAACATGATATGGATCACAGTCCCAGGGGGCCTCTTCTTTGGGCATTCTATCTCAGCCTTAGTAGTAGTAGCTCTTAAGTTCATATTATATAATATTACATCTGCTAGTCTTACATTCTTGAGAGTCTCTTCACCTCTTATCAATCTCTAACTTCCAATCCCTGGTTATATTTATAGGCTTTTACATTAAACTTTCCCTATTCAAATTATCATGCAGTTTCTCTCTCCTGATTGGACAAAGATTGATATCCAATTCCAGCAAATGAATGTGCAACAGAAAGCACTGTTTTCTAATTCTTCTTTGTGTAACTTAGGATAAATATTCCTACTTATAATTAACAATATTGATATAAAGACAAAAGCAACCAAAAATTTTTTTAAAAAAATATTTCATTTACTTATGGCTAAATAGCTTTTTATTCCCATATGAAAAATCAAAGAAAACCAAGTAAGAATGTTTCCTCATTTAATATTATTCACACATAGGAAAAAAAATTCCAGTGGAAAGTACTAAAAACATGAAGCAAATAAATTTGTGGAAAAAAATACTTGTCTAGTTTGTACACAGCAGATAAATGAAAGAATTAGGTCAATTTTACAAACCACTAGAAATGAAAAGAAAAAGATCTCAACTAATGAATGAACTTCAGATGATATTTTCATTATCTATCCTGTTTTGTTAATGTGAGTAGAAAATCACAAAAATAAACAACTATTCAACAGGATAGATGAAAATCAAGTAACATTAGGCAAGAAAAAGAGGAAGAAGAAAATATTTTCACACCTTATGAAATGGACTGACGTGGATAACTGCCAACAAACTAATTTTATAAGCAACTTAAACTCTGAAGGAAGTCTGTTGATTTTTAGAAATTTTATATTTTATAGTTAGAATTACCTAAAAACAGTTTGCCCACTCAATATAAAATCTGCAATTTATAAAGCTCTTTCGCACAGATTCTTACATGTAGATAACAATATCAACAAAAAGATCACTCCCCTTCCTGTACCCCAGGTTCCAAATTGTGAACTTCCAGAACAGGCAGCAAAAATGTGCATATTAAGGTAACACGGCAAGAAAACATCTGGACATGAGGGCTACAGTTAAAGATTATTGGGAAGATCTTAAAATCTCAGGCCAAAGGAGAAGCTAACTCTTTATTTAAAGGACCACTATAACCAAAGCAAAAACAGCAAAGCAAAAGCACTGGTTATTAGACTTTAAAACCAGGGAGATTCATTTTATATAATCCAGAAGCAAAACAAAAACCAACCAAACAAACAAATAAAAAAAAAAAAAAACCCAAAAACAGCCCTTAATAACTCCAGATTTTTAAAAGTTTAAAACAAACAAAAATGAATGAATTTTCCATGCATTTCAAGGGAAAATCAGCTCTTCCTGCCTCTAGTTAAACAAACTCTTTATAGTTGAAGGTTCTGAGTCTCCAATTTTAGAGATTATGACTGCTCGACAGGCAAAATACAGGTTAAAAATAAAGATAATTAGTGATTTGGTAACAAATTATAAACTCCAACTGGCCACAAGCACTTGAAAGTAACCATTAGTTAGTTAGTGGGGTCTGTGATCATGTGATCACAGAGTTATAGAGAAGTGCCGCCTTGTGTTCTTAAAGTATGCACAGCTTTATTCTTATCAATAAAGAAAAAAGAGAAATTGTACCACTGAACAGGCAAAGCAAACCTGAAAAAAAACATTGCTAATGAGTTATTTTCTTTAATTTCGTTTATTTTTCCAAAGCACATCCAAATCAGCATTTCTTACAACACAATAGGTCCGCTAACTTTAGGTATTGTTTTCTTATTCTAACAACATCACTAAAAAATAAGTAGGTATAATTTCTGTTTCTTTGCAAACTGAGATAAGTAACTTCAAGTATAATCTTACTTAACTTTAAAGACGTACACAAAACATAAGCAGTTTTCCACGGCCTCACACATTAATTTGGATGAGATTTCACCTCAATCTCTTTGCTTGTCAGGTGGCCTATCAACGGAAAAATATTTTGACATAAACTATTTTCTATTTCTCGGCTCTGTGTCTCAGATTTCAGAGGAGAAAACTGAAGAGAGCATTTTCTAGAAACGTAAACGCTAAGCAGCAGGCAGGAACGATAATTGATTACTGTCAGTTTTTTGTGGTCTTTGGCTCAAACATTCCAACCCTGATCTCCATGACAAAGTGCTCCTCAATAATCTTGCAGTAGGTGCAGCATCTTTTACCAAGGGATCAGTAGAGAGCCTAAAATACCTTTTGACCATATATGGATTTTTTTTTTTTTTTGAGACGGGATCTCATTCTGTCACCCAGGCTGGAGTACGATGGCACGATCTCAGCTCACTGAAGCCTCGACTTCCCAGGCTTATGATCCTCCCACCTCTGCTTCCCAAGTAGCTGGGACTACAGGCGCACACAATGATGCCTGGCTAATTTCTATTTTTTTTTTTGGACAGACGGGGTCTCACTATGTTGCCCAGGCTGGTCTCAAACTCCTGGGCTCAAGCGATCCTCCCACCTTGGCCTCCCAAAGTGCTGGGATTACAGGCGTGAGCCACCATGCCCAGCCTGTATGGAATATTTTTTTTTTAATGCTGTTTTCCACTGAAGTATAGTAAGGTCTCAAAGGAAAAAGGACCAAATAAACAAAAGCTATAATCCTAATCTTAACAAGTTTTTATTTCCACAATTACAGCCATATCACAGAGTTTTAAATTCAATTCTCAAAGGATTAGCATTTTTGTTCTATGATTAGAATTTAATGAAAACTTCAAAGTTTCTGCTAATTATATAAAAAGATCTAATTTCATCATGGCAAACTATGAGTATTGTCAAAATTTGTTTCTTATTTCAAATATCTATTTGAAAAATAATTTTCAAATAAATACATACTATGAATCAGTAATCAACCTGAAAAAAAATTTGACATGGAGACTTTTACATGCTATTAAAAATGAAAATGACCTGTATTAAGTGCAACTGTCCAAACCAATCAAGACATACAGAAAAATGCTGTGTGTCTGTTCTTCCTATAAAACACCGCAATAATTTATCGTATTTATTATTTCCCAAAACATATTGGGAGAAAGTTAACACAGACACATTTAGAGCCAAGGATAGCACATACGTTTTATCTTGCCTACTAAGCTTGAGTGTCTGACTGTACATGCCAAGAATGTGATGCTTAAAAGGATGATCAGGCTCAGCATGAACACATACCATGATCAACTAATTATGTCTGCCATGGGCATAGGAAACACATACATATGTTTTCATCGCTAGTATGAACGTTATTAGTTAAAACACATTTGCTGAAGTTTGCTGCTGTAGTGAGTGAGCACCCACTTGGCAAGTCACCGGGCACAAGGCACCAGCTGGCTGTGCCTATACCTGCTGTACAAAGGCACTGGCAGCTCAGGCAGGGCACAAGAACACAATTTCACAAAGCAACAAAGGTCCACACTCTCATATTCCTCAAACCAATACCACAGGTCTGAGTTTTGTCCACAAAATATAAAAATGTGCCATTTACTCAGATGGGGTTTAGAAAAATAATGGTTACAAAATAGAACTATTTCATTCTTCCCAGGACCACTCACCTACCTGCCAAGTATAGAATAAAAACTGGTAATTACACTACGAAGAATTTCAGAGTCTTAATTTAGACCTATTCAACAATAGCCACATTAAAGGAAAAAGGATTTTTTTATCAACATGAAACTTAATAACAAAGTATACATATATTAGAAAAACATCTTTAAAAATTTAAAGCTAGTTAGAAAATGCTTATGATATATAACCAGTTTGAATAAACAACATAGGTAAAAGTAAACTTGGTCCTTTTATTATTAAAAAAAAAAAGTGAAGTTTTCAACAGCAAACAAGTTGTACAATATTATTGGAATTATAACTCCATGATTATGATTTCTAATGAAGAGGCCTGGCTACTACTCCAGGTGTTATTACTATGATTTTACCAGGCCTGAGTGAATTTGATGGAAAATAGTAAAACTAGAAGGACACAGGATTTAAAGAATCAGCGGACTTGAGTTCACAGCACCATATAATCCTGAACTCCCTTAAGCTCATGGAGGCTCATTTCTTCATCTATAAGGATATCTCTATGGGTTTGCTATAAGCAATTAAAATATACTCACTACTTAAAAGTGTCTTATGAATTTTAAAGTACTGTCCCACCAGGTGGCTATCACTAGAGAAGCCACATTTTCTTATGGTTTTACTGGATTACTAGACTTGAATTACTAGAAATGAGAAAGAGCTGGCAAGGCAGTCTTGCAGACACACCACACAGCGAGAATACAGGCCTTTTTATTGTTATTGGGCAGGACTGCCAATAACAAAGGATCCTGTGGAAAACATGCTGCTGATTACATGAAAACCTGATCAGTTTTTAGCTCCGGGAGATATACTCTCCTTTATTTTGATTCTATAAATTTGAATGTAGGAACAGAGCAAGAAGACAGAGCAAACTGGCACAGCTCTTAAAACTCACGTGAGGCCAGGTGCAGTGGCTCATGCCTGTAGTCCCAGCATTTTGGGAGGATGAGGCAGAAGGATTGCTTCAGCCCAGCAGTTCGAGACCAGCCTGGGCAACAAAGTGAGACTCCGTCTTTACAAAAAAATTTAAAAATTACGTGGGCATGGTGGCCTGTGGTCCCAACTACATGGAAGGCTGAGACAGGAGGACTGATGGAGCCCAGGAGTTCAAGGCTCCAGTGAGCTATGTTCATACCACTGCACTCTAGCCTGGGCAACAGAGTGAGACCCTATCTCAAAAAAAAAAAAAAAAGAAAAAAGGCCTCACATGGAAGGAACATCACGCCCAGAAAAAACAAATCTGGATACTAATCATAGGCCCACATATTTTAAAAATTCAACTCACATAATTAACAATGATATAAATAATATATGGATATAGTTATGTTTAGGTGTCATGAGTGATACACTGGTATGAGACTGGATGAGGAGATGATGTCTATTCCTCCTTTTTCAGAAACACAGGAAGCTGTTTATAGCCACTGAAAAAAGGCTAAATAATGACAGTTCACACAATCAATACTCAAATATTCATTGCCAGTTACACTGCTATTTGAGGAAAAAGAGGAGATTTGGTTTTCTCACTTTTTAAATATTAAATGCCTGAGAGCTTTTGTTATATCTGTTAAATTCTTACTATATATGCCGGGAGATGTTCTAAGTGCTTTGAATGTGTCAATTTATTTAAGTCTCATAATAATCTTGTAAGGTAGGTATTATTGTTTCTGCTTTTCAGAAGAGGAACTCAGCACAGAGCAGTTATAAAACTTGCCCAAGATCACACACTTCATTAGAGGAAAAGCCGAGACTTCAATTCAGGCATTCTGGAACCAGAACTTTAACTAATATACTCTACTGCCTAATAAGATAAAGAAAAACAATACACATTGTACCTAATTGTTTCAAAAAACATTCACTACAGGCCTACTATATGCCATGGATATGTTATTATATGTTATACATATATCACAGATATGATACGCATAAAATAACAAAGCTTTAAAGACACTAGATTTAAACTGAAGTTCATGAGTCACTGTGTTAGTCCATTTGGGCTAATATAATAAATACCATAAACTGGGTGGCTTATGAACAACACAAATTTTCTTCTCACTTTTCTGGAAGCTGGAAAGTCCAAGGTCAAGTCACCGTCAGACTCAGCGTCGGGTGAGAGCCTGCTTTCTGGTTCGCTGATAGTGATGGTGCCTTCTAGCTGTGTCCTCCCATGGCGGAGGGGGCAAGACAGCTCTCCAGGGCCTTTTATGAAGGCACTAATCCCATTTATGATGGCCCTACTTTCATGACTCCCCATGACCTAATCACCACCCAAAGGTCACAGCTCCTAACGGTGATTAGGTTTCAACATTTGAATTCGGGGGGAATGGGGGAGATACACAAACATTCAAACCACAGCACTCAATTAATTAATTATGTCAAGTTATCATAGTTACTTGACTCAGGTGTTTTTGGGACTGCAGGCAGGGAGGAAGCAAGGCTTAGAAGAGTCATCTACCACTCTCAAAAATAATACTGCTCGTCAGGAAGAGGAAAGTTCTTCTGGGAAGCATCTGGCTAATCTTTTTGGAAAGGTTCTGAGGAAATTCTTAAAGAGGACCTATTATGCAATCCTGGCTACAGTCAGTACCTACTATTTTCAATGGGGATTTCTTTCCATGGACACATGACTGACTCAGTTCTTAGGCAGAACTGGGGCTAACACAAACCAAAATAGCAGCAGGCCTCATCCCAAAGAAACTGCAATATAAACTTATGCCTTGAGAATTATTTTCCAGATGCTGTAGACGTTCCTGTAAGGGTTCCTGTGGTTTCTAATGTACAAAGATGGACAATTCCTCAGATGGCCTCAGGAGAATGCTTTTAGATCTGCACTGGGCAGAACCCTGGGATTAATTAACAAGGTGAGTGATATCTATCACTTTTGGATTCCAAGGAAGGAAAGATAAAGTGGTATGAGGGCCCTTACAACACTTAAAAACGACAAGGGTACTTAGGTGGAGAGGAGCTGTTTTTTTTTCTGGTCTTTGTGACCAGGATTGACCCTCTTTTATCTCCTTTCTATCCCCCAGGTCCCCCTCGCCTGCATCTTAGGTATACAGAAGTCTCTCACGTTGTCCCTCAGTTGTGCAAAGGCCCAGAATCAATCATTCCCCGCCCTCTCCTATCACCAACAATAGAATTGTTCAGCCCAGAAGCATTCCTTTCCCTCCTCACCACATCCTCCTCCTATTCCTTAAAGTGACTGAAGTCAACTAAATATAAAGGGGGAAAGGAAATATCAGATTAAACTAAAGCACATTCAATTAATCTCCAGCTGGTAATATGAGAAGAGATAATTAAGGAAAGAGCTTTCCCACTGTTTCCCTTAAACCACAGTGCCCTCCCCAGGGCCGGGGTAATCAGGAGGGGCAGGTTAGGCAGCTGGGGCACAAATATATGGGAGTTCCGTTCTCATGTGCTGGCACTGGGCCTGCATGACCCTGGGCAATGCCTCCTTCTACTTCGTGCCCTCCTGCATGACTCACTTGCTTTATTCTACAGGCTCTGTGCCATCTTGGTAAAGATGGTCCCCCAGGGGACAAGAAGGAAAAACTTCAGCTGCTCTCAAGTCATTGCCTACGGAGAAAAAGCCATTGGTTCTACCTTCCCTTCTAATTTCTAATTTCTAATTTAATTTCGACTTAAAACTCAAACCCTTTGCTGGTGCCTGACTAACTCTCCTAAATGAAAGAGGAACAAATGTTGGACAGTAAGGAAGCCTTCTGGTCCCAAGGCCTCAGAATGGATTAGGCATTGGTTAGCCATTCCTGGGCCATGGCACGTGGGGGGCCTGGAGACCAGTACTACTGCAGGGGCAGGACCCTGTGGGCATCAGGATGCCACCCCCTCACCCTCACTCCAGGACCACCACTCTCTCCATCAGTTTTTCTTTTCAATCAAAGAATAAATGGCTATTTTACCCATCTTAAACACAACAGCCTTCTTCTGATCTCTCTCCTCCCACTGATTACTTTCCTTTTGCAGCAAAACTCCTTTCAAGAATTGTCTACACTTGCTTTCATTTTCTCACTTTCCATTCTCTATCAAGCTCATTCCTGCCATGCTTTTGCCCCTACCATCTAACCAAACTACTCTTATCGAGGTCACCAATCACCTTCACCTTGCTAAATATAAGGGTCAGTTTGTCACTCCTTCCTCCTGATCTACTTTCTTCACTCTCTTCCAGGACACAGCACTTTCTTGGTTTTCCTCTTGCTTTACTGGGGTTCCTTCTCAGTCTGCTCTGCTCTAGGAATTTTTAATATTTGAGTATCCCAGGTCTCAATCATTAGTCCTCTCCTCCTCTCTATTTCTATCCACTCCCTTGGGGATCTCATCCAGTCTCATGACTTGGAAATACCAACGTGGGTCATTTGGAAGTTGTTATGTGGGACAGTCCTGTGCACTACAGGATGCCCAGCATCTCCGCCACCACCCATCCACTAAATGCCAGTAACAGCCTTCCCATCATTGTGACAACCAAAAATTCCCTCACCAATTTCCCAAACACCCCTGATGGCAGAATCACTCCTGCCTAGAAACACTACTTAGAAATAAGGTCTGTGCTCCTGTAGGTATAGCTTTATTCTATAGTTTGATCAGTAGAAGTGTTAACAACATATTGAAAAGCACAAAATTCCATCATGAGTGTGGAATTAAAATTTATTCAAGAACATCCTCATATATCCATTGGTTCTCAGCCCAGATAGTCCCTTATCCTAACACGTCGGTGAGCTTGGATTTCTTGTGAGAAAAGGATGGTGTTATGATAGCTGGCAGCTAAGCATCATATAACTTGAAACTTGGGAATGCTGCTACAGAAATCCATTTTGTGGTACACAGGGGACTACCAGTGTGCAAGAAAAAACACTGGACTGATCTGGAAGTCAAAAGATCTGGGTTGTAATTCAGGCTCTGTGAATATACAGATATATCTGCTCATTTGGCAGAGCTTTATCTACTGGCTATGCACCAGGACCACCAAGATGAATAAAAGAGTGACCTGACCTAGAAGGGAAGGCTAGAGGGAGCATATCAGTCTCTGTGTCTTGATTTCGTCAACCTCAAATCTGAATCTCCAAAGTACCTTCCAAGTAAAAAAGAAAATTAAGATTCTATGCAGATGCTTGCAATATGCCTAAACAGAAGCAGACACTATGGTACTAGAGAGCTGAGGTCAAGCCACCCATATGACATTATTTTATGTTCAAATGAGAACACAAATATTACTATAAGAAATTACTCTGTTATTAATGTAAAAATCACTATATTTCTACTTCTTAACATAAGAAAGATTTAGAGTATACACTCAAATGATCCTTGGAGCAAAATGGAATACAAATGACAATATCAGCCTGTGTTTCTGAAAGCATTATTTGTTGTACCAAAAATATTGTGATCTTTAATCACTGTATCCCTTACATAATTCCCACTCCAGTAAGGCAAATTTGCAAAGAATTTACACAGTAAAATTGTCTAGTAGCTATAGCAGCTCACAGGAGAACATGCTAAAGGGGATGGAACAACATTACATCAACTGGCTGGAAACAGTATAGCTTCTAATATTATCTATCTATATCTAACATTTAAGTGATAATTTTTTTTTTTTAAACGGAGTCTCGCTGTGTTGCCCAGGCTGGAATTCAGTGGCTTTCTCGGCTCACTGCAAGCTCCGCCTCCCGGGTTCACATCATTCTCTTGCCTTAGCCTCCAGAGTAGCTGGGACTACAGGCGCCCGCCACCACACCTGACTAATTTTGTGTATTTTTAGTACAGACAGGGTTTCACCATGTTAGCCAGGATGGTCTCGGTCTCCTGACCTTGAGATCTGCCCGCCTCGGCCTCCCAAAGTGCTGGGATTACAGGCGTGAGCCACCGCACCTGATGTGAGAACATTTTAAAGTAATATCCTTTTGAAGAATGAGGATGCATTAAATATTTAATGTCTTGAGATGATAAAGAAATGATCAGGAATAAAAAATGTAATTTTTCTACTTACACAGATGTGAGGTTTAGGTTATTCCAAATTGTTACTACTTCTGCTTATCCTCCAACTAGAACTTTATGTACTTATGTAAATAATTTTGATCCTTTCAATTACCATATGGCCCAATGCCACTAAAAGGCTGTTTCTGTTAAACTAGAGTAAGAATGCTGCTTTTAAGTCAGCCATCCCCTGCCCACACTCGGCTGTACTTGCTTTTCCCAAAAACACTATGCCCCTGTTCCTTTCTGGGCTTTGCAGAGGCTACTTCCTGTGAGAGTAGGCCTCTCTAAAGACCCACTCACCTTTACAAACTCAGCTACACTGACATCAAACAAGAAGCCCTCCTTCACCTCTGCACAGTTGAAGGAGCTCCTTCTGTGCTCCCAGGCACCTTCTTCATTCTGCTCTTGCAGTATATACAACATGACTATTACCACTTACTACCTACCTGTCCTTCCAGTAGATGCTGTAAGCCTCAAGTCTAGGTAATGCCAGGTCTGAGAGACAGATTTGCTAGTGAGGAGAACAACTATGAAAGACAATGGTGAAAAGGCTTTGTTCCTTTTACAAAAGATTCAAACTTTGACACCTATAACTTCCTCCAGTCTGGTGTTATGTTGAAATTTGATCCCCAGTGTGGCAGTGGGGACGTGGGGCCTAGTGGGAGGTGTCAGGGTCATGGGGGCGGATTCTTCATAAATAGGTTAATGCCCTCCCCTGATGGTGAGTGAGTTCTCACTATGAGCTCTGCCAGAGCTGGTTGCTGAAAAGAGCCTGGCACCTCCTCCCTCCGGCCAACCCCTCACTTGCCACCCCTAAAGCACTTCCTCTCTCCCCATGTGATCTCTGCACACGCTGGCTCCCCTTCACTTTCCACCATGAGTGGAAGCAGCCTGAGGCCCTCACCAGATGCCCAATCTTGAACTTTTTGAGACATCAGAATTGTAAGCCAAATAAACCTTTTTTCTTTACAAATTACCTAGTCTCAGGTATTCCTCTATAGCAACCCAAAATGAACTAAGTATTGTTAAACTCGATTTTAGTGAGTAAGAACTAAAGCTAAGAAAGATGAATGTGACCTCGTTTCATCCCATGTTCCACTATTCCAACACTGTCCCACTCAATGGACAAGGGCCCTTGTTCTCTGAGCACGCACCATGAGTCAGAAACGAAGCGTGTATCTAGAGTGACTATGGGTCCTGGTTTACCTGGAACAGCAATGGTTTAAACTGTTATTCTGGTGTAATTATCAATAGTGCCCTAGTTCCCTCTCCAAAGTGTCTGGTTTAAACAACTACCCCTAAGTATAAAAGACTGAAAGTCCACTTGTATAAACATATATGTAGTCCACGTCTAGAGCGAGACAAGCATTTGGGAAAAACAGTACTATTTTAATAAAAAGGATGACAGTTATCATTCACTGAATTGCTTACATGCTAAGTCCTTTACATATATAATTTAGTCTTCAAACATCCACTAAAGCAGATATCATTATATCCAATATTCAAGTAAGGAGACTGGAGGTTTTAGAGACCTAAAAGAGATCTTAGAGAAACCAAGTACTCAAGGGCATACAATTAATTAACATGAGAAGCTGACTTGCACCCAGATTAATCACTCTAGATGATATATGGCAATTTCTGAAACTACAGAACACAGACACAGTTCCTTGGGACATCCTGAAGGGAAGGGAAGAAGAAAAGGATAGAGATAAGGATGAAGCCAGAGACCAGGAAGAAATCAAGGCTGCCCTTCCTACAATATGAGTATCTTTTTTCTAACTCCTGGGTCTTTGGTAGGTCTACTAAGCAGGGTGTGTGTGTGTGTGTGTCTGTGCACATATGCACCCATATTTGTCTTTTAACAGAAACCAACGGAAGAGAAAGGTTTAACGTTTAAAGCTTTAAAGGGCAAAACCGAAGACTACACATTGAAGTAGATGACAAAGACAGATGAAAAACCATTCAACTGATACAGAACTCTGGACTTAGGAAGATCACAGGGAAACTGTCACAAGTATTGAAATTGGAGGTTCAAGACAAGTTTTTCTAAAATTTCTAAGGAGCAAGTATAGCCTAGCTGAAATCTGGGAGAAAGTAAAAGAAAGTAGGGGAGAAACAGACAGGGCATTAGCTGATATAATATGGTATTATGTGGCAATAAAAGCTGTATTTTTCCCATCTGATATGAACCTTAACATGGTGAGACTATATGTTCCTCAAAGGCAGAAACGATGGGTTTCATCCTATTCTAGTATTATAACTTTCACAAAGCTCACTTTAGATAAAAGAAATAGCCTTTGCAAAATTATCTTAGTAGAGCTTAAAAACAACAACCAAAAAAAAGATTTTATATTCTAACCTTGTCTTATTTTTACATTTTCTCTACTGCATTCAGGTTAATATAGGCACGGTCTCAATATTCACGTATTAAAACTAGGTCACAGAGAATGACTTGATTAAGATGACAGTCACCGGTGCAATGAGGAGTAGAATCAGTTGCAGTTTCACACCTGTCAGGTAATTACATACTGACCCCATTTTTACAAACTCAGCCAAATGAAAGAATGCAAACCAATAATAAATGGTCACCAAACTCTCACCAATTCAACCTGCAAACTATTATCCTATCTGCCTTTAAGATTAATCTGGCAATTAAACAAATCAATCTGTAAAACAAAACAAAACAAAAACCTAGTGTAAAACACACACACACACACACACACACCCCATCCGTAAAAATTTAAAAAGACACAAATACACGTTATATGTACACATTTCTTTTTCTGCAGAGAAACCCAAGAAACTGCTAATGAGGATTACCTTTGGATAGAGGAAAAACAATGAGAAAGAATGAAACCTTATTTTTCATTTCATAACTTCCATTTTTTTTTAACTTTTTGTAAAGACAGGGTCTCCCTTTGTTGCCCAGACTGGCCTCAAACCCATGGCCTCAGGTGACCCTTCTGCTCTGGCCTCCCAAAGTGCTGGGATTATAAGCATGAACCACCTCATTTTATACCTTTCACTTATTGTATTACTTTTTTTCAATGAACAATTTAAATGTACAATGACTAATAATTTCATTTTGCTAAAAACCTATTTTCCAGAATTTCAGAAAAGTAGAAGGTACCAGTCATGTCATGTCAGAAGAGCTCCCCTTCCTCCTCCTCCTCTTCCTCAGCCTACTCAACATGAAGACCTTTCTGATGATCCACTTCCACTTACTGTATAGTAAATATATTTTCTCTTCCTTAAGATTTTCTTAATAACACTGTCTTTTCTCTTACTTCATTGTACAAATACAGTATATAATACATATAACATACAAAATATGTGTTAATTGACAGTGTATGTTATTGGTAAGCCTTCTGGTCAACAATAGGCTATTAGTAGTTAAGTTCTGGGGTAGTCAAGAGTTATATGCAGAGTTCTGACTCCACAAGAGGCTGGCACTCCCTAACCCCCATGTTGTGTGCAAGGTCAACTGTAGACTAAGACAGGAACACACTGCTCTTTCTCATTCCCAAAGATGCTGAGCCCCACACCTCCAGGAAGCATGATACTGACAATGTAGGCATAAATCTCAGTCAAATCATTCATTAATAACAGCTCAGGAGTTCAGTATATTCATCCCTGCCTAGAGACTGTGATATGCCCCTTGTTATTCAATTCTGTGTATAGTCCAGTCTCAAGAAGTTTTGTTTTTTATGTTTGAGACAGGGTCTCAGTCTGTCACCCAGTCTTGAGTGCAGTGGCACAATCACAACTCACTGCAGCCTTGACCTCCCAGGCTCAAACAATCCTTTCACCTCAGCCTCCCCAGTAGCTGGGACTATAGGCATATGTCACAACACCTGTCTAATTTTTGTATTTTTTGTAGAGATAGGGTTTCACCATGTTGCCCTGTCTGGTCTCAAACTCCTGGGTTCAAGTGATCCTCCCACCTCAGCCTCCTAAAGTGCTAGGATTACATGCATGAGCCACCGCACCTGGCCCCTTGATACATTTATCCTTATGGAAAATGTATTTTTTACTATAAATACATATATGTATTTTTAAAGGCATATAATGAAATCATAGACATCAGGTCAACCTTAGATTTTTTTAAAAATATAATCTATATATAAAATTTCTGATTATTAATACTTGCTTTACATAATCTGTGTTTTAAATGAACACAGTAATTATTTTCCTATAGTTCTACCACTTGGAGAAAAATCATCATTAACACTTTAGTATGTTTCCTTCTAGGTTTTTATTCCCCCTATACAGTTATTTTTTGAAGGTTATAATATATTATGTCCTGATATTGTCACTTTTCAGGTTATCATTTTTCCATTTCATTAAAGAGTTAAAAAAAATCTATAGATAAGCAGATAAACTCTTTTATTGGCTGCATAATAGTCTGCCTTCTAGTTGCACTGTATGAGCATTCTTACCTTACTTCTCCCACTGCCAGAATTGGGAATTACAGAGACAAAGGTCTGCAATATTCATGATGAACACAGATGCAAAAATCTTCAACAAAACACGAGCCCACTGAACTCAACAGCACATCAAAAAGATAATCCATTATGATCAAATGGGTTTTATATCAGGCATGCAAGGATGGTTCAACATATGCAAATCAATAAATGTGATACATCACCTAAACAAAATCAAGGATAAAAACCATATGATCATCTCAATAGACACAGAAACAGCATTTGATAAAATTCAACATCCCTTCATGATAAAAACACTCAACAAACTAGGCACAGAAGGAACATACCATACATGAGGAAAGGACACCCTCTTCAATATATGGTGCTGGGAAATTAATTAGCTGAATGTAGATGAATGAAACTGGATCCATGTCACCATATATAAAAATTAACTCTAGATGAATGAGTTACATTTATGTATAGGTTATTTATATGTGTGTCATGTATATGTTTTTGAATCTTCAATAATACAATGTGCTAAAATAATAAACATCATGTACTATAAACCCACAGCTAACATCATACTAAATGAGGAAAATTGAAAGCATTTCCTCCAAAAACTGGAACAAGACAAGGATGCCTACTTTCACCACTCCGATTCAACACAGCACTGGAGGTCCTAGCCAGAGAAATAAGGCAAGAGAAAGAAATAAAAGACATCCAAGAGATCAAGCATGATCTCTGCTCACTGCAACCTCTGCCTCCTGGGTTCAAGTGATTCTCCTGTGTCAGCCTCCTGAGTAGCTGAAATTACAGGTGTGCGCCACCACGCTTGGCTAATTTTTTTCTATTTTTAGTAGGAAGGGGTTTCACCATGTTGGTCAGGCTGGTCTCAAACTCCTGACCTCGTGATCTGCCCGCCTTGGCCTCCCAAAGTGCTGGGATTACAAGCGTGAGCCACTGTGCCTGGCCAATAATTTTTTATATAATACAGGTATTAACTCTATTTGTTTTTTTTTGTTTGTTTGTTTTTGAGATGGAGTTTTGCTCTTTCACCCAGGCTGGAGTGCAGTGACGCAATCTCGGCTCACTGCACCCTCCACCCTCTGGGTTCAAGCGATTCTCCTGCCTCAGCCTCTCGATTAGCTGGGATTATAGGCACCTGCTACCAAGCCCGACTAATTTTTGTATTTTTAGTAGAGACAGGGTTTTGCCATGTTGGCCAGGCTGGTCTCAAACTGCTAATCTCAGGTGATCCACCCGCCTTGGCCTCCCAAAGTGCTGGGATTACAGGCATAAGCCACTGTGCCCAACCAACTCTATTTGTTATATATTGTAATTATATACTATGTCATACAGTCATGCTCTACATAACAATGTTTTAGTCAACGATGGACCACATATAGCCCCATTAGATTACACTGGATCTGAAAAATTCCTACTGGCCTAGTGACGGCGTAGCCATCATAGCATTGTAGCACAATGCATTCATTACTCAAGTGTCTGTGCTGATGCTGGTGTAAGCAAACTCACTGCACTGCCAGTCTTAGAAACAGCACTTACAATTATTTACAATGCATAATATTTGAAAATGATAATAAATGACTATGTCACCAGTTTGTGTATTTACTATACTCTTAATCCACACTTTAAAGGGTATTCCTTCCTTTTTTTTTTTAAGTTAACTGTAAAACAGCCTCAGGCAGGTCCTTCAGGAGGTATTCCAGCAGAAGGCACTGTTATCATAGGAGATGACAGCTCTATGTGTGTTATAGCCCCTGAAGACCTTCCAGTACGACAGGATGTGGAGGTGAAAAGTGATATTGGTAATCTCAACCCTGTGTAGACCTAGGCTAAAATGTGTGTTTGTGTCTTAGTTTTTAACAAAAAAGTTCGAAAATAAATAATTTTAAAAATAGAAAAAAGCTTATAGAATAGGAATATAAACAAAACATATTTGCACAGCTGTACAATGTATTTGTATTTTAAGCAAAGTGTTATCACAAAAGAATCAAAAAGTTAAAATTAAAAAGTTCATAAAGTAAAAAAGTTATATAGTAAGCTAAGGTTAATTTCATATTGAAGAATAAAAATTGTTAATAGGCAAAACACAGTGGATAAAAATTTTTAATTTTTAAAACTTAAAAATAGGCCTGTAATCCCACCTATTTCAGAGGCTGAGGTGGTTGGACTGCTTGAGCCCAGGAGTTCAACTCCAGCCTGGGCAACATAGTGAGACCTTGTTTCTACAAAAAAAAAAAAAAAATTAAAAATTAGCCGGGTATGATGGAATGCACTTTTAAAAAATTAAAAATTAGCTGGGTGTGGTGAAATGCACTTGTAGTCCCAGCTACTCGATAGGCTGAAGCGGGAGGATCACTTGACCCCAGGAGGTCAAGGCTTCAGTGAGCTGTGACAATGCCACTGCACTCCAGCCTGGGTGACAGAGACCCTAGTCTCAAAAAAAAAAAAAAAAAAAAAAAGGAAATTTTAAAATACATGTGCAGCTTAAGTACACAGTGTTTACAAAGTTTACAGAAGAGTGCAATAATGTCCTCGGCCCTCACATTCACTAAACAATCACTGCCTCACCCAGAGCAACTTCCAGACCTGCAAGCTCCATTCTAGGCAATACCCCATACAGGTGTACCACTTTTAAATCTTTTATACAGTATTTCTACCATACCTTTTCTATGTTTAGATACGTTTAGATACACAAATATCTACCACTGTATTACAATTGCCTACCGTATTCAGTACAGTCACATGCTGTAAAGGTTTGTGGCCTAGGAGCCATGGGGTATCATATGGCCTGGGTGTGTAGGAGGCTATACCATCTAGGTTTGTAGAAGTACACTCTATAATTTTCGCACCCCAACAACAATCACCTAGACACATTTCTCAATGTGTATTCCCGTTAAGTGACAGATGACTGTATATTACCAATGTAATTATATATTAATAATGTAATTACATATTATAGAAAGAAAAAAATTTGAATACATGACTTGAATATTTTCCCCAGGTGACTGCCTTTTTGTACATGATATAAGCAAAATTAAATTATTTTAATTTTTAGTATCATTACACATAGGAATTATTCCATTTAACATTTGCTTCTATGTTTTAGTAGCTTCTTTCTCCCAAGCCCAAGATAGATATTCATATACACTCTTTTCTAGTATATGTATTACTACATTTTTACATTCATTATTTGCAGTGGCACTTTTATCAACACAACATTCTTCTGAGCTTTCCATTCTGCTCCAAATATTTGTCTATTTTATCAAAATCATACCATTTTCAAATTAATGTCTAGCATTACAACTTTTCCTTCATTATTCTTCTTTACCGTATAAACATTTCTTGGCTCTTATTTATTCTATAAAAATGTAAAATAATTCAGAATCACTGATCTATGAGAAATTCCTGAGATTTTGCTTGGAGTTATATTCAACTTACAAATCAATATAAAATATTAAAACTAACTAAAGAATTGTCTTCCTATCCAGAAACATAAGTCTCCTCATTATCTTCAGAGCAAAGTTCACTAGTTTCCTTTCTACAGGCCAATTGCATTTCTTACCGAGTTTAATCCCTGGCATATTTTTTGTTGCTACTATGAATGGGCTTTTTTCCTCATACTTTTAAACTGGTTATTATTATCATACACAAAAGATCATGATATTTACATGATTTACAGTGGAACCCTACTAAACTACATTTTAGTTGATTGCCTTGGGAACTTTTTATTATCTGCAAATAATTTTTAGTCTCCTTTTCAATAGTACTCTCTGTCACCCAGGGTGGAGCACAGTGGTGTAATCCTCCCACCTCAGCCTCCGGAGTAGCTGGAACTACAGGTTGCAATCCTGTGCCCAGCTGATTTTTAAAAATTTTTTTTGTAGAGACAGGGTCTTGAACTCCTGAACTCAAGTGATCCTCCTGCCTCAGCCTCCCAAAATGCTGGGATTACAGTTGTGAGCCACCATGCCTGGCCCATCAGTGCTATTTTAGACACTACTGATAACAGCAAGTATGTTGCAAATTCTAATAATTTTAGGTCAAATTCACTGTTTTAGTATTTTGGCTGAGCTTGATCTCAATGTTGTTTACAAAATTATAGATACTTCCCATAGAAAGTGCTATATAAATATTAGTCATTGTTATCAATATCACAGAGCATGGTTTGGTGGAAAAAGTTTCTCTTGATTTCACTGTGAATCAGGAAACTAATTTGGGTTTGAAATTATTGAGCCCTCTAAAGGTTAACCTGATCACTTCTCCTCCATGACCCAGGCTAGTTTAGGTAGGTAAACCTCACTCATCTCTCCCTCCATCAGAAGACTCACCTACCATACTGCTGTGTCATTTTCTTATTTACTTGTCCCAGAGCCTGTAAAAACCATGATGGTAAGGTCTTTGTCTTGTTTATTGTTTAAGCCTACCTGGCAAATAACAGATCCTCAATAAATTATATACTGACTAGAAAAAAAAATTATAGATACTTCCCATAAAATATTAACAGTAAATATCTCTAAACATTGAGAGGAGTGATGTTATTTTCCTTCACATTTTCCCGGTAAACTGATTTCTGATTTTGTTTTTTTATTAATTAGACTAGCCATGAACTCTCCCTATTTATTTTCCAAGTTTCCTTAAATGAATGGACACACATACACGCCCACACATACTCACTCTTACCACCTTATTTCTCCTAGTATTCTTTCTTTGAGAATTTTTAACTTCAAATAATCTTAGCTAGCATTCAATATCTTGCAGAAGGCAAGAGAGAATCAAACCTTAAGAAAAGCTTTCTTGCCAGGCGCGGTGGCTCACGCCTGTAATCCCAGCACTTTGGGAGGCTGAGGTGGGCGGAACATGAGGTCAAGAGATCGAGACCATCCTGGCCAAAATGGTGTAACCCCGTCTGTAATAAAAATACAAAATTAGCCAGGAGTGGTGATGCATGCCTGTAATCCCAGCTACTCCAGAGGCTGAGGCAGGAAAATCGCTTGAACCCAGGAGGCGGAGGTTGCGGCGAGCCAAGATCACGCCATTGCACTCCAGCCTGGGCAACAAGAGTGAAACTCCATCTCAAAAAAAAAAAAAAAAAGCTTTGTCTTCAGAAACAATATTCTACAGTCCTTTGTGAAAGATATCTAAAAATGATGTCTGGATACAAATTTCTCAAAGTAAGCTGATTCCACTAATAAAAACGATGCCTCATCCTTTTTACTAAAATACATTTGTACCCAATTAAGACTGCAGTACAAAATGCCATCAAATAAAAATATTAGCAAACTGATAATAGGGAAGTCATAACATTCTCGAATCAGAGCTTCATGAAAACCAAATTCCAATATTCTTAATATTAGACTTGCACGTTAACCAATGGATATGGCAATTTCTTCAATCAGTATCAAATCCTGTTTCTTTCATATTTCATTAAGTAATCATCACACCAAACCTGTCTCAAAATCTGAAATAACTAGTTTGCGATACATTATCAGAAAATGTCAATCTCAAATATAAACAGCTGAACTTTTTTCATTTTTATTCTACTAGGGAAGTTTCAAAGCACTGAAACATGCAAATTATTACTCATCTTCTAAAAACGGAAATAAAATAATTAGGTCACAATGGATGGCTCCTTTCTTGGCCAAAAAAAGGATGATGAATGCAATTGGAATGTTTATTGTCACTGAAATTCTTCAGGCCTGGATTCCAAGTATGCGTCTTGATGCAGGTTACTATGACAACTTAAATTACAGAAAATGTCACCCCCCTCCTACCAAGTAGTTTTCTCTGCAAGATCATTTCAAGCCTTCTAAAACTTGCATGCACAAATTATCTGTAACAATAAACACCTCGTTACAAGTTTTATTCAAAAATGCCCCTATGTAAACCCGTAAAAACAGGTATAAGCATATAAAAATAATTCCATTAAATCTACATGGGATAGAAAAACCTGAAAACACATACACTCACACACACACATACACACACCCTTTAAAATATAAAATATTGAGAGTATTTTTAAACTACTTTCCATTACCAGAGGCACAGTACATTACTGCCATATGTTTCATTCCAGAAAGTATGGAAAATTACTTGGAAGGCAGTTTTGAACTATTATAGAACTAAGTCCTGTTTATCATTATTTTCCCTTCACTAACGTATTTTATGGGAAGGTACTAGAAAGGGGGGATGAGGGAAGATTACGGTCCTATCTAGAACAGAAAGACAAGCAAATAAATAATCTGTAAAATTTATTGTTTTACCCAATCTGTCTTTTTACACAAAATATGGGCTTTAAACTTTCTTTTCACACAGCCTAACAAAGGTATCTCGTGATAAACTGTAAATTATTCTCTAATATCACATGCTGTAAAAGAAAAATGGCTCAAGAGAAACTGCATCATTATGGGGAAAAAAATGTAATTTAGTAGAAAGCTATTCTGATTGCAAGAAATTAAAAATTTTAAGTAGCTCCATGAAAAAAACTTAAGATAGTTTTACAGTGTAGCAATACTGAGACTTCAAGGCTGGTTTTGCTGACCACCAAAGTTAACATGACTAGAACTGGATGTTTCATTCAGAAAGGTTTAGGGAAGTCCCTCTCCTGTAAACCAGGTTCAGTAGCCAACAGAGGCAAACAAGTTTTCTAAGTTTCAGGTACAAATGTACCTCAATGCTAGGTAAACCCTTCATTTATTTAAAACCTTTTTAAATAACACTTCATTCAAAAAAGGGAAACAAAGCAGTAAGCTAAAGGCGTCTCTTTGTACTGTAAGTCAAGGATCAAAATTAAAGGCTGCTGACCTAGAGAATATTGAATGTTTGAGAAGAAACCGCAAAAAATGAAAACTCTTCAGCAGCAATCCCCAATCAATCAAACTCATACAATCCCCACCTGTATTAGTGGATAACTACTAGTGATCCAGAGAAACAAAACAACTAAAATGTTCAAACCCAAATACACAAAATCCCCAAACATTAAGCCTCAACCACAGTTCCTCTTGGTATAACTTACACATAGATCCTCCTTAATAAAAAATAATTAATGTATAAAAGAAAGCTTTATAGCACAGCTTCATCAGTAATGGTAGTCAAAACTAAAATTTAAGTGACAATCAGAGAGAACTTTAGTCAATTGTACTACATAGCACATTACTTTTTTCTTATGCTTTTCCTTTTTAGGCCATATTACAAATGGCAAGGCCTTAAAAATAGGGTCTGAATAGGCTTTTTTGACTCTCACGTGGATATAACAAAATTGCCTTATTAGAATCAGGCTATCTTTTGACTCTCAACATTTGCAGCCTTCTAGTCATGGTTTTTGCTAATGCTGTAAGCAACATACCAGGGTCTACAAAAGGGCAACTGAACTGGTGAGGATGTGGATTTGTGGTTTTAGGAGTCCAGTCTCTCCATATAATCTAGCAATTATTAGAAGGCTGTGAAGTTAAAGTTTTTTATTTCAGGGGGAAATCAGTTTATGTGAGACCTTCGAGATCCAGCATCTAGTTAAAAATGCACACACATAACTTTTGCAAATGAGAGATTAAGGAATTTATGAGACAGCACGCTGGCTGGTGCCCTTACAGAGTTTATTTACCTGTAAAGTGTGAAGAATT
This sequence comes from Homo sapiens, assembly GCF_000001405.40. Lineage (NCBI taxonomy): Eukaryota > Metazoa > Chordata > Mammalia > Primates > Hominidae > Homo > Homo sapiens. Next base: position 25,995,825 of record NC_000012.12, on the reverse strand, counting down.
TATTCATAAGTGATTTACCTACTACAAACAAGGTCAAATTATTTTCCCTCCTGGGACGAATAAGTCATTTAAATGCTCAAGAGACAAGAGATGATATACAGCAAGCATACTAAAACTGAGATGTAATTTAGTTGAATATCCTTACCTAAGGAGATTTTTATGCCCCCCCTTGACTTAATGAAGCCAATAATAGACATTATTTAAAAAATGGAAACACAAGCTAAAGGATTTTCCAGACTTACCAAGATTATTATAGAGAAAAGTCTGAAAAACTAGTTAGCCATCAAGATTTTCTAGCCTTTCATTATTAGAAATACTTCTCTGCTTTAAAAGAGGTTGCCAATTTATAGCATTAGTAGAATAGTGCTCAGAAAGCCCAAGAGTGGTGACACACAGCTTTGAAATATTTTGCTTCAGACTCCAAACTTGAAACCTAAGGCATATTTTATGATGCTTTTAGTGTCGACCCAAATTTGGACCTAGGAATTATACTGCAGTGGTAACAGATACTATCACCACCTATACTTAGTCCTTCTCTAAATAAATGGCTTACAAATGATGATTCTTAAGACTTTACTAATGAACATGATCTATAAAAGTCTCCCAAAACTTTGAAAGGTTTTTTTAAAAGTCATTGAAAGTGCTACTCTTCTAGGATATAATGCATGTAAGGAGTACACCTCAGCACCACTCACCTCAGCAGGCAGGAGTCTCCGAGCCAGTGAGAATGAGGTAGTCTTGAGGAAGGACAGCACCACACAGGTATTCTAGGATGATCTACACAGGCACCTGCAAAGGTACATAGGGTTCTTACAGTCCTGGCTAATTTGTATCTTAAAAATACTAAATCATTCCATTTTAACATACAATCACCAAAGAGCAAAACACAAGTGTATGGCTTCAGATAATTTTCCTAAGAATTTTCCTCCCCTGTCCCCACTCTTCCCCCTTAGCCATTTGAATTGCAGTCCTTGTGGGGTGGGTTTGTTTGGTTTGGTTTCAATTAGCATTTTTGTGCTTTTGAAAAAGGAATTTCAGTTGTTTCTATAAAAGGTCATTTGATTGGCCTATGGAGTTCTAGGAGAGACTTTGTGTCTTCTTTTTCTACTGACCCCAGCTCCCTGTGATACCACACTGATTTCTTGAAAGTAGCTTTACATTTGGAAAATTGCCTAAAGCCAGGGCTAAAACTGAAGTTGAAGGAGACCTCTCAGGTCTTCAGTCCTAAAAAATAAAAACAAAAATACACTGCACTTTTCCTTGGTAAGTACAAATTCCTACTACTGACTAACCTAAGAAAGAGGGTAACTTGGCACCATTTCTTTTGACCATTTTACTGCCTAATGCTGTGAGAATGTGAAACTTTGCCACAACATTAGCTATAAAGAAAGCCCAAGGAAGAAATCTTGGCCGCAAGATGGGAATTGACGCAATTCATATGTCTGCCACATTCAGACTATGCCCTTCACAGATGTTTCTGCATTTATTTATAGAAAGATTTACTTTAGCAACAAGACCAGCTTCCATCAACCATTTTTTTTTTTTTTAAAAATCTATCCAGACATCAAACTACTTTTATTATGAATAGAAAATACCGCCCCCAAATGTTAAAATCCTTAAATTTCCTAGTCATGAAATAATATGAAATATCAAATTAGAGCATAAGAAGAAAGAACTGGCAGACCCCAAATCTGATGCAAATGTAAGAAAACATACACATTTCAAACACCACTGAGGAAGGGGAAAGTTAGTCCAAAGTTTCCCCTTTCATAGCTGGGCTCTCCCTGCACAGCTGCTATAGCCCTGAATGAAGACTTTGTCTCCAAAGCTGGTTACTACACTCACACTTCATATAACTTAATAGTTGTTATAAAAATGCCAATGGCTTCCTGATTATTTTTTACATAGTGTTACAGTTGTAACAAAAAGGTGCACTAGTGCCCGCTTCCAAATCTTAAAAAGAAAGTAGCAGTCACATTATTTTTTTTTTCTAATAAAAATACATAGGTTTAAGCTAGCTGGATACACAGAATTTCTACTGCATCTTCTTATACCAGATGTTGAGTTAGAGTCTTCTGGCTTCAAGTAGACCTACCTACCTCCTAAAGAAGATAAAAGAAATATACACATGTGAGGGTGACAGGACTTGGCAAAAGAGCCTGTCTGTGGACGGTGCCATCCAAAAAGCAATGAAGGGTCAACCCTGCTGCGAAAGACGACTGGATAGCAAATTGAAAACCAAGTGAGAAGAGGCTAAATAGACTAACAACTACCCTCATTCCCATCCTTGGGCCTGGGAGCTGTCTGAAGTCTAGCCTGGTTTCTAAACTATTCTTATTTACCTAAATCAAAATCTCTTCCTAACCAACTTTTCTTCAGTAAAGCCTCATCTCATCTCTCTTTTTAGTTGTGTTTTCAAGAAAAACTTTTAAGAGTGGGAAGTAGATAGCTGAGAATGAGTTTCTAAAACTGACATAATTGTTATCTTCTTCATCCATAAAATAAGGTTGTCACTAGAGCCAGAGATTTAAAGGCCAAAAAGATTATGGTGCTTATTCTCCCATATGTAATTCAAACTGACACTAACATATATGCAGAGATTAAAATCTCTCTTTCTTAAACTTTTATAATTGCAAAATTCACTATGAGATGAGATGAGCGGTGCAGGGAGCGGGGGCAGTTCTGTGGGTACCCTGGGAATGTAATGTGCTCAGGGTGTCTCTGGGAAATGCCAAGCTTGACAAAAGTCAGGGCTTGGGCTCTTGTGAACCTGCCCCCCACCCTCAGCTCCCCATTGATTCCTACAACCTCCTAACTACTCAATCCATTGTTCACTCTTCACCAGGTCACTTTACAAAAACTAACAAACCAAAAGATCCAATCCTATTATCCTACTGCTTTTGAAAGTCTCCACAAAAAAGTTCAACCTTCTTTTGTCAGGTAACTGCAGTGACAAAATGTTCCTAACCATAAATACAAACATGAGCTCTGGCAGGTGTGCGAGTACCTAGGAAGGCAATGAGAAACAAGAGGCTTAAGTGAAAACGGTCTCAGGAAACTGCAGGCACTGTGTTTTTTCCACAAACCCCTTCACATCCCTTCCCGTGGCTGTCCAGGCCCACCTCCAGTGCCTCCCCTGAAGCCACCATGTAGCATGCATTACCTCACCCCACTTCAGTTTCCCTGCCTCTCCTTCAAGTTGGCATCCCAGGTGCGGGCCTTACCAAATTTTTGTGCTGGCCAAACTCCAACTCACTCTCCAAGACTCCACTCAAATATGATCTCATCACTCCCTGGAAACTCCCCTTATCAAAACTAGTCACTCCAGGTATTCTCAAGTGGCTGACACTTAGTACTCACTGGTACTGTTCATCGAATTCTCACAACAACCCTGTGAGGCAGGTAATATGTAATAAGGGAATAATTAGAAAAGAATCAAAAGGTTAAATAACTGGCCCAGGGTCATAGAGCTAAACAGGAGAGGCAAGAACTGAACTCAAGCAAATTGACCTCAGAGCCCATGTTCTTCAACAACTGTTTGAAATGTTTGCCTCTTCTTGAGGGCAGAGACACTTTGCACTGACACCTGCATTCACATTGCCTAACACATAAGTGGTACTCAATAAATGTCTGCTGAAGGCTTGATGAATTCAGAGGGTTTTACAGAATGGCAGCAGATTGTACAGTGGTTCTGAGCTTATCCTCAGTGAAAGTCCTGCTCACCTAAATGATTCCTTTTACCTAGATATAATACTCCTATTACCACATGTCTGAAAAACAGTTATCTATTATACAAATATTTGAAATGACCATAAATCAATGAACACCAACATGTAATTATGGGGAAAAGGAGAGGATAAAAATTGGGGCAGCCCCACCAATAATTATATTATTTTTGGTAAAACTTAACGTGATTCAAACATTAATTGGACACTTATAAAAATGTGCTAAAGATTAAGCATTCTTTTATTTTGGTAGCTGGCCTCCACAATGGCCCCCAATGGTTTTCACACCCTTGTGTATTCTTCTCCTACAATGAACAGAGATAACCTGTACAGCCAACAGGATATTGTGGAATGATGACATAAAGACATGGTAGCTTCCATCTTGCTCTCTCTGATCACTTGTCCTGATATAAGCCAGACATTCAAGCAGCCCTATGGAGAGGTCCACATGGTGAGGAGCTGAGGCCTTCTGCCAACAACCAGCGCAAATTTGTGAGGCATGTGAGTGAACCACCTTGGAAGTAGATTTTCCAGCCCCAGTCAAACCTTCATGTAGACTACGTACAAAATGGACTGTCACCTAGGTTGCAACCTTATTAAAGATCCAGAATTAAAACCATTCACCCAAGCCATTCCTGGATCCCTGATCCAAAGAAACTAGGTGAGAGTTCAAAAAAAGAAAAAAAAAAAAGTTACGTCTGTAGGCATGGGGCAACTTGTTATGCAGTAATAAGTAATTTATTTAAATTAAATAGTTTATAGCAATGCAAATAGAAGTTATTGATGTTAACACAATATCAGGTTATTGTAATTTCTAAACACTGAACAAAAGCAAAATAGAATGCTCAAGAATAACTCAAGAGCAAAATAAATTCCAGTTTCCAAGAGGCTCTACCTTTTTTTTTTAAACAACAGAAGAATGCAAACCCTTCATTTCCTTGTATATTTCTTTTAATGACAGCTGATTAATTGTTGGGTGTGCTCCCTTCCTCCAAACTAGGCCCACCAGGACAGATAATCAATGGACAATATTGACATTTCTATTACTGTAAAAATGAGAAGAGTTTATTGCTCTGGTTATTTAAGTATTATAGATCAGCTAAAAAGTCTAAAAGTTTTGGAGGAAACCAGCTACTCTCTACTCTGTGACTCCAAGATCCCCAAAATGTTTTCTGTGTGTGTGTGTGTGTATTTTTTTAGGCACATTTCTTTTTATTGAAAAGAGAAAACCCGTTTGAAATTGTAAATATTCAACTACAAATAAACTATGGTAGCACATTTTCATAAGTGATATCCCTGTGTATCCACAAAATAAACTATAAATACTACAGAATTCTAAACTATTCCTAAATTTTTGTTGTCTAATAAAAGAGTGGGAACATTCAAGGTGGTTTTTTCACCTTGTCATCAAAATACAAAGACTTACATCTCCAAATATAATTCAGTTTTGCTAAACGCAATACACAATGTTAGTAAGGAAGGTATCTTAGGTTTTACATAGTCCATATGAAATGTTAATAAGATGATCACAGAAACAATAAGGTAGATATTCTATGGAAATAAATCCATTATGATGCTATTAAGCTATATTAGTTTGCAAAGCAGAGAAAAATGGTAATACCAAAATTAATTATTTATATAATAAACCTTTACCAAGCTCTTATCATATTTAAAATACCACAGGGATTACAATGATGAAGATATGGGTTTCATTCCACTAACTACAGTACTTGTGAAATGTAACTAATGCCTAGTAACAATAGTATCAAATAAATGTTTGATAAACACCAAAGAGATTTGGAAAAAAGCTACAGCAGAGTTCATACAAGAGAAATCACTAATGGCTGGTGGATATCCAGGAAGCCTTCATGAAATAAGCCCCTTATGCTTATATATGGCTGTAATTTTTTTTACTTTTTTCACATTAATTTATCAATATTCCCATTATACAGGTTATACAAAGTTGAGGTTAAGATTAGGTGACTTGATCAGGATGCATTTCCTTGCTTTAAAAAGTAATAATAGGCACTCAACAAATAAGTCCCAGGCACCACTCTGCCCAGTTCAGACACTGTTCACAACCTTGTCAAGGTCAATCCTACAGTCTCCATTTTGCACATGAAGAAACTAAGATTTCAGATTTAGTACCTTCCCGGGTTCAGGTGACTAGTAAACGGTGGAGCCCTGATTTGAACTCAGATGTACTTGATTTTAAAACTTCTGCCAGACTCCCATACTGGGTAAATTCACCTATCCCATGCTGCTCTTAGCAAATGTTCATACTCTCTACCATAATTCCTCCACCCCCATGCCCCACCACACCCTTGACCTAATAAACTGATCCATAAACCATAAGGAATTGAAATGCATCCTTGTTAGTCTTATGATTTGTTATTAAATGTTATGCAAGAAATCAGAAGAGTGGCAGAGGAGAAGGGATAAGACAAGAAAGAGATATGATCAATTGTTTTTTAAATAGCTAAGTAATCATTTTTGTTTAAACCAGTTTGGAAAATGAATTTCATCAACTTTAGTAGACAAGCTATAAGATGACTATTTGAATAAAGTCTCCTTCTCCTGGATAACACTTCAATATTTCACACAACAGAGAGCTTTTTTCAGAAAACCAACTTCGCCGTTTTGATAAGTATTCATCATATTATTTAGGTGTCTTCTATCATTCCAATTTGAATCAGAAAGAAAGAGGGGGTGGGGGGAAAGAAAGACACTGTTAAATGCCTATAGATTAAGACAAATATAAAACACACTAGTAGTAGAAACTGTGTTTCACTATAGAACACACATCAGAAAATGTGAAATCAGGACATACTAAAGGTTTACATCAAGGAAGCCCCCAGAAAAGAACAGTATGGCTGTGGGTGTGACCCAGTGATTATGAGAAAACATATGGTTGGGCCTTAGTTTTAAGAGAAAACATTCTGACAGGCAGAAATGTTGGGAGGGAAAGAAACCTGAAGAACAGACAAGTAGAATCACTCTGCAAAGGAGACATTGTAAATCTGTCTTTACTACCGCTTGGTAAGTACAAGGCTCTGTTGGAGGCACAGTGAGTTTGCAGAATTCCAGCAAGATAGGCATACCCCTCAGAGATGCTTTCTAAAATCAAGAAAAATTCAAAAAGCTAACTAGTTTTTAAGTTAAGTGAAGAAAATTACAAAGGTAATTAAACAGATGTTGTGAACCATCCTCCAGGAGACAGTTTCTCTAAACATACTATAGGAATTCTCGGGAGGTTTCCACACTGTTTTGTTACTTGTTTAGACCCATTTCCCTACCATACCATGGAATCCCATCCCATTTCTTCTTTATGGTCCCACCACCTAGCACAGGATCTGGCAAACTCAATAAATGAGAACCAGAGGAAGGCCAGGAGGGGTTCCTGATAAAGCAGGAATTTCACATACTATTTCCTGAACTGGCAGTGCAGGTGGCTGATACAAATCTCTCTTCTTCTCCCCTACAAATGATTGTTTAGTCATGAGGGAGAGGGCTATTTTCTAAATGAAAGAAATTTTTTTTATTAAATTGTGACTTTAAGTTCTATTTTTGTACTAACAGAAACGAATCCCAAATAATGACTGCAGTCACCATTCCCCAATCACCCTGGAAATTTTTCTAAATACTACAGATTGCTCTAGTTAACCCCATCTTAGCTCATCGGATTTGATTATCCAGCTTATTGTGTGAATTAACCATCTGTTCAATAATAGGACTGCTACCAGACAAAAAGAAAAGTTCCAAGATTGCTTTTAAAGACCTGACAGTTTTGAGTTGAAGGCTGTCTGCATGGATGTTTTATACTTTTTCCCACTGTGTTCCCTTTATGGTCTCAAAAAAACTTATTTTAAAAAGAGCCTACTAAAAAAGCAAGCTCAAATGCTAGGAAGGAATTCATTTTTTAAAAAATAACATTAATTTCGACCAGGCGTGGTGGCTCACACCTGTAATCCCAGCACTTTGGGAGGCCGAGGCAGGCAGATCACGAGGTCAGGAGTTTGAGACCAGCCTGGCCAGCATGGTGAAACCTTGTCTCTACTAAAAGTACAAAAAAAAAAAAAAAATTAGCCAGGCATGGTAGTGCATGCCTGTAGTCCCAGCTACTCAGGAGGCTGAGGCAGGAGAATCGCTTGAACCCGGGAGGCAGAGGTTGCAGTGAGACGAGATCACGCCACTGCACTCCAGCCTGGGTGACAGAGTGAGATTCCATTTCGAAAAAATAAATAAATAAATAATAAAAAACCAAAAATTAATTTCAAGCAACAATGACCTTCATTCTCTTTTTAAAAAAGAGCTGGTAGAAATTTTTGGCATATATTTTAAAAGGCAAAAAATATAGAAAGTGAATAATATTCTACTGTTGGATAGAAAATGAATACAATGTGTTGGCATGTTCAAGTATGTTTTAAACAACTATTTAATTTCCTAAATTGAGCTGTTGCATAATGTATGTTAATTCTGAATATTGTCCTTATTTCAGTGCAAAGAAAAGCATAAACAATAAAGCCACTTCAAGCTGAAGAAAAAATTATCCTTAGGTTTAAACACCACTTAAACCGGGCACTTGTACAGATTATACTTTACCTGTTTCTGAAACCTTATCATTTCCTGCCTTAGTATGGAATTAAAGCATCCCAGTTTTTGGCTCAATTTTGGTATACTCTCCTTGATGAAAGCTTATATTGGCTGTAATGCTGTGTTAATAATGTTCAATTTGGCTCCAGGCTAGTCAAAAAAATCTAAGAGGCATGACCGCATAGCTCACAAGATGTACTGTGGATTTTGGTCAGTTCATATCATGAACACTCACTGCCTAGCAACGGCTCCAAATGTCAAGAGTTCAATCCTGGGCCAGGCGTGGTAGCTCATGCCTGTAATCCCAGCACTTTGGGAGGCCGAGGCAGGTGGATCACCTGAGGTTGGGAGTTCGAGACCAGCCTGACCAATATGGAGAAACCCTGTCTCTACTAAAAATACAAAATTAGCTGGGCATGGTGGCACATGCCTATAATCCCAGCTACTCAGGAGGCTGAGGCACGAGAATCGCTTGAACCCGGGAGGCGAGGTTGCGGTGAGCTGAGATTGCGCCATTGCACTCCAGCCTGGGCGACGAGCGAAACTCCGTTGCAAAACAAACAAACAAACAAACAAACAAAAAAAAAAAACGGTAGTTCAATCCTGCCCCAAGTTACAAAAAAAATGGTAGCAATACACAAGTGACAGTGTGTACGAATCCATAAGAGGGGAGAAGTGGATAACGAAAGGAAATTAAAGCAAAGAGAAGAGGCAGCAAAAGAAGAGAAAGGCAGCAGTAAGTAACTAGGAGCCTTGTCAGGGTTATGAGAAGCCAATGGCCACTGGAAAGAATAGGTGAGACTACAAGAAACACATGGAAGGAGTCAATGAATGTCTAGTCCCTACACAATTTAGAGGGAAACTGGGTTAAGAGGAGCAGCTGAAAGAGGTGCTCTAAGAAGAAGTAAGCTGCTCTTGTGGGGCTTGAAAGCTGGGAGCAGCCTGCACATCATAGGCCTCAAAAGGGCACAGAGAACCTACAAGTCCTGATAGTCCAGTGGACCAAGATATGTGAGGTCATCCACCTTGTATGAAATTAAGGCTTCAAAGAGAAAACTGCCCTTCTCCTCTGTACATTCTAGAGGTAACACAGATAACAGCAAACATTCTAATATTAGCTCTGCTGTCATGTGAACTTGGGACAGTTATAACCTCCCTGAGCTTCAGTTTCCTCATCTGCAGAGCAAGTTCTTGGGAATAAGTACACCTGGTGTGTCTTTTAAAAATTGTCACTGGCAGGTTTCTATAGCCCTGTGAAGTGCAGGAGCCTGGAGGAAGAAGATCTAATTAATGTAAATCAAGGCCACACCTATCCTCTGGGTACATCTGAACCCAACTTGGGATGCTGGGAAGCTCGACTGGATATAAAAATCTCACCCCTTTAAGACTGAGGACAGACTCTGCTACAGGGTCACTGAGACCAAGAGAATCACTTGCTACAAGCCAGCATAGAAAAAAACTTCACCAAACACTTCACTTTTATAGCCCTGTGGGCCAAGCCACTGTTCAAAGTACTTTATGTATGTTAATTCATTTAATTATCTTAACAATCTCATGAAATAGGGGTTTTCCTTGTTTTCTGATGATACGAGAGGCACAGGTAGTTAAAGAACATATGTCCCAGGTGTCCCTGCTAGTAAATGACAGTCAGCATACGAATCCAGCCCTGTCTGCTGCAATCTGTGCTCCTAACCACACCACACACTGCCTTTAGCCAGGACTCCACAGCCCTAGCACTGCACTGCTGAAAGCATGCTCTCCTCCCCTTTTTCTCTCCCCCAAATATTAATTTTGGCGACCCCTCCCTAAATTCCACATCTGTAAGATGGGGATAAGACCACTTCCTTCCCTATGAAGTGGAATATTTTTATGAGAAAACACCTAACAACACTTGCCACATTGCAGATCCTCGATAATTGCCGATTTACTCATTTACCTCAAGTAATTATTATCCAGACAAATGCTGCCATCTGCCTACCCCTCCTTGTTTACACAGAGCTAAGGCCCTGGCCAGATGAACTGGACCCCTGCACTGCCATAGACAGAAAACCATACGATAGTCTCTGAAAGGCACCAAACTAAATTATCCTTATGTATTTCCCTTCGGTGGATACTACCTGAATCTAGTGATGCCTTCAGGAGCTGTGGACAGCAGAGGGTTTGTCTGATCCCAGCAATGAAAGATCCCTTGTTTGAGCTATAATTTGGTATAATACAGTAACAACATGACATAGGGTCTATAGTTACAGCATTAGATGCCTCCCTCCCACACACACACAAAAAACCTTTAGCAAACCATCACACTACAGAACATTTGTGGAACTTCTTGGAACTCATTTCTGATTGGTGCGGCAAAAAGTGCAATAACCTGGGAGTTAACAAAAGGTTTGCATTAAGCACTAGCAGGCCAATCCAGGGGAGTCAAAACCACCAATAATGAGAATGCGTGTGAATCTGCATCTGAAAAATGAAAGGCTCAAGACCAGGGTGGTGGTTTATATCACCACCCTGGATGCTTTCCTCTGGACACATTTCAGTTTGTTAATGTCCATAAAATTTGGCACCCAAAACTAAAAACAACTTTCCAAAAATGGTCTGATCAGCATAAATGATTTATTGCCTGTGTTAATCCTGCCTTGACTTTTTAAAATTAATTTTACTAAATGTTGAACAGGCAAAAGAGTACTCATAAAATGAGTAAGGTATAAACAAAAGGAAACATTCATGCACTCACAATTTTAAGAAGAAAAAGTTACCTTGAAGCTCCTTTTGTGACCCTTCTTAATCCAACCTCTTGTCCTCCACTAAAAGGTAACAACAATTCTCCTTAATTTTGTGTGTACCCTTGCCTTTTAAAAAATAGTTTAGGCTGGGTGCAGTGGCTCACGCCTGTAGTCCCAACACTTTGGGAGGCCAAGGTTGGCAGATCATGAGGTCAAGAGGTCGAGACCATCCTGGCCAACATGGTGAAACCCTGTATCTACTAAAAATGCAAAAATTAACTGGGCATAGCGGTGTGCGCCTGTAGTACCAGCTACTCAGGAGGCTGAGGCCAGAGAATTGCCTGAACCGGGGAGGAAGAGGTTGCAGTGAGCCGAGATCGTGCCACTATACTGCAGCCTGGGTGACAGAGCAGAACTCCATCTCACACCTGTAATCCCACCACTTTGGAAGGCTGAAGCAGGAGGATGGCTTGAGCCCAGGGGTTTGAGGTCAGTCTGGGCAACATAACAAGACCCCATCTCTACAAAAGAACTAAAAAAAAAAAAAAAAAAAAAAAAAAGCTACGTGTAGCAGTGCACATCTGTAGTCCCAGCTACTGAGGAGGCTGAGGCAGGAGGATTGCTCGAGTCCAAGAGTTAGAGGGTGAGTGAGCTATAATCATGCGACTGCACTCCAGCCTTGGTGACTGGGCCAGACCCTATCTCCAGAAATAAATAAATAAATACATGATTGTATCCTTAAACAATGTACTACTTCAGTTTTGTGCAAATTTCTGAAGCTCATATGAATGGAATCATACTACATAAAATCTTTTAGAACTTGTTTTTCTGTTGTTGATGCACGAACTGGTAGTTCATTCATTTTCAAAGGTACAGAAAGGGCTGTCAACAGGCTGGCACACACGGGTATGGGTTGAGGCTCGCTGTTTATGGGCAGCAGCCACACTGACTGCATGGTGTCTACACTGTACTGGTTGTTCACTATTTTTAGTATCACCCCTGTCCTACGGTAATCCACTGTACAGATAAAAAATGCCTTATGCTTTCTACAATCCATGTTTTTTCTCCAGCTTTTTTGTTTTTTTTCTTTTTTTGGTACCACACAAAGTGCTCTGAACTATGCTGGACATGTGCTGGGTTGTAGGGTATACACATATTCAATTTTATTAAAATCAGTTTCCTTCGAAACTATGGTCGTAACCCATTGCAGTTTATAAAATTTCCTGGGTTGGTCCCAACATTTTTAATGAAAAAGAATAAATGAGAAAAGCCAATAGTAGAGAACATTACCTTTAGTAGAGAACTGATAAGATCAGTTTCTAGATACTTTGGCTTAAATCATACACATGTATCATATGCATACACATGTGTCAGTAAGTGAATTTCTTTCTGTGGGTCACAGTCAAAAAGCTCAGAACTATCTTCCAGTTGCTTAATTCTTGCTCTGGCTATGTCTAGTTTGCCATTAAACCTATTTGCTGGTTTTTAAATTCCAATTATATGTTTATTTCTCAAAGAACTATTTAGTTTCAGATTTTTTTTGTCATTTTTATATTCACTTGCAATTTACTCATATTTTTAACCTTTCCATTTCTTTAAAAGTTATTTTACATTCTTTCTGACAACTATAATATCTGAGATTATTACACACCTAATTCTGTTATCTACTATTTTGGCTGGTTCTATCGATGATGCCTTGTTTACTTTGTTTTGTGATTCCTGACTGTCATTAAAATTTCTTAAAACTTTTTAAACTCTTCAAGGCTTGCCCTGAAGAAAGATTCCTCCAAAAAGGACCTGCACTAGCTTCTGCCTTGTGCTACTATGGTGGAACCACTCTACAACTATATAATTTGCCTTTTCTTTGGACCACCTATAGGTCTAAATTAGAACTGAAAACCTCCATGAATGCTGATTATTATTGGTTATAAAATATTAGGCAGTTTTTCTGAGATTTTCTGCGGACTGGGAGGTGGTCAAAGGAAGTTATATTTCTAGTTCTACAATACACTATGAAAGTAGTCTTTAGGGGTCCCAGCTCTATGTGGAGACATTGTCTACTAAACTTTTTTCCCCATAGGAGGCTCTGGGCTTTGTCTCTTGTCTCCAGTGCAACAAGGGACCAAGAAAATTCAAGCTCAACGGGACTCAGCAAGTGCTCTCTAACCAGGTGTTCCCCTTATCTCTCTGATTTCTTGCTTTCACTTTCAGGCCAATGTTTGGTCTTTTATTTTCATGTTTTCTTGCCATTTAGGGATACATCTTACATAATTTATCCAGCATTTTTATTTATATTCATTTTTACTAGAGGAGTAATTCAGAGTATCTAGTCTCACATGCCATCAGAAACCAAAGTACACTGACATTCTAAACAGCCATTATACTGAGCTTCTGTTCAACTAAAACCATTATGTCTTTTTCATATGAACTATGTTGTTTCCTTATTTCTGCACTTGCATAACTACTATTTGTAATCTAAATGCAGAAATTCATATTCTGACCTATTCAACTTAGTCTATATTTTAGTCATTGTTTTAAGCTATTAAAGAATTCTCAATCTCTCATTTAAAAATATTATTTACAACTTCAAACTTTTTCATTCACAAACTTGATTAACATGCCTTCTATATTTTATTCTAAGTTGAAAAAGATGTGGAACACTGTATCATTCAGCATATAAATCACTTTAAGTTTCTAAAAAAAAAGATCCACCTGCAAAGTGGTACCCCGTATCTTCGATTTCATACCCCAAAAACGTTTGTCTGAAAACGTGCTTTTTAAAAATTCATGTTATATTATCTCTACTTCAGTATCATTTGAGGACGATTATTAAGAAACATATCCTTGAAATAGGGATTCCTATACCTCCCTCACACACCACAAATTAAATTTGATATAGACCTAAGAGCAGGTTAAAGTTAACAGGGAGGATGGCTTTGAACGCTGTAATACAGAAATAATCAATCATGCTTTCGATAGTGCTGACAAGTTAAAGCCCTGACAGCAACAGTAAAGATCATTCAGGGAAGGCTGAGAGTCATTCTAAGGTTTAGCCTTTGCTTTGGTGATTAATTTTACAAGAAACAGCAAGGTCATTCAGCATACCTGCCTCATTCCACCTCTATGAGAAAGGGACCAGCAACTACAAATCATATTAACATTATGCAGGGTGACCATACAATTTATCAGTGCATGGTAAATGCATCTGATAGCAATAACTTAAGCATACCCTGAGAATAACCCTGTATGGCAGAAGCACCTGAATATTCCAAGTTAGGGAATCCTGGAGTTGCCAACCAGGAGATTCGTTCTTTGTCTACGAGGAACATCAGAACCCCCAACTGCACAACCTCTGAGGTCTGGTGGAATGCAGGCCAGACAGAGGATCATGGCCCTTAGTTTTGGGTTGAGGGAAGGTTACCATATGGAGACTGTTGAGCAGGGGGACACTAAGTGAAAATGCTATATAAACTGCATGCTTTTGGGGCTGGTTCTCCTGCCCAGCCCACTGCCACTAGACTCTCTTCCCTGGATATAGGCCCCCAATAAAACCCCACGTCATCTCGTTTCCTGGCTCTGGGTCCCTTCTTTGGCCTCAGGAACCTGGTACCATCCCTGGTGGAGTCAAAGGGGTTCAACAAAACAATCATCCAGAATGAAAGGTCCTGTTATTATGCCAGAACAACAGGAGTGAGCCAGGACCAATCCAGCAAACCAGGACGCATCCGACCCTGATCATACACTTCCCTCTTTTAATAAAGCAACTGCCTCAGTATCTCCTTATACTGCCCATAAAAAGTACCCACCCATTGCCTATTTTCTACTGGACAACAACCATAGTTTCAGGATAATATGCTAATAATGCCCCTCAATCCCCCAAAATATGTTTTGTTAAAGGAGACAGGATGATATACTTTTTCTTAAGAGGAAAGTGTTTAAGAAACTTATCTAAAACAATTACTGAATTGAAATATCTCATTCCATGAATTTTTTTTAATTAGAGTGATTTTTAAATTATTCTTGCAATGACTCTCTCAACAGCCTTTCTGATATCCACATCCCTTCTATGGCTTCACCTGCTCATAGCTGGCTGAAATCCCTTCTCATAGGACTTAGAACTTAGTACTACCCCCACCCCACTCCCACCAGCTAACGGGAAGATACTGATACAACTGTAAAGCACAAATCCAGCTTCCATAAGTGTTTTGTTTGGCCAACATAGTGTTTTGATGCTTTTAAAAAATGGAAATCATCCCCAAAAATCTCAATCCCCGAAAAAAATCAAACCCTGTTTGGAAGACGCAGTCTCTGGAATTCCAGTGTTTGGTGAAGGCACAGAAATGATTACGGAGGAAGGGTCTTTCCTACCCCATGCAGAAAACATAGCAGTTACTGCATTTACTCTTTAATCTCTTTTTAAAATTAAAGATAATGACCATTTTGTTGTATATATGGCATTTATCTTAGAATAGATTACGGAAAGAGTCATATTACCCAACTCTAAAGCAAATATACAATCAAATTATGAGTATTACAGTATAATGGCCCACCTAGCCAAAGAACAACAACAGAAAGTTCTCGTTTGTGGGTTAAGTACCCTGTTAAGATAAACCCACTGGAGACTTAAAGACAAGGTATATTTGCTTAAATTGGTTTTTAACCATGGAGGTCGGTACTTAGAAAACCTGATGAAAGCAGAAGGAAGTAGTCCTTAAGGATAGGAGCTAGTTTCTCATGCCTAAATTTTCGTAACTACCACTCTGAATTTTGTCACTGTGAACCTCTATTTAAGAGTCACCTTTTCCAAGAAACCTTTCCTGATGCCTCCCTTCCTCTTCCAACAGTAAAAGCTGGCAGCTGCCTTCCCTACCTGCTACATCCTTCACCCGCTCCAGCAACTGAAACACTCCCTGTGCTGCTGATCCAGCTCCCCTACTGCTAGTAAAAATTGCTCAAGGGTATTGTCTCTGTTTCCCCAACACTTACACAGCACCAACAGGAACATGGGTACTCAACCTCTCTCCTCTACAGTGAAGCATCAGCATGGAATGTTAGTTAAAACCAATAATGGTGGAGCTGCCCTTGGCCTCGAATCCTAGCTCTGCTCCACTTCTTACCTATGTGAGTTTGGGCAAATTATTCTGTCTCAGTTTTTGCAGAAGTAAAATGGGGAATAAAAAAGCACAGACTTTCATGGGGTTATTGTGAGATTTAAATAAGTTAATACATGTGAAGTGCTTGGGACCTAGCACATCACACTCAAATATAGATTATAAATTATCTTTTTTTTTTAAGTCTCCAATTCTTCACAATCCTCAACTCAGTGCTAACCTCACTGTTCTTCAGAAAATCCTCAATGATTTCCTCGTTGCCAAAAATCAAGCCCTTATCTACACGATTTCCATCTCAGCTTTGATACTGCTGGCCAACTCTTTGTTCTTGAGGCTCTTTTCCCCTTTGTTTCTAGGGAGGGCACTGATCTCATTTTCTCTCTCTCAGCTTCTCTTCTTGCCTGGGGCCAGCTGCTAGAGCTCCCTGCTGCTTGATTCTCTCTTTATACTGCCTGGTGCAGGACAAGCTTATCTACTAGTTGGTCTTCAACTACCAACGTGTCCAATCTGTCTTAGGACTCATCATGTCGAATAAGTGATTGGAAGAATGATTGGGAATATCACTATTTCCAGCCCAAGCTTCTTTTTGAGCTTCTAATCTTTATTTCTTACTGCCTTCTAGGTAATATCCATCTAGAAGTGAACATACTACCGTATCTTTTTCTACTCCCTCAAATGTGCTACATTTAACTAGCATGAAGTACTGTGACTGCTGTCTCTCCAGATCTGGTATTCTATTAGCTATTAAATCCTACCTATTCTAACATCCAATAGTGGGCAAGAAACATCCTCTCTTCCCTATTACCATAATGAAATCCTTTCATTAAGGTTTTCATGCTCTCATTTTTATTACTGTGCTACCTTCTGGTCTCTCAGCTTCCAGTGTTGCTGGAGAGGCAGGGAAATAGGCACCTCATAAATAATGCCACCAGAATGACCAGCCTATAATGATCTGATCCCATCGTGCCCCTGGTTAAAAAAAAAAAAAATTAACCTACATGTACACATTTGAATACAATCTATTTACTAGCATATATTTAATGAGTGCCTCCCATGCTGAATAAAGCCCTGAGTCCCAAAGAGTTCTAATAAGAAACTGCTCCTGCCTCTAAGGACCTAGTTTGGCAAAAACTATTTTGTTGCTTATAAGGTGCACAAGCACATGCTTCTGTCTAACATCTAAAACACTCTGGACTGGAAATGAGATAAGCAATACTTATTAACATATTTATATGTAGTACATATATAATTAACACAATATCAAAAATTAATAAAGATAGGAATGAGGGAATGTGGCGGTTTGTGACTGCCACTGCAGGTGCTCTTCTTAGACGCAGCTGGCCAGTCTCACTTCCAGAATATATAAGGATGTTATATTTAGGCCCAGTCCTAGTCATTTAGGCGCTTAAAAATAACTTGATTTGACCTGAATTAAACAGTGTTCCAGATCGGCTTTCTGCATCAGAATCTCAGAAGCTTCTACATACTCAGCTAGAATGTACTGTATGGTTTTTTAAAAAATTGTGTTAGAAGAGTTCATCTTTGTTTCCACGACAGGACTGAATCCACTGTCATTAATAAAATGCCATCAAAGTGCATTCGCTCAGCACAGATAAGCAAGTGGGTAGAAGGGCCAGGCCAAGGAGTGACCCTCTCAGCAACAGGCAGCCACTGAGGATTTGAAAAGAGGAGTGTCACAAGCCCTATGCCCCATTTTACCACTAACTATGATTTTCCACTTCTACTCTTCAGTGACTGCTCTTTTGAAAGATGGTACAATGACCTTCCAAGTGTCTCTCAGTGTCAATCCCACCTGTCACTAGGAATTCCACAGACTGTTTGGTGTCAGTGGTCCTTAATGATAAAAACTAGTTATCTTTGCCCTTACTGTAGCTGCCTTACAACCGTGTTGTTCTCAATGGTAATTTTTAAAAGGCCAACTTGGTAACTGTTGGCAAAATCAAAGTATACTTGTAAAGCAAGATTCTTATTTTTTTTTTTTGCCTTACAAATATTTTAACTTGTATACTAAAGTTGGCAAATCATATTGCCAACTAAATTCACTAAATTAGTTACACTTAACTCTGTTAGCTTGCTGAATATCTGAAAAATGGAAAACAATTTTCCTGTTAAATACATGAGGTCAAGAACAAGAACTGCAATGATCTGGGTTATTTCCAGAAAAAAAAAATCAAAATAATCATATAAATGAAAGAGACTTAGTAGGAAGTTGGGTTGTTCCTTAAATAGAAGAAAAATGAATAAGATGGTTATGGGCAAACTACCATATAAGCCAGTTAGTTTCTCTCTGTGTAATGGTCACGGTTATAGCCCATAATCTCAGCCATTTCAAAATACTTAAGTCACAGCCCAACAAGGATGAATCCATGCAAACTTCTCAGTGATGCCATAACGACGTGGCTGGCGTGCATTCACTGGTAATAAGTCAGAATCAGTCAGGTGGAAGGCTGTGGTGTAATGACTTAATGGAAGGAAGCCTGAAACAAACAGGGTCATAATGACAATGTTGCTAATCTCATCTGCAGCTATTCGCTTAGGCTTTCTGAGCTTAATTTTCCTACCTATAAATTGCCAGACCTGATTATTTCCAATGACTGTTAATAATCAAATTAGATAATGGATACAAAAGTGGCTGAAAGACTACATTGTGCTCTGTAAAAATCTAAGGTGAGGAGAACCAACAATGAGGGGATAAACTGTGGACCAGGGAAACGTCTTAGAATTATAGGCTAAATTCACAACTTTCGTGCAAAACCAGGAGGTCCCAAGCATGTGGTGTTAGGCTTTGGGAGTAACACACTGGGCTTGTTCTTAACGCAGCAGGGGGAAGAGAGGCTGGAGAAAGTCATGTCACCGGTAGAGGGTCGTGACTCCAAGTTGTCCAGGTTCTTGGCATTTTGAAAAAAGAACTGGACAAAACGCCCAGCAAAGCAAAGAAAGAATAAAGCACAAAAGAACGAAGGCAGGGATTTACTGAAAACGAAAGTACACTCCACAGTGTGGGAGCAGACCCAAGCAGCAGCTCAATGGCCCAGATACTGAATCTTCTTGGGTCCAAATACCCACTAGAAGTTTCCCATTGGCCACTTCAGGCTCATCTCATGTAACCGAAGTGGTAGCCCACAATCAGTCTGATTCGTTGCAGAAAGCTGCCAACCAGAGGCTGAAGTGAAGTTACAAATGTCACATGCAAAAGAAGAAGCAACCAATCAGAGGCTAAGGTGAAGTTACAAAGTTATACTTCTGTGCAAACCAAGACTCCGCTGGTGTGGACAGCAACCACTCTGAGGCTGGAATGAAGTTACAAAGTTGCAAATGAAGACTCCACCTGCACTCAGTATGATTTGTTGCAGACAGCCAATTTCCCATCCTCCAGACAGAAAAGGTCAAATGGAGTAGCCTCTGGTCCTCTTGTTCCTTAAGCGGAGGGTTACAGTTTTCCTTTCAATTTAGTCCTAGGAAGTCGATCTGATGGGTTTTCCTTTCAATTTAGTTCTAGGAAGTTGGCATGAAACAGCCTTAGGTTCCCTGCCTCCAGACCCTATTCTCCTGCCTCACTGGCAGCCTGGGTGAGGAGAGGAGACCAGGAGACCTGTTCATAAAAGCCTACTGGCTTGGAATAAGGTCCAAAATTTCTGGGTGCGGCTCCTCTACACCTGGTTCCAATCACATTATGGGCCCCATTTCTGTCTAGTCTCATCCCAAGCTGACTGAGTCTAGACACTGTGCTGCTTCCCAAAGGTACTCTGTACATCCATGCTCCAGGGTCAGCCACCACCACAGTTTTCTGGCTGTGGTGGCCTCTCCCTAGGGCACCCCATCACCTCTCATCCACCTTTATGCCACTGTCCCCAGGTATTATTTCTTCTGGTCCTTTGGTCCTTGATCAGCGTGTACTACCTTCTAAATAGCTTCCTCTGTTTCTCCTCTTTCCTTTGCATTTATCTCTATTTCTAAAATAAGTCTTCTTAAAGTTCAACTTTTGCTTTGCTAGATTGCAAGCTTTTTAAAAGGCAGAGGCCATTTCTTATCTTTGTAACATCAACCACTACAAGTATTGTTCCTTTAACTTAATTCACATAAATCTTTGTAGAGTGAATATAAACACAGCAATCTCAATACACTACACTGGAAGACACTGAGCAGTATGCTGAACCCAGGTTATTCTAAAGCAATCCCAACATTCTCTAATCTAAAATCTGAATATGTCAAAATCTTAATTCAGGACAAAGACCGGAAAAGCTGCTTCTCATAACCAAGCTTGCTACCAACTGAAAGCTAAACAAACTCTAGTACAGCATGAACATCCTTTACCCTGGTGGGGTGGGTAAGTATTCCTAACCTCAGCTCCAGCCACTCCCCCAGCCCACTGTGCACATCTAACTTTAATGATATCGAGACTATTTGTTCTCCGGCAGACCACATTCTCCCTTATATCCTGTGCTTTTGGACCTGTTGTCCTGTTTGTATGGAGTGTCCTCCCAGAAAAAATGCCTTTCATCCTCAAGTCTTAGCTCAAACTGAACTTTCCTCTTTAACATTCCCTGATTTCCTCAGGTGGACTTAGGAAGATCTTTCCAGAAGCACTCACTCCCAACCCCACCCTGGGAACCCACATCTCTATTTTATCCATTATCACACTTCACAAATTATTTGTTTAAAGGCCCCTCTTTTAACAAAGTGTCTCAAAGATAAGATTGGTTCTTATTGTTTTTGCATAGCCAGCTTGCAAACACTCCACAGATATTGAATGAATGAATCACTGATGAATAAAGGCACCACCCAATCCACCGACATCAATTATCTACCAATAGCTACCCTACCCACGCTACATTCAGGGTTGAGTGCTCACTGGTCAATATGTCTGGAAGAGGCAGACAAACTCAGAGTGCAGCCCCAACACTTTTCACCTACCTGAGCAATATTCCCATAGAAACAATACTACCATAAATGTATAGGTTTGCAAGCTGGTACATCAAGCCCTATTCAATTTGAAAAATCTAAAATAGTTAAAGCTGTATTGAGGAAAATTAAGATTTCTACTTATTCAGATTCTACATTAGGAAATGCTGGGATTGCTTTAGAACTAACTTGGGCTTAGAGTATTGCTCTGTGTCTGCTAGTATAGTGCTATGGCTTAAAAAAAAAAAAAAAAGGTATTTTAGTAAAAGTCCCTGTCTGTTTTGTAGACTCTCATGGATTAAACAAAAAACCTAGCCATCCCTTGTAGGATAAATACCTTTGGAAAAACATGTTCCAATTCAATGTGGACTTCCACATTGCTCACATTTAAAATCAGAGGTTTCCTTTAAACAGAATCTCCATTCTCTTTGCAGATTAGCTGTGGCACTTCTCGCGTATTGGCTGGGCTTTCCACCTCCCTCCCTCTTCTTTCTTTCACCTCCTCCGCTTGTATGATCAGGAAAAATCAGTTTAATATTAGCCAAAATAAAACAATAATAAATAAATCTTCTAGGGGAAAAAAATTACACTCCATTTACATTGCTCCAACCTCAGTGGGGGCCTCAACACTGCTGAGCCCCGCTGCTTTCTCCCTGGACCACCGAGCTCACTGAGACCTTAGCCAACACTTGCCCCAAACTTCTCTGTTTTGCTCAAACTGCAACCTCAAAGCCATCTGTTTTCACTTCCTAATAACACCCTTCTCTCATCCCTCACTTCATAGAGAAATTTACAGCAGCCGGACACGGGTTCTTACTCCATTTGGGCTGCTTTAACAAAATACTATAAACTGGGTAGCTTACCAATAACAGAAACTTGTATTTCTCACAGTTCTGGAGACTGGGAAGTTCATGATTATGGCACCAGCGGATCAGGTGTCTGGCAAGGGCTCACTTTTTGGTTCACGGATGGCACCTTCTTGCTGTGTCCTCACATGGTAGAAGGGAACAGATAGTTCTCTTTTATAAGGGCACTAATCCCATTCATGAAAGCTCCACCTCCACGAGCTAATCACCTTCCAAAGGCCCCACCTCCAAATGCCATCACCTTGGAGGTTAGGATGTCAACATATGGACTTGAGGGAGACACAAACATTCAGACCATAGCAGGCTCCCTAATTTTTAAATGAAGGACCTCACTGTCTGGCAGTCTGTCTCACAAACTCAGCATCTCAAGTTAAGCCTCATGGTCAGTTTATAAGGAAGATAGATACCATCACATCCAGCTGACGGATGGATGATGAGCAAACTGAGGATCAAAGGGATTAAATGATGTGTCCATGGTCCCATGACTACTAAGTGACAAACAGAACCTGGTTATCCTAACCCTCAGTTCACACTGCATGCACCACATCTGTTTCAGTACAGTGCCAATTTATCTTCTCAATTCCCCTTCATATGTCCCACAGTCTAGCCAAACTGGCCAAATGAACCTACCCAAGCATTTTAACAAATAAACTAGCCTTTGCTTCTAAAAAAAAAAAAAATAGCGATCTTTTTATGATTACAGAATATTTGCTTATTCTGGGGAGACTGAGGAGGGAGGATCACTTGAACCCAGGAGTTCAAGCATGCAGTGGGCTATGATCTTGCCAATGCACTCCAGCCTGGACAACAGAGTGAGACCCTGTCTCAAAACAAAAAAAGTCATCCATAAAAAAAAGAATGAACAAGCTACAGTTATACGCAATATGAATGAATCACACAGCCTTGGGTGCCAGAAACCAAGACACCAAAGAGTACATGTTGTATGATTTCATTTATACAAGGAAAAAAAACAGTCAAAACTATGAGATGCCATTAGAAGTGAGGAACACAGGGCCTATGGAGATGCTGATAATGCTGTATTCTCGATCTGTGCACTTGATGCATGGATTTGTTCAGTGTATGAAAATCCAATAAACTGCATATGCATGTGCATATACATGTACACACAGACATAACATACTTGAAGTCAAAAAATTATGTTAATATTTTGGTATGTCTTCATTCTGGTGTTTTTTCCTTTTGGTATTACTGTTTTTAAAAAATACAAAAATTCTTATCACCTTCTGTGTACAATCTTGTATTCTCTCATTTTAACCTTATAAAAAGAAAAGGATTTACCCAAAGTAC
Source organism: Homo sapiens (assembly GCF_000001405.40). Lineage (NCBI taxonomy): Eukaryota > Metazoa > Chordata > Mammalia > Primates > Hominidae > Homo > Homo sapiens. The sequence goes on along the minus strand of NC_000012.12, from coordinate 25,972,576 downwards.
TGTAAATTCTTCATAAATACTTTTAATGGCTGTATAACAGTTCATCTGGAGCCTATACAATAATTTACTTAACCAGTGCCCTGATATTAACCATTAGATGTTTCTAATGTTTATTACTATAAATACTGCTGGAGTAAATGCCCTTACTCTTTTAGTTTTTTAGCCACTCTCTCCTCTTACTCAGCTTTATATATTTATAATATTACATATTATAGCTTATATAATATTTATGTACTTACTGTATCCTCAATGGTTGATAATAAACTTCCCCAAATCAAAGACCACTTCATTCTTCCTCATAACCTTATGTCAGTCTCCTGAATATGGTCAGTACTTACTATTTGTTGAAGTGTTTTCAGAAGCCAAGTAAAACTTCCACTCCTATTAATCTAGATTTCAGTATCACCTAAGTCATCCATGTAATATGAATGATTAAGTCAGTTATATTTCAAATTATTCGTTTGGTCTTCACACTTAGTGTCTACCGGCAGTTTGGCATGGTCCTGTTTTAGGGTATAAATTCACTCAACGACTAGCTGTGCTGGGCCCAAGGATCCAGTGGGAATCAGTAAGAGTCAGACAAGTGCCTGCCATTAAAGAGTCAGTGGATAACTAAATATGGATCCTGCTTTCCAGGAGACCCAAAGTCTAGCAGGGAAAGCAATACTAAACCAATCTGGACTTCTCACTCTCGTGATTGAAATCACAAGTGCTCAGATGGCAACAAATACCAGTTCCAGAGCCAAACTCTGAAAACTTCTCCTGGGTGGTTACTTTCATGTTTGTTAGTCTGTGGATGAATGTGTCTGCTGTATCTACAATACATTTTTAAGTGTTTTACAAACATTACTAATGCCATTGCATCTGCCAATGCAAAAGCACAGTACATTTTTTAAGCGCTAATAAAAAGAGACACACATCATAACAGAAACAAAAAGAAAGCTCATTGGAAACAGTTGAGAGTGGTGAAAAAATACTTTTCTTCTTCTTTTTTTTTCTTTTTTTTCCATATGAAATGAAAACTAGGAAGACTCCTGGAGGGCAAAGGATGAAGTACAAGCATTAATGACCGACCAGAACACAGAAGAGAGATCATCAGAAGTTTTTCCATTCTGAATATGCAACAGGATGATCAGTGCCAAAGGTGGGAACTTGGCCCAATGTTAGTTCAGGAGGCCAAAAAATTGTTCCACAACAGAAAGGCTGTGCATAACCAAGGCTCCTTACAATTCAAGAGGTAAGGAGTGAACTTGGAGATCAAGGGCTACTGAGGGGCTCCCCAGGGCCCCACGAAAATCATTAAGAAGCCATGTGTTTCCAGAGAGTTTTAATGCAGACAAAGCTGCTCCATTTTAGAAAAAGATAACCCTAGAACATCCAGCAGCAAGGACATAATCAGTTATAATGCTTCAAAGAACCAACTTGCATTCCTTGAACTGCATCGAGGGCTACAAGCTTAAAGACCTCTTAGTCACTTGAAACTCGTGAAGAAATGAGCTTAAGAAGAGCCTCTCAGAAGCTTAGTTGTTTAAAGTAGAGGGCTTCTAAAATTACAGCAAAGGAATAAGAACTATGTATGCATATGATATAGAAGGAAGGCACGATCACCTCCTAAGGGAGTGAGATCCTCCTTCAAGAGAAAGGGACAGCCAGGCTGGTTTTAATACCGTCAAGTGTTCTGGCAGGCAAAAAAGAGGATGAACCATTTCTTCATGTCATCAAATAGCATGTTCAGATGTTTCAGCATCAATGCATGGGAAGTCTTATTAATGTAGTCCTGTTGGCACCTGGTGCCCAGTGCCTGAGAACAGTCAAGGGATGGGAGGGCAGACAAGCAGTAAGGCAGGACAGCCATCTGACCAGCCCAGGGTGTGAGACCAGAGCCAGATGTCCGAGGTCCTGTGTATCGTAACAGTCTGAACTCAATCCTGTGGGCACTGAGGGTTGGGCTTTTAGCAGGTCAGTGACACAGTGAGATTTCTGTGTCCAAGAGCTCATCCGGCAACATGGAGGATGGGTTTCAGGCGGGGAGACCAGTTAAGAGGAAACAATCTAAATGAGAGATGATAAATTAGGATAGTGAATGATGGAAGATGGAGAAAATTTCCTCAGCTGTCCAGGAGGTAAAATCAGAACTAGATGAATTACTCAAGGTGAGGTGGCATAGGAAAGACAATATTAAGAGTAAGATGGATAATGGTCCCACAAATCCCGGCAGGAAATTAAGGAGGAAGTTAGGTGACACACTGATCCCGAGAAACTGACACATAGTTCAGTGGGCAGGGGCCCAGAAATCAGGGCACAGAGCACTGCAGGAGCACAGATCCGGACATTCAGCACCATAAAGGTTGGAGTAAAAACAATGAAGGTGGGTGACGGGTGAGATCACTCATAACAGAAATTCTTACATTCTTAGGATGTGAACTCCTTTCAGAACTTGATGAAAAATTCTGCAACCTCTCACCAAAAAAAAAAAAAAGTGGGGTCGTACAGGAAGAAAGAGAGTTTAAAAGCACATGAACATTTTGAGAAAAAATATCAGGGAGCTCGTGGGCTTCCCTGCTGCCCACACAGGGACTATAGGTTAAGAAATCTTGAGGAGGCAGGTGAGCGAGCAGAGACGGGAGGTGAGTGGGGGTCGGGGAAATAAAGGTCTAAAGCAGCATTTCTCATCCAGGATGCCACTGGCACATTTCAAGGAACAAGTCTTCACCAGATAGGATGCTGAGTACCCCTGGCCCAGCCCCTGGCCACTAAATACCAGAAATACCCATCTCTCCAGTCTGCAACAACCAAAACATGCACCCACATATTCCGGAATGGCACCACCCCACTGGAGAACCCCTGTTCAAGAGGGAGCAGACAAGGCAGCAAAGAAAACTTGGAAAGTTCCAGGATGGAAAGAAAAGCAGATCCAATCCTCCAGCCACCCCGCCAAAATATACCCAGGATGTGACCCTTCTCCTCACTTCCCCACCTCCACCATCAGCACCTCATCTAAGCCATCCCTTGCACGGATTGTTGCAATTATCTCCTAACTGGTCTTTCTACTTCTAGCCTTACTTCCCCTTGGCAAACACTTTCCATATAACAGCAGAGTGAACCTTTTCAATTTTACTAATTCTATTTAACAAACACTTTTATAATACTATCTGCCATGCTCTGTTCTTCACAAATATTAACTCTTCTAATCCTTACGACACTGTGAGACAGGTATCATTACTATCTCCATTTTACCGATAAGGCACAGAGAAGTTATGGAACTAATCCATGGTCCTACAGCCAGCAGGCAGACGGTTGGGTTTTTACCGCAGTAGCCAGCTCCGGAGTCTGTGCTCCTGCCTGCTACTCAGGCTGCAGTCCAGTTTATTCATTCCTCTATTCAAGACTCTCAACTGTCTTCTCACTCAGAGTCAAAACCAAGATCCTTGTCATAGCCAATAAGGCCTAAGGTATAGGGACCCCCACTACCTCCTCTGCCTCATCTCCAGCCCTTTGCTCCCCCCAGCCTTACCCGCATGGTGGCTGGGATGTGGGTACACATGTGAGCACTGGCTCCAGGGCCTCTGCACTGTGCCCTCTATCTGGAGCGTTCTTCCTGTAGGCAGCCAGAGAGCTGGCTCCTTCATTTCATTAAGGTCTCTACTCAAATGTGCTTACATTAGCAAGGGCTTCCTATCCATCCAATATCAAATAACACCTCTACTCCCACCCCTAGCATTTTCAATCCCCCCACCTTATTTTTTTCTCTAAAGCATTTATCACCAAATAAATAAAGTGAAAATATTTGTTCATTTATTATCTCTCTCCCCCTAGTACAGTGTGCTCTCCATGCAAACAGGAGCTTTGTGTGTTTTACTCTCTGCTATATCCTCATTCATGGAGGGGCATGCAGTTTGGCTTTGAATGAACAACTAAAAGGATGAACAAACAGGCTGGGTGCGATGGCTCATGCCTGTAATCCCAGCACTTTGGGAGGCTGAGGCGGGTGGATTACCTGAGGTCAGGAGTTTCAGACCAGCCTGGCCAACATGGTAAAACCCCCATCTCTACTAAAAATACAAAAATTAGCTGGGTGTGGTGGTACATGCCTATAATCCCAGCTACTCGGGAGGCTGAGGCAGGAGAATTGGTTGAGCCCGGGAGGCGGGGGCTGCAGTGAGCCGAGATCGTGCCACTGCACTCCAGCCTGGGCGACAGAGCGAGACTCTGTCTCAAAAAAATAAATAAATAAATAAAAAATAAAGAACAAAGAAAGAGTGATGCCAAGGAAGCAACGTTTCAAGATGGAGGGAGACAGCCCAACAGTGTAAACATGCTGCAAACAACTTCAGTTATATTAGGGCTGAAAAGTTTCCACTGGTTTAGGCAATTAAGATATGGATGCCTGTGGCATGAAACGTTTCTAAGAAATGGTACCTGGCTGGGGAGTGAGTTGGCAGGTGAAGTAGTAGAAGCAATAAGCACAGACAACCCCTGTAAGAAGCTGGCTGAGAAAGGAGACAGCTAGAAGCAGCACCAGGGTCAATGGACTTGACATATTGTTTCCAGGCCCAAAGCAAAAAGTCAAGGAAAGGCGAGACTGAATTCGGGAGAGAGGATGGATTACTGATAGAGAAGGGCCCCGAAGACAGCGGGATCCAGGGTGTGCATGGTGAGGAGCTCTTCTCCCATCCTTGCATGACTTGAACAGACAGGGTTGTCTCTAACTCCAGTTCTCTTCAGAGCTACTTGCCTGGATAGACTGCAGAGGGGTCAGTGCCTGTCCTCCCCAGAGAGCAGAGGCCTGTCCTGCCTCCCAGTTCAAACAAAATGATTATTCAGAGTTCATGGAGTTGGGTAAGGGGAAGGCACTAACTCTCCACTGAGGTACTTCATATCCATTTGTTTCTGTATGTGGACATACATAAACATCTCCTTTATTTCAAAACAACCCAGAGTGAAGAATCAGTGGCCCCATTTAGACATTAGAAACTTGAGGCTCGATAAGGCTCACAACTTCTTCAAGGCTACACCTGTGTAGCCAGGCTTTAACTTAAGTGGGCACTCTTTCCAATCATGCCATTACTCAGCAGAATACAACAGGGGAAGAAACACATAATCAAGAATAGAAAAATTAAAATTAAGTGAATGATCTAGGTTGGGAGGTTTTCAAAGAAAAGTAATATAATTATCAATAGGAAACATTTTTTAAAAAGTGTATTTGAGATTAGTTAAAAGGGATAAGGTATGTATGTACCCTCATCACCAGACTTTATTATTATAACAGAGAGCAAATAACAAAAAAAGAAAGGAAAAGAGGGAGAAGGAATGTCTGAGTAGGAAAGCCTTCCACAAAGGCTATTGTAAGGAAACTAGAAATGTGATTAAACGTGACAAAAACACATTATCAAGTACTGGCTTGGAGATAGCTGCTTTTCATTTAGTTGGTCATCCAGCTGTGATAATTAACAATACTGTGTAATACCATGTGTATATCAACTGATACAATAAAAAAGGATATAACAGACAACTGATTTTTGACAAGGGTGCAAAGGCAATTCAATGGAGAAAGAATAGTCGTTTCAACAGTGTTGGAACAACTGAATTTCCATATGCAGAAAATTAACTTCCATCCATAACTCACACCATGTAAGAAATACAAAATGCATCACAGATCTAAATCTAAAACATAAAACTTCTAGAAGAAAACATAGGAGAAAATCTTTATGACCTTAGGCTAGGCAAAGATTTCTTAAATACCACACCAAAAGCCCAATCTATAAAAAACAAATTTATAAGTTGAACCTCATCAAAATTAAAACCTTCTGCTTTTCAAAAGTCACTGTTAAGAAAACGATGAGACACAAACTGGGAGAAATTCTTTGCAAAGCATATATTTGATGAAACACTTGTATTCAAAATATATAAGAATTCTCAAAATTTAATAATAAGAAAACAACCCAATAAAAACATCAGCAAAAGACTAGGACACTTCACCAAAGAAGATACAAAGATAGCATAAAAAACACATGAAAAGATTCTTTACATCACTAGTTGTTAGGGAAATGCAAATTAAAACCACAATGATGGCTGGACACATGGCTCATGCCTGTGATCTCAACACCGGGAGGCCAAGGTGGGAGGACTGCTTGAGGCCAGGAGTTCAAGACCAGCCTGGGCAACATAGCAAGACCTCATCTCTACAAAATAAAATATTTTAAAAAACAGCCGGGCATGGTGGCACATGTGTGTGGTCCTAGCTACTTGGGAACTATGACTGTACTACTGTACTCCAGCCTCGGCAACAGAGCAAGACCCTGTCTTTAAAATTAAAAAAATAAAAATTTTAAAAACCCACAATAAAATACCACAAATGTCTAAAAAAGACCAACTATGCCAAGTGTTGACAAGGATGCAAAGGAAACAGCATGTTTACCTGCTGGTGGTTAAGAATGTAAAATGGTACAATCACTTGGGAAAACAGTTTGGCAGTTTCTTAAAAAGCTAAGCATACACCTACCATAAGATCCAGCCATTCCACTCCTGGGTACTTACCCAAGATAAATGAAAGTATATGTCTATACAATACTTGTATGCAAGTATTCATAACAGCTTTATTTGTAATAGCCAAAAATTAGCAACAAATCTAATGTTCATCAATAGGTAGATAAATGAATTGCTGTGTACTCACACAATGAAATACTACTCAGCAATGAAGAGGAATAAACTACTACTACATAAATCAACATGAATGAATCTCCAAACCATTATTCTGAGTTTAAGAAGCCTCAACAACAAAAAAAAGTATATTACTGCATAATTCCATTAATCTAAAATTCCAGAAAATTTGAACTACTCTATAGTGACAGCAGACCAGTGGTTTAGAGGAAACGGGAGAATGAAAGGAAGATAAATTACAAAGGAGAATGAGAAAATTTGGGGTGGGCATGGTGGCTCTCGCCTGTAATCCCAGTACTTTGGGAGGCTAAGGTGGGCGGATCATTTGAGGTGGAGAGATAAGCCTGGCCAACATGGCAAAACCCAGTCTCTACTAAAAATACATAACTTAGCCAGCCATGGTGGCACAAGCCTGTAGTCCCAGCTACTCGGGAAGCTGAGGCAGAATTGACTGAACCTAGGAGGCAGTGGTTGAGTGAGCCAAGATCATGCCACTGTACTCCAGCCTGGGCAACAGAGCAAGACCCTGTCTCAAAAAAAAAAAAAAAAAAAAGAAATTTGGGAAAGTGATGTGGGAATGATTTCATGTGTATACATAGATCAAATCTTGTAAAATTGTACAGTTAGGTATGTGCAGTTTATTGTGTGTCAATGATATCTCAATAAAGCTGTTTAAGGCTGGGCACGGTGGCTCATGCCTGTAATCCCAGCACTTTGGGAGGCCGAGGCAGGCGGATCACGAGGTCAGGAAATCAAGACCATCCTGGCTAACATGGTAAATCCTGTCTCTAATAAAAATGTAAAAAATTAGCTGGGCGTGGTGGCGGGGACCTGTAGTCCCAGCTACTCAGGAGGCTGAGGCGGGAGAATGGCATGAACCCGGGAGGCGGAGCTTGCAGTGAGCCAAGATCGTGCCACTGCACTCCAGCCTGGACGACAGAGCAAGACTCCGTCTCAAAAAATATATAAATTAATTAATTAAATAAAGCTGTTTAAAAAAAGAAATATAAGGGAAGTCATTATACACTAAAAAGAAAAAATACAGCACAAATAAACTACTATAAGATATTCTGACATTTAACGTATTAGAACTTCCCATAGAAATGAACAAATTTTACCTTCAACATTACAAAACATCCCTATTTCTCACTGGTATTTTTACAGTAGAGTTTCATCGATTATAAATCCACTCAAATATTTTAAGCAAAAATAAGGGTAAAACCTTACTTTCTGCCCAATATCTATCCATTAAAGAGAATCCCAATTTCTTTTAAACATATATACTTGTATCTGGAAGAATAATTTAGTCTTAAGCGATTTTCCAATAGTAAAATTACTATAAGGATAAACATGATTTAGCACTCACGAGCCAATGATAGCTAACAACAGTGACCAAATATAACAACAGTGACAAAATATATTACCTACATAAAACCTGGTAGCAAACCATCACAGCTCTCCTCTTGTTATAACCTGCATTTACATCTGATTTCTTTTTAAAACAAAGAGTAAAACATATGCTAATGAGTAAGAAAATATTTTGCTGCATACATAAAATTTGGACAGCCCTACAGTTCACTGCAATATTTTGTGATATATCTGAATGTGATTTAAAAAAAAAAAAAAACACTTGCTAAGAATAGCTTTCTAAATCCTATAGCAAGTCTGTGAAATAAATGGGTAATAAATATTATTGGTGTTAAAAAGCTCAAGGCAACTTGTTCAAGGTCACCCAAGTAACCAGTGGACATATATACATGGTGGAAAAAAAATAACAAGGGTTCCCAACCATAACTTTCCTCTCCTCCACAGTGGCAGCTACTCGTGATGCGAATGTCCTGCAGGCACAGAGGGCCTACACGAGGCAAATCACCTGGTGTGCCCCTCTCAGGGCTTGCTCTCAACATTTTTAAAATCAGGTCTAAATAAGCACCAGGGTAAGGGTCTGGCTTGCAGGGGCATCTCTCTCTTCTCATGCCTTCCTGACTAGAAAATCAGGAGTGGGGAAATGTAGGAACAAAAGGAACAATTTTCTTTTGTGAAGCAAATATATGGAAAGAAAGCCTAAGCTTCACTTTTCCAATTCTGACCAGATAAACTACTCACTCCTCCTCTTCGAGAGCACCCAACAGGGGCTCAAAAATGCTGCTTTCATCCTCCTTGCTCTCCCAACCCAAGAGCACCCAGGCTACGGAAACCTCAGGGTCCAGACCACTCAAAGGATCACAGTTTGGGAACCCCCGAGGTGGACTGCAGAGGAGTACGTTCTGAAGGACTTGAATCAGCTCCAAAGTGCCCCCACACACTCAGTGATCTATAAGATACAAAACTAGAAAGAACTAGAACTACACTCTAAGGGTGTGAGGAAATGATTTTTAAGGAATACTAAAGTCCTAAAAAACAAGTCAAGAGAAAAATGCAGAATTATGTAAGAAGTAGAGATTACAAACATCAATAACAGACATAAGTACTTCAGAGTTAGAGGACATCAAGCTAATATTTCGTAAAGAGCAACCACATGACAAAAATACTCAAAGCTGTAAGCCTTCCTTGGCCTTGGAAGGTCATGAGACTTTTTTTTTTTTTTTTTTTTTTGGCTAAAACAAGGAATGCTTTAGTGAGAGAGAAGAAAAGAACTTCCAGACTTCTAGGTGGCTCCCACTTTTTTTAAAAAAAACTCCTCCTCTCTCTTAAGTGTATGGTCCAGTGATGTCTGGTTACCATGCAAGTCACATCAACAGCTGGACAGCACTGAGCATCCTTAGAACTCTAGGTCTTGTTTTTCTACTAAAGTTTTCCCAATCTTCCTTTGATGTCTGGCACCACCAGCCGACAGCAGCTGACTAACGTGTTATCATGTGACGCTCTGTAAAATAGTAAGGCACAGTAAGATTTTTTTTCCTTTCAGTAAGCTTATGCTGATAAAAAAATAATTATTTTAATGATGTATTTAGAAAAAGGATTATGTACAACAGAAAGTCACAAGGGTAACACTAATTAAAAGGTGTCTCAATTTATTACTACGAATATTTCACAGAACCTACATGCATTTTTACCTGATATTTGCAAAGGCCGTTTCATATTATACATATAACCAGCAAAGAAGGAATATAGAAAAGTGTGGGTCTGGCTTTTCTATCATGAAAAGCAAATTTAACAGTGATAAAGAAGGCAATCAAGATACAAATACAGAAGCCAGGCATGGTGGCACACACCTGTAGTCCCAGCTACTCAGGAGGCTGAGGCAGGAGGATCACTTGAGGCCAGGAGTTTAAGACCAACTGGGCAACATAGTAAGACTCCATTTCAAAAAAAAAAGATAAAGATACAAACTGATATTACGATCTTACTCATTATATCAACATATTTATTGAGCACCTACTACATATACTGGGCACTGGTGATTAAACCAGGTATTATCAACTTCATATTAACCTAAAGGGCAAGAAAAGGACCCTAAGTGATTAAATAATATATAAATTGTGGTAAATATTCAGAAGCAAAAGTGATTACGCTATGAGGGAGAAAATAAAGGACATTTAATTCGCATGACGATAAGGGTGGGCTTGTCAGAGAAGACCTTTATGAGAAAGGACATTTGAGCTAGCACCCAAGGATGATAAGTTACTCAAGGAGATGATCCTAAAATAGGGAGACCAACAGCATGAGCCACAGGCCTGAGGCTAGTCTGCTGGAGAACTGGCCAAGATGACAGCAAGAGATGCAAGTGGATGTAGAGATCAAATCATGCAGGATCCTGAAGTAATGTCAAGGATTTGGTATCTTATCCCAAAAATAAATAAATGTGTTTCCTGAGAGCCCTGACAACTTTAAGACGGCAAATACTTTTTCTTTTTTTTTTCAGGCTGCTGGTAGTAAAACAGACTGCAAGGGGTGCAGAGTGTGTGCAGGAGGCACCGCACCAAGGAAAAAGATAATACAGTACAGTGGCTTGCATTAGGATGGCAGAATAGTGGGGACTGAAAATCAGACCGGTTTGAAAGAGATTTTGCAATAAAAATGGACAGCAGGACTTTATGATGGACTGGTTTGCTAGGGCTGATAGAAGAAAAGAGAGAGTGGAGTGAGCTACTCCTTGGATGGATGAGATGAAAAATGGAGGGGGAACAGTTTGAAAGTTTGAGTGACCAAGAGCTCAATTCTGAAGGAGTTTGAGATGTTGTCATTTATTGGCTGAAATGTGCCAGGCACATCTAATATATATTAGATGTTCTACTCACCATAGCATCCCTTTAAGTAGTGGTATCCCCATTTTCCAGAAATGCAACTGTAGATCACAGAGGCTGAAGTGGCATGGCCGAGCTCACTCACCTCGGGAGTGACAAAGTCACACGTGCAACCCAAGTCTGGCTGGCAGTGGGGTAAACATTCTTTCCACTATACAGAATACTTGGAAACTCTCTCTACACTTTGAATTTTTAAGTCTATTTAGGGTTAGAGCAAGTTAGCATCAAAGAAGAGTAAATAAACGTTATATTATTTTGTAATCCAAATCTTTAATTTATGATGCATGTTTTTCTATCCAACTCCCATTCCCACTCCACTTTTACTTGCAAAGAGTTTTGTAATGTTTTGAACACTAGCAAGATATCTAAGATCTTAATGTTTTATAATAAAGGAGCAAAGCCATTATGCCAGGAATTAACCATAAGAAAAAGACAACAATATCCCACGGCAAACAATATTTTTACTTCCAAGTCATTATATACATCAACATAAAACAGATCAATTAATGAGTCAGAAACCCTGAAGAACTAATCATTTCTCAAAACACAAGGCAGTCAGGTCAAAAACTGACGTAAGTCACCACGTATAGAAGCCTACAAGAGCCAAACACTGAAGATTCAGGTTAAAAGGTTGCAACCTTAAAAAAATAAATAAAAGGCAAAACAAATTATACAACCATGTCGAATTTTAAATCTGTAATTACCAAATATCTGAACCAAATGCCAAATTCAGGAAACATGCATCCTATAAACAACTTAAACACTCTCTGTTCTTTGTAACTGTTTTTTCCAGAAGCACACTGACACTTCTGCAAAGTGAAGTGCCTTTCCTGCCTGCACAGCCCCATGATTTGCTCCCTCTCAGGGCCCTCTAATGCACCCCTAAGCTACTAAAGCCCAGACATAAGATTTGATCAATAAACCTAGAAAGAACTCAGTGCATTACTGCCAATTGTGTCCATCACAGAAAGTACCACCTGGAGACTCTTGAGGAAAAAAATGAGGAAGGGGGAGATTTTTGAAAGGTTTTATCATCTGTATTACAAATTATATTTTGTTGTACTTGATCCTTGAATAGAATAATCATCAAACTATGTTCAGTCTTCTTCAAGTGGGGGATGGTCATGTGTAATTTTATGGTTTGGGGAGTGTGCCTCATAGAGATAAATAAAATTAAAAGTACCATTAGTATGCCCGCTAAAAGATAAAACTCACACAAACCACTTCCCCAAATGATAGTGCTGTCTCCTGCGTCCTGATTTTTGCGTCCACCCTGCACCTCTCCCTGCAGAAAGCTGGCTGGCATTCACTACCGCCTCACTCTGGCAAAGGACAGGATGTCGAAAACCCATTAAGAAAGCTTCTCATTTTCTGTTCCTTCATAACATGATGGCAACTCCTGGCAACTCCAAGATGAAAGGCAAAAAAGAAAATAAAAACTACCTGGGGCCCCCTACCAGAATGAGTGGTTAATCTAATGGAGAGAAAAGCAGAGATTTATACATATTTTAAAATGCTTCCTGGGGACAAAGCAGATCTAATGAATTGCTGAGCCACAATCTACTGGAAAATCCATAAATGTTCGTCCCTGCTGTCACAGGGCTAGAGGATTTTTTTTTTTAATGAAATGCTTTAATGCTAACCTGACAGGGCTAACCTGACAGGTTTAAGTCAGCTATGAGACGTGATTTGCATTCATTTCGCTTCTAAATCCCTAAAGATCAGCAACAATATTGACCCGCAATTATATATCCTACGTTGCACTGTTCAAGATGCCATTTGAGGCTGGGAAAGTAGTGGTTTAGCAACACCAGGCGGCTCTATGATGCTAAAATAACAACGCAACACTGGATTCCGAACCCAAGTACTCATCTTTTAAAACCCAGTGCCGCACCAGGACCCACATTCAAAGCTCGCGTCCCTTCAAGTTGAATCTTCCGGCTTTGTGCGATTTACCCTCTCAAACTTTCTAGTTTGCAAGTCAGAATTACTTTGAACGTCCCCTCTTCTGGACTCCCCTCCCCAAAGGGACTGGCGGCAAAGGAGAATAGAATGCAGATGGTTAATAGTTCAAATGAAATTTAAAAACCTATAAACCAATATTTTTTTAGAGGAGAAAAGCGTTCACCAAACCGCCACCCGGCAAGCGAGCATCCGATTTCCATCCGGAGGAAAAAATATTTTAAAAACCAGACATAAAATTCCCTTTGCAAGAAAAGTGGCCTCTAAACTCCCTTGCCAAGGACACTGGGAGGAAGCAGAAAAGCAAAGACCAAGCTCGTACTTTTCAGTCCGCGGCTTGTGTGCCGCGAGGAGAGGCGCAAAGGGTGACACACCAGGAAAGGTGAACGCAGAGGGAGCGGGAGCCCGCGGCGGGGCAGGGTGGGGGCGGAACGGACGAGGTACCCAAGGTGCGGAGAGAGGGGCAACCGGGCGGAGGGCAGCTCCGAGGCTGCAGGCGGGACGGGCGGGGTCCCCGGCGCAGCCCGGATCGCCGCCGCTAAGTAAAGTTAATACTTACTCAGTTTCGCAACTGCGCCGCCCCCGCAGGCCGCCCAGAGGGGCCGGCCGGGGCGCTGGGGACGCGGCGGCACCCGGAGCTCCGCGGCCGCCCAGCGCCCGTCCCCGCGCCGCACTCCCCGGCACTCCCCGGCGCTCCCCGCGCCGCGCGCCCCGCACCGGCTGGAGGCCCCGGCCCCCCGGCGTTCCCTCTCCGCGCACCTCCCGGCCCGCGCTAGGTGAGTGTGGACGCCACTGGCGGGGGTGCCGCGGTGCGCGAGCGCTCGGCCAGCGGCAGAGACGCCGCGGGAGCCGCCCCCAGCGCCAACGCCGCCGCGGGCGGGAAGGGCGAGGCTCGGCGAGGCTGGGCGAGGAGCTGGGCGGCAGACGCTGAGCGGGGCGCGGCGCGGGGCGCCGGACGAGCGCGGGCGTAGGAGGAGCGCGGGCGTAGGAGTCGGCGACCCGCTCGCTCCCGCGGCCGGTGCCTCTGGGCTGGGGGCCGGGCTGGGGGCCGGGCCGGGCCGGGCCGGGCCGGGCGGCCAGGCGGCTCCGCCCCTTCGCCGGGCAGCGGCTGAGCGCGCGAGAGGAGCGGCGCGGGGGCGCCCCCCTCGGCCGGGCGCTCGGGTTTCAGCCGCCGCTCCTCCGCGCCCCGCCCGCGCCTGGCCCGCTCGCCGGCGCCGGGAGAGACCTCGTAACGGAACTGGGACGCCAGCGCTGCATTGTGGGAGCTTTTAAAGCGGCGGGGAGCTCGGCGCGACCCTCGGGCCCACCGGGCCACGCTCGCCCGGCCCGCGACGCCCCCCCGCTGTCGCCTGGCCCGCGACGCACCGAGGCCTGAGGACCCGAAAGCCGGGCGCGGGGAGATGACCGGTGGCTCGTGACGGTCCCACGGGCAAAATCTTCCATCGCCCGGGGCTGAGACTTGTCAAACTGCCCTCTACGGTCACCCGGAAAGTAGGAGGCTTTTTCTGCAGAGGGGAAAAAAATCAAAAAGAGCCGTTCCATCCCCCCTCCAAGGACTGGGTTTGAATTGCTTTTCATCTGCAGTGGCTGTGATTCAGCGTCCCTCTTAGCAGCAGGCAATGACAGAGGCAGGAGAGGGGAAAAAAAAAAAGAAAGAAAGAAAAAACACAGCAAATGAATCAAACGGACGTGAGTAACAAAAGTTTAGAAAGAGCTGGGCTCGTATTCAGAAAAAACGCCTCATCCCCCCGCCCCGCTGCACTCCCAACCCCTTTAAAAATAGCAGATAATCAAGAAAGGAAACGGGTGCTTTCATATGGAAATACAGATGTGTATGTTGTTTTCAATATTCTACTGTTTTTTTGTGTGTGGCATGCAATTACTCAGGCACTGGGCAAAATTCAGCCTTTGGATTTTGTGGTCACACATACCCCAACTCCGCAACAGCTATTAATTTGCAGGGCGATGGGGTGCGGATAGTGGATGAGATACAAGAAAGCATTCCAATTAAAATGCCCCCCCCCACCCCGCCTTTTAATTTTCCAGACACTTGCTTTTATTTTTCTTTTTTTAAACATCATCAAAACAAGAATATTAAACTTGAAGCAGAATTTGTTACAGCGTATCTGACTCAGGACCTGATTTAAGGTTTGGGGTTTTTTGGCCCTTTGTTTCTTCCTCTTGTTTTTTGACCTTTAGTTACTCCACACCTCATTAGTTCCTTGACCTGCAGGTGGACTGAGAAGAGAGCCATGGTAAGACTCAAATTTGTCAAATCAACATTTGGAGAGGAGAAAGTTCACTGTGATTCAAATGCAAAACCAAAGGGAATATGATTTAAAAGTCAACCTGGAGGGCATGGATCCTCCCTTAACCCTACTTGACTCTTTTCAAAGGAGTTGCCTAGCCTTAAGGTGAATGTTTCCTAACCTCTCATTCCCTTCTCAGCCTTTCACTCCACTGAACAACATCAGCCATTGCTTAATTGCCAAATCTAATGGAAAAATTTAATTCCCATCTTGTGCCCTTTGTGGCATTTGCCAATGTTGACCTCTCCTTCTTAGAACTTTCTGCCTTTTGGCCGGGCGCGGTGGCTCATGCCTATAACCCCAGCACTTTGGGAGGCCAAGGCTGGCAGATTGCCTGAGGTTGGGAGTTCGAGACCAGCCTGACCAACATGGAGAAACCCCGTCTCTACTAAAAATACAAAATTAGCCGGGCATGGTGGCACATGCCTGCAATCCCAGCAACTGGGAGGCTGAGGCAGGAGAATCGCTTGAACCTGGGAGGCAGAGGTTGCAGTGAGCCGAGATCACGCCATTGCACCCCAGCCTGGGCAACAAGAGCGAAACTCCATCTCAAAAAAAAAAAAAAAAAAAAAAAAAAAACTTTCCTCCTTTCTTTGGCTGTGGTAGTGATCCCTCTTTTGTGTACTTCTTGAAGCAGGTAGCAGGCAAGAGTGTGGTTATCGTTGGACCAGGATTCAGGATCTGACTGAGTAGCTGACTCTTAATCCAGTTTGTGTTGATCACCAGGAGGATCTGGACCTCAGTATTACCACATCTAGAGGTGAGCAAGTTGACTGACTCTTGATAACTAACTCTTATATGATGAGCATTTATATCAGGACAGAACTTCCTGATTGGATAACAATACCTACTATTTAGGAAAAACCCTTCCTAAAAATCCAGGTATCCTCACCTCCAGTCTTACTGATGGCTGCCAAAGTCAGTGAATTTGCCTCCATTCAGTGCTGGATAAGTGCAGAAAAATCTTTACCCTACCTAGCCCATTTGGTTAATGCGTTCTTTCTTCAGAGTGTAGTACAATTTGTTTTAAGCTTTTTTTTTTTTTTGGTAGCTATAATCACATCCCTGTTAAGCCTTCCTGAGATCACACCAAATGTCCTTGATGGGAATTGTAAACAACCCTTACTTCTGGTTTCTAATGATATTCCAGGAAAGGAGCCTAACTAGAGTCAGTGAGTATTCATGCACTTCAAACCCTGTGACATAATAAGATTTGATTTTTAAGAAAACAACTTGAGAGGATGGATTCAGAAAAGAGGCAGATCCAAGGGAGAGTCTAAACTGGAGAGCAGTGGCAATGAACAGGAGGAGGCCATATCGAGAGATGAATTGATCATCTTATAGACCTGGAGGTCAGAAATCTAAAATCAAAGTGTGGGCTGTGTTCCTTCTGGAGGATCGAGGGGAGAATCCATTTCCTTGCCCTTTTCAGCCTCTAGATGCCACCTGCATTCCTTGGCTTATAGTCCCTTTCTCTATGTTTAAGGCCAACTGCATAGCATCTTCCCCCATTTCTTTGTAACTTCTGCTTCATGGTGATGGGGACATCTCTCTCTCTGATCGTAGGAATTGATTTAGATGCTTTTCTAGCCATATGTATTATGAACTAAATGCAGTTGAATTACTTATGGGAGGAAATGGCAGGTGACCTCATTACTTGTCAAATCATCGTTAGATAACTGACTTGACTGTTAAGATTGCTGAAGCAGTGATTTATTACCTCAGCTAAATCTGTATCAATCTGGTGACCCGTGTAACTGAAACCAAGATGTTAACACTGTAAGAAAACCTAGCTTATGTTTGCAGCTCCTGAGAATAAATCCCTTTATCTTGAAATACCTGGAAATCCCTTTTTAATGTCCAGTGGAGTCATATTGCCAAGTTTGAGAAATGTGTCTAGACCAGTATTTCCCAAACAGCCCACCAGACAACACCAGCCTGTAAGATGGTGATATTGTTTGGATGTTTTTTCCCTCCAAATTTCGTGTTGAAATGTGACCGCCATGTTGGAGTTGGACCTAGTGGAAGGTATTTGGGTGATGGGGAATCTCTTGTGTGGCTATGTACCTTCCCTGCAGTAATGAGTTCATGAAAGATCTGGATGTTTAAAAGAGTCTGTGATCTTCCTCCTCTCTCTCTTGCTCCTGTTCTTGCCAGGTGATATGCCAACTCCACCTTTGCCTTCCACCATGTTTGGAAGCTCCCTGAGGCCTCACCAGGAGCAGATGCTCGTCCCATGCTTCCTATAAGCCTGCAGAACTGTGAGCCATAATAAACTGTGAATTATAAATTGCCTTTATAGCAATGCAAATGGACCAGTACAGATGGGATGCTGGGAAGACAGTTGTTTCCACCTTCAGTAAAGTCCGTGGAACACAGTTGTGACTATATTCTAGGCCAGCCAAGATGCTTGTACTCAGAAAGGAGTGGTCTCAGGACCATAAGAAAGTGAAAAAATAAAAATAAGAAAATAAAGAAGGGATTGTCAATGAATCAGAATTCATCAAGGTCAAAGTCTTAGGAAATTCCTTCATGAGGAAGTCTAGGGGGGCTATGGAAATGAAATTTTTAAACAAATAGGTATGTGGTGCTGGCAGGAATAAATTATGGACTTATGAATATAACATAAGATTCTTTATTACCTGGTCTCACCCGTCTTTCCACCTCTGCCCCCCTTCTTGCCCGACTCTGTGTATCACCCATAATAAACTACTTACAGCTTCCTAGTGTTAAATTTACCCTAAAGCTGCCTCCTTCAATATTTTAAGTTTAACCTAAAGGTTCTTCATACATAGTGAACTATAACCCAATGATTAAACAGATTGTAACCTACTCTTGTACCAGTCACCAAGTTTCAGCCAATCAGAGGTGGCCAACTGTTCAAACCATGCTCAAATAAGGGAAATGTCATGGTGTAACTAATCCAGCTGTTTCTATACCTTACTTCTGTTTTCTTAGGTCACTTTCCTTTTTTGTCCATAAATTCTCTCCAACCACTCAGCAGCACTGGAGTCACTCCAAAGCTATCCTGGTTCAGGGGTCTGTCTGATTCACAAGTCATTCTTTGTTCAATTGAGCTCTGCTAAATTTAATTTGTCTGAAGTTTTTCTTTTAACAGATGGTGTCAGAAATGGACCCCAAAGTAGAGCTCCCAGTGATCCCCCAGGAGCACTGAGTGACCACAAGGGGTACCTGCTGGGCCCGTCCTCTCGCAGTGTCCACTGCTCTCTTACAGCAACTGGAGATTGTGGCTGCATTCTCTCTCAGATTCTGAAGCTCCATACATTGCCGTTTTCAGCTGTTCAAGCTTGCTTGAGCAAATTTTTGATCTTAGCTGAGTTTGGAAGTCGATAGACATTGGACTGGGTCCAGGATTTGATTGGATCTGATAATTAACTGGCTTGGATCCAGTTAGATGCCTCGGTTATCTGACTGGGTCAGATAGAAACCGCCAGTAAATATTTTAATAACAATACTGCAGGGGTATGAACTCTGGCTTTAAGAAACTCACAAGGAATTTTATGTTCTATACCCTTTGTTTCTTTTTCTTGTGTGCTTCGGTCAGGAAAAATCATTAGTCAAGTTAATCAAGGGGATCTGAGAGCCAAATACAAGATTCAACGTAAAAATGGAATCCTTGGGCTAGGCGTGGTGGCTCAGGCCTGTAATCCCAGGACTTTGGGAGGCTGAGGCAGGCGGATCACCTGACCTTAGGAGTTCGAGACCAGTCTGGCCAACATGGTGAAACCCCGTCTCCACTAAAAATACAAAAATTAGCCAGGCGTGGTGGTGGGCACCTGTAATCCCAGCTACTTTGGAGGCTGAGGCAGGATAATCACTTGAACCCAGGAGGCAGAGGTTGCAGTGATCTGAGATTGCACCACTGCACTCCAGCCTGGGCAAAAGAGCGAGACTCCATCTCATAAATAAATACATAAATAAATAAAGAAATCCTTAATTTCTGCGGAACTGAGTGCTCTACCTTCTGGCTACACCTACGTATACCTGTATGAGGTATAGGCCCTGGAAGCAGCAAACACTTACAGAAATGGTGAAATCTTACTAAAGGTAATCTAAAGTTATGGTGGAACATCCCAAATGAACAACACTGCACTTTAGGAAGTACATATAAAAATGAAGTCTCCCAATTTAGTATTATTCAGGGATGGCTGTTGAAGTTCAGAAGCTTCTAAAAAGATTCCAATAATTTTACAGATTCTTTTAAAAGATTCTTTGTAAAAGGCAAATAAAAAGCTTAAGTGACTAATCAGAAAAATTAGGTCTTCTAACCTTTTGTCATTGTTACTGTCTTGCCCTGAAAGGGAAAAGAAAGCTGGATAAAGTATTTATAGAAGATAGAGGACCTGTGGTGGCTCATGCCTGTAATCCAAGGTGGAAGGATTGCTTGAGGCCAGAAGTTCAAGACCAGTCCAAGCAACATAGCAAGGCCCCATCTCTACAAAAAATGAAAATAAAATTAGCCGAGCGTGATGGCTCATGCCTGTAGTTCTAGCTTCTAGAGAGGCTGAGGCAGGAGGATTGCTTGAGTCCAGGAGTTCAAGATTACAGTGAGCTATGGTCACACCACTGCACTCCAGCCTGGGTGATGGAGTGAGACTGTCTCAATAAAAAGACAAAAAGGTAAGCCCTTAGGTAAAGTAAGCTTGCTTCTTTGTTAGAGCTATCCATGCTGAGTCCAGGCAAAGAAAATGCTTTCTTTGGCCTGGTGCGGTGGCTCATGCCTGTAATCCCAACACTTTTGGAGGCCAAGGTGGGCAGATCACAAGGTCAAGAGTTCAAGATGAGCCTGACCAACATGGTGAAGCCCCATCTCTACTAAAAATACAAAAATTAGCCAGGTGTGGTGGTGCGCACCTGTAATCCCAGCTATTCAGGAGGCTGAGGCAAGAGAATCACTTGAACCCAGGAGGCAGAGGTTGCAGTGAGCTGAGATTGCACCTTTGCACTCTCACTCTGGCCTGGGCAATAGAGCAAGACTCCATCTCAAAAAAAAAAAAAAAAGAAAAAAGAAAATGCTTTCTTTGCACAGTTCAGTAATGAGCTCTGCCCCGAACTCAGTAATTTTAGCAAAGAAACAGTAGCTAAGTTAAGAAGACCGCCTATTGAACTAAGTTGGTCTCCAAAATGTACCTTTCTGGCATTTAGATGGCTACTTTGAAACCCTTTTGTAAATGAAATTTACATCTATAAAGGAAATCGCCATCTGTAAGGGCATCTACACTGAGAAGAGGGTGGACTGGGTCACTAGAAACTCTTACCACTGATCTAACATAAATCTTACCATTGTTTAAGGTGCTTTTCCTTGCCATCTTGTCTTAACCGGGCCTTTACCGACACTTTTCTTCCTTGGTTTAGGGAACCAGTGGTACAGTATTTAGGCCCAAAGTCTCAGCTCTGTGCTTTTGAGATATGAATTTTTCACCGTGTTCCACCTAATAGCATCCCTTTAGAAGTACAAATTTAGGGCCGGGCGCGGTGGCTCACGCCTGTAATCCCAGCACTTTGGGAGGCCGAGGCGGGTGGATCATGAGGTCAGGAGATCGAGACCATCCTGGCTAACAAGGTGAAACCCCGTCTCTACTAAAAATACAAAAAATTAGCCGGGCGCGGTGGCGGGCGCCTGTAGTCCCAGCTACTCGGGAGGCTGAGGCAGGAGAATGGCGTGAACCCGGGAAGCGGAGCTTGCAGTGAGCCGAGATTGCGCCACTGCAGTCCACAGTCTGACCTGGGCGACAGAGCGAGACTCCGTCTCAAAAAAAAAAAAAAAAAGTACAAATTTAGGATTCCTAACAATTTCTTAGGGCAATGAATTAGGTAGTTGGAAGATTTATAGTCTAAATAGGGAAAAGAGACTATTTGAAAGCCAGCAAATGGGAATTGTTTATGAAAGTTATTAGATCTGCTTCTGTCTTTAAGTCTGTATGTCTATGTGTGTTATGTGTATGTGATAATATTTGGTAACTAAATATAGCATTTAAATGGTTAGCAAAATATAATAGGATTGAAACCACCTTTGCAAAATTATGACAGTAAGAAAAATCTGACATAGTTGACTCCATCTTGCTTCTGACCCCTAAACTGTCCTTAGTCATTTCATAGGCCTTGCTAACTTTCTGAGGAATTTAGTTTATAGTTGAACTTGAAACCAAGGATAATAGTCCCTCCCTAAAACTAATCCCCTCGTTGCTCAGGGACCAAAAACCACCTTTGTGAGACTAAGGAAAGGCCACAAGAATAGGATTATGGGAGGGCCTGAACTCCACTAACATGTAGGCATAGTTTCTATAATCCCATACTGCTCAGGGGTCTTGTTTCCAGAGGTCATAAGATTTGTGGCTTCCCTGATTGCTCTTATAGATAACATTCTATTGTAGAAACTAAGATGGTTTTTTTGAGATGTTTTACAGACTGACCCCACCCAGATCCATAACTCATGACTCACCTGGTCCTATGGCCCCACCCAGAAGTGTTATAGACTCAGGGGATGAGTACTGTTTTCCAAACCCCTATGATTCATCTCCAACCAATCAGCAGTATCCATTCCCTAGGCCCCTGCACACCAAATTGTCCACAAAAAACCCTAGCCTCCCAGCCTTCATGGAGACTGGTTTGAATGCTAACTCCAGTTCTCCTGTATGGGCTGGCCTCACGTCAGTTAAACTTTTTCTTTACTACAATGCCACGGTTTCAATGAATTGAGTTTGGGCATCGGGCAGAAAGAACCCATCAGGCAGTTACAGAAATAGCTTCAGAATTGTCAGTTAAATATAATTCAGGCATTTTTGCTTTAGTCTACTGGTCAGACAGGTCTATGCTGTCTCTGATAGATGTTTTAAGGTCACAAAACTGCTGATTCTGCTTTTTTTATTATTTTTTTTAGAGACAAAGTTTTCCTGTGTTACCCAGGCTGGAGTGCAGTAGTGTGATCATATCTTACTGCAATCTTGAGCCTCATGGGCTCAAGCAACCCTCCCACCTCAGTTTCCCATGTAGCTGGAACCACAGGCACGTGCCACCACACTCAGCTCGCTCGCTCTCTCTCTCTCTCTCTCTCTCTCTCTCTATATATATATATATATATATATTTTTTTTTTTTTTTTTTTTTTTTTTTTAAAGACAGGGTTTCACTATGTTGCCCAGGCTGGTCTTGAGCTTGTGACCTCGAGATCTTCAGAGTGCTGGGATTACAGGCATGAGCCACCATTCCTGGCCTTGATTCTGTAATATTTTTAACACTTATTTGATTTGCTCCCCCAAGCCTTGCACACATTTTACTGTGAGCTGGTCTTTGTTTTTTGTTTGTTTTGTTTTGTTTTGTTTTTGAAACAGAGTCTCACTCTTATTGCCCAGGCTCGAGTGCAGTGGAGCAATCTTGGCTCACCGTAACCTCCGCCTCCTGGGTTCAAGCAATTCTCTTGCCTCAGCCTCCTAAGCAGCTGGGATTACAAGCACGTGCCACCATGCCCAGCTACTTTTTGTACTTTTAGTAGAGATGGGGTTTTGCCATGTTGGCCAGGCTGGTCTCGAACTCCTGACCTCAGGTGATCTGCCCACCTTGGCCAGTGCTGAGATTAAAGGCATAAGCCACCATGCCCAGCCTGTGAGCTTGTGTTTGGTTTTGAGCTTCTGGAGTCTGGACAGGTGGCCATGGTGAGGCTTAGGGTCATGTCCTCACTGCCTAGACCAGTAACTTCAAAGCAGAGTCACGCCCAAGAGTCACCCCTTCTTGGTCATCCTGGGAGTGATCAGATCCTCCAGGCATCCTCTTTAAAACTGTGTACTGTGTCCTGAGTTGTATACCTGGAGCGTAATTTCAGGACTCAGAATGGTCCAGCCCTCGTAGCTGTCCTAGGTACCATGTGAGTACTCAGAACCCAGGACTGCTAGGGAAGACATTAGGGAATATACCTGTGTTAGTTTCTAAATTATTTTAAGTAATTTAAAATCTTAAAATTATGTTATATTACAATAAGTAATAGATGATTATGAGATAACCGAGTGATTTCTAAATAAGTTAAAAATCTGAAAGATTATTAAACATAAGTTTATATATGTTGGCATCTTATTTTTGTGTGGCATAGAAAAGCTAGTTATATTCAGATTTGTTAATAAACAAAAAATTAAAACATCTTTCTAAAATATTATGAAATTATTTTCATCAATAAATACTTATAGGCCAGGTGTGGTGGCTCATGCCTGTAATCCCAGGATTTTGGGAAGCCAAGGCAGGTGAATTGCTTGAGCCCAGGATTTCAAGACCAGCCTGGGCAACATGGTAAAATCCTCTCTCTACAAAACATACAGAAAATTAGCTGGGAGTGGTGCGCATGCCTGTCCCAGCTACTCAGGAGGCTGAGGTTGGGGGATTGCTGGAGCCCAGGAGGTCAAGGCTGCAGTGAGCTGTGACTGCGCCACTGCATTCTAGCCCAGGCAACAGAATGAGACCCTGTCTCAAAAAACAAACCCAAAAACCTTACGTGAAACAGTTCAAAATTACTTACTTCCTAAGTTTTCACAAGAAATCAGGGTTAACAATTCTGCATATGGGGTTTATAAAGAAAAGCAAGATACTTTTTTGGTAAGGAAAGTGGTAAAGGCATAAAAAGGTGTGTGGCCAGGCCGCGGTGGTTCACGCTTGTAATCCCAGCACTTTGGGAGGCTGAGGCAGGTGAATCACCTGAGGTCAGGAGTTCAAGACAAGCCTGGCCAGCGTGGTGAAACCCCATCTCTACTAAAAATACAAAAATTAGCAGGGTGTGGTGGTGCAGGTCTGTAAACCCAGCTACTCAGGAAACTGAGGCAGAAGAATCTGTTGAACCTGGGAGGCAGAGGTTGCAGTGAGCCGAGATCGCGCCACTGCACTCCAGCCTGGGGAACAGAGCAAGATTCCGTCTCAAAAAAAAAAGTGTGTTGAAAAAACTTTGTGAAGTTACTTAAAGGTTGTTTTAAATGAAAGAAATAAAAAAGGCATAGATAAAACTAAGTATAAACAGTTCAGAAAATAGAAGAAAAAGTTTTGTCAGATTATAAAAGGTTTATGGAAATCTTGTGTGGTCAAAAGCTGACTGAGATTAAATGGATTTGTTTATAAGGTTTTATTAAAATTGACTATAGTGTTTGTAATACGTTAATACAAAAGTAAAACTGGTTATCTTTTGCATAAGATTTTAATGTAGAATTAATAAGAGTTAGTAAAAGATTTTTATTCGACTTTTACATAAACTGTAAAAAGAGAGAGAGAGAGAAGAGAGGAGAGACCAATTCTGTCAAAATTCTGCCTCTTGCTGTCTCTAGTGGGTCTTTTGGTTATTTAAATTGAGTCTCCTCTCTATCAAAGGATAAAGGTTTTTGCTTTTTAAAACCTTTTAATTATCACTTTGGCTAAATGAATGACTATTATTTTAAAGTGACCTCTGTTCCTATTTTGGTTAAGTGTTTTAAACCTTTGATGTATTTGACAGGCTTTTCAAAATTAAATTTCAAGTTCAAAATTAAGTCTTTTTGACCTCAAACCAACTTTGGGATGTTACAGAGGGCCCTTGCAGCATCCAAAAGAGAGATAATAAACAAGATTATTTGATATATTAAATTATATGGGAAACATTGTCAAATAAGAAATGATGTTTAACTTCCTTCGAGTTATATTTTTATGGATACATTATTTTGTATTCCAAAGTTGTATGAGATTCCTAAAAATCTGGTATGTCTTGCTGTATGTTATTAGTCATAATTACAATTATGTTAAATTGTTATAGGCTGGCCAGGGGCAGTGGTTCATGCCTGTAAACCCAGCACTTTGGGAGGCAAAGGCAGGAGGATTGCTTAAGCCCAGGAATTTGAGATCAGCCTGGACAACATGGTGAGACCCCCATCTCTACAAAAATTTTTTTTAAAAGTTACCCAGGCATGGTGTTGCACATCTGTGTTCCCAGCTACTGGGGAGGCTGAGACGGGAGGATCACTTGAGTCCAGGAAGTTGAGAGGTTGAGGCTGCTGTGAGCTGTGATTGTGCCACTGCACTTTAGCCTGGACAACAGAGGGAGACCCTGTCAACAACAACAACAACAACAAAAAAGCAAAACATCATAGGCTGCAGAAATAAACTTTCTTGTCAATTGTGTCTTTAACCATGACCATTTTGAGTCATTTCCACAGTGAGTTGCCTAATTTTGATGCATTTCTGAAAACTCTTTATAAGCAAGTAAAATCCTAGAGAATTGTGCCTTCAAGGAGACTCATGGAAAGGATGGAAAGAACTCTTGAATACATGTTTCTGATAGCTTTATGATCATATCATTTGGACTGGGTAAGAATTCCCAGAACTCATGAAGAGACTGACTATTTATTAATCCAAGCAGGAAAAGAATTAATTGAATACCAAGGAAATACTGTGCCAGAGATTTTCATGCTAAATCAGTCAGCACCGAAATCGTTAAGATGTGTAGTTTGAATGAACTCCATGATCCTAGTCAAATTTCCTATGATGACCCATTTAATAAACAGTGCTATGCACCTGAATTGGAGAAACAGAATTGATACTTAAATCCAATGTTAATCATAGATTCATGGAAAGCCTAAATGGCTGCTTGGGTCTTCCTGAGCCCTTAAAGCTTCCATTATTAAAGGCTCTGCACTTTATAAGTTATCACTGAAGAGAGAAAATGATCCAGATTTAAAATACACATATTGGTGTGGTGAATGTTCTAAATTGCGAAAATGGTTTATGACCAACATTTGGTTTGTCATGCTCACAATCCTGGAAATACATTCAAAACTTCAGGTACATTTCTGCTACCTGATGGGCTATTTGAATATATAGAGAGGGATTTCATTCAATTGCCATTTTCATTGCATGTTTTTTGGTTGTATAGAAGCTTTCCCATGCAAGGAGGCTGATGCTGTTATTACAGTAGCTAAAAGGTTAGTAGGAAATGTGTTTTCCCCCATGGGGCATTCCTGGAGAAATCTCTAGCAATAAAGGTACTTGTTTGACTGGACAAGTTGTAAAACAGTTTAATAAGGTTTTTTTTAGGTGTCATAGCATTAGGCAAAGCTAACTGAATTGACTGGATTGTCATAGTCAAACATATTGCAGATCCGCTTCCAATAGAAGACAATGAAATAGTCACTGGAAAGCCTGTGCTCCTAATTTTAGAACCTCATGTATCTTCTGCTCCTAAACTCTGATAGGACTAAATGCTGTGAGGCCTCAATGCATTATGTTAATGTGTATTTTCACCAGGTCAAGGAAGCTTTTCCTGATCCACTAACTAAGGACAATCAAACCCTTCATGATCTAGAATCTGGAGACTGTGTCTTCTGGGAATAGTATCAGAGAAAGACTGCCCTTACTGCCCACATGTAGCAAAACTTTGAGACGTTGAATTATGGGTCCATAATCTCACAACTCAGAGGGGCACCTCTAGACTCTTGGAACTGTATATCTATTGGAGACTTTAAGGTAAAGCTGAACAGAGAGACGTTTTTCTCCAGAAGCAGACAGCACCATAGTCATGGACAGCTTTCCCAAGATCACAGATCAAGACTTCTCTGCCGTCATGAGACTCATAACCTCTTAATTTTTTCTTGCTTATGCTTCTGTGAACAATAGAATTGGAAAAGGGGTGGTCCCGCGTGCACCCATAGGGTATACTTTTATTTGTGGAGGATTTTGCTGCCAACCTTATACATGGGCAAACTTATGCCTTCATGGATGGAAGATAAAGGGCTAATATGGGTTAGAAATTTTAATGGTACCTTTGTTTCTCCATAATCATTCAGAAACAGAACACTGGTCCACTCTTGTTAACCTACATCATAGGTTGAAGAGAACATTGCCAGGAGGCCTTCATCCTTCCAGATGGGCACCATTTGTTGGGTCTTTTTCCGTGGTATGAAGAAAATGAAGCAATGATTAGAAATTGGTCCCTCGGCCGGGCACAATGGCTCATGCCTGTAATCCCATCACTTTGGCAGGCCGAGGCGGGTGGATCACCTGAGGTCAGGAGTTTGAGACCAGCCTGACCAATGTGGTGAAACGCCATCTCTACTAAAAATACAAAAATTAGCTGGGTGTGATGGTGCACACCTGTAATCCAGCTACTCGGGAGGCTGAGACAGGAGAATTGCTTGAACCTGGGAGGCAGAGGTTGCAGTGAGCCAAGATCACCCCACTGCATTCCAGGTTGGGCAACAGAGCAAGACTCTGTCTCAAAAAAAAAAGAAGAAAGAAAGAAATTGATCCCTCATAATAGGCTGTATAGCAGATTCTACTGCAAAGGCTATGGTTGCACAACAGACTTCTTTGAATTTGCTTGCTAAACTTTTACTGGATAATACTGGGATTACAGGTGTGAGCCACTGTGCCCAGCCTCTCCTGTTTAACTGTATTCATTCTAATGTTTACTTACTTCTTTAATTTGTAAAATTGGGTCACTTAGAGTTTTTTTAGCCTATCTTGCCATTTAGCCACTGTTACTGATAATTTGGATGGAAAAGAAAAATAAATTATATCACCTCTCATCTTCAGTGTATATATGTGTTAACTTAGTAAATATAGTATTCTTTCTCGTTCCTAATGAAAATTTAGTTTACGTACTGAAACACTGCAAACTTTTATAAATATTGTGATGTATTTGACCAATACAAAGGATCTTTTTAGAAACAGCAAACAGTTCTCAGATTATAGGAATTACTCATTTAATGATAGTTTCTTCTTAAAAAAAAAAAAGAAAAATGTTTAGTTACCGAATCATAAACAACCCCTTAAAAGACACTCAGATAATCTCATGGGTCAGGAAGATGATGATCAGTATATTTGGTTAATAAAATATAGCATAGAAAGCATAAACCATAAATGGAAAATATAACAGATTGTACCAAAGAGAATACATTGAAATACATTAAGAAATCGGATTTAAACTATGATTGGATCCTTCTTTAGGTGGAAGTTATTTGAGAGAATAATTCCATGAAAATTAAAAATTCATGATTCTTTCATTGTAGGCTAGAAAAATGGATTTAGTCAGCTGAGATTAAGTATGGGGGACTCTACAAGAACCTATGCTAGGATAAGAATATTGGAGGAAAAACAGTGGATGAGGTACCAGATGTTATGGCATTCCATCTTTGTAAATACATGCAATAAAATCTGGTCTATCTAGCTTTCTTTCAACCTAAATGCCACTCACCAATCTCACTACATTTCTGCAGTACTGTAATTGAGGTTTATAATGATGACCCTGACATGACTTGTGAATCATAGCAGAAGATTAAATTATGTTCTGCTTTTTCCTTCATGTATTTAATTATATTTATATTAGTTGCAAACTGGAAATCTGATCTGTTTTAAAACCCTGCTAGATTAACCAGAGCCTCTTTATCAGGGACCCAACCATCCTTAATAGCAGAGTTTATAGTTCATGGGGGGGAAAAAAAACCACCCAGGAACTGATTTTAAAATGTGACATTTGTACTTTCATAGCAAGAATAATTATTACGAGATAATTTGGAATCATCCAGCCACATTTTAAATAACTATAACAAATGTGTTAATAATAAATTCTATATAGCTACTTCTTTTTAATAAGTATACTTCATATTCTGTAGTGAGAAAAAATTTACCTTTGAATAAATAAATCTTCATCTCGGATCTGATAGAATGTGGTTAGTGTCAACAAGATAACAGATATTAGGCATATTTTCAGTTGAATTGGTTTGTATGTAAAAGTTTGGTTTGAGGGTCCCATCAAGCTGCTTCCCATCTCACCTTTGGTTTACCCAGTGATGTATCGTGACCGTGGTGACGAAAAAGGTCTTCTAATAAACGTGAATAAGCATGTGTTATAGGTCAGATTTCCTGCAAGAGGAGCCTGAGACAGAGATTCTTGTTCAAATGTCTTATTGAGAATGGTCTCTCAGGAGAGGGGAATGTGGGAGGTAGAATGGAGCAAGAGGATAAAGCTAAAAAAAAAAAAAAAAGGTGTGGCCCCAGCTGGAGACTGGCTTTGATCTGATCCTGTGGGGAACCTGCTATAGTTTGGATGTTTGTCCTCCCAAACCTCAAGTTGAAATTTGATCCCCAGTGTTGGAAGTAAGGCCTAATGGGCAGTGTTTGGGTTATGGGATAGATGTCTCATGAACAGGTGAATGCCCTCCCTGGGTAGTGGGAAGAAGTGAGTTCTTCCTCTGTTAGTACCTGAGAGAGCTGATTGTTAAAAAGAGCCTGATGCGCTCCACCCCTTTACTGACTCCCCACTGCTGGCTTTCTCTCTCACATGTAATCTCTGTACACATGGGCTCCTCTTCACCTTTGGCCATGAGTGGAAGCAGCCTGAGGTCCCAACCAGCAGCAAGTGCTGGTGCCACGCTTCTTGTACAGTTTGCAGAACCATGAGCCAAATAAACCTCTTTATAAATTACCCAGCCTTGGGCATTCCTTTATAGCAACACAAAACATTCTTTATAAATTCTTTATAAATTACCCATTCTTTATAAATTACTCAGCTTCGAGCATTCCTTTTTAGCAACACAAAACAGACTAAGACAGAACCCTAGAGCAAGAGTGGCACCATAGAGTTGGTCCCCTTGAGGCAAGGAGCCTGGCCTTTTGTACCCCCATTGTCAGTCACTCACTGGCAGTGGGTCAGTGATAACCCCCAGGGAAGGAACTTCTGTTCCCTGAAGGGCAAGGGTAACCTGCCAAGAGCAACTAATCCCACAGCTAGGGATGTGTACCACCCCAAGAAGGGGATCTGGGCAGCGCATCACTTATTCACTACACATGGGAACACTCTCATATATGGGTTAACAGCTGCAGACCAACCCCTAATAATCCTATAACAAGCAAAGCATACTATGGAAAGTACTGCAGCAGCCAAACAACATCCATGACCTTGTTTGTAAAAGAATATATATTCAAAGAATAACTAGGAAAAAAAAAACACAGCTACAGATGGAAAGAATACATCTCCTAACTGGGCTTAGGAACCCTGTCTCCCCTCACCCACCCTTTGTGCCATGGAGTGGCAGCTGGTGGTGGCTTCTGGGACTGAGACAAGGTGCCCAATAGGGGAAGAACTGAGGATGTTAGGAAAATTTAGGATAGGTCTAGACAGTCTGGGATGGGACAAGAGGAGCCTTGGGTTAAGGTTTATGTCTGAGGCCTACTTGCCTGTCTCCTTCTTTCTTGCCTCCCACTAGCCCTAGAAATATGCTTGCCTGCTTATCTTTCCTCTGCCAATACCTGCTGCCTACTAGGACTGCTATCTTCCCTAGCCTCCTCTGCAGTCACCTCTGTCCCTCTTCAGACAGTTTTTCCACCACTTTTCATATAACAACATTCAACTTCAATTTCCCTGACATTTTCTGGTAGTTTGACAGTTAAATAATATAGGGAGGGGGAAGAGAGTAGACATCCTTCCCATGCTCTTCCCCTTCTTAAATCAATTTTTAAAATTTATTTTATTTTAAAATTTTTATTTATTTTGAGACTGAGTTATGAGTGGCTAATTTTTGTATTTTTGGTAGAGAAGGGGTTTTGCCGTGTTGCTCAGACTGATCTTGAATTCCTGGCATCAAGCGATCCACCTGCCTCAGCCTCCCAAAGTGCTGGGATTATAGGCATGAGCTATCACGCCTGGCCCTCCTTCCTAAATTTAGCTTGATGAGCTATACCCAGCAAGGATACTTCGGATGGTTTTTTTTGGGAAAAACGAAGACCATGTACTTGATTCACCTGAATTTCACAGGAGTGCCTAGAGGTTGTCCTGGGAGGTGCTGGGTGAAGGCTTCAGGTGCAGAGAGGGAGTGGAGGAGGTGGACAGGAAGCTCCAGAGGTGGGACAGGAGCTTGGCATACCTCCAACAACCTCAGTACCCCCTTCTCTTCCCTCCCCAGGCCCTTCACCAGCCCCAGACCTTCTGCTGAAGACACCATTTCAGACATTGACAACAGGATGGGTGGGTGTGGGGCAAGAGTGGCAAGATAATCGGCTACTGTGGGCTCTGAAGGAACAGAGAAAAATCATATTTTTTTCTTTTTTTTTTTTTTTTTGCTCTGGGAAAGGAAAAGAAATTCCCTTTACTCCAAGGCTGGGGTAGAATTAAATGACTCCAAGAACTACTGATACAGAAATGAGAAATGCTACCACTTTGGCTGGAATCAGAGCATCTGATACTGTAATTGGCTAAGCAAGGGACCTGGGTTGGCCCCCAGCAGCACAGTCTGCATGGGCACCATGTGGCATGGTGGAAGGCAGGGGGTGAGCTAGTTAAGACATTTACGGGGTCATCATCTCACCCCTACCACCTTCCAAGAGAAAGCTTTCACTTCCTGTTGCTCTTCAGTCTCTGCAGAGAGCCCAGCCTTCCTGACCTGTATGGGAAGTGAGACAACTGATTTATAAAAAGAACTCTAAGACCCTTTTCTGGAGAGATTGGAAAGATACCAAGACAGATCCTAGTTCAGACCCTGGCTCTGCTTCTTTCTACCCAAGTGATCATGAGCAAGTTGTTTAAGTTCTCTGGTGTTAATTTTCTGCCCCCCTTTTTTTGCACTGATAAAGAAAAGAGGTTTAATTGGTTTATCACAGTTCTGCAGTCTATACAGGAAATGTGGCGCCAGCATCTGCTTAGCGTCTGCTGAGAGCCTCAGGAAGCTTCCAGTTCTGGTGGAAGGAAAGGGGAGCCAGCCGTCACACGGTAGGAGTGTAAGAAAGAGAGGGAGAGGGGGCCGGGCGCAGTGGCTCATGCCTGTAATCCCAGCACTTTGGGAGGCCGAGGTGGGTGGATCAAGAGGACAGGAGATCGAGACCATCCTGGCTAACACGGTGAAACCCTGTCTCTACTAAAAATATAAAAAATTAGCTGGGCGTGGTGGTGGGCGCCTGTAGTCCCATCTACACGGGAGGTGGAGGCAGGAGAATCGCTTGAACCTGGGAGGTGGAGGTTGTGGTGAGCCGAGATTGCGCTACCACACTCCAGCCTGGGTGACAGAGCAAGACTCCGTCTCAAAAAAAAAAAAGAGAGAGAGAGGGAGATGGAGCAGGAGAGAGGAGGATGAGAGAGAAGGAGAGAGAATGGCCTTGACTTTCTTATCTGCAAAAACAGAAGGGGGTGGCAGGAAGGGGAAGATGATATTAGTGGCACACGCAGAGTTATTGTGAGGATCAATCAGAATATGTGTAAAGTACAGTGCCGGGTATATAAGTATTGTTATAACATCATCATCGTAATAATTGTTATTATCTGTGGGCTCTTTGGTAAACATATACTTTCATCAAAGCAAATAGTTTTCTATTTTAGTATATTCTGTGCCAGGCACTGTTCTAAGTGCTCACGTATTAACTTTTTTAATCCTCATAATAACTCTTATAAATTAGGTACTATTATTATATCTATGTTGTAGATTCAGAAGCCAAGGCACAGAGAGATTAAGTAATTTGCCCACAATTTCATCCTTAGATAGTGGCAGGGCTAAGATTCAAACCCAGGAAGTCTGGCTTCAAAGCCTGCATCTGCCACTGCAATAGATAGTTAAAGAGTGATGCAATAATCAAAGATAACTGATAGAATTGGCACCAGCTCAAGGTGAAAAGATCAGAGTGGAATTGTAAATTGAGAGTCTGGATTAGGCAGGTTCCTTTCGCCTGGTGCCCAGAGTGTGCTGAGGGTGAGAAGTCAGTGAGGATTGGGCGGGTCCCACAACATCAAAGCCTCACCATGGACTGTTCACCTTGCAAAGTAAGTTAATCTACTTTATTTTAGAGTGACTGGTAAGTTTCCAAGTCTCTTTCCAAGCAAACTGGGAAAATAACCCATGGATGACTATGACTAAGATAACTATATGCATTTTACTCTTTTCTTTTACCAGGTAGAAGGCCATCCTAGGAAACAATCCCATGAGTGATGTTTCATGAATTATCTTCGTGAACCGGAGCAAGTCGCTTTGCCTTCCTGAACCTTCTCTGAGATGGAAGGGTGATCTGAAAATATGCCTCCCGGGTAAACCTCAGCCCTGGCTGGCAGATCTGGCTGGCTAATGGGACTCCCCTTTTCCTCTCCATGGCTCCTGTGCCTCCCCCTCAAGACTGTGTGTATTCCAAGAGGACTACATTCCCAGGTGGGGTCGTATTGTTCTTATAATGAAGGCTTACAGAATTTCCTCGAATGTTGCATCTAGTTTTAGCGTTCTGAATCTGTGAATCACAAATTAGAATTGGTGCCTTTGGAAGAGGAGATGGGACATGAAGCCTGCTCCACCTTCTGATAATGCCCTAAAGAGCAGCTCAAAATACAGCTAAAAGAACCCAGAAAACAAAATAGGTAAGTCTTGAAGAGAGATCAACATTAGGAACACAATATTCACTGAATATAATTCTGTGGTCTGTTTTATACTTTATTTTATGCATTCACTCCTAGTATTTAATTTATGTATCAATTTCTGAGAATTGGTTTCCAAAAAAGTCATTATCCAGTGAACTCTATTAGTCACTAAAGCTTTATAACAAATAAATTAACAAAACATTGTTACCCTAAGAAGGAATAGCCTCTTGTCACTTGTTGCCCCTTGGCTCTCAAAACTGGAAAGTCCACATGCTTATAGTGGTTATGATAGTTTATCAAACTGAAGAAGAAGCCTGAACAACACTCCAGTGATTCCAGACACAAGTAGATAATCTATTCAGCCCCATGTAGTTTCAGAGAGTAAACGAAGATAAGGAAATTTTTTTCTTCTCCTCAGGGCAGAGATGTTTTTCAGTTCTTCTTCTTTTTTTTTTTTAATCTTAGCACTTGATATTCCCTTGGGAAGTGTTGGTTACAACAAAACACTATTTATTAGAATCCAAGTATCTGAAATTAATCAAAGATAGATTAGCATGCCAGTGTCCCCTTTCCTCTTTTGTTATAAAAGAGCAATAGTCATTTTACTATTGCTAAATGTCATTTACATTTAGTCATTTACTAAAAATTAGTAAAAAATTTCTTAATATAAGCATAAAGTTACAAAGGCAAAGAGAAGATGTACTGGAAGGTAAATAGGCGTGGCAGAGGTTTGAAAGGCTGTTAGGCACTGGATTATAATCCTTCTAGGGTATGGACAACATCTGGGTGTTATTTTCTCTTTCATAGTCAGTTCAGTACTCACTGTGCATGAGAGGTGCTTGAGTGAGTCTTTGTTAGATAAATGAAAAGCAAATTAATCCACTTTTCAGAGCTCTCTTCGGAGACCTGAGCCTGAACAAGACAATTCTCTAAAAGACAGAATATTTGGGAATGAAAAATAGGACATTAGAAGATGCTGTTTGTTACTTTTTAAATCCCTTTTCATCCTGGCTACGCTAACTCTACCCTCAAGGGCAGGAGAACAGAGGACCAGAGATGGCTCCAGGCAAGTTGTGAGCTGTGTGGCATCAGCATCTGTCTATAGTGGTGATGCTGGTGCTGACATGTGGTGGTTTATTTAATCTATTTGGGCCCCAATATCTGCATGTGTAAAAGGGAATGATGATAATGAGTATTTTCCAAAAAATATGGTTGAAGGATTAACTGTATTTGAGATAGAGTAGGCCTCAGTTCGTGTCAGCTATTAGCCTTAGTCTGTCTACAGGAACCAGAAGTTTCAGGTTGGGAGAAGCCTGGCCTTTTAGTGAGAAGCTTTCTTGTGGTGGGACAAGATGTTGGTGTGAGACCAGAAACTCAGCCTCTCAGGAGCAGAAAAAGAGGGGACTCGATGTTCTGCTGGTGATTCTGAGATGAGTGTTAACATCAGATGTGGCTGTTAGTCCCCAGAAGGACAAATATAAATGTTTCCTTCATGCTCTTCTTTGTTTTTGTTTTTGGTTTTTGTTCCTTCTGCTGATAAATATTCTTACTCAGAGGTTATTACTGCAAATAATAATAAAAAATACTGGTAAACCAGGCCTCTGATGTGTTATTGTTAAAAAAAAATCAATGTTTTATTCACAGTCTGAGTACAGACTTGGCTTTATTGTTCTGAAAGAATTCTGCATGGCAGGGCAGGGGCTGAGCAAAAGATTAATGTTCAAAGGATTTATTAGTGTTGACTGTGAGTATCTGTTTGTGTTTGTCTGTAAAGTTGGCTTGGTAGTCAGAATGTATGGGAAAACCTTCTAAGAGTCATATGGCAGCTTTTCAAAAACTCTGTAGAGCTGGGTACACAATTTCCCTGGACTCACTCCCATCTAAGCAGCCTCTATCAGAGGGACCAGAGCAGCTGTAAGATACCTGTTCAGGACAGATGTGCATAGGCCTGAAGCAGGATACTGCATCCCAAGCAACCACAGACTGCCAAGAAAGTTTCCTGTCATGGCACAACTTAAGCTGAAAAAATAGCATCACAGCCTGAGCTGGAAGGGGTCCGAGAGCTGCTATCATCCAATCATCCAATCCCTTCATTTTCTAGTTGAGGAATCAAATCTACACATCTCTAGCGACCTGCCCAAGATAATGCAGCTAATTAGGGTCAGAGTTAAGATTTGAGACAGAATACAGAAATTTTTTTTTAAAGCCTTCTGTACTGACATTTGTTTTCATTAAATTTGATACCACTTCTATCCTTTGTCAACTTTTATCGCTGAGAAATAATTAATGTTGCAATAAGCTGGAATCAAAGAAATTGGTGAGAGAAATTGTGCTGACATGTTTGGGGTTGTCTTTGTATTCTCTGAAACCACAGAAAACATTTGATTAAACAGTTTGCAGCCAATGTGACAATTTATGTTTATTTTCAAAGGGGACTGTCATTTTCAGAAGTTAAAGAAATCTTTGTTTCCTGTTTGGGCTTTACAGTCTGGGCTCGTGATACTCATGGTGATGGGTTATTGTTGCTTGTGCCACTGTTAAACCAAGTACTGCTTTGAAAACAATTCAAGGCCATTTTAGAGGAACCCAAATGTCAGGTCTGTCTGATTATAGTACACGCAGTTGTCAAGCTAGAAAAACCAGCATCCGTTGGTGAGCTTTGCTGTCCATGAGCTGTGAGGAGTCAGTCAGGTTCCTAGGGAACAGCCCTCCACTGTATTTAAGACATAGGGCTCACTCCCAGATCGAGCTGCTCCAAATTGCCATTTTACTCAAGATCAAGCATATCAGAAGTCATGTTGTAAGCAGTAGGGGAACTATTAAATTGAGCTGAAATAGAACAGCTAGAAAGAAGAAAATAAATGTGTACTTAAAAGATGCAAGGAGGCTGGGCCTATTCACCAGGGTCCTCCTGTGCAGAGGTAGTAGCTTTTTGTTTGCCCTGGACTAGTTTAAGAATCCTCTGCCACGAAGATTCTTTTAGTTTGCATTTTAAGATGTTATCCTTGTCATAATTTTAAACCATGAACTTTCCTTGTGCCAATTA
Organism: Homo sapiens; assembly: GCF_000001405.40. Classification (NCBI taxonomy): domain Eukaryota; kingdom Metazoa; phylum Chordata; class Mammalia; order Primates; family Hominidae; genus Homo; species Homo sapiens. The sequence continues at coordinate 25,936,008 of NC_000012.12, read as the reverse complement.
AAGAAAAATGAAATAGAGGTCAGCCTCTCCCTGAATTCCTTTCAGCGCGTGAACATTCTTTCTCTACACATGGTCACTTGCACACTGCCTCCCCAGCCCGAGACCCACACTGCAGGCACTAATTGAATTCCTGATGGTTGGGCCAGGGAAAACTCAGTTCCAAATTGCTCTACTCCTTTCCCCTAAGAGATCACGCATATGTCAGTCTTTGTCCCTTGCCCTAACCCTCAACGTTGTCCTTCCTCTGCCATCGCTTTCTTTACATGCACATGTAGACATAGAGACTTGTACTTGGAAGCCTTTTCCTCCTTTCTGCTGCCTCCCAGCTCTTTCCTGTTTCCTTACAGAATCCTCTCCTCCTACACTTCCATTCATTATTTTCTCCCTCCCATTTTGTTCCCCAGATCTACCTCTAACACAAAGCTGATAAGCATATGAATTTTGCTTGTGATAAACCTTGAAGGAAGAAATAGCAAAGTCATGCATTTTGGTGTGTGTTCAAATAAAGAACCACTGCCACAATGCTTTTGAGAATTTACTTTATATTGAAGCCTTCATTTCCTACTCCCTGTTCCCTACCATATGCTTCTCTAGTTGCACTTAATTTCCTTATTAAAAATGTACTGGCCGGGCACAGTGGCTCGTGCCTGTAATCCCAGCACTTTGGGAGGCCGAGGTGGGCAGATCACGAGGTCAAGAGATCGAGACCATCCTGGCCAACATGGTGAAACCCCGTCTCTACTAAAAATACAAAAATTAGCTGGGCATGGTGGCGCACACCTGTAGTCCCAGCTGCTTGGGAGGCTGAGGCGGGAGAATCGCTTGAACCTAGAAGGCAGAGGTTGCAGTGAGCTGAGATCGCACCACCGCACTCCAGCCTGGTGACAGAGCAAGACTCCGTCTCAAAAAAAAAAAAAAAAAAAAAAAAAATGTATTTTATGGCCAGGCATGGTGGCTCACACCTGTAATCCCAGCACTTTGGGAGGCCTAGGCAGGAGGATTGCTTGAGCCCATCTCTACCAAAAATTAAAAAATAAAAACAAAACAAAACAGCTGGGCGTGGTGGTGCATACCTGTAGTTCCAGCTACTGGGGAGGCTGAGGTGGGAGAATTGCTTGAGCCTGGGAGATCGAGGCTGCAGTGAGCTGTGATTGTGTGATGCGCTCCAGCCTGAACAATAAAATGAGACCCTGTCACACACACACATAAAAAGTACTTTAAAATTTTTTCTAGTTAACAGTTTTTCCGTTTTGAGTGCTATAGTATAGTATTGTCTTCCACTACTTTTCATTGCCGATGTAACGCATAAAATAAATAAGCCCTTTTGAAATAATTTTGGAACCTGGCCATTTTTAGAACATTGTTTCAAAGAGAAAATGAATTTCCAGCTTTTAGAACATGATTTATTTTAAGTTGGCTATTTCCTCTGTGTGTTTGGTAACAAAAATATGTTTGATGTGGTGACATAAAATCAGAGAGGCCTGCCTTGATTTTTACCTTGTTAAATATGTTCATAATAGAAAAAAATTAACCTTTTATTTCTTATATTTATTTGTGTTTGTATAGCATTCTTAGAGACTGTATTAGTCTGTTTTCATTGCTATAAAGACATGCCTGAGACTAGGTAATTTCTGGAGAAAAGAGGCTTAATCGACTCACAGTTCCACAGGCTATACAGAAGGCATGGCTGGGGAGGCCTCGGGAAACTTATAATCATGGCAGAAGGTGAAAGCGAAGCAGACACAATCTTCACATGGTGGAGCAGGAGAGAGAGAGCAAAGAGGGAAGTGCTACACACTTTTCAACCATCAGATCCCATGAGAACTCACTCACTATCATGAAAACAGCAAAGGGGAAATCCACCCCCATGATCCAGTCACCTCCCACCAGGTCCCTCCCCCAACATTGGGAATTACAATTCAATATGAGATTTGGGTGGAGACAGAGATCCAAACCGTATCAGAGACTTTGCAATGCATGTTGCTAATTATTTATAATTTTTCATAATCAAAGAGTATATGGAGACTGCAGCTTTCCACTATTTTTGTTCTTCCCCTCTTCCTGGGCATATGGAGAGACTTTATTTTCCAGTCTCCCTTGTAGTGAGGTGTAGCCATGTGACTGGATATTTGCCAATGGAATATGAGTGTGGGAGACTTGAGGAACTTCTGCCTCATCTGCATGAGAGGAAACCTCTGGCCAGGGACTCCTCTTTACCCCATTCCGCCAGCTGGAATGCCCATGGCCAGAGCACCCTGGAAGCTGACTGTTGGTGACAGAGCCTCTGCCAGCCTGGTCTCCAGTGACTGATGGGCGCAGAGCTGCCCACCACGCTGAGACACTTACCTGGGTTGTTACCTGGGACACCAATAAACTTGGCTGTTCTTTGAGCCACTGAATTTTGGAGGTTCTCTTTCATACAGCAGCTTAGCTTACTCTATAATACTATGACAAAAGAGAGTTTACAAGTTGTCCTGTTGGAAACGATTTTACCCCAATATACTGAAAAATCAAAATATATAAGCAAAAAGTAATTTTCTTCAGAAAATAAAGACCTAGACATTTGTAACTATTTTACTTCGTTTTGATCATGAATTTCTTTAAACATTAAGAAATTTATAAGGCTAATTTAATCTTCCATTCAAACATAAAAATTTACCAAAGCCAGACATATTTCCCAAAGAGCTGTTATTTGAAAGGGGCAATTTGTTCTGGCCTTCGTTATGTCTATTAAAGGAAAATGAGTAACAGACTACCCACCTCAGAAGCACATTTCTTGGATCTAGTATCCTGTGATAATCCCATTTTAATTAGGACCAAATTCTGTTGTGATGAACTGCCCTCTCAAGAAACAAAACCCTTCACGGGTCACTTGGTAATAAAATAACGAAGCATAAAGCAAGGTTAACATCATTAAAATTTTTAAAAAGAAGTGTAAATTGGAATAAGGGTAAAATCATACCCGCTCATGATTTGTTTCTTATTTCCACAATTTCCACCACAACTGGTGTCATACTTCTTACAAATTGCTGAATATTTTTGTTTGTACATTTGTCGGTTTGCTTTGTTTTTCCTCACAAAGCAAAATATCATCTAAAGTTTAAGTTTTTTTGTAAAGTTATTTAATCAAAATATGTATTATCAAAATAATATAAAGTATGAAAGTTAAAATACACAGTGCCAAATTGGCCCATGGCTAAAAAACAAACATGTAGGCTCCGAATGAAGTCAAGATAAATTCATTTCTCACAGTCCTAAAATTTAAGATGTAGGGAAAGGGGTTACAGAAGAATCCGTAGCCTTGATCACCTCATAAAAACTAAGTGAATATTATGATATTCTTCATGGAACTCAAAATTCTGAATGAGGTCTGAGAAAATACATTTAAAAGGATAAGATGGGCTACAGGAAAATAATTCATTCTTGTTTAACATATTTGGAACTCATAGCAAACTCATTGTACCTTTTTATTTTTTAATGTAATAATGGACTTTAACTCTCTCTTCCTGTACTAGAATGAGTATGGTAATTGTTAAGTAGATCTTTATTACTCATATGAAGCTTTCTACTGTAGTCTTAAACTGACACCTGTGAGACTTTGTGTCTCAGTAAACATTGGATCCCCTCTTCTACCCACTCCTGGCTGCCCAACTAAGCTAAATAGGAGCACCATAACTAGGCACCAGAATGACAAGAGAGCGCATGGGTAGCAGGCGGGGTGCAAGATGATATGGAATGTAGATCTGAAAAGAATCTTGATGAGTTTTCTAACCATTTTCTTTCTTTTTGTGTTGAAATATATAAGCAACACATTATAGGCAATTGACTGCTGTGTGGCAGTCCATCTAGAGTCTTGTGCTGAAAAGTCCAGAAAATTGAGTTACAATGTTGGCTTCAGTACGACTTAACTCCTTGACAAATCCCAGGCTGAATCTCAACATCCTTATATGAAAATGGGAATGCTGTATTCACACTTGTTTTCCCCAAGTCCACTTTAGACAAATCTGTACCTGTAGGAAATAACACAAAACACAACTCTGTTTTAAAATAAAAAGAGGCTGGGTGTGATGGCTCATGCCTGTAATTCCAGCACTTTGGGAAGTCAAGGTGGGAAGATTGCTTGAAGATAGGAGTTCAAGACCAGCCTGGACAACATAGTGAGAACCTGCCTCTAAATAACTAGATAGATAGATAGATAGATAGATAGATAGATAGATAGATAGATAGTCCTAAAGAAAAAGCAAAATCCCAGCAGGGAGGGGGAGTAAATGGCTGAAGAGCATGAGTGCTGTGGGAATCTATAGAACAGGGGTCTGCAAACCACCTGAGGGCCAAATCCAGCCTGCCATATGTTTGCAAGAGCTAAGAATGATTTTTACATTTGTAAAGATTTTTTTTAAAAAAAATTCAGATAAGACTATTTTGTGGTACATGAAAATTATATGAAATTCAAATATCAGGCTGGGCGCAGTGGCTCACGCCTATAATCCCAGCACTTTGGGAGGCTGAGACAGGTGGATCACTGGAGCCCAGGAGTTTGATACCAGCCTGGGCAACATAGCTAGACTCTGTCTCAATAAAAAAATAAAAATAAAAAAAATTCAAATAGCAGTGTCATGACAGAGACCATAGGGCCTTCAGAGCCCAAAAGAGTTACTAACTGTTCTTCATAGATAAAGGTTGCCAGTCTTTTCTCTAGAATATTCAAGGTGGAAATGTCCAATTGGCAGTTAGAATTTAGATTTTGGAACTATTCACAAAAGCAATAGTTTAAAATGTGGGAATCGACGAAGTCAAGGAGGAGATTAGAGAACAGAGGTCTGGAGAAAGCACCTGGTGGGAGATGTCTTCTGAGAAGTTGGGAGAGGAGAGAATAGAGAAGGCACAGGAAGAGCGTGATAGGCTCCCAAAAGCCAAACCAGGGGTGAGTTCCTGATGAGCTGATACATAAAAACAGACATCTCAGAGAGATCAGGTAAATTGAATCCCTTTTTAGTTCATTGGATTTGGCGGTGGTTAGAGGTCATTGGTTACCTCTGAGAACGTTTCCATTTCTGTGAAACAGTGGCGCATTAGCCAGTTTTCAAGAGCTTCTGGAGTGAACAGGTTTACCCTGGAAAGGAAACTAGGAAGATAATAATCTGAAGGGATTACAAAACCAAGGGAAATTGACTTTTGTTTGCTTACTTGTTTGTTGCCTTTTGTAAGAGAGTACTGAGAGTGTTTATTGGCCTAGCAAAAGCATTCAAGAGATGGAGGTGAAAAGAGGAGACAGAGCAGAGTAAAGGTGAGGGAAAGAAATGGAGAAAAGATTGATGAGATGACCAAGTTGCAAGCAATACCACTCCCTCTGAAGCGAAATGAAGGAAAAATGTGAACATACAAAGAAAACTTGAGACGGAATGCGGGAAAGGTGTAATGGCAGTAAGTGGCAAGGCCGCCTGCATAGAATAAGAGAGCCGGGAGTATGATGAGGCGTGCCATCCTGCAGGAAGCTGCAGACGGCCCACTGGAGAGTATGAAGACTGATGAGGAGAAGCATTTGAAATACGTTCGTAACCTTTCCCTAAAATCTGGATGCTTAGGTGTGGAGATGGAAAAGAAAGTTGAGATGATCAGGGCTGTAATTAATGTGGAAGCATCAAGAAAAGTTACAGGTTGGAATGAGGCTTCACGAAGACAGTGTTGAAATAACTTGTCCTGTCAGGTGCAGTGGTTCATGCCAGTAACTCTAGCACTTTGGAAGGCCGAGATAGGCAGATTACTTAGGGCCAGGAGTTCGAGACCAGGCTGGAAAATATGGCGAAAACCTCCCTCTACCAAAAAAAAAAACAAAAACAAAAATTAGCTGGGCGTGGTGGTGCACAGCTGTACTTTCAGCTACTTGGGAGACTGAGGCATGAGAATCACTTGAGCCTGGGAGATGGAGGTTGCAGGGACCTGATAGCATACCGCTGCATTCCAATCCAGCCTGGGCGACAGAGAGAGATCCTGTCTCAAAAAAAAAAAAAAAAAAAAAAGGAAAGAAATCACTTGACTTGACCTGGAGTCCAGACTCCTTGGTGAAGCAAGGGAAACTAAAAGAATGTGATTAGCTAGGATTAGAAAAAACAAACAAACAAACGAAGAGCCAGGCATGGTGGTGTGCACCTGCAGTCCTAGAGACCCAGGACATGGGAGAATTGCTTGAGCCCAGGAGTTTGAGGCTGCCATGAGCTATAATTGTGCCACCATAGTCCAGTCCATGAGGCCAAAGTGCCACTTCTTTAAGGTGAAGGGATGTACAAAAGATAGAAATTAATGAAGATGAAATCAGAAAGGATCATCATCACGACCACCAAATTTAAAATCTTAGAGTATTGATCATAAGGTACAAGGCTGGCCATTCTGGTGGGTTCTGTGGATCTCAGAAGTAATCGGAAGATGCCACTCCGGGAATGTCTGCTTGACCCTGGGAGGCTATTGCTCCTCAGGAAGCTTCCAGGGATCCTCCCAAGGTCCTGCAGGTGGAAGACAAATAGAGAACAGACAGGCGATGTCTGCTGTTGTCAATGGCAATAAATCACAAAGGAAAGCCTTTGCCAGGAATCTTAAATTGAACCTAAGGGGTTTAGTTGAAACTGAGTAGTCCTTTGGAAGGGAACTGAACAATGACTCAACTCATTGACTTTGGCTCACTGGGTCCCCTTTCCCTCCCTCCCAGGGTAACTGAGATTGAATGAATAATAGCTGTGAAATACTCCCTTGAGAACAAGACTCCTACACACTAATAAAAACTAAATGCTTTCATTACAATTTAAGTGAATGACTTGCTACCCTAAAAAATGCCTCATAGTGAATGGCATAAGAGTGACACTTCCCCAAAATGTTACACATTAATATTAATTTATAGCAGAATCATGAATGTCTACACATTTTATTGATTGAAAATTAATTTGTGTAAACATTTGGGGAATGTTGGGAGGGAAGTCAATAAATACATGAAGTATTCAATTATTTGAACTACTTAGGTATAAGCAAACATTTACTATAGTATCATGGAAGAGTACATTCAGCACATTGAATAACTACTGATATTTTGGAGTCATTTGAAATGAAAAACATCTTTGTTCTCTCAGATCCCATTTCACCTCTCCTTTTCCTTCCCCTTGCCCCAATCCTTCCAATCCCTACTGTCTTTAAATATTTATTTCAGAGATATGGCAAAGATGGGAAGGAAAAAATTCACTTATTCCAGAAAGCAGCTAATTTCCTGGTCTTCATGACATAAGCATACTAGCTCTCCCGCACTGAAACAAATTGGATGACAATTTTAGGATAATTGAATTGCTTGATGCTTTTCAAGTTGTTAGGGAATCAGTGCTGTGAAAACCAATTTTTTTCAGTGCTACCTATACTGTCCTGTGATAGGAGATTTTCTATTTACCCATTCAAAACAAAACACAGAGCAAAGATTTATAGATTTGTGAGTGATTTGTGTTATATATACAATGGCAGTGAAAATGAACACCTGGTAAACTAAATTAAAACAAACTAAGTTGTCCGAATTTTCAATTAATCAGATATCATAATTAGGAAGTGACAAAAATCTGCACAAAAGAGATGTGTATATCCTAATTTAAAATGATTTCAGGGCCAAATAGCAACCTGTTTTGTTTTTTTGTTTGTTTGTTTTATGAGACAGGGTCTTGCTCTGTTACCCAGGCTGCAGTGCAACGGTATGATCATGGCTTACTGCAGGCCCAACCTCCTGACTCAAGCAATCCTCCCATCTCAGGCTCCCAAGCAGCTGAGACCACAGACAGGTACCACCACGCCTGGCTTTTTTTTTTTTTTTTTGGTATAGACAGAGTCTCGCCCCTATATCGCCCAGGCTCGTCTCAAACTCTTAGGCTCAAGTGACTCACTTGCCTTTGCCTCCCAAAGTGTTAGAATTACAGATGTGAGGCCAGACATGGTGGTTCACACCTGTATTTCCAGCATTTTGGGAGGTGGAGGAGGGTGGATCACTTGAGGTCAGGAGTTCGAAACAAGCCTGGCCAACATGTCAAAAGCTCATCTCTATTAAAAATACAAAAATTAGCCGGGTGTGGTGGCGGATGCCTGTACTACTCGGGAGGCTACTCGGGAGGCTGAGGCAGGAGAATCACTTGAACCCTGGAGGCGAAAGTTGCAGTGAGCCAAGATCATGAGATTGCACTCCCTCCTGAGCGACAGATCAAGACTCCGTCTCAAAAAACAAACTAAAGGATTAAAGATGTGAGCCCAGCCAGCAGCCAGTTTTGGATGGAGATGGGGATAGTAGGGTTCTGAGTTATGAAACAATTGATAATGTTACCAAACAAAATGGTTAGTAATCATAGAAGAGACTAAGTCATGAAAAGAAAATTTAAGGGGCAGAGACAAGCCATGAATCTGAACAGAAATGGAATGATTTAGGTCTCTGGCTCTCACACTTGAACATGAATCAGAATCACCTGGAGGACTTTTTAAACCACCAATTGCTGGTTCCACTCCCAAAGTTTCTGATGCAGTAGATCTGGGGTGGGGCCTGAGAATTTCCATTTCTTTTTTTTTTTTTTAATATGAGATGGGGTCTCACTATGTTGTCCAGCCTGATCTCAAACTCCTGAGTTCAAGTGATCTTCTCACGTCAGCCTCCCAAAGTGCTGAGATTACAGGCATGAGTTACCATGCCTGGCTAAGAATTTCCATTTCTAAGTTCTCAGAAAATGCTAATGCTGCTGGTTCTGGGACCACACTTTAAGAACCATTAACTCAGAGCAATATCTAGAGGCAGAAACATTTAATAAGAAAGTGTTGAAGACAGTGAGGGGAGATAGAAGAAAACTTATTGGAGGGAACTAAAGGGAAGAAGAAACTAGGATAATGGAGTGATCACTAAATTAAAATAATAGAAAAGGTAAATTTTAATTGAATGCCAAGCCTTGTGCTAGACACTTTATATATTCCCAACCTTGCCAGGTTGATAAAATAATGATAAACTCCAGAAGAGGAACCAGAAGATGCACAAAAACTTGACAAATATGTGTGGAAATGGTGGCTATTGTAAAATAACTATCCGAGGTCAACATGGTTAAAAAGGCGTCTTGAGTTCTAAGCCACTTAAGAGAAAGACAAGGAATAGGACAGATGGAGATCAAAACACCATACAGTACTTACTACTGATTAAGGCTGGGAGGGATAATAAGGCTTACGATTGCAACAACTGTGAGCTTCCTAATTCTGTATCTCAGAAATAGTCAGACTTATCCATCAATCCCAGCCAGATGACACATGCTTCCTCCTGTGGGGGCCTCCCCTTGTAAAACTTCGAGTGTGGAAGAGAAGATATGAACATCTGCTTTTTATTCTTTTTCTCTTTTTTTGTGACAGACTCTCACTCTGTTTCCCAGGCTGGAATGCCGTGGCACAATTTTGGCTCACTGCAACCTCCACCTCCCAGGTTCAAGTGATTCTCCTGCCTCAGCCTCCTGAGTAGCTGGAACTACAGGCACATGCTACCATGCTAATTTTTATGTTTTTAATAGAGAGTTTCGCCGTGTTGGCCAGGCTGGTCTCGAACTCCTGACCCCAGCTGATCCTCCTGCCTTGGCCTCCCAAAGTGCTGGGATTACAGGTGTTAGCCACTACGCCCGGCCAAACATCTGCTTTATTGTGGCCATTCCTCAAGCAAGGAGAGTATGTCAAGGGCTGGGCTCTGCAAGCCCTACTGACTCTTCTCAAATGTACCAACCAAATAACCGGCTCCTCATTTCCTGAGGCAGAGTGGTAAGGGAGTGAAGAAGCCAGGAGTGTTACACTAAGTGAGGTCTCCAGATAACAAAGAAACATCAGGAGCTGGGAATAAAAACCTTACAGGTGGGAGAATCTAAGTGAAAAGCAGGCTGCTTCACTCTAAAGCCTCCTTTCGTTCAATGATTCTGTTGCTCTCAAAGGAAAACACACCTGAGATTGAGGAGTGGGGAATGGCATTTACTGTATTATTTTATTTTATTGTTTTATTTACGTTTGAGAAGGAGTCTTACTCTGTTCCCCAGGCTAGAGTGCAGTGGTGCGATCTCAGCTCACTGCAACCTCTACCTCCTGGGTTCAAGTGATTCTCCTGCCTCAGCCTCCAAAGTAGCTGGGATTACAGGCACCCACCACCAAACCCAGGTAATTTTTTGTATTTTTAGTACAGATGGGATTTCACCATGTTGGCCAGGCTAGTCTGGAACTCCTGACTTCAAGTAATCTGCCTGCCTCGGTCTCCCAAATTGCTGAGATTACAGGCGTGAGCCACCGCACCTGGCCTATTTTATGTTTTATTTTTAAAATTTCTTCTTTTGTCCTTCCTTCCTTCCTTCCTTCCTTCCTTCCTTCCTTCCTTCCTTCCTTCCTTCCTTCCTTCCTTTTTTCTGAGACAGAGTCTCACTCTGTTACCTAGGCTGTAGTGCACTGGCACGATCTTGGCTCATTGTAGCCTTGACCTCCGAGGCTCAAGCAGTCCTCCTACTTCAGCCTTCCAAAATGTTGAGATTACAAGTGTGAACCACTGTGCCCAGCTGGGAATGGTATTTTAAAAAGTGAGAATTCTTTACCAGGAAGATGCGGATGAAAGAACCACATACTGTCTCAGTAGCATGGTAACTTGACTAGCTGGTACTCAACAAGTGTTCATTGCTAGCAAGATTGAACATTGGAAATGGGCCTGGCTGGTGGCTGGGTCGATGTCCCAAGTAGAGGCTGAATGGTCTACATTTTATATATGGCTTCTCAGTATGCTTCCTCTTTTTTTTTTTTTGAGACGGAGTCTCACTATGTCACCCAGGCTGGAGTGCAATGGTGCAATCTGGGCTCACTGCAACTTTCGCCTCCTGGGTTCAAGCGATTCTCTTGCCTCGGTTTCCCAAGTAGCTGGGATTACAGGCACGCCCCACCACACCCAGCTAATTTTTGTATTCTTAGTAGAGACAGGGTTTCACCATGTTCGCCAGGCTGATCTCAAACTCCTGACCTCAGGTGATCCACCAGCCTCAGCCTCGTAAAGTTTTGGGATTACAGGCGTGAGTCACCGTGCCTGGCCTATGCTTCCTCTTTAATTGTGAATATTTTGTAGCCAGAGGGCATAATGACTAGTTTTCATTTTCTATATACTGATGTCTGTTAGTTTATTTCTTAGGAACATGGCTTAAATTGGCATTTGGACACATTCATGAAAGGAAAAAGGAAATGATAGAGCAGAACCCTTCTGTTTAAACAGGATGTGTAGTCAGGCTAATATTTCCCCTGGTCTAGCCTGCTGTCCAGCCGTGAGTCCCAACGCATCCCATCATCAAAGGTTTGTGCTCCTGGCCCCATAGAAGTTGAGAGCCTCTGCAGTCTCCTGCAGGCCTGCCGTGACAGTGCTGGATTTTGCTCCAGGACTTCCACTTACAATGGCATGCAGAGCAGGCTTACCTCATGGCGAGATCTCAGCAGTTGATTTTTCAATCTACTAAGGCTCAATAGAACACCTCCTTGGCACAGTGAAAATTCTTTAAATTGGACTTTGTTAAAATGTCCCCGGAGGTACATTTTAAAGTTGATATTTTAATTACATACCATTAACTACTGCTGCTTCTTGAGTGCTTTATATTTAGTTCTAAAGATTTTATCCCAACAGATGAAGTTTTACATTTATAGTGGGCTTTGGTTGCTGTTATTATAGTTTAAGGAAAAATGTTTGAATTCTGATATTCTTTGCCAAGAACGCAGAAGATGAACCAGAAGATGCCCAGGAGCTCAGTGAATAAGAGTGGATGAAGATGGGTACGGGAGAAATAGCAAGAAAATGGTTGAATTGACTGAAGCACCAGAAGTCCTAGAACCTTCACATTTCTAAAAAAAAAAATGCTACTCAAAGAGGCCATCATGGTAGCTCACGCCTGCAATCCCAACACTTTGGGAGGCTTTTGACAGAAGGATTGCTTGAGTCCAGAAGTTTGAGACCAGCCTGGGCAAGAGTGAGACCTCATACCTACAAAAAACAAAATTAGCTGGGCGTGATGGTGCATGCCTGTAGTCCTAGCTACTTAGGAGGCTGAGTTGGAAGGATTGCTTGGTCCCAGGAAGTCGAGGCTGCAGTGAGCTGAGATCATGCCACTGCATTCCAGCCTGGGCAACAGAGCAAGGCCCTGTCTCAAACAAACAAACAAACAAACAAACAAAACCTCGAAAAATTCTAGTTTTATTTAGCAAGCCAGAACGGTTTATTTGAGTATATTATCTTACAGTTGAGATGATCAGAAAATTTGAACTTCAACTCAAACCTGAACCTGAACCCAAAGCTGTCGTTTGGTCAAAACTTTTAGATAAAAAGAGAAGAGAAACTATTTTAATATCTCCTCTTGAAGTTGTAAAGACATACGAAATTCTTAGGCCAGGCGCGGTGGCTCATGCCTGTAATCCCAGCATTTTGGGAGGCCGAGGTGGGTGGATCACTTGAGGTCAGGAGTTCAAGACCAGCCTGGCCAACATGGTGAAACCCCGTCTCTACTAAAAATACAAAAAATTAGCCATGTGTTGTGTTAAGCGCCTGTAATCCTAGTTACTGGGAGACTGAGGCAGGAGAATGCTTGAACCCAGGAGGCAGAGGTTGCAGTGAGCTGAGATCGCGCCACTGCATTCCAGCCTGGGTGACAGTGAGGCTCAGTCTCAAATAAATAAGTAAATAAATAAATAAATAAATGAATAAATAATTGACACTTGGAAACATTCAGAAATGTATGTTACCATAAATGTGTTTTCTTGATGTTTTCTAGGTATTAGTGGAATGCCTTCAAAATTTCCTTCTTTTAAATATTCACTACATTTATTGTTCAGTCTAGTTTATAAATTCTCATTTAAGAACAAAGATAGGAAGAAAGTGAAGAGATCAAGCTTCTAGTCTATATTCTGTCATAAACCAGGTGTATGATCTTGAGCAAGTTAAGTTTTAAAATACCTGTTGTATAGCATTCAGAGATTTATTATAAAGGTAAAATGAGATAATGTACATAAAGCACTGAAAAAAAATGTAAAGTGTTACCTGACTTTTAAGATGATTCATCATCATTTAAATGAATTAATAACATATACTGAAGATGTTTAGCTTAGTAAAATAAGGCAGAAGTGGAATCAAAGGTGTCGTCTGATATTTGAAGGTTTGTTCAATTGATCTGCAGGACAGACTTTAAAAGCTGGTGGAAATTACAGTCCAGTAGTTTTCAGCATAACAAAAAAATCTGTTATCAATAGTGGAACAGATGGCCTTGTGACAGAGTGATCCTGCTGTGTGTCATGGTATACAAACCAAGTTCCTACACCGACTGTCAGAAATGCCTTTTATGATATTTACTGCAATCCTTTAGTCATTTATTACTGGACCAGGAGATCTCTAACATCTTTTCCAACTTTCAGAGTCTTTAGCTCTAAGTTTATCCAACAAACCAATCAATGAATTTCATGGCAATTGATTCTATTGACTGACATGATATAATCAAGTGAAAAAATATATTCACTTAGGTATACCTTGGAGAGCATAATGTGTTTTCCACAGTAGTATTCCTAGAGCACAGGAAGGCTAGATGGTTAATGAACATTCCATAAACCCCAGACTTACCTTCACGGAGTTGTACATTAATATTATGTGCTTGCCTTAGGCAATCATATTGACGTTAGCAATAAAAATCCACTTAAGGATAATATATACTATGTTACATTATATAGTATTCTTTTCTCTACATGAGAAATATCTTTTCAAATTTAAAATCAAGAAAAGCCCCTCCTTTTCTGAAGAACTATAATATTTTCTATTTCTTTTCTCTTCTTCTTCTTCTTTTTTTTTTTTTTTTTGAGATGAAGTTTCGCTCTTGTCGCCCAGGCTGGAGTGCATTGGCGTGATCTCGGCTCACTTCCACCTTTTCCTCCCAGGTTAAGCAATTCTCCTGCCTCAGCCTCCTGAGTAGCTGGGATTACAGGCCCATGCCACTAAGCCCAGCTAATTTTTGTATTTTTAGAAGAAACAGGGTTTCACGATATTGGCCAGTCTGGTCTCGAACTCCCCACCTCAGGTGATTTGTCCACCTTGGCCTCCCAAAGTGCTAGGATTACAGGTGTAAGCCATTGCACTCGACAACTAGAATATTTTATTTCTTTTCTTTTCTTTTTTTTTTGAGATGGAGTCTCACTCTGTCATCCAGGCTGGAGTGCAACCTCCACCTCCCAGGTTCAAATGATTCCCCTGCCTCAGTCTCCTGAGTAGCTGGGATTACAGGTGCCCACCACCACGCCCAGCTAATTTTTGTATTTTCAGTAGAGATGGGATTTCACCATGTTAGCCAGGCTGGTCTCAAACTGCTGACCTCAAGTTAACTGCCTGCCTCGGCCTCCCAAAGTGCTGGGATTATAGGCGTGAACCACTGCGCCTGGCCAACTAGAGTATTTTCTTATTCCAATAACAAATCTTTTTTTTTTTAGATCGTCTCGCTGTGTTGCCCAGGTTGTAGTGCAATGGCATGATCTCTGCTCACTGCAACCTCTGCCTTCCCAGCTCAAGCTATTCTCCTGCCTCAGTCTCCCCAGTAGCTGGGATTACAGGCGCCCGCCACTGTGCCCGGTTAATTTTTGTATTCTTAGTAGAGACGGGGTTTCACCATGTTGGCCAGGCTTGTCTCAAACTCCTGACCTCAGGTGATCTTCCCGTCTCAGCATCCTAAAGTGCTGGGGGTTACAGGCGTGAGCCACTGGGCCTGGCCAGCTTTCAATGCTATGACATTCTTTTGCTTCTTCAGAAAACTCTGGAAAGCAGGCATCTTCCTCTTCACATGCAAATCTGCCATGGACCTAACATGGAAGGTTTTTATATTCCATTTTGAATAATCTATATTCCCTCTGTCATAAGCAACTTAAATCTTTTGAAAACAGATTATCTTATAAACACATCTATAAATAATAAATAAATTCATTAATAAACTAATAAATAAATTCCCTGATCCTCTTCTTTTTAATTAAAGAACTTTTGGGATGTGACCGAAATGTAAAGTTTTGGGCTAAATATCATGTAATTGCTGACAACTTGTTACTTGATTTAAATTGTTCTGTCTCAAAATGTGTACACAGGTAATGGCACTATTGTTTTTTAATGTAGAAATTATTTAGCTGAGCAATAAACTCAGCTTTTCTGCCATTTGAGTCTTTTTAAGAATAGAATATCTAATTTTATAGGTAATTTCCCATTTTTGCCCTATCCCCATGAATTTTTTTTAACCTTTATGATGTATTAACATTAGAGATTTTTTTAATTACATGAAGTATTTTAAGAAGTGTCAGTGCAGGGTTTACAAAATATTTTTCTGACACTACTTAAAATTATGGTGTTTTAAAGTATAACAAATATAACTATGAAAAATAACGTGTATTTTCCTAGTGTTTTTTCTTCTTGCCTGTTTGCTGATCAGATTTGCTAATTGGTTTTGCAAATAATATTTTTAATTGCACCCACAGCTGCCAACTTCCTAGGAGTATCAAGGCTTTCTGCCTCCTATGTCTTATAAAGATTTTCTAAAAAGAATTCAGATGACTCTAATGGTGATTCATGAGCCAAACTTAGGTTAGGTTAATATTCCTGCATCAGACTGGGGGAAAAGGGAGACTTTGAATCCTCTTAGTGATATTTAAAAACACAAAGGCAGTAAGATTACATAATTAGTTCTGAGTTTATTTTGATAATTTTTCTACCTGTAAACTTTAAAAATTACACTTCTAAAGACATTTTCTCTTTGGAATTAATATTTGGGGAGATACTTTGAGGCTAGATAATCTTGTTTCTCATCAAACTTTTCCTCACTAGTTTTCATAATCACTGTTGATTTTCTACCTCCACAATTCTTTTCTATTTTTATTAGTTGGCATTCTACTTCAGGGAAGCACTTATCCTTGTCATCTATTTATTTATTTATATGACTATTGACTCATGGATTCTTATTTTATTCAGTGCAATAAGTTATAATCCATTACTATCATCATTTATTTTGATGCTCAACTTACCCTAGATTTGGCCAGTGGGAGCCTGTTAAATATGGTTCTTTTGTGTCATTTTGACATATGCTGTCATGTTTTTTGGTCAATTCTTTACTTTCTTGGGGAAAGAGGAAGCTCCAGGCTCATCCTATCCTTTCCCTGGCCCAGTCCTGAAATCAGCCATCTCCCCCAGCGACTATATTTCCATTTAATGGAGAATGGTGCCAAGATGTGCGCGCTCAATGTTCTCATTGCTACTGGTATGTCATCGTGTCCAGGCCCTTACAGGGAAAAGTATAGAAAGAAACGTGGTTTACATCTTGGAATACGACATCTTCAGTTCCAGACCAACACCACAAGCTACATTACAGTCTGGCACTGTCCAATGGACACAAATATGAATTACATATGTAATTATAAGCTTTCCAGTTGCCATGTTTGAAAAAAGAAAGAGTTGAAATCCTTTTAAAGAATATATTTAACCCAATATATCCAATTGTATCATTTTGACATATAATCAATATGAAAAAGTTAACAATATTTAATACTTTTTGTACTAAGCCTTCCTAATCCAATGTGTATTTGACACTTAAAAGCATATCTTCAAGCCAGGCACAGTGGCTCATGCCTGTAATCCCGGCACTTTGGGAGGCCAAGGCAGGTGGGTCACTTGAGGCCAGGAGTTTGAGACCAGACTGGCCAACATGGTGAGACCCCGTCTCTACTGAAAATACAAAAATTAGTTGGGCATGGTGGCACACATCTGTAATCCCAGCTACTTGGAAGGCTGAAGCATGAGAATCGCTTGAACCCAGGAGGAGGAGGTTGCAGTGAGCTGAGATTGCTCCACTGTACTCCAGCCTGGGCGACAGAGCAACACTCTGCCTAAACAAACAAACAAATAAAAGCATAGCATATCTTCAATTTGGTCTAGCCACATTTCGAGTGTTCAACAGCCACATGTGGCCAAGGGCTACCATATTGGACAGCATAGTTCTGTCTTTTTCCTTCTCATATTTGTTACTCTATTCTCCAACAGGAAGAAATCTGGAGTACAGGAATACGTAGGAGATAGCTTCATAAATGGCTAACTTATGCCTCTGAAAGAAAGCAAACTTACAAAAGTTTAATGCTTCAATTTTTTAGATCAAAAACATATAGTGAAAGCCACAAATCTGGAGCATACATCTCAGTGCATTTTAACCAATGCACACACCTGCATAACCCACATGTCTATCATTTTCATCACAAACAAAATGATTGTTTTCATCACAGAAATTTCTCCTGTGCTCCTTCCTAGTCAGTTCCCTGCCCAAATCAGAGGCAATAATTTATCTGACCTTTTTCATCATGGAGTAGATTTTCCTCTTCTAGAATTATACATTTTCATAAATGTGGTCACAGTATTCTTTTTGGGTGTAAATCTGGCTTTTTCCTCTCAGTATAATATCTTGAAATTCATCCATATTTTTACATGTATTAAAGTTTATTCCTTTAAGTCACTAATGAGTATTACATTGTATGAATATACACAATTTGCTTATGCATTTTCCTGTTAATAGACATTTAAGTTGTTTTCATTTTGGGCTACTATGAATAAAGTGGCTAAGAACATCTTTGTTGTGGACTTTGTGTGGACATGTTTTCATTGGTCTTGGGTGTGAATCTAGGAGTAAAATTACTAGGTCGCAGGGTAGATGTAAGGATTTTCTTGTATGTTGGTTACATGTTATTAACTATTTTATGCTGAAACCAACAATAGTACTTTTATCTACAGTTTGACTTTAAAAGCTAATTGTTGGCATTTATATTATTATGACAATTCTTTGAGCTGGGTCAAGTAGCATGGTAGGATAACATTTTCTTCTTTCATTTTACCTTTCAATCATTTTACCCTTTCCTCCCCTCTCTGCCCTCCTTCCCCCTTAGATTGACTGTCTCCTACTCACTCTTCAGGCTTCACCTAAGACTTGCTTCCTCCTAGAAACCCACCCTGACCCTCTCAGTCTGGGCCATGTGGCCCTCTCATTCCTTTCTTTTGTGATCTGTGTCACCCAGCACTGTGAACATTGGTGTGCACGTCGGTCTTCTCCTTCCCATTGAGAGCACCTTGAGAACCAGAGTTGCTTTTTGTTTTTCTTTGCATACCTGTTGCTTAAATATGTGTTTTGTTTGTTTATTTGTTGTTTTTTTGTTTTTGAGACGGAGTTTCCCTCTTGTTGCCCAGGCTGGAGTGCAATGGCATAATCTCAGCCCCCCGCAACCTCTGCCTCCCAGATTCAAGTGATTCTCTTGCCTCAGCCTCCTGAGTAGCTGGGACTACAGGCATGCGCCACCACGCCTGGCTAATTTTGTATTTTTAGTAGGATGGGGTTTCTCCATGTTGGTCAGGCTGGTCTCGAACTCCCAACCTCAGGTGATCCACCTGCCTTGGCCTCCCAAAGTGCTGGGATTACAGGCATGAGCCACCATGCCTGGCATGCCTAAGCATGTTTGACACAGTAGGCCCTTGGCAAATACTCGTCAAATATTCACATGAAAAGTGAAGTAACTTACTCAAGGGTCATAATAAGTTAAAGACAGAACAATAATTTGAATGAAGTTTTGTTTTTAAATTCGCTGTTTGCCTCAATATTTTGTTGTAAGCTTTTTGCTTAAGGTGAAACAAAAGTCAAAGAGATTTTTCACATTTGGTTTGGATGAAGGGAGAAATTAGTAAATCCCTAGACGAAACAGTTGGGGCCAATGGTGGTGTCATTGGAGTCATTGGATCCCTGTGCAGGTGGACAGTAGAACCCGTGGGCCTCTCCTGAGAACCTCAGGAGATCCCACAGAGCCAGGGGCAGGTAAACCTTGCGAGCAGGACCCATGGGCATGGGGATTGCTGGGGACATTGGACCCCTCCTGGGGCTGCAGCACTGACGTCAGTCCCAGCAACAGATATCATACAATCTACATTTTAGGTCATTTGGCCAGACCTTTTAGTATCCATGGTGGTGGGTCAACCTATTTCCATGCCTGGGTTATACTTAAGAAGAAAGAGCTGGCCAACCATGGTGGTGTATTCTTGTAATCCCAGCACTTTGGGAGGCCAAGGTGAGAAGATTGCTTGAGCCTAGGCGCTCTAGACTAGCTGGGGCAACACAGTGAGACTTCATCACTACAAAAATAAAACTAAAAACTAGCCAGGCATTGTGGTGGTGTATTCCTGTGGTCCCAGCTACTTAGGAGGCTGAGGTGGGAGGATTGCCTGAGCCTGAGAAACCAAGGCTGCAGTGAACTGTGATTGCACCACTGCACTCCAGCCTGGGCAACAGAGCAAGAGCTTGTCTCAAAAAAAAAAAAAAAGAAAAAAGAAAAGAAAAAAAGAACTGCAAGATATACAATAATATTTATAGACACACATATGTGGACTATAATATTATTGTCAGTCAACTGTTTAACAAAGCAAACTTTATTGTTGTTTTTCTTTCTCAGCCATTGTTCCAAGTGATATTTCAGGCATCATTTAAAAATCTGGGACACTATAGTGATCAATATTCTCCAGTTCCTGTTAAGAATGAAATGGAATTGTAGCCCTTAGGTTGCAGAATGGGCCATCAAAACAACAAAAAAGCTGAAATGCTAAGCGTGACATCAAAGCTCCTGATCAATTCACACTCTCATCATGCCATACCTCTAACTTTCATCTCGCGTAGCTTAGACGGCAGGAGGCTTGACTAAGGCACGTTAGTGACAACATCACTAATAAATAAACTCACCATTCCTGGGATTAACCCAGGATGTATTTCTTTTTCCTCAGAGCAGCAGCAACACACAGACTGTGGACAGATGGCTAGCAATGCAAGCTTTTTATTTTATTTTTTTCATTTGATCTTTCTGCCATGTTGATAAAAAAACATCACAAGTTTTGATTATAGGACTGGATTTTATCCTTCGTAAGAGTTAAAATCTCAACCTCTGGCCTTATGCTTGTTTTCTTTTTCTCCTCTGCTTCGACTTTTTTCTTTCTAGTTCAGCCAAGTTTCCTAAGTCATGTTGATCATAAAATGGAGTCTGATTTTATCTCAAGAATAAATTTTATGATTATGAAACATTTTAAATAAGATGTCCAGAAATTTTTAACAAAATGTAATCAATATTCTTTCAGTTAGTAAGGCCAGATAGCTTCATAGCATTAATCCAAAAAAGGAAATTATATGTTTAAATTATTTTTTAAAATTATTTTTAATCTCCTATGAGGACAAATAATTTAAAACTGTAATAAAATTGATCGGTCACCTTCTACAGCATTACAAGTTAATTTACTGATTTTAAAAATGTATTACCGACCAGCTAGGGCAACGTGACAAAACCCTGTCTCTACTAAAAACACAAAATTAGGCCAGGCATGGTGGCTCACGCCTGTAATCCCAGCACTTTGGGAGGCCGAGGCGGGTGGATCACTTGAGGTCAGGAGTTTGAGACCAGCCTGGCCAACATGGTGAAACCCCGTCTCTATTAAAAATACAAAAATTAGCCGGGCATGGTGGCAGGTGCCTACAATCCCAGCTACTCGGGAGGCTGAGGCAGGAGGCTCACTTAAACCCCCAGGAGGCGGAGGTCACAGTGAGCCAAGATTGTGCCACTGTACTCTAGCCTGGGCAGCAGAGCAAGACTCTAACTCAAAAACAACAACAACATCAACAAAAACTCCACAAAAATTAGCCAGACATGGTGGCACACGCATGTAGTCCCAGCTTCTCAAGAGGCTGAGGTGGGAGGCTTGCTTGAACCTGGGAGGCAGAGGTTGCAGTGAGTCGAGATGGTGCCACTGCACTCCAGCCTGGGCAATAGAGGGAGACCCTGCCTCAAAAAAAAAAAAAAAAAACAAAAAAAAGTATTACCACAAAAGTATTGACAGGAATACCAGCATCTTTGTTCTATCAGATTTTGCAGAGATGAACTGTGCCAGTTTAAACCTTGTGAATACAGTTAATGCTATATTTATATTAGTAAATGCACAGTATTTACAAAGTAAATATTAATTTTACAAATGATTGAGGATCCTGTGCTTTCTGAACTAGAGAGAGACAAAGTTCAGCTCAGAAGTTGCCCTCTTCATTTGTACATATAGATAGAACTCTGATTTATTAGTCAGGTCTGGTGTAGTTTCCCTTTCATCAGGCCCTTTGGGAAGAGAAATTATGACCCAGTGATAAAGTCAGGAACACAGACAGGGCGAACGTAATGTAGGCCCCAGCTTAGCCTGTAATCAGAGCTTTAAGTACCTGTTTAAATCTATCCCTTGATTATTAGTGATTTGCTCCAGATGCCTTCAGGAGGATATATTTTATAGGACATGGCTTTCCTGAAGACCAAGCATGACTTCCCTCAAATTATGAGAAGTGTTTGTGAGTTGGTTTGTGTGTGCATCATTATATGATTTGTTTGTCTAAAGACTATATATAGAAGATATAGATATGAGATCCCATGTGCTTAAGCTATTTTATACTTGTCGAATATATTTAAAAATACCACCATGTGGTATTTTTGTTTAGAGACAGGGTCTCACTCTGGTTGCCCAGGTTGGAGTGCAGTGGCACAATCTTGGCTCATTGCAGCGTCGACCTTCTGAGCTCAGGTGATCCTACCAGCTCAGCCTCCCGAGTAGCTTGGACTACAGGCACGAACACTATGCCTGGCTAATTTTCTTTTTTTTTTTTTTTGTATTTTCAGTAGAGACGGGGTTTTGCCATGTTGCTCAGGCTGGTCTTGAACTCCTGGACTCAAGGAATCTGCCCGCTTTGGCCTCCCAAAGTGCTGGGATTACAGGCATGAGCCACTGCACTCAGCCTTATGTGCTCTTTATTTTAGATTAATTTTCTAAATTTTCCAATATATTCTCTTTTAATAAAAAGTAAATTTAGATTTTAATTAAAATATCATTTTATCTACAGATATTTCAGTATACATCTCTAAAAAAGGACTCTATAAAAACCTATTTTCTTATAATTTTCATATCTAAGACATTAATAACATGAGTTTAAATTTTGAAAAGTTGAGAAATAAATTAGGTTGTATTGATTGTAATTGTAAATAATAAATTGATTTTATCTGGATGCTACGGTCTTGCCAATGACAGGTATGATTGCAATCATTGATGAAGAATGGGGATTACTGAACTTAATATTCCCTGTCATAACTCTGGTATCAAATAGAGAATCCAAGTCACATAAAGCACTTGATCCAGGCCAGGCACTGTGGCTCACGCCTGTAATCCCAGCACTTTGGGAGGCTAAGGTGAGTGGATCACATGAGGTCAGGAGTTCGAGACCAGCCTGGCCAACACGGTGAAACCCCGTCTCTACTAAAAATACAAAAATTAGCCAGGCATGGTGGCGGTCACCTGTAATCCAAGCTACTCGGGAGGCTGAGGCAGGAGAATCGCTTGAACCTGGAGGTGGTTGTTGCAGTGATCGTGCCATGGCACTCCAGCACTCCAGCCTGGGGGACAGAGCAAGACTCCGTCTCAAAAGGAAAAAAAAAAAAAAATCACTTGATCCCTACACTGAGAGGCTAATGGAAAAAATTGAAAGATAATTTTGAAAGATGTGTTGGATTATGTCAAAGAGAGTCTTACTAACAACTGAAAGTCCTTTACATTGGGATCCTACCAACCCCGTTAATTGTTGAGTTTAACTAAAACATCTTCAGTTTCCTGGTCCTCAGTTACAGAGCATTTCTGGAGAAATTCACAGTACTGTGTGCCTTACTTAATCTATTTATCTAATCTCTGCCAAACACTTAATGCACTTTGAGAGTCTTTTAATTTATCTGTATTTGATTTTCTATCAAACTTACCATAGTTTTTGTATCAGAGTAGAAGATAGAGAGTGAGCACTTGCAGATGAGTCCTATGAGTACTGCCAAAGGGCAAGAAGGTGGGGAATGAAGCTGGAGGGCATATTTCAGGGATCAAATACTAATAAGGACCCATCATTTCAGCTAGAGAGCAATATCAAAGACACAACTTCAAACTCAGTACCAGGTGAAGAATTAAGTAAATCAATAACAAAATTATCTGGAAAATCCTCAGATATTTGGAAATAAAACAACACATTCTAAATAATCTATGGGTCAAAGAAGAAATCACAAGAAAAATTAGAAAATATTTTGAACTAACTATACTGTAGGGCTACAGCAACCAAAACAGAATGGTACTGGTACAAAAACAGACACTTAGACCAATGGAACAGAATAGAGAGCCCAAAAATAAGGTCGCACCCCTACAACCATCTGAACTTTGACAAAGCTGACAAAAACAAGCAATGAGGAAAGGACTCCCTATTCAATAAGTGGTGCTGGGATAACTGGCTAGCCATATGCAGGAGATTGAAACTGGACCCCTTGCTTACACCATATACAAAAATCAACTCAAGATGAATTAAAGACTTAAATGTAAAACCCCAAACTATAAAAACCCTGGAAGACAACTTAGGTAATACCATTCTGGACACAGGAACTGGCACAGATTTCATAATGAAGACACCAAAAGCATCTACAACAAAAACACAAATTGACAAATGGGGTGTAATTAAACAAAAAAGCTGCATAGCAAAAGAACTATGAGAGTAAACAGACAACCTACAGAATGGGAGAAAATTTTTGCAAATTCTACATCTGACAAATGTCTAATATCCAGCATCTATAAGGAACTTAAACAAATTTATAAGAAAAGGCTGGGTGCAGTGGCTCACTCCTATAATCCTAGTACTTTGAGAGGCCAAGGTGGGTAGATTGCCTGAATTCAGGAGTTTGGGACCAGCCTGGGCAACATGGTGAAACCTCATCTCTACTAAAATAGAAAAAATTAGCTGAGCATGGCAGTGTGCACCTGTAGTCCCAGCTGCTCAGAAGCTGAGGCAGGAGAATCGCTTGAACCTGGGAGGTGGAGGTTGCAGTGAGCCGAGATCGTGCCACTGCACCCCAGCCTGGACAACAGAGCAAGACTCTGTCTCTAAACAAAAAAAAAAAATTTACAAGAAAAAAACAAACAAATCTATTAAGAAGTGGGCAAAGGACATGAACAGACACTTTTCAAAATAAGACATACATGCAACCAACAAGCATATGAAACAAAGCTCAATATCACTGATCATTAGAGAAATGCAAATCAAAACCACACAAGATACCATCTAATACTAGTCAAAATGGCTATTACTAAAAAGTCAAAAAATAACAGATGGGGTTGGTGAGGTTATGGAGAAAAGGAAACACTTATACATCGTTGGTGGGAGAGTAAATTAGTTCAACTATTGTGGAAGGCAGTGTGGTGATTCCTCAAAGAGCTAAAAACTGAACTACCGTTCTACCCAGCAATCCCATTACTGGATATATGCCCAAAGGAATATAAGTCTTATTGTCATAAAGATATATGCACATGCATATTAATTGCAGCACTATTCACAATAGCAAAGACATAGAATCAACCTAAATGCCCATCAGTGGAAGGCTGGGTAAAGAAAATATGGTACATATATACCGTGGAATACTCTGCAACCATGAAAAAAAAAAAAAAGAGATCATATCCTTTGCAGGAACATGGATGGAGCTAAAGGCCATTATCCATAGCAAACTAATGCAGGAACAAAAAGCCAAATACTGCATGTTCTCATTTATAAGTGGGAGCTAAATGATGAGAACACATGGACCCAAAGAGAGGAACAGCAGACACTGGGGGCTAACAGAGGGTGAAGGATGGGAGGAGGGTGAAAAGCAGAAAAATAACTATTGGGTACTAGGCTTAGTACCTAGGTGACAAAATAATCTGTACATCAAACCCCTGTGACATTAGTTTACCTATATAAGAAACTTGCATATGTACTCTTCAACCTAAAATAAAAGTTAAAAAAGAAAATATTTTAACAGAATAAAAATGAACATATAATATATAAAAGTGTGTGGAAGGAAGCCAATGCAGTGAGAAATTTATAACACTAAAGGCCTACACCAGAAAATAAATATCTCAAATCAACTACCTTTAAAAACTAGAAAAAAAAGGACAAATTTAATGGAAAATAAGCAGTAGGAAGGAAATAATGAAGATAAAAGCAAAAATCAATAAAGAGTCAACAGAAGAACAATGGAGAAAATCAACGAAACTGAAAACTTGTTCTTCAAAAGGATCAATAAAATTCATAAAACTTTAGCCAAGTGAGACCCTGTCTCAAAAAAAAAAAAAAACTTTAGCCAGACCAAACAGGAAAAAAAAGAAGATAGAAAATACTCATGACCAATATTATAAAGGAAAAAGGGAACCTCACTACAGATGCAACAAATTAAATTATGTTACTTAGGCATTCAATGAATCTATTCTTAATCTTGGTTTTCATCAGCATCAACATTTAAAGGATAATAAAGGTATATTATGAACAACTTATATGACGCTAACAGGTTTCTAAAGACATGCAAACTACTAAAGTTCACTCAAGAAGAGTAGAGTACATGAATTGCCCTATACCTATATAAGTAATTAAATTTGTATTCACCTAACTGAGTCTACCTTAGACTTGTCTGATTCCAAAGCCACTACAGTGAGGAGGTCACGACTGTCCACCAAAACTCTCTTATTACCCTGCCTATGTCCCTTAAAATGTCTTCCTAAGCTCATCCATCCAGTTATCTATTCCTCTTGACAGAATAGGATGAATTATAGGAAACTTCATAAAGAAAATTTGACCTGGATACTGCAGGGTAAGGATGAGTGTACCATGGAGGAAAGGGAGGAAAAGGTTTTCTAGTCACAGTCCTGTGCCACAGCATCCTGGACAGATTTCCAAAATGGCTTCCATTCATTGGCGAGGTTACAGAGAAGACAATGGAAACTACAGCCTACAGTATTTCATTTCTATACCTGGAAAGCTGATGGAAACCAAGATTAAATAGGGACTTACTGGACCAAGTAACATAATTCATTGAGGGAAAGACTTCTTTCCTCTAATAGACAATAAGCATTTGGTCAGGGTAAACTCTTTGAGGAAGATTTTTTAAAAGTTACCGGTATCAGGGGATTAGAGAGCAAGTACTACCATGGATAAAAGACTAGGTTGGGCTGGGTGTGGGAGTTCATGCCCCCCAGCACTGTGGGAGGCTGAGGTGGGCAGATCACCTGAGGTCAGGAGTTCAAAACCATCCTGCCCAACATGGTGAAAACCCATCTCTACTAAAAATACAAAAACTAGCTAGGCATGGTGGCACATGCCCATAATCCCAGCTACTCGGGAGGCTGAGGCAGGAAAGTTGCTTGAACTTGGGAGGAAGAGGTTTCAGTGAGCTGAGATTGTGCCACTGCACTCCAGCCCAGTCCATGGAGTGAGACTCCATCTCAAAAAAAAAAAAAAGAAAGAAAGAAAGAAAGGCTAGCTTGGAGTTCTAAACAAAAGAAAAATAAGTATTTTCTAAATAATATAGAAGTGGCAATAATGGGATTACCTGGGATGAGTATTAGAATTGGGTCTACTTAAAGTCTTTATAAATGAGTGAAAACCTCAAATTCACAAATGATGTGATTTTTTTTCAGGTGAAAAGACAACAGTTGCATAGGGAGTAACTGAGGCAGAGTCTCAGAGACTGGACTAGAGGACAGGAAAGTGGCCGATGGACTTCTTTTGACAAACATTGATTATCATGCATTTAGGTAAAAATAATTCAAGCGATATCTATAAAATAATGAATTCAACATTCAGTCACACTTCTGAAAAGGAATCTAGGAGTTATTGTAGAGTATTCCTATGTTTTTAAAAGGAAAATGAACTGAATAAGAAAGGAGAAAAAAAGGAGAAAAAGACTATTGTGTGTGTGTGTGTGTCTACAAAAAACTTTAATGTCCTTAGAAATTTTCCTCAATTTCCAACCAATGTTAGCAGCCATCATAAGCTGCCTAGGAAGCCATAGTATTACATTTTACTCACAATTCCATTAAATTACAGAAGTAAGGAGCTATTTTAAGAAATGGAGCAAAGAGTATCTTTGAGTAGATGGCAATGATGAGGCACAGGTTGTAATTTGTAATTACATCTGTGAGTATAGTCACATATTTACTTCTTGATTTCAGTCAGCATGAAGTAATTATGTGTTCCAGAATGGAGTGCATTCAAAGTTGTGTTTAAAAACTTCATGCAGATTTCCCACTTGGCTGAAGAAAAATCTGCTCCTAATGTTATGGTCCCCTCCAGCATGCCATAAATGGACACCATAGAGATCAGAAAAGCTAATAAGTAGAACAATTTAAGAATCGCTTCTCACAAATCAAAATGGAGCAAATGTGAGATCCACATAGCAGTAATCAAATATACACCTCCCCAAATCATAGAACACATTTAACCTCTGAACATATCCTATTAACAAAGTCAGGTTTTATCCTCCCTGTGGGCCCTTGAATGCAAAGCTTAAAACATGACAATGGCTTTACAGGGTGAATATGATAACCACAGGATTTTCTTTGGTATATGCCTCATATACCTTGACACACTTTTAGGAATGCATAACAATCCTTCCTAGATTGTCTTTGAGCTCTTTTTTTCAGCTGCCTGTGCATTTATGAGGTTGTGAAAAGCCATGATTGAAGACTGCTGTCATGGCTGCCTCTTCAGAGAGGTCCACACTTAGGTCAAACAGTAAAAATAATAAGTGTCCATGAGATATAGGGTGGGGCACAAGGAGGTTGAATTGTGAAAGCAATTACAGCTGATAAAATTCTGTTTTCCTACTCAGAATTCTAAGGGGATCACTGTTCAGTTGCCCTACCACTTACTCCAAATTCCTTCACCTTCATGCACTGAAGAAGAGGTCTGTGTGCCTCTTGGTTCAGGAAAGATCTTGAGGAAAGAGTCTGAGTGCTTTCTTACAGGAAACAAAAACTGAATTTATTAAGTATAAGGGCACAAAAGTTCCATAGGGACACACTAAATGCTTTCCAGCCTAATGACTTAAATTAGGTAGTCTCTGAGGAATCTCAGACTTGGTTCTTCACACACAGCCATAAAAAAACCTTTGAGGCAGAGTGCAGTGGTTCATGCCTATAACTCCAGCACACTGGGAGGCTGAGGCAAGAGGATTGCTTGAGCCCAGGTGTTTGAGAGCATCCTGGGCAACATAGGGAGACCTTGTCTCTACAAAACATTAAAATATTAGTCAAGTGCGGTAGCATGTGCTTGTGGTCCCAGCTACTACATGCAGGCAGGAGGATCACTTGAGCCGAGGAGGTTGAGGCCGCAGTGAACCATAATTGCACCATTGCACTCCAGCCTGAGTGACAGAGAGAGACCCTCTCTCTAAAAAAAAAAAAAAAAAATAGGCCTGGCACGGTGGCTCACGCCTGTAATCCCAGCACTTTGGGAGGCTGAGGCAGGCAGATCACGAGGTCAGGAGATCGAGACCATCCTGGCTAACACGGTGAAACCCCGTCTCTACTAAAAATACAAAAAAATTAGCCGGGCGTGGTGGCGGGCACCTGTAGTCCCAGCTACTCGGGAGGTGAGACAGGAGAATGGCATGAACCTGGGAGGCAGAGCTTGCAGTGAGCCGAGATTGCGCCACTGCACTCCAGCCTAGGTGACAGAGCGAGACTCCATCTAAAAAAAAAAACAACAAAACACTTTTTTTGATACTGAGTGACCTTGTTCTGGGCAGAGAGATAACCTATCTATGTGAAGTAAGGAGTTCACATTTAGGACTTCACTCCTTACCTGCCTTGCCTACTTAACCACTGGGATGAGAGCTCAGCAGGGAGCATCATGCTGGTTACTGTTGGGGATAAGCATCTTTGAATGGGAAAAATGTACCCAGAGCTTGGAGTGAGAACTGCGTGTTATTTCCTGGCCCAAGGTGTGTGACGTGGAGAAGTTCTCTTAGCCAATCTATGTCTCCTCATTTGGAAATAGTAGTAGTAATAACAACAACAAGCCTACTTATCTGGTGGTTTTCTATCATAAGGACAAAAAGGGTTGTGTTTGAAAATATTTTGTAATCTGTAAAGCACCCTACTAATGTTCATTATTATTATTGTTCCTTGTATTGGATAACAATGCTCATGTCATTGTTATTTCCCAAGCTAGTTTTTCAACTGTCCTATGGAGGGATTCTGAATTGTTCAAAGTGGACAATGACTGGCATTTATCCCCACTCTGCTTTCTATGTACATGTAGTTCAGAAATACACAATGCAAAACCCTTTGTTGGTGTTTCAAGACCTAGAGCTGGGTTCCTCTTTTGCATCTTGCATACCAATGTAAGCTCAGATTCCCCTTGGACTCACCACAGTCCTACTTTAAATTGCACCGGTTAAGATATATACAAGCAATTAAGTATTTGAGTATTTATTTGTCTGGTTTCTGCTTGATCTTTAGAACTTCACAAAACATTACAAATTTTTATATGACCTTGGGCAAGTCACTTAATCTTTTCAAGTTTTGGTTTCTTCATTTATAAAGTGAGGGAGGTTAAACTACATGCCTCCTAAGGTCTTTTCCAACTTTAAATTTTTATGATTTTACTGTAGTGTCTCCCTAGATGGTTAAAAAAAATCACCAATTAGGGATGCTATGTGTAAAGGGCTACAATATTTTTTAAGTAGATGAACATTTCTTGGAAATTATTAGCTCATGCTCATCCACCTGCTTGTTGACTTCAGGGTGCTTTACTTAATATTTTTAAAAAAAGATTAGGCTGGGCATGGTGGCTCATGCCTGTAATCCCAACACTTTGGGAGGGCAAGGCAGGTAGATCACTTGAGTTCGGGAGTTCGAGACCAGCCTGGCCAACATGGTGAAACCTTGTCTCTACTAAAAATACAAAAATTAGCTGGGCTTGGTGGCAGGCGCCTGTAATTCCAGCTACTTGGGAGCCTGGGGCGGGAGAATCGCCTGAACCTGGGAGGCAGAGGTTGCAGTGAGCTGAGATCATGCCACTGCACTCCAGCCTAGGTGACACAGTGAGACTCTGTCTCAAAAAAATAAATAAATAAAAATAAAAATTAAAAACATTAAATTTTAACACTGGGCAGGCATTATCGTCTTTGTTCCAATCCTTTCATAAGTATAACATGCCAGAGTTACTACTCTGTAAATCAAAAAGGTTATTAACCCGGTCAATTCCAGGTACCAAATAAGCAGTCTAACCTTTTGTCTCTGTAGTACAGCTTTAGGCAATGGCCAGAGTTGTTCAGGCAAAGGCTAAGGTCCTGTCTTCTAATGTGTTACTTTATTTTCTAGAGAGAAGCCTTCTCAATATGAAAGATTAGAGCCAGAGGGGAGAATGCAGACACCTGGATAGTCCAATAGAGCAGTGCTCTTCCTTTCCAGCTACTCTGTCCAGGGTCATTACAATCTCTGCTTCTCTGATATCCTTGCACAAATATAAATGTAGATAGACAGCTTGACACATACACATACTCCACACACACGTACATTTATATACATAGATGTGTATAAATGTATGAATGTGTTTATCTAATTATTAACTAATATTATCTTTACCCTCAAGGAATTTACTATCTTGAACAACTGGGATTAAAATGTACAACTAATTTAAGTGCTCTAAGAACCTGGGTATTCCCAAATAACAGATACTTACATGGATTATCCAAATGTTTCATGATAGCTATCATTACTGAGTGTATACCATGCACCAAAACCAATCTCAATGCTTTACACATATTGACTCAGTTAATTTAATCCTCCCAATAAAGTTATGAGGTAGGTCCTATTATTACGCTCAGTTTATAGAGAAGGACACTAAATCACACAGTGATTAAGGGATTTGCTCAAGACCATATAACCAGCAAGTGTCAGAGTTAGGTTTCACACAGGCAGCCAGCTCCAGAGCCCAGTGACTTAACCCATCCATTGGGCTACCTCTATGCAGGTTTCCCAGCACACCTGTCCCCTCCAGGTCTTCCTGAGCAGCTCAGCACATGATGAGTGGGCTGTCATGAGCTTCACCAGCACCTACCAGACTCTGCTTGTTACTGTCTAAGGCCACTGTTGTAGGCTGTTACCTTGACATAGCCTCTGAGATGGAGATTTGCATGCAGGAGATTAACCAAGGAGAACTCCCAAGAACATCTATTAAGGAGTGGAGGAATCAGGAAGGACCAGCATCCATTCAGAGGAGAGGCCTGAACCATGATGCTGTTGCAATGGAGGCCTTAGCAGATCCCCTGGGGAGCTCTAGATCTGGAATGGCCCATCCTGAATTGAGGCAAGGGTGCAGGGTGTTTGTACCCTCATCTCTAGGAGTCACTGGATGCTGGCTGCCCTAGGAGAGCAAGGCAGCTGCCTTTGACTGAGAGCAATTTCTGAGGAAGGAGTTAGTGGTGAGTCATCAGGAGGCAACTCTTCCAGCAGTGAAGGGAATAAGAACTTCAGCCCTAGTCTGGGCAACATAGCAAGGCCCCCATCTCTACAAAAAGAAAAATAGAAAAAATTAGCCGGGCATTATGGTGTGTGTCTGTGGTCCCAGCTACTCAGGAGGCTGAGGTGAGAGGATCC
This sequence comes from Homo sapiens, assembly GCF_000001405.40. Lineage (NCBI taxonomy): Eukaryota > Metazoa > Chordata > Mammalia > Primates > Hominidae > Homo > Homo sapiens. The sequence goes on along the minus strand of NC_000012.12, from coordinate 25,904,435 downwards.
CTTGAGCCCGAGAGTTCGAGGCTGCAGTGATCTATGATTGCACCACTGTACTCCAGCCTGGGTGACAGAGTGAGATTCTGTCTATAAATAAAAAAATTAAATTAAAAAAGAACCCTAGCCATAAAGAGGGCATCTGGGCAATGCACCATATATCTACTGTAGACCCGCAAAGTCAGGATGAAATGAGAGGCATGGAAGAGAGTATTTTAAGAAAGGAGTCCCTACTTTGTTTCTCTGCAATGTTTCTCTGCCTTGGAAGGAATGAAAGGAACTGCTCACCTGTTGCCTCCCCTTCCACATCCCACTTCTTTTCATTCTATGGCTGGATTACTAAGGCTCTTGCAAAAATTTGCACGGGTAGCTCAGCTGGGTGGATTCAGATTGGTCAGTCCCTCAGTGATGATATGACTGATGAGCAATTGCTCTCTCTCTCTCCCTCCCTCAAAGAACATTTTTTTTTTTTTGCTCACTCTCTCAGATATTAATATGTCCCTTGGAATGGAAGCTGACTCTTGATATAAAAGCCATAGCTCAGAGAAGCTCTATATTATACCTGAAATGGTGAAATGAGAAAGCAATAAAAACATGCTTCTATAGGCCTCCTCTTACTCAACAGCATAGACTTATCGCATCATTCTCTCTCTGTCTGCCTGTCTCTCCCTCTTCCTCTCTCTCCTCCACCCCCTTGCCATGTTTGCATGTGTGTGTGTTTTGGGAGAAACATGAAGATGTGTTATATTTATAGCAACACTGATCATGTATTAAAAGTCTCCTACACACCAGACACTTTATGCATATTATTGCTAAACATCCTGATACCCTCCATGGTAGGTATTATTCACCCTGTTTTATAGATGAGGAAATTGTTGTTCAAAGAGTTTCAGTGAATTGCTCATGACCCACAGCCAGTAAATGATAGAACAAGAACATTTAAGCACTCTTTTCACATCCCAAATCCATATAGACTTTGTGAAAATATTTAAAAAGGGGTTTGAAGCTCCTTGAGTTTCATTTGGGGAGTTTTGGGGCAGATGTTAGCCCTGAAAGTCAGGAAAATGAATTTACGTGTGGATAAATAGGACTTTCCTCTGCCCTGCTCGCATTCTCCTGCAGTCCACCTTGTGTATCCTGTGTGGGATGGCAGGCACTCATTGTTTACACACCCACAGTAACACACATGGTCTTTATTTAATGAGAAAACTTTAATAACTGGTTTTTGCCTTGCTAGGAACAGCCTCTAATCTTCCTGGTAGAAAGTGGTAAATTTTCCTCTCACAGCTGGTCTGGGCTTCAATCAAAATACAATAGTTAACTTTTCATCTGTTTGAAGATCTGGAATAAGAACATGCGATGTACAATTGCATAATGTCATGGTCCAAACTGAAATACATTTGCCTTTAAATGTTCTTTATAGGATTTTTCCACCACACCTAAAGTGAAAGCTGGTGAACTTAAAGCTGGTAATCCAAAGATTTAAGACACTTTCATGCTGCTATTTTAATAGAGCCTTCTAAAGGGAATGCCATTACCTAAAGGATTGGTCCTCATTGTGAAAAGGTTTGGCTTTGATGCTTTTGCCTTAGAGAAGGACCCTAATCTTTGCCACCAGCTCCCAGGTTGGGAGCAAAAACAAAGCAGGGGCAAGGGCAGTAAGTCCTTATCTTGGAGGAAGAATGGATAAAAATGTGTACTCTCTTGCCAGGTGTGGTGGCTCACACCTGTAATCCCAGCACTTTGGGAGGCTGAGGCAGGCGGATCATGAGGTCAGGAGATGGAGACCATCCTGGCTAACACAGTGAAACCCTGTCTCTACTAAAAATACAAAAAAATTAGCTGGGTGTGGTGGCAGGCACCTGTAGTCCCAGCTACTCAGGAGGCTGAGGCAGGAGAATCGCTTGAACCTGGGAGGCGGAGCTTGCAGTGAGCCGAGATCGCACCACTGCACTCCAGCCTGGGTGACAAGGCAAAACTCCATCTCAAAAAAAAAAAAAAAAAGAAAAGAAAAGACTTGTGGAGAGAGGAACTGAGTTATGGGAAAAGACTGAAGAAGGGCCAGTTAACTGAAGGCTGAGAAATGTTAAGATCTGAATTGGAGGGAAAAGGGAGAAATAGAAATGTTTTTACTGTAGTCAGATTTTTTTTTGGTTTGTTTGTTTTGTTTTTTGTTTGTTTTTTTTTTACCTCAGTGGTACACAGATGGTTAAATATTGTCCTTGAGTAACTTAAATGACTAAACAGCCAGTGTAGCTTTCTGAACAGTGACCACAGGAAGATTTGGTTATGACATTGGTAAAATATTATAAGAAAACTCTTAGTGACAACATAATACATTCATGGATATAGCATAGCAGGACAAAAACATAGTAAGACACACTTACTGAGCAAAGGAAGCCACAGGCACTTCCCACTGTATCAAGAGGAACCCAAAAACGTACACATCACACAGAGCAATTTCATTCAGCATAAGAGCCATAGGCATTGGCAGACAACTTGGGATATGAAGACAAAGGGCTGTGAAACATTTATCTCACATAAAGTTGTTATTCTGGTAACATTCTTATGAAGAAAGGTTGATGTTGTATAATAAAACTCCAGGGTCACTGACTGTTGTACAGAGTTCAGCTGACAGTCTCCAAGCATGCTATAAACACGTGGTGTTTTTTGTTTTGTTTTGTTTTGTTTTTTTGCTTTTGTTTTTTGTTTTTGAGATGGAGTCTCTCTCTGTCACCCAGGTTGGAGGGCAGTGGCACAATCTTGACTCACTGCAACTTCCGCCTCCCACGTACAAGCAATTCTCCTGTCTCGGCCTCCTGAGTAGCTGGGACTACAAGTGTACCCCACCACACCTGGCTAATTTTTGTATTTTTAGTAGAGATACGGTTTCACCACGTTGGCCAGGCTGGTCTCGAACTCTGACCTCAAGTGTTCCACCTGCTTTGGCCTCCCAAAATGCTGGGATTACAGGCATGAGCCACTGCACCCTGCCTAATATGTAGTGGTTTTGAAAGGGAGAACCTCCAGAACAAAGAGGCTGACTGTCTTACTTAAGGACACACAACAGAATTAGTCCAGCCAGGCTACAGTCCTTAGTATCTCCTAAATGTAAGGTTTATTTTATTTATTTATTTTTAAGAGATAGGGTCTCTCATACCCAAAGAAACTGCAGGTAAAAAGACCAAAAAAAAAAAAAAAAAAGAGAGAGAGAGAGAAAGACAAGTTCTCACTCCGTTGCCCAGGCTGGAGTGTAGTGGCACCAGTAGCTGGGACTACAGGTGTGTGCCACCATACCTTGAAAAAAATTTTAAATTTTTCTGTAGAGATGGGGTCTCACTATGTTGCCCAGGCTGGTCTTGAACTCCTGTCCTCAAGCGATCTGCCTGCCTTGGCTTCCCAAAGTGCAGGGATTAGAGGCATGGGCCACTGCATCTGGCAAGCTTTTTATTATTCTTTCTGGTTCATTGTGCATGATTTTCCTCTGGGCACGAGAAGAAATGGTTTAACTCTTCCCGCCATTCTTCTCCTTCCTTTCAGGTTCAACTCAATTGTCACCTTTTTTCTCAATCACTACATCCCACCTCCCACCTTTGTCATCTTTGATAGCCCATAGTGCTTATTGCCTATACATTTTAGTAAATGAAAAAAATCATAGATTACCATGAACTTCATTATGATCTTTAAAAAGCATACCTTTTCTTAAACCAGGTGTGGTGGCTCACGCCTGTAATCCCAGCAGTTTGGGAAGCTGAGGCAGATGGATCACTTGAGGCCAGGAGTTCGAGACCAGCCTGGCCAACATGGCAAAATCGTATCTCCACTGAAAATACAAAAATTAGCTAGGCATGGTGGCAGGTGCCTGTATTCCCAGCTACTCAGGAGGCTGAGGCAGGAGAGTCGCTTGAACCTGTGAGGCAGAGGTTGTAGTGAGCCGAGATTGAGCCACTGCACTCAGCCTGGGCAACAGAGCGATACTTTGTCTCAAAAAACAAACAACAACAACAAAAAAGTCATTTTCTTAATAGAAGAAATAAGGATTTATTTGTACTCTAAAACTATTCTTATACTTTTTTTGTTTTTACCCAAACTTGTAACATAATGCCAAACTCATGACAACAGTCAGCAAATACTTGGTAATCAATGAGTGAACTAAGTTGTGTGACAATTAGGAATCACCAAATTATTAGTAACAATTACCTGATAAGAATGACTTTAAAAACATAGAGGTTATTTTATTTCACATTAAAAAAATAGTCTGAAAGCAGGAAGCTGGGGACTATGTAGTAATTATGCAACATCGTCCATGTCCCCAGGCTGCATCTAGGTTTTTGCTCCACTATTCTCAGAAGGCAGGGACCTACGTAAGGTTTCCTTTTGGTTGTAAAATTGCTGCTGAAGCTCCAGTCATTATACCTCAGCTAAAGACGTGAAGGGGGAAGAAAGGGTAAAGGGCAAGAAGAGCACAGATGAGTCAGCTCCCTTTAAGGAGCTTTCAGGAAAAGCTACCCACTTGACCACTGCATACTTCTCATTGGTCACCTTTTTTGTAGGGAGTCTGATCAATGTAATCTTTAGAGAGCATATTGTCAAACTAAAGAAGATCGGATTTGATTAGTGAGGAAGAAGAAATAAGAATATAGGATTGGCATTGCCACTCTCTGCCATAAGTAGTAGTTAATGTTGCCTTCTAATGGGGTTCTCTTGCTATACCCACAAGATATTCTCCCAATATAACGAGTCTCCCAATATAATGCTTCCAAATCTATGATTTGGAATTGAGACAAGGAAATATGAAAAGGGGTTATATCAGCCATCCTAGATAGGATTGATGAGTCAAGGATCTGGAGATGTCCAGGTAGGAGAAATCAGGCACTCTAGGACTAAGTGAGACTGTGAGCTGGAGTTGCAGTCCTCTGGAGATTAAGAAACTAGAGCTGTTGATGTTGTTAGAAGACAAGTATTGTGGTAGAGGCATTAAACAATGAGAGAAATTGGCAGCTATGATCTGAAGGTGAAATATGGAATTTAAAATTCCAGAGGCTTATCTGTTCCAGAGAGTGGCAAGATTTAGGGCTCTTGAAGTTCAGCAGAGCTGAAGGTCATTAGACTGGAAAGATCTATAAGCTTCCATAGCACAGAATTATATCTTGAATGTACTTTACGTATTTCCTAGCAGTGCCAAGCACAGATGGATTTTTTTTGTTGTTGTTGTACTAACACTATAACTACATTTTGGAAAATAAAGGGGGAGAATTACTCACATTCCCACCACCTACACAACTCATGTTCTCAATTGGTTGTGTTGCCTTCCACATGATGTACATAGCTGTAACCACAGTTTATATGTGAATATCTATCCTTTCAATTGAACATTGTAAGTATTTTTTCAAAAGCAATCACCCATACCTTTTATGATTAATCGATGGGTCTTTAAGTGTTTCAAATAACATTTTTGAAATTCTCTACATCACAGATCAAGATCATGTTCTTATCAACTCTTATTAATACAGAGCTCACCATCAAAAACAGGGGTTCAAGATTCCTAAGTGTGCCAGGCATGGTGGCTCATGCCTGTAATCCCAGAACTTCAGGAGGTTGAAGCAGGTGGATCACTTAAGGTCAGGAGTTCAAAACCAGCCTGGCCAACATGGCAAACCCTGTCTCTACTAATAATACAAAAATTAGCCAGGCATGGTGGTGCACACCTGTAATCCCAGCTATTCAGGAGGCTGAGGCAGGAGAATTGCATAAACAGGAGGCAGAAGTTGCAGTGAGTCGAGATGGTGCCACTGTACTCCATCCTGGGTGACAGAGTGAGTGAGTGAGACTGTGTCTTATAAAAAAAAAAGAAAGAAAGAAAGAAAAAGAAAAGAAAAGAAAGAGAAGAAAAAGATTCCTAAGTGTGTGTTTTGGTTTTTGCAAATTTGTTGCATCTTTAATTCTAATTTGAACAATGAGAATTTTTCTTTGTATGTTTTTGAATTCATTCTTGCTAGAGAAGACTGCAGAGGTTTAGCAATAGGATACAATGAATGATTGTTCCACTAAATCAGCCAGTCTTTTAGGAAACTTAAATCTTTCCAACCCAGAAAAAGACAAGAGATGTTCTTTGACCCCAGCTAGAGAAATGAGAACTGAACGAAATTTTAGAACTGTACTATCTTGTGGCTGGGGTAAGGATATACTGAGTATCTTCTTAGCACTCCTCTAAGGGGAAGCCCCTGGTCCTGGAGGAAGACAGATTCAGTGTCATCTTTGCACTTACCAGCTACAGACCTTGATTTGTACTCCAAACAACTTTATAATATTCCTAACTTCAAAGGATAGAGGAATGCAGTTAGTAAAAAAGATAAGAGCAACATATGCAACAACAAGATAAAAGAAGTCAGAAGACCATGCATCTCTAACAGTGAGACAAAAATGAGTGATGTCCCTATTTATTCCTGATAATTTGGTTGAAGTTTCACAGTGTTCTTCTTTAGTTTCACAAAAATGAGGATCGTCATCAGTAATCTATAGTATTCCAAAATTTTTATTTAAAATACTTATCAAAAGGGCTGGGTGCAGTGGCTCACACCTGTAATCCCACCACTTTGGGAGGCCCAGGTGGGTGGATCAGTTGAGGTCAGGAGATCGAGACCAGCCTGGCCAAACTGGTAAGACCCCGTCTCTACTAAAAATACAAAAGTTAGCTGGATGTGGTGGTGGGTACCTGTAATTCCAGTTACTTGGGAGGCTAAGGCAGGAAAATCCCTTGAACCCGGAGGCAGAGGTTGCAGTGAGCTGAGATCAGGCCACTGCACTCCAGCCTGGGTGATGGAGTGAGACTCTGTCTCAAAAACAAACAACTCCCCCCCAATAAAAACCCCACTTATCCAGAACCCAACAATTAATCTATATTGTAATTATCTATGGGTTCTTCTTGACCACTACACAGAAAAAATCAATCCATTGAAATCAAGGCATTTCAGTAGAGAGAGTTTAATTGAAATGAGGCCATCCCATACAGGAAAACTGGAGTTACCACACAAATCAGTCTCCCTGAAGGCTCAGAAGTTAGGGGTGTTTATGGGTGATTTTGTGAGCAGGGGGCTAGGGAATGGGTGCTACTGATTGGTAGGGGCTGATATCACAGGGGTGTGGAAAAATGGTCCTCATGCACTGAGTCTGCCTCTGGATGGGGCCACAGGATCGATTGAGTCATGAGTCATAAATCTGGGTGAAGGCAGTCTGAAAAACGTCTTGCAAAAAACCAATTTTAGGTTCTACAATAGTGATGTTATTTATAGGAACAATTGGGGAAGTCACAAATCTTGTGACCTCTGGCAACAGGACTCCTGAGCAGTAAGGGATTACACAAACTACATCTACATTTTAGCAGAGTTCAAGCCCCTTGGATAATTTTATCCTTGTGGCCTTTCATTAGTTTTACAAAAATGGTTTAGTTTTGGGAAGGGCTATCATAACCCTTGGTTTAAGGTTAAACTATAAAATAAATTCCTCTTAAAGTTAGCTTGGACCACACCCAGGAATGACCAAGAATAGTGTGAAGGTCAGAAGCAAGATGGAGTCCACTATGTCAAGTTTCTTTTACTGTACGATTTTGCAAAGGCAGGTTCGTTATAACGTGGAAAATGCTTACATTATAATGTTAATTTAAAATAAAATAATATGCCGGGCATGGTGGCTCATGCATGTAATTCCAGCACTTTGGGAGGCTGAGGTGGGTGGATCAACTGAGGTTGGGAGTTCGAGACCAGCCTGACCAACATGGAGAAACCTGTCTCTGCTAAAAATACAAAATTAGCCGGGCATGGTGGCACATGCCTGTAATCCCAGCTATTCAGGAGGCTGAGACAGGAGAATTGCTTGAACCTGGGAGGTGGACGTTGCAGTGGGCCGAGATACTGCCATTGCACTCCAGCCTGGGCAACAAGAGTGAGACTCTGTCCCAAAAAAAATAAAATAAGATAAAAGAATAGATGATCATATATAAGTTATGGATGCAGCTATATGCATCATGTGGAAGGAGATACATCAATTGAGAGCATGAGTTGTGTAGGTGGTGGGAATGTGAATAGTCCTCCCCCTCTATTTTCCAAAATGTAGTCATATTGTTTGTACGACAAAAAGAAAATCCATCTGTGCTTGGCACTGCTAGGAAATATGTAATGCACATTCAAGATATGATTCTGTGCTATGGGAGCTTACAGAGCTTTCCTACTCTAATGGCCTTCAGCTCTGCTACACTTAGAAAGCCAGGCCCTAAACCTTGTCACTGTCTGGAACAGCTAAGCCTCTGGAATCTTAAATTCCAGATTTCATCCTCTGACCACACCTGCCTATCTTTCCAGTTCTTTCATGTCTTTACCACAATACTTGCTTTTGAACACCATCAAGAGCTCCAGCTCCTTCACTTATCCCTAGAACACCTGATTTCTTCAGCATCCTTCCTTACACAATCTAAATTCAACTGCTATCTCACTAGCACCCTCAAATGTCTTGACACGGTTTCCTCCTGACTTACATGTACAGCAAACTCCCTACCATGGTTCAATTCACGCATCCTTATGGGTCACCTAAATTGCTATATAAACTCATACAAATATATGGATAGACTCTCTACAAAATTGTAAGCTTTCCGTTGCAGGCCAGGCTCAGTGCTACTCAAGAATCTTCCTACTCTTCCCTAGCTCTCTCCCTGTCATCTCCCACATTGGCTGGTTGACACACTTTCTACTTCTGTATCCCTTAAACATGTATTCTCCAGGGTTCTGTTGTCAGTCCCTTCTCTCTCTGTTCATTCTGCTTTAACTGCTATCAGTTGAGTATCTACCTCCAAATCCCACCCAGCCCCTGGCCCCACCCATGCATACTGCACTGGCTACTAGGGTATTTTTATTCTGGGATGTCACACAGATATCTCAGGACTAAACTCATTATATTTTAACCCAAAGACTTTCTTGTTAAAGGTCCTACATTTCAATTCTAATAGCAACTATCCAGCCACCAATTCAGAAATCTGGATGATAATTTTACTGCTTCTTCCCATTCAGCTCCTCTTTCTCATCAGTATAATCATATTCTGTTAATTATTTTAGTTTTCTTTAAAATCTGTACCTCTTTTTCATGCCCATCTTTGCTGCTTTGGTCATTTCCATCATAAATGACCTGGTACAGTGGCCTCATAACTGGTCTTCTTGACTCTTGAGTTGCTTCCTCCAAACCATACTCTTCTCTCCTGCCAGCTTATAAAACACAATTGTTCATATTGCTTGACCTGCTTAAAGCTCTTTGGTAAGCTCCCTCATCACTCAGCAGAAACATTTCAAATTCCCTAATGTGGCAAACAAAGCCCAATGCGATTTGAACTCAATCTTACCTTTCTTGTGTCATCTCTCGTCTCTACCAGTTTCTTGCACTCAGCCATACTGAACATTCATTTCAACAAATGTGCCCATCTTTCACACACTGTCATGCTGTTCCACAGCTGTTTCATTTTCTGCCGCAATCTGTTGATCTGCTAATTCACCAACTTCCCTGACCTCTAAGCAGAGTCAGGGACTTTCTCTTTCCTCTTCCCATGCTTCTTTAATCACACTGCTATTACTGCTCTCCTCATTACCTTTTACTGTGATTATTTGTTTTCTTCTCCTGCACTAGATTGTCAGTTCCTTGAAGGCAGAAACCATATCTCAGTCATTTTTGTGTCCCTGGTTTCTGACTACATTAATTGTCTGGAAAACTTTTTTTTTTTTTTAAAGAACAGCAGCATACCTCTGACACTGGGTCCCCATTTTGCACTTGTTTCCCTTCAATATTTTTTTTTAATTTTTTATTTTTTTTGAGGCAGGGTTTCACTCCCATCAACTAGGCTAGAGTGCAATGGCATGATCTTGGCTCACTGCAACCACCGCCTCCCGGGCTCAAGCTATTCTCTTGCCTCAGCCTCCTGGGTAGCTGGGACCACAGGCGTATGCCACCATGCCCTGCTAATTTTTGTATTTTTTTTGCAGAGACAGAGTTTCGCTATGTTGCCCAGGTTGGTCTTGAACTCCTGAGCTCAAGTGATCCACCAGCCTTGGCCTCCCAAAGTGCTGGGATTACAAGTGTAAGCCACTGGGCCTGGCCTCTTCAATCTTCTTGAACAAATTCTCAACACCACATGGCTCCACTCCTTTACTTCCCGTTCACCTTTCCAATTCAGGGTAATTAGATTCCCACGCTATCCACTTCCAAGAGGTGGCTCTGGGAAAAGTCGGCAGTGACTGACCTATTGCCAAACTCAACAAACACTTTTCAGCACTGGGCTTCTCTGATTTGTCTTATGCCTTTGACACTGGAGACTACTCTCTTAATTCCAAAGCTCTCTCTATGACACTGCACACTCCTCCAGCATCTCTAACCGTTTGTCTACCTTTGTAAACTCCTCTTCCCTGTTGGGCTGCCCTAAGGTTTGGTCCTCAGTCCACTGCTCTTGCTTTCTATACTCAATGTAGAATGCGGCCATTTATCACAATGTCACAGTGTGATTTATCTCAGTGGTTTTAATTAACACTTACATTCTTGTAAGTCTCTAGACTATATCCCGTCCTCACCTCTCATCTGAACTTCAGAGTTGAATATCCAGTTGTTCAGGAGACATATATCTATTTGTATGTTCCATAGTTTCCTGAAACACAAGTGCAAACTGATGTAATCATCTGCCCTTTGGACTTTCCTCAACACAATCTGACTCCATTCTGCCCCACTGTAAGCTCCTTCTTTTTTCTTTTTATTTATTTATTTAGAAATGGGGTCTTGCCATGTTGCCCAGGCTGGTCTCAAACCCCTAGACTCAAGTGAGCCACCCACCTTGGCCTCTCAAAGTGCTAGGATTACAGGTGTGAGCCATGGCACCTGGCCACCTTCTGAATTTCTTATGTAAACCCTGTATTAGGCCATTCTAGTATTCCTATAAAGCTATCATAATAAGCAGATGTTATCATTCTTTGGCCCTCTCAAAAGTCAACAAGCAAAATGTCTTGAGCATCCCCCCAAAAAACTGTTGTCATGACCATTGCTCTTGACCAGTCCACTTTTGCTTTGACTGGACAACTTCCAACTCTTGGTAGCCATTGCTTTGATTGTGTTTTGTCTTCAGGATTGCACTGGTAAACCATGTTTCATCCCCTGTTACAATTCTTTAAAGAAATGCTTCAGGATCTTGATCCTACGTGTTTAAAATTTCCATTGAAATCTCAGCTATTGTCTGCAGCTGATCTGGGCACAACAGTTTTTGCACTCATCAAGTGGAAAGTTTGCTGAATCTTGATTTTTCAGTCAGAATTATGTAAGCTGAACTGATCAAGATGTCTAGGTGTTGGCTACTGTTTCTGCTCTGATCATCAGTCCTCTTCATCTTCAACATTGTCTCATCTCTTAAAATGAATTATCGGATCAGGTGTGGTGGCTCACACCTGTAATCCTAGCAGTTTAGAAGACTGAGGCCAGAGGATTGCTCGAGCCTAGGAATTCGAGACCAGCCTGAACAGCATGGCAAAACCTTATCTCTAAAAAGAAATATAAAAACTTGCTGGGCGTGGTGACATGCACCTGCAGTCCCAGCTACTCAGGGGGCTGAGGTGGGAGGATTGCTTGAGCCCAGGAGTTCGAGGCTGCAGTGAGCCCTAATTGTACCACTCTACTCTAGCCTGGGTGACAGAGCAAGACTCTGTCTCAAAACAAAAACAAAAAAGGGGTTATCTATTCGAAAACTGCTGATTTTTGGGGGGCATTCTTCCCATATTTTTGTAAAGCATGAATAATTTCACCATTCTTCTACCCAAGCTTCACTGTAAATTTGATGTTTGTTCTTGCTTCAATTTTAGTAGAATTCACGCTGCTCTGATAGGAGCTCTTTTCAAACTGACATCTTATCTGTCTTATTGCCTCAAACTAGATCCTGTTTAGACATGTTATAACAAGTCAGTGGAAGTTTACTTTGTTTCAAAAAATTTATAAAATCCATGCATAGTTTCTTCATAATACACATATTCCAGGAACATTTTGAAGACCCCTCATATTTTCCATCACTTGTATCCTACTGGGAAATGCAAATATGGATAGTGAAAGAAGTTCTCAAGGTTCCCGCCTATGGTACACTCTTAGGGAAATTGGTAAACCATGTATTGTGATTTTATGTTCCCTGGTAGGCAGTGATTAAGTACTGGGCTGCATTTATATTAATTGAATAAGGGCAATAACACTAGGAAAAATATACTACTTGTCCATATGACATTGGGATTTCACTTTAAAATGATTTGTTCTAGTTCCTTGCTCATGGTTGGCCTATGGAGGGAAAAAATAAAGAAAATGATCTGTTCTAGAGAAAATCCTACCAAATTACTAAATAAAGAGATTTTAGCTATTAAACTTGCCACAAGGGCATAGCTAATCATAAATTAATTCTTAGCATGGTTGGCCAAGGCAGGTTTTTTTTTTTTAAATTATAGGATATAGCATAGTTTCTGTTTATAACGTACAAAGGAAACAGATATATTTAAAAGTAATTCAGGCTGGGCACAGTGTTTCAGGCCTGTAATCCCAGCACTTTGGGAGGCCAAGATGGGAGGGTCCATAAGCCCAAGGAGTTCGAGACCAACCTGGGCAACATGACAAAATCTCATCTCCACGAAAATTACAAAAAATTAGCTGGGTATGGTGGCACACACCTGCAGTCTTAGCTACTCTGGAGGCTGAGGTAGGAGGATCATTTGAGCCTGGGAAGTTAAGACTGAAGTGAGTGGTGATTATGTCACTGCACTCCAGCCTGGGTGATGTTATAAATAAAGTTTCAGTGCCTCAAAAGAAATAGCACTCGAGTATAAAATTTTCCTTTTTTCTTCTCAGCAAGGCTATTTACTTCTATAGAAGGGTAGGCCCTCACAGATGGAGCAATGGTGAGCACACAGGTGGACAAAGGAGCAGAAGGGGTTCTTATTCCTGATGCACGTGGCCCCTGCTGCTGTGTCCTTACCCCATTGGCTAGGGTTAGACCACACAGGCTAAACTAATTCCGATTGGCTAATTTAAAGAGAGTGACGGGGTGAGTGGTTTGGCGGGAAAAATGGTTAAGGCAGAGCAGGAAATCAGACTGAGTCAGGTTGGAGAATGAGTCGGGGCAGAACAGGTAATTGGAATGAGTCAGGGTGGAGCAGGTAATCAGAATGAGTCAGGTAATCGAAAAAGGTTGCTTTATGAGGAAGTTAAGTTTAAAAGTAGAAGGCAAAGAATTGAACATAACTGACATATTGATTCTTTGAAGAGAAATTTAGAACTCATATCTAACAGTGACAGAGTGAGACCCTGCCTCAAATGAATAAATGAATGAATGAATAAAAGCAATACATGCACATAAAAAATAAGTAATACAGAATTATACAAATTAAAAAGTGAAAGTCCTCCATTATCCCATTCTCCACAATGTGACTCCTCAGAAATAGTCACCATTAAGAGTTTGGTGTATATCTGGGAGAATGTGTGAATGTGTATTGTGTCCTTCCGTGATGTGCTTTCATTATAATGTTGATGAGAGAAAAATTGCTTCCTTCCCAGTTGGAGACACTGTGTGGAGTTTGCATGTTCCTGAGTTTGCATGTGTACATGGCTTTTCTCCAGTTACTCAGGTTTCCTCCCACATGCCAAAGACGTGCATATGAGGTGAATTCCATGTCTAGATTGCCCCAGTGTCAGTGAGTGTGGGTCTGTGTGAGTGTGCCTTATGACAGAATGGTGTCCTATCCAGGATTGTTTCCTGACTTGTGCCCTGAGCTGCCAGGATAGGCTCTGGCCATCTGAGATGCTGAACTGAAATAAGCAGGTTGGAAAAGGAATGAATGAATGAATACAAATTATTGTAAAATGAAAATTTGTGAAGTATCCAATAATCATACAAATGCATGATAATACATGACATGGGGTGAAAGCACTTAGTTACCCGCCATATTGATTATTTGTTTTTGAACTGCATGGTGGAAGGACTCCTTAGAATTTTTGCTCCGCAAACTTTCATTCGTTGATTTATTCCACCACCGTTATTGCAATTGCTCACAGATACACAATAAATTGGATAAATAATTATTTTGTTGTTGTTGTTTTTATTTTTTATGTCACAACAAGAACATATAAATAATTTTCTTTTTATTAATCTTTCTTAAATGTATGAAAGGAAAATAAAAACTGGTGACCAAAATTCACTTGCCAAGAGGAAAAGAATCAAGCTGAAAGTTGAGTTATGCAAGAAGCTGCCTTTTCTTTTGTTCCTAAGCAGAAAGCTACAGATAAAAGGTTAAATACCTGCACAGGTAGCTAGCTACTCTATGTTCACTTTCTCTTATGCAAAGTGTCAATTTACTGAGCGAGTACATAGTTGACTATTTCCCTACCTGCTCCTTTTCTCTTGCAACATGTGGATTCAGTGATGTGACCATACCCTCCCTCTTTTCCCTCCAGCCTGCTTCTCCTCTTTAAATACTGAAGCCCTCAAAATCATCTTTGAAGAAAGGCACAGACCTGTCTCCCAGGCACTTCCTTAACCTTGGAAAAATAAACTTTATTTATTTATTATTATTATACTTTAAGTTTTAGGGTACATGTGCACAATGTGCAGGTTAGTTACATATGTATACATGTGCCTTGCTGGTGCGCTGCACCCACTAAATTAATTGAGCCCTATCTCAGATACTTTTGGGTTTACAAATATATCACTTTTATTTCAATGTTTAATATTAGAAGTTTGGGGTCTTTATTTAGAAGTTTGGTGATGTTTTTGCGGCCAAAGAAGGAAATCAAAATTATTTCATCTCAAAATATTGCCTCCTAGTCTAAAGCATATTTTGAATTAAAGCCCCTTAAAAGATCAATAGACGCTGGGAGAGCATTTCCTTCTATCTACATAAAGACCCGATGGATCCATCAATGAGAACAATTGTTTTACTTTCCTCTCCCTGTTATCTCATTATCTACTGCAAAAAAGAAGACCGAAGAGTGTAACCACACCTGAATGAACCCTTTCACGAGATCATGTCTGTCTCTGGGGCTCACTGAATTTCGAAAAAGAACCGTTTACAAGTTAATCTCTATTCTCTGTTCATTCTACCTAGTAATCATTTATTGCCCATCAACAGAATTAACTATATTCCCCATCCCCTCCCTCTCCTCTGAAAAAAGGCTATCCAAGCTTTTGTATCCCATTGTTTGGGGTGATAGGGGTAATCACTGTGTGTTTCTCTCCTGTGCATGTAGATATTTGCCATTTCTCCCATTAATCTGCCTTTTGTCAGTTGGTTTATTTTAGCGAAACTTCAGAGGGTAAAGGGGAAGTTTCCCCTTAGCCCCTACATCAGAAATATGCCATAGGAACTTAACTCTTGTTTATGTCGATTAGCCTATGGTAAAAATGGCTTCGTTGCTGTTTTGCTTCAAGTCGCAGTTTCCAAGAACCTATTGATAATGTTAAGTGAGGACTTACTGTTTGTATTTATAACAAAACTGTGAATATGATACATAAATATGGATGATGAATTTCACTGTGAAATTTCTCAAGCTAATGTAGACAGATATGAAAACCTCTACTCTCTCACTTATCCTTCTGTTCAGTTGAATCTCCTGTGTATATAACAGCAAGGAGCTGGAGTTATTGCTAGGATATTGGCAGCTTTCTTTTTTCTTCTTTCCCAAAGACTTCCTAAGAGAACATGAGATCCTATGTTCCTCTGGAAGTTTACCTTCTTCTGAAAGTACTGATATCTCATCATATTGTAGCTTAGTTGGAAAGAATTCTTATATTTCTCTTTTTATATCTTGGGGTCTCTATATTCATGTCACATTTAGATTTGCTGCTTTCATTAGCTCATATTTCAATTTAATAAGAACAGGGCATCAGAAAGTTTCTGCTTCTTAGAACATTGCTAGTATTTCTCTTTCAATTTGTTTGTATCTGTCATAACTTGTGCTGTCTCCCATCCAAATACTGAGCTGTATTTCCTGTGTAGGTGACAGTAAAAGCCTGCAGTTATTACTGCAGAAATGATTAAGAATACATTTAAGAAAGAACGTCAGATTTTTAGGCTTGAAAAACCATTGAACATGATATCTGTTTCCTTCGAGAATTCTAGAACATAGAAAGTTTGAACATATAAGATTAGAAATCATCCAATCCCATTTTACTGAAGCTGAATTTTTAACGGCACAGCAGAATAATCTAATATGCACACATAAACTAGGTCAGAACTATGAGTGGCTTAGACTAAAATGCATTTAGAGACAAGAATCTGGACAGATATATTTGGATAAGTAGATTCAATGATTTGATGACAAGACCTGGACTAAGTCCCTTGTATTAAAAGGGCAAATGTTATTGCTGCTTTTTAATGTTTCCAGCAATTGGACAGAAACTAGCCAATATAAAATTATGCAGTTATGTACATAAATTTATCAAAATAGAGTTAACCATAGCTGATGTCAACAAAAAGAGTCGTACTCTGTAAAATATTTGAAGAGATTTATTCTGAGCCAAATATGAGTGATCATGGCCCACGACACAGCCCTCAAGAGGTCCTGAGAGCATGTGCCCAAGGTGGTTGGGGCACAGCTTGGTAGCTTGGTTTTATACATTTTAGAGAGGCATGAGACATCAATCAAACACATTTAAGAAATACATCGGTTTGGTCCAGAAAGGCAGGACAACTCAATGTTGGTCGGGGGGCTTCCAAGCTATAGGTGAATTTAAACATTTTCTCGTTGACAATTGGTTGAGTTTGTCTAAAGACTTGAGACTGACAGAAAGGGAATGTTCAGGCTAAGATTGTGGAGACCAAAGTTCTTTAGAAGTCTTATAGTGGCTGCCCTTAGAGACAATAGATGACAAATGTTTCCTATTTAAATCTTAGTTAATCTCTTTAGGATTGGAAGCATCTGAAAGAAAAAGATCTAGCTATGTTAATTGAGATTCTTTACAGATGCAAATTTTCCCTCACAAAGAACATTTTTGCAGGGCCATTTCAAAATATGGCAAAGAAAAATGTTTTGGGGTAAAATACTTTTATTTTCTTCCTTGTCTCATAATGTTATGCCAGAGTCATGTTGGAAAATAAGTATTGATATACCCGGTTAAATAAAACCCATCTGATAAGAATTTATGGTTTGCAGGGCACGACCTCCCAGACCCCTTAGATAGGAGTTTGGGCAAGATAAAAACTCAGAGTTTAGTCCTCATTGGGATTTTTAATTTAGGAGTTACAAATTTAGATTTTTTCAGTTTTAAATTAAAACATGGTCTTTAATCATAGAAAAAAACTGTTTTTCTTCTAAAAAATAAAGGGCCAATGAGGACAACATAGTGAGACTTTGCCTCTACAAAAACATTAAATAAAAAGCAAAACTAGCTGGATATGGTGGCACTTACCTGTAGTCCCAGCTACTAGGGAGGCTGAGCTGGGAGGATTGCTTGAGCCCAGGAGTTTGAGGCTGCAGCAAGCTATGATTGCACCACTGCCCTCCAGTCTGGATGACAGAGTGAGACCTTGTCTTAAAAAAAAAAAAAAAAAAGAAAAAGAAAGAAACAAAGGGCTAATTTATATTCATGTTTTCTTTGTCATAAAATGTAGAAAGAAATAAACACAAAATTATAATATCTGCAGCACTGTAGCACTCTCAGAAAACAGGATAGCTTTCTAGTTTCTTACTTGTCTTTTGCAAGTCTTTAAAATCTTGTTGTGGAATTAGCCTTGTCATTAAAACCTCTTCTTTAGAAGGGGGACTCATTTCAAAGGAGAACATTTGGAAGCATGACAACATGTATGTGCTTTTTATCTGCCCTGGAGAAAATGCTGTAATGTCAATCAGCAACTAAAGGATGCAACTACAATATGAATCTAAAAGTAAAATGAATCTGTAAAGTAAAACTGTGAAAAACATGAACATACTGAAAACTTAATGTGCAATATGGTATAATTTTTAAAGTGAGAAAAATAAACTGTGATGAATCAGAAAATTAGTGATGAAATAATGTCTCTGAGATAGTGGAAATGATAAGCAATCATAAAAACATCCTTTTATATTAGGCATCCTGCAGGCCCATAGCTTTTTTTTGAGACAGAGTCTGACTCTGTCTCCCAGGCTGGAGTGCAGTGGCGCAATCCTGGCTCACTGCAACCTCCGCCTCCCGGGTTCAAGTCATTCTCCTGCCTCAGCTTACCACGTAGCTGGAACTACAGACACCCACCACCATGCCCGGCCAATTTTTTATAGTTTCAGTAGAGACAGAGGTCTCAAACTTCTGACCTGAGGTGATCCACCCACCTCCGTCTCCCAAAGTGCTGGGATTACAGGCATGAGCCACCGCGCTCGGCCCCAGAGCTTTTATCTTAAAGTGGCCATTCTTCTTGGAACAAAGGAGGTGGTAGCTGCGGAGGTGGATAGTGATCTGCAAAATAAACTACAGATTTTTCAGTTGCCACCACCCTTTTGTAACCAGATGCCGCCTGATTTTTAAAGTCTGTTGTTATGGGATCTTCGAGGTATCGCTTTTCTGGCCAGAAACTTGTGGCTGGTGGCGCCTTTGCCCTAGCTTTGCTTGGGTCCGCTGGGTTCGTTCTGCCCACTCAGCCTGGCAGGCTGCACTCAGCCCACGCTACCGGCCTGGATCCCATGCCTCCAAGGGAGACTGCAAGTCAGGTGTGGAGCGGCAAGGGGTGTGTGAGTGAGCGTGGGTTCTGGCAGCTTCATATGCCGCCATGGGCACTGGCTCTCTGCAAGCTGTGGCTGGACCAGGTGCACCACAAGCAGCTTCCCTAGCTGGCAACAGAGGATGCAGTGGCACCTGGAAGATGCCAGGAACTGCAAGGGCCCCAAAGAGGGAGTCACAGCCCTGGCTCAGAGAGCTCTCCAGTCTGGGCTCACCGAAGGGCCGCAGCAATTCTTTCCTTCTCTTTGCCCGCGATGTGGCAAGCAAGGGGCATGTTAGAGCTGTGTTTGTGCTACAGCTCTTTTAGCCTCACCATCCAGCGGGTTCTGAGTTTTTGTCCTGCATCCAGGAATAATGAGGTACACAGACTAGTGAAGGGTGAGAAAGATGAAGAGCAGCTTTATCAAGTGATAGAACAGTTCAGAGACCAGCGCGGGGCAGCTCCTTTCCGCAGCCAGAGTGTCCTGTGAGTATTCATCTCCTAGTAGAGTGGGTAGGTCTTCTCTGCCGGCAGGTCATCCCAACAAGTGTTCAGCTCCCAGCAAAAAGGATATCTCCTTTCTGCAGCTGGTAATCCCGTCACCTGTCTAGCTCTGGCGGAGCCTGGGGCTTCTACGGGCCTCAGGGGGAAGGAACTGTGTCCCTATTGGTCCATGAGCGGCCATGGGCAGGCCTGGAAAAGGCACCACAAGTTCCCACTCTGGTCTGCGGGACTGGCAGCCCAGTCGCCTCTCTGGCCTGAAGGTGGGGACCCATGCCCTTCCATCCAGGAGCCTGTCTGCGTCCTGCCGTCACCCATAGTGCCCAGGCTGCCTGTGCCAAGGGGCACCTGCAGGCCAGCAATGAGCCGCCCTCAGCACCTCCTTGGCTTCCCCTAACCCCGTGCTCGTCGGCACCCAAAGTCCGGATGGGGCTCGCGTCTCAGTGCTGCCCTGAGTGTGTGCACACCCGGCCAGGTTTTTGCAGTGCCCAGGCTCGTCCCCAAACCTGCTCTGAGGCTTTGGGAGCAGGAAGAGGCCAGGCAGTGGGAGCAGACACCCGCAACCCTGCAGAGGCATTGGGGGCCTTCCCAGGCCCCGAGGGTGCAGACTGTAGAGATGTCTGAGTCCTGCACGAGCCTGCTTCTTGTGGAGTGTGCAGGCAGCCCCGGCAGGCAACGCGCCTCCTCGCAGCCTAGGGTGCGGGAACCAGGTCCTCACTGGGCCTCTCTTTGCCCACCCCTCTGTGCCTGACAGCGTTGCTCCCCCTCCAGCAGGCGGCTAGGCCGGGCCCCATCACAGTGGCTTCAGGGAGGCAAGCTCTGGGGGTGCTCCTGCTTGTCCCTGGCTCCCACTGGCTCCATGGAGTGCTTCACTGCCCCAGGCCTAGCTCCACCTCCTCCCCATGCCTTCCCCGCAGCAGCGGGCCAGAGCAGCGTTCCAGGGCCCGGACTCCAGAATTGGGGAGGCTCTGGGCTTGGGGACGGGTCCTGCCCCTCCGTGCACAAGGGCAGGGGTGGTGCAGTGGTGCAGTCGGCTGCCTCGGGGATGGGGCACAGGGGGCCGACCTCTGCCACTGCTGCTCCTGCAGCCGCTCCTGCTGCCACTTCCCACGGCTCTCTGCTGCAGCCGGCGTAATGGCAGTGGCCGCTCCAGATGGCCCGCCGCTGCTGTCACTATTATAATAAGTATACTTGAGACAGTAAAGCACAAACTTTCATATAATAAATGTTTGAATGCTGTAGTTATTGTTACCAGAAAGGGATCTCCATCCAGACGCCAAGAGTGGGTTCTTGGTTCTTACGAAAAACAGCATTTGAGGCAAATTCATTAAGTGAAAGTAAGTTTATTAAGAAAGTAAAGGAATAAAAGAATGCCTACTCCATAAGCAGAGCAGTGGCCTGGGCTGGTCAACTAAGGATATTTATAGTTATTTCTTGATTATATGCTAAACAAAAGGCGGATTATTCATGAGTTTTCTGGGAAAGGAGTGGGCAATTCCTGGAACTGAGGGTTCCTCCTCTTTCCTGACTATATAGGGTTACTTCCTGATGTTGCCATATCATTTGTAAACCCGCACGGCGGTGGTGGGAGTGTCTTTTAGCATATTAATGCATGTTAATGCATTGTAATTAGCGTATAATGAGTAGTGAGGAGACCAGAGGTTACTTTTATCACCATCTTGGTTTTGGTGGGTTTTGGCCGGCTTCTGTTCTGCATGCTGTTTTATCAGCAAGGTCTTTACGACCTGTACCTTGTGGCAACGTCCTATCTCATCCTGTGATTCAGAATGCCTAACCTCCTGGGAATACAGCTCAGTAAGTCTCAACCTTATTTTACCCAGCCCCTTTTCAAGATGGACTTGCTCTGGTTCAAATGCCTCTGACAGCTATTATACCTTGCCTGTTATTTACTCATATTTAACAGAGTTGGCCATGCCCAGTTAAATACCAGCATACAAGGAAACCTCACCTCGTTGGGAGAATATTTCACACCCCTCCAAACTATCAGCACAGTGGAAACTTGGCATGTCCCACATTAAATCTGGCTGCAGCTGTCTCAGGGATCCAAGACTGAATGACTGGTGATTTTACATTGATGTTCTGCTGAACCTTCCTGGTACCTGAGTGGTTAAAATCTGAGAATTTCTAGAAGAAAAGAAAGTACGTCTAAAGCAATGCTAGAAAGGAGCTAATAAATTCTTCAGGATTAACATCAAAGTCTGATGCAAACTAATTTAATCCCCTTGATATTCAGGGATAAATTAAAGCTAATGAATTACAAGTCTTTTGTTGCAATTCTCCTTTGCAAATATTGTGATAATTTTTCATTGTTAACATTATTGGAAAGCTGCTTTCTAACTGTCTTGAACATATTTCCCTACTGAGCATCTGTACCTTTAGAATTCTAATAATGAATGCATTGATTAATTTTCAAGATTCTAAACTTTTGTTTTAATGGCATTTTATTCTGAGGAAATAGACAAATACAGGCTGTGTGTATGTGTGTGTCATTACCAATACCTTTGAAATCGGCCATAAACTATTTTTGCCATAGGCTTGAAAGTCTTCTCCTGCTGTCTTTAAAAGATGTTGTAGGGTCAGGGGAAAACTTCTCTTTTGACCTCTGAAGTTTCACTGAAAAATCAACTCACAAAAGGTAAATTAATTGGAGAAAAGGCATAGAAATGTAATTAATGTGTGTACAAGGGAGAACCACAGGGTGATTACTTATCCCCCAAGATGGTTCAGAAGTTTATATACTATCCTAACAAAGCATATTATGGGAGGGAGGAGAACGGAAATTCTGTTGGGAGGATCACCAGGAAGAATGAATGGATTAGGCAACAGGGATTAATTTATACATTATCTTGTGACAGGGTCTGGCCAGGGATGGTTACATTCTTGGTCTTACAGGAAAGAGAAGAAAAAGCAATTGCTCCTGTTGATGAGTCTGGATCTTAGGTAAATAAAGGAACTTCAACTTCATCCTGTGCTTTGGGAGAGACAGTGTCAAGGGAGAGGGGAAGTCAAAGTGACCTTAAGCCTTCTTCAGTTCAGCATGTCAAAGCTCCACATTTTGGGGCACTGGTTTCTGAGCCCCAACAATATGCTAACCATAAAACTTTTATAAGAAAGCAAAAGAGATTAGAAAGCTTTAGACTTCCTATCCAATACTAAAGTATTCACAAGACAATGAGAAACATATTCTCATAGCAAACATTTTCTGTTTTTCTTATTAATAACTAAATGTTTCAATAAGATATTTCAAGTTCTAGAACCACTACCACTCGTGAAGTCTAAATGTGTATTTCTGGAGTCATTAATTTATTAGCACATGATGGATTATGTTTATGTAGTTTGACACCTTACACTTTCCACTGGTAGTAAGTAAAACATTCAGAAAAGGGTGAACTTGTTTTTGTGAACTGGTTGTCTTACTACAATATGGATCTGTATTTAATCTAAGGCTCTGCATTTGAACTAGGGAGGTGGAAGATTTTTGGATTTCTAATGGAGCTTGAAGTAAAGGTAGAGGCCGGGTGTGGTGGCTAACGCCTGTAATACCAGCACTTTGGGAGGCTGAGGCGGGTGGATCACTTGAGGTCAGGAGTTCGGGACCAGCCTGGCCAACATGGTGAAACCCCGTCTCTACTAAAAATACAAAAATTAGCTGGGGGTAGTGGCTCATGCCTGTAATCCCAGCTACTCAGGAGGCTGAGGCAGGAGAATCGCTTGAACCTGGGAGGCAGAAGTTGCAGTGAGCCGAGATTGCCACTGCACTCCAGCATGGGCAACACAGCGAGACTCTATTTAAAAAAAAAGAAAAAGAAAGAAAGAAAAGAACTGAAGGTTGAGCATGTCCCATTTCTACCTATATACTTTTTTTTTTTTTTTCTGAGACAGAGTCTCGCTCTGTCACCCAGGCTGAAGTGCAGTGGCACCATCTTGGCTCATTGCAACCTCTGCCTCCTGGGTTCAAGTGATTCTTCTGCCTCAGCCTCCCGAGTAGCTGGGATTACAGGCATCGCCCAGGTAATTTTTGTATTTTTAGTAGAGACAGGGTTTCACCATGTTGGTCAGGCTGGTCTTGAACTCCTGACCTCAGGTGATCCACCCACCTTGGCATCCCACACTGTTGGGATAACAGATGTGAGTCACCACGCCCAGCCTATTTAGTATATTTCTTAAGTGCATAGTGTTAAAGAATTGGACTGTTTTCAGTTACTGATATCAGGAATCATTTGGCAAACCCAGCATGGTTTGGAGAATATAACTACATTTGGGAAAATATCAAACCTTTAGAGTTTGATATTTCTTACCTCCTCTGGAAGGTCTTTAGTCTTAATGAATCATATTTTAAATGGAAAAATTGTGTTTAAAAAGGAAGCAGGAAAGAAATCTCCCCAGAGTAAGAATACAAGTAAAAATAAAGGCCGGGAGTCATGTCTCATGCCTGTAATCCCAGCACTCTGAGAGGCCAAGGCGGGCAGATTAGTTGAGGTCAGGAGTTTGAGACCAGCCTGGCCAACATGGCAAAACCCCGTCTCTACTAAAAATACAAAAATTAGCTGGGTGTGGTGATGGACGCCTGTAATTCCAGCTACTCAGGAGGCTGAGGCAGGAGAATCGCTTGAAACTGGGAGGCAGAGGTTGCAGTGATCTGAGATCGTGCCATTGCACTCACCAGCCTGGGCAACAGAGTGAGACTCCATCTCAAAAAAAAAAAAAAAAAAAAGAATATAAGTAAAAATAATTTTTTTTTTATTTCTCCCAAGTGAGAATTAAAGGGCTTAGGGTTACTTTATCAGTTTAGTTTATTTCAGTTCAGGTCAGTTAAATGACAATTTCCTGAGCATCCATTGAATGAGGTGCTGGGGGCACCAACGTGAAGCAGCTACTGTCTCTTTATGCAAGAAACTCAAAGTCTGATGGATGAGGCAGGCACACAAATGCACACTTCCAAAAACATGGCAAAGACCATGGTTAAGTTGTTCTCCTGGTGCTCTAGGAACCTAGAGGAAGAAGAGCACTGAGTTTGGCCAGTTTAGATGAAGATAATGCCTGAACTGGGTTTGAAGTATAAAAAGGAGGTTGTAGGCCAAGGAAGGCTGGGATGGGGCAGAGAAAAAGGAGAAATTTGTTTGGGGAGATTAGAAAACAATTCAGTATGAGCAAATGTGGGAAGACACAGAATAGGATGTGCTCACTGGAGAGCTATGAACAGCTATGAATTATCAGTGAATATTGTGAGGGGGGAATAGAGAAGATGTGACTACAGGAAGAGGTGCGCTCAGGTCACTGACAGCCTTATATCCCAGGCTGAAGAGCATGGACTTCAGTTTACAGATGAGGAAGAGAAATAAGAATGGAGTGATTGCCAAGAACAGTGAAGAGTCTGAGATTTTAACCTGCTTGCAAGCTATCAAGTTAGGCTGCTATCGTTTCACAGATGCTTGTAGAAGACACAAGACTCCTGGGTCAGAGACAAGACACTTTGTTACCCATCGCACAGCAGGCAGCATAAGCTTCATGTCTATGTTGGTTTATCTTGTTCTCTGAGTTCTAAGGGGGCCACAGGAAGGTGGGTCCAGGTAGGTGCTGTGCATGCAGTGGGTTTGTATTACAGCCGAGAAACCCTGAGCTTAGGATTTCCCAATATTTTGTAAGTGAGATGCATGCAAACCTGCCCAACCTTTGCCTTAGAGGGATATATTATCTTTATTATAGTGGATAGCAAACAGATCTGCTTTTTTTCCTGAAGGCAGGCATATTTTTGTTTTTTTCCTGAAGGGAGACATATGTTTGTATAAAACATTCTTTCTGGATAGGTCGGGCACGGTGGCTCACGCCTGTAATCCCAACACTTTGGGAGGCTGAGGAGGATGGATCACGAGGTCAGGAGTTCCAGACCATCCTGGCCAACATGGTGAAACCCCGTCTCTACTAAAAATACAAAAAGATTAGCTGGGCATGGTGGCGGGCGCCTGTAGTCCCAGCTACTCAGGAGACGGAGGCAGGAGAATGGCATGAAACCGGGAGGCGGAGGTTGCAGTGAGCCGAGACCGCACCACTGCACTCCAGCCTGGGCGACAGAGAGAGCCTCTGTCTCAAAAAAAAAAAAAAAAGAAAATACAGTCTGGAACAAAAGCTGTTAGTATCTCTGCTCACAAGTTGTGCAGAGATGTTACAGGCAAATGAAGAATTGCCCCCAACAGTATAACAATCAAGATGTGTTTTAGGTGTATCACTCTGGTGACAAGTGAGGGATGGAGTTGCATTTGCTGCAATAATCCAGGTGAAAGAAGATCAGAGCCGAAATTCAAGAGATGACAGGGAAGAATTTGAGAAATATCTAGAAGGGAAAAATAGAGGCAGCTTTGCAATCTTAGAGAGAAGGAACGGTCTAAAACAGGGATTGGCAACATATTTTTTGTCAAGGGCTAAACAGTAAATATTTTAGGCTGGGCCATTTGGCCTCAGTTGAACTCAATTTTACCATTGCAGTAGGAGAGAGAAGCCATTGACAAAACCAATGGCTGATGCTGTGTTCCAATAAAACTTCATTTATAAAAACAGATCCATGGGTTATAGTTTTCTGACCCTAAGCTTAGGAAACAACCCAAGGTTTTTGTGTTGTGTGACTAGATAGATGGAAATGCTAATAATTGAAAGAAGACATTTAGCCTTTTTTTGTTTTGTTTTGTTTTTGGTGTGAGAGAGTGGGGAGATGAGGTTTTGGAAGTTTTAAATTGGCCGGGTGTGGTGGCTCACACCTGTAATCCCAGCATTTTGGGAGTCTGTGGCAGGAAGATCACTTGAGCCTGGGAGTTGGAGACCAGCCTAGGCAACATAGGGAGACCCTGTCTCTACAAAATAATTAATAATAATAATAACAATAATAATAATAAAATAAAGTTTTGAATTTAGGAAAGTAAGGAATGTCCAGAAATAGAGATTTTCTAGGCAGCTGAATATATAAATTTGAAGCTTAAGACAGTGTCATTGTTAGGGGTAATGATTTAAAAGTTCTAAGCATATGGATGGGGGTTAAAACCATGGAAGTGAATAGCATCACTCAATGAGAACATGAAGACTAGGAAGAAATGTGGGCCAAAGACAAAACCCTAGGAAAGTGTCAGTATTTATAGGCCAGCCTTAACTCAAGAGGCACCCAAAAACTTCTTCAGATGGAACATCTGATGTGTGTGTGTGTGTGTGTGTCCATAAAGAAGGGAAGGGATTGGAGGATGTACTTTAATGTCAAAGCAACCCTCCCCCAAACTTTCAACTCTGAAAACCCCCCAAACTCTGTAAGTCATATTTATTCTTCATCAGAATTATAAAAGACTTCTAAGAAATTTCAGAGGGGCACTCATGTTTTTTCTCTTTAATTTGTGATTGAGAGTAAAGTTAATTGAGAAGAACCTTGGTTAGTTATACTGAAATCCAAACTGCTGCATTAGAATCTAATTTTTTTATTTCATCAAGGAAAGGATTACAACTGGGTTTGTTCCACTCTTTTCTTCTGCATACAAGTATGGCTGCAATCATTAGTCATTCATTTATTTGGTTGGTCACTCAACAAACATTTAGTGAGTATCTATAATATGCACAGCTAAGCACTGTGGAAGATAGAAAAATGAACAAGGCATAACCTGCCTGTGTTTAAAGAAAATAACAATGACACAAAGCAGAATGTGATCAATGTCTCAAGAGATGATCACTAAAACTGTAGCGATGTTATTGGTGTGGGTTTTTTTGCTACCCTTTGTAATTATGCTTAGAAATTTCCAGAAAAAACATTAATCCATGCTTTTAAGTCATGGTATCTATGGGTCCAGGAAGGGGAAACATTAAATAAAACCACATCATTGCACTCACTCTGTCAGAAGAGTCTAGAGTGGAGGGTACAAAATTCAGTCAACATTACTGCCATCTATGTGAGTTGTAGGGACACCTCTCTTTGGTAGCTTGTGTATGAGTAGAAAATGCCTGCTTTAAAAAAATATGTAAAATCATGTGATGATGATAATGATTGTGTCTACACACACAAATGAGTTTGACTTTAGTTCAAATAACTGTTTTTTAACCTACATAACAACAAATAATTTAAAATCTCAAAATAATTTTTAAATGAAAAATTTTCAACTGGTTTAGAGTAATGTAAAAAGCAAAGAAACAAACATTACTAAAAACAATCATTTGTTCTTGCTTACTTTAGTTCCAAAATAGAGGAATCTAATATTTAGGGGGTAGAATGAGTTTGTTAACCAAAAATAAAATTTGAAAGCTTCCACAACCATCTGAATGAACTTCCTCCCCAACCAGGGCACTCAAAAAATTTAACCTGAAAGACTGGCTCAGACCATGATGGGAAGTGGGGGTTGGACATGTCTCATGATACCCCCTCCAGCATTAACATCAATGCAGACCTTAAGTCTGATAAGAAACATTTACAGTCTCTTGAAAGCCTGTTACTTGGAGGTTTTACCTCCATGATAAAACCTAGGTCTCCACAACCCCTTATCTTAACCCAGACATTCCTTTCTACTGATAAGAAGCGTTTCAACCAATTGACATCAGAAAAATTTTAAATCTATCTATCACCTGGAAGCCACCCTCCCCCACCCTTCCAGATAGAACCAATGTAATCTTACATGTATTGATTGATGTATTATATCTCCCTAAAAAGCAAGCTGTACCCCGACCACCTTGGGCACTTGTTGTCAGGACCTCCTGAGGCTGTGTCATGGGTGTGTCCTTAACCAAACTTTCTAAATTGACTGAGACCTGTCTCAGATATTTTGAGTTCACAAGTTATATTGGCATAGGGGTTTCTTAGTTTATTTTCAGTGCAAAACAAGCCACGCCAGTAGTCAATTTCTTCATGTTACAAGTATATATCTATATTTGAATGAAAAACAAGTCCACATATTTCCTTTCTTGAGTTATTACTTTTCAAATCAGATATGTCTTGTTTATACAAACTAATGAAATTGAGTATATTCTTTGATGATTTACTGCTAACCCTACAGAGAAAGAAAAGCTAAAATTTGTATTCCTCAATTTTGATTTTAATTCAAATAATTGAAGCACGCCTATATTCTTAAAAGCTATTACATGTTCTCTTGGAAGGTCTATTGATTCATCCTTTTGAACACTCATTATGGAAATAGGTAGTGTTAAATTATAGTTGAGTTTAAGTACTATATTTCACACAGCACTTGCATCTGTAAATAATGATCATTGTAAAAAATGTCCATTTATGGTCATCAAAGTAAATTTTCTTGACTGACTAGTCAGATAAGAAATCCAGCAATGTCTTCGGTGAGCAAGTCCTCTGGCTCAAGCAAATGTTGGCTTGATGGGCCACTTACTCCTCCCATTATTTTCAAAGCCTACTTGGAATTCCTTTTGAAAGTCTATTGCAGGCTGATTTCATAAGAGAAGCAACCTAGTTCAGCAGGATTGAAATCTCCTATTCCCTGTCTATCCAAATCAGTTTCTTTAAGAAGAGGGTACATTTGTGTAGCCTCAGGTGGACCAGAATAAAGGAGGATTGTTAATAAATAAAGTTGTATTTGGAAGACCCTTTACCCTATCAGTTTTGGTACAAGGCTTAGAGAACAACATTGCCTATTGTTTGGTGACTGAGCCTCCGAAGTCACCTCTTGAGTGCTTTCTGTCTTGCTGCTCCTGCTCTTCTTCAGATTCTCTGCAGAAAGTTTCTGAGTCAGTGCAAGTGCCTCTTCAATATGAATCTTAAGTTTATTGCTGAAGTTAATTTCACCTCCATTAGACTGTGCATTTTTCTGGGGAGGGACTGCTTCTGCTGTTTCCTTTACAACTCTCCTAATAGCAAGACATGTGCTTGTGACCTGAACGTGGTGAGCATTACTGTTTGCCATCAAAATGTTAAGGTCACTGCTGTATGGTTATTCATAAGAAGTGAAGAGCTGAAAATAAGGTTGTTTGGAAGCATGAGTTGAAGCCAAATTATGGAAGGCCTTACCTGCCAGGCTGGTTTGGACTCGACGAGTGTTTGTGAGCAGGGTGAGGGGTGTTAGGAGCTGTGCTGGAGGAGGCCAGTCAGGATGGGCAGTGAGCAATTGCTGAAATTTAAACAAAAATCAAAGGCCATACATATAAATGGACTATAAATATCACTGAATGGATATCAGTGAAGGGAAGCACGAATTGATGAAGTCTGAAGGAGGAAGTGAGATTTGAAGAATGAGAAGAAAATAATCCAGCCGAAAGGGAAAGGGAGAACGTTCTAGTTAGCTAGAAACAATAACAGAATTTCAGCATCTGAAATATTTTTGACAAAGGATTCATTTCTTCCCCACCAGACTTATTAATTCTTTCCTTCCTCGTCTCCTTCCCTCGTTCCTTCCTTCTCTCTCTTCCTACTCCTTTTCTTCCTTCTTCTTCAACAAACACTGCCAACAAATCCTAAATTTTATTTTCGCTGGTTACAATCACTTCACATTTTTTTCCTGGTGTCTTCATTTGAAATTGCCTTACTTTTGACTATTCCTCCTGAAAAATACATGATCAGACCTTGAAATGGGTGAGGCAGAGAAGTTTAAGAATTTCTTCCTTGAGATTTTTTTCTCAGATAAATATGCACAGTATGACTGGATTTTTGAAGACAACTTTGTGTTTTGTGATATCCCTGGACTCCCACCCCAGAGGCTGACAATGCTTTTAGGCCCCTCTTTGTAAGATTTATGCCGATGAGTGCCCAAGTTTCTAGAAATGTGACATGGCCAGGTATTGCCAGAGAGAAGCACGTTACCTGCTTCCATGGTTATGGTATTTTCCCTCTTGTCCGACCCTCCTCCCTCCTGTGTGTGTGTGTGAGGCTGGGGATGAAGGGGTAGCAGTTTGGTGAAGGTGGGATCCATAGGGACCAGAGTTGGGAGTCTACTGAGGCATCATTTATCAAAAGTATTAGCATATAAGGCCAGAGGACAGATTCTGTTGTGTGCCGGAGTCTAAATTTAGTCACCAAGGAAAATGCTCCACAAAGAGAAAGAGTTTGCTAAGAACCAAAAAAAGTGGGGATGTTGGCATCAGGAGAGCAGAGCTCTAAGCATGGTGGATACTGATGAGGAATTCTGAAACTGTGATGCAGATCCTGGGGTCACTTCAGGAGGGACCAGTGTGGCTCAGCGAGGTGGCTGAGTTTACTTAAGGTATTGGAATGAGGTAGAATTACTATTTCTATTCCCAAATCACCAAAGTCATGAAGCTTAAAAAAAGCATCTCTTCCAAATACCTCATTTTTCATTTGCAAAAAAAGGGAGAGAAAATACTCCTTGTTTTGTAACTCATTATAACTCATCAACTTCTCTAACTCTTTAATCAGCTTTATTCCAGGAGGAAGAGAATTGATTGAACTGTATGATTTCAAAAACGTGTTATGGGAAAATGAAGATATATAGCTTTATGGTTTATTTTATTTTTTCCACAAATCCAGGTCTCTAAGCTTTATGGTTTAAAGTTCTGTCTCTGGAGTCAGACAAACCTGGATCTGAATCTTTGTCTGATATTTATTAGCTTTGTAAATTTAAATTAAGTGGGCATAACATTTGTAAGCCTCTATTTCATAATCTATAAAAAGAGGATAACAGGCTGGTCATGGTGGCTCATGTCTGTAATCCTAGCAGTCTGGAAGACTGACGTGGTGGATCGCTTAAGTCCAGGAGTTTGAGACCAGCGTGGGCAACATCACAAAACCCTGTCTCTACAAAAAATAGAAAAATTAGACTAGTATGTTGGCACACGCCTGTAGTCCCAGTTACTCAAAAGGCTGAGGTGGGAGGATCACTTGAGCCCAGGAGGCGGAGGTTGCAATGAGCTGAGATTGCACCACTGCACTCCAGCCTGGGTGACAGAGCCAGACCCTATAACAACAGCAACAACAAAAGGAGGATAACAATAGCACTTATCTCTTAGGATTATTGGGATAATTCAATGAGGACTGAACATAAAGTGCTTGGAACCATGCCTGACATACAGTAGATACTCAATAATATTAGCTATTGTTACCATTATGATTATTTTAAATCTAATTTTTTGTCTCTCAGATTATTTGATATCTAATTGCCTCAACTATGTCTTTAAAATAGAGAAATTGGTTGAAGAATCATCTGTGCTCCCAAACTTCTTTTTGTCTTCCAATCTAACATTTGGTACAAATTGTATAAATGAGAACACTTGGAATTCAATATAATAGAACAAAGTATATTTTCTAAGTGGTCTATTGTTGGATCTGGTTCCAGATTCCACTTTATAGAGATAGAAATACTATCCTTAAATGCATATATAGAGTCCAAAATCTTCAAAATCAATATGCTGAAGTCAACCATCCAATAAGTTAGTAACAGTTTTACCTTAGCAGATGCTGTGTGAAAAATGAGAAAGAAATGCAAAATTGAGTACTAGTCTTGGGACTCCTCTTATCAAGTAAAAGAGGTAGAAGATAAAGACAGAGAAGACTAGAAGAAAACTCGCAAATGAATATAGACAGATGAAACAGACTAATTTGCTATTAACCAAAGTAATAAAAGGAAAAGTGCTTTGTTATTTTTGTTTTAAAATTTTTATTTTTGGTTAAAATGTTCCTACTCACTATGGTAATTTTAGATGGAATACAAAAGTGTAAAGAGAAAGAACCATTATAAGTAGTTTGGCATATTTGCTCTCAGAATTACTTCTATGCATATACTTTACACATAGCTGAACATATACAGATAAATAATTTTGCTTTCATCTTTTTTGCTTAGTATTGTCACATAATAATTTACCTCTGTTGTTAAAATTTTTTGTCCTTATTTTGTATTGACACTTTTTTTTTAACAGTTGTGGTAAGATATTACTCACATACAACCAGTTCACCCAGTTACAGTAGACAATTAAGTTATTTTTACTATATTTACAGGGTTGTGTAATCATTACCAAAACCAATTTTAGAACATTTTCATCACTCCAAGAAGAAACCCCTTACCCACTAAAAATCACTCCCCATTCCTCTTATCTCCCCTCAACATTCCCCCCACCCCACCTCAGGCAATCATTAATCTACTTTTGTTTTCTTTTTTTGAGACAGGGTCTCACTCTGTTACCCATGTTGAAGTGTGTGATCTTGGCTCATTGCAACCTCTGCCACCCAGGCTCAAGCAATTCTCCCACCTCAGCCTCCTGAGTAGCTGGGACCACAGATCAGTGCCAGCACACCTGAGTAGCTGGGACCACAGGTCAGGGCCACCACACCTGAGTAGCTGGGACCACAGGTCAGTGCCATCACACCTGGCTAATTATTCGCGTTTTTTGTAGAGATGGGGTTTCGTCATGTTGCCCAGGTTGGTCTCAAACTCCCAAGCTCAGGAGACCCATCCGCCTCGGCCTCCCAAAGTGCTGGAATTACAGGCGTGGGTCACCATGCCTGTCCTAATCTACTTTTTATCTCTATAGATTTGTCTTTTCTGGAGATTTCGTGTTAGGGGAATTATTCGATATGCGATCTTTTCTTTTTTTTTTTTAATTTTATTATTATTATACTTTAAGTTTTAGGGTACATGTGCACAACCTGCAGGTTAGTTACATATGTATACATGTGCCATGTTGGTGTGCTGCACGCATTAACTCGTCATTTAACATTAGGTATATCTCCTGATGCTATCCCTCCCCCCTCCCCCCACCCCGCAACAGGCCCGGGTGTGTGATGTTCCCCTTCCTGTGTCCATGTGTTCTCGTTGTTCAATTCCCACCTATGAGTGAGAACATGCGGTGTTTGGTTTTTTGTCCTTGCGATAGCTTGCTGAGAATGATGGTTTCCAGCTTCATCCATGTCCCTACAAAGGACATGAACTCATCATTTTTTATGGCTGGATATGCGATCTTTTCTGACTGGCTTCTTTCACTCAGCATCATATTTTTCAAGACTTGTCCATGTGTAGCATGTATCAGCTCTTCAAGTTCCTTTGTGTTTTCGTATAATATTTCACTGTTTGGATATACTGCATTTTATTTACCATTCATCAATCGATGGACATTTGGGTTGTTTCTGCCTTTTTTTTTTTTTTTTTTTTTGAGACAGAGTCTCACTCTGTCGCCCAGGCTGCAGCGCAATGGCGCGATCTCGGCTCACTGCAGCCTCTCCCCTCCCACCCACCAAGGTTCAAGTGATTCTGCTGCCTCAGCCTCCAGAGTAGCTGGGATTACAGGCGCCTGCCACCACACCTGGCTTATTTATTTGTTTGTTTGTTTGTTTGTTTGTTTGAGACGGAGTTTAGCTCTAGTTGCCCAGGCTGGAGTGCAATGGCACAATCTTGGCTCACTGCAACCTCCTGCCTCCCCGGTTCAAGCGATTCTCCCGCCTCAGCCTCCCGAGTAGCTGGAATTACAGGCATGCACCACCATACCCGGCTAATTTTGTTTTGAAATTGGGTTATTTGGCCGGGCACAGTCAAATACCACGCCTGTAATACCAGCACTTTGGGAGGCCGAGGCAGGCGGATCACCTGAGGTCAGGAGTTTGAAACCAGCCTGGCTAACGTGGCGAAACCTCGTCAGTACTAAAAATATAAAAATTAGCTGGGCGTGGTGGTGGGCGCCTGTAATCCCAGCTACTCGGGAGGCTGAGGGAGGAGAATCACTTGAACCCGGGAGGCGGAGGTTGCAGTGAGCCGAGATTGCACTATTGCACTCCAGACTGGGTGATGAGAGTGAAACTCCGTCTCAAAAAAAAAAAAAAGAAAAAAAAAGAAAAGAAAAGAAAGAAAGAAATTGGGTTATTTGTCTTTTTGTTATTAAGTTGTAAAACATATGTATATACATATACACATATATACCATACACATGCATGTGTGTGTGTGTATTCTGGAGCCAAGTCCTCTATTAGATATATGATTTGCTAATATTTTCACCAATTCTGTGGATTGTCTTTTCACTTTCTTGTATGGTATATGTGGGTTGTTGCACAGAAGTTTTTAATTTTGATGAATTTCTATTTATTTATTTTATCACGTGTTTTTGGTGTCATATCTAAAAAGTCTTTGCCCAACCCAAAGTCATGAATATTTACTCCTAGGTTTTCTTCAGAGAGTTTTATAGTTGTAGCTCTTATATTTAGGTTCGTGACCCATTTTGGGTTAATTTTCGAGTCTGGTGTAAAGAAGGGATCCAACTTCCTTCTTTTGCAAGTAGGTAGGTATCTGACTGTTTAGCACTGTTTTTTGAAAGGACTGCTCTTTCCTCATTGAATTGTCTTGGTTCCCTTGCCAAAAAGTGGTTGACTGTAAATGTATTCTGGACTCTGAATTTTTTCTATTGATCTAGATGTCTATCGTTACATCAGTACTACATTGTCTTGATTAATGTAGCTTTATAGTGAGTTTCAACATCAGGAAGTTTGAGTCCTCCAATTTTCTTCTTTTTGCAAGATTGTTTTGGCAATTCTGGGTCCTTGCATTTTACATATATATATATATATATATATATATATATATATATATATATATATATATTTGAGACAGGGTCTTGCTTGTGGCCCAGGCTGTAGTGCAGTGGCGTGATCTCAGCCCACTGCAACCTCCACCTACCAGGTTTAAGCTATCCTCCCACTTCAGCCTCCTGAGCAGCTGGGACTACAGGCATGCACCACCACAACTGGCTAATGTTTGTATTTTTTAGTAGAGATGGGGTTTTCCCATGTTGACCAGGCTGGTCTCGAACTCCTGGCCTCAAGTGATCCACCCCCTTTGGTCTCCCATAGTGCTGGGATTACAGGCGTGAGCCCTCACCCCAGGCCTCCATATGAATTTAAGGATCAGTTTGTTAATTTCTGCAAAAAAAAAAAAAAAAAAAAAAAAAATCCAGCCTTGATTTTAATGAGAATTACATTGAATATTTAGATCTGTAGATAGTTTTATTTCTTTCTCTTAAATTTGTATTCCTTTAATGCCTTTTCTTGACTAAGTTCTCTCTCTAGAATCAGTACAATACTGAATAGAAAGAGTTAGAGTGGACATGCTTGTCTTGTTCCTTATCTTAGGTGAAAAGAATTGTCTTTCATCATTCAGTAAGATCCAAAATTTTCTTAGATCAATTTGAGGAAGCTCCTTTCTATTCCTAGTTTGTTGAATGTTTTTAACATGAAACAATGTGAAGTTTTGTCAAATGCTTCTTATGTATCTACTGAGATGATAACATGTTTTTTTTTTCCCTTTGTTCTGTTAATATGGCATATTACCACAATTGTTTTTCTTATGTTAGGCCACCAATCTTGCATTCCTAGCTTGTGGCGATGCATAATCCTTTTTATATATTGCTAGATTTGGTTTGCTAGTATTTTGTTGATGGTTTTGTTTCTATAATCATCAGAGATATTGATTTCTAATTTTCTTGTAATATCTTGGCTGAGTTTTGGCATCAGAGTAATACTGGCTTCATAGGATGTGTTTTGCCTATTCTTTTACATACATACATTTTACATATGTTTTTTACAAATAAAAAATTACCATTTTTGTTTCAACAAACACAAGTTAGAGAAATGAAGAAAAATCTATTGTATTTACCCATCTTTTTACTCTTTCTATTGCTTTTCCTTTCTTCCTAATGTTACAAAATTCCTTCTTTTATTGTTTATTGTTTGTTTCAGAAATATCTTCAGGCATTCTTTCAGCATAAGTCTGTTGCTAACAAATTCTCCTTGTTTTCCTAGATCTGATAAAGTCTTGATTTCCTCTTCAGTTCTGAAGGGTCTTTTTGCTGGATATAGAATTCTTGGCTGACTGTTTTTTACTTTTAGCACTTGAAAAATGTTGTGCCAATTCCTTCCAGCCTTTATAGTTTTGGATGAGAAATTCCCTGTCATTTGAGAGTTTTTTTCCCCAAAGTTAAGGTGTCATTTGTCTCTTGCTGCTCTTAAGGTTTTTTTCTTCATCTTTAGTTTTCAGAATTTTGATTATGATATATCTGGATGTAGATTTGTCTCAGTTTCTATTTGGAATCTGCTCTGTTTCTTCAATATGCATGTATTTTGCCAAATTTGGGGAATTTTCAGCCATTTTCTAAAAATTTTCATCTTTAGAAATTTTAAGGCTTGCTGCAGTGGTGCATGCCTGTAAATCCCGGCACTTTGGGAGGCCAAGGTGGGTGGATCACTTGAGTCCAGGAGTTTGAGACCAGCCTGTGCAACAAGACAAGACCCCACCTCTACAAAAAAAAAAAAAAACTAGCCTGATGTAGTGGTGCACACCTGTGGTCCCAGCTACTTGGGGGGCTGAGGAGGGACAATCGCTTGAGACTGGGAGGCAGAGATTGTAGCGAGCTGAGATCATGCCACTGCACTCCAACCTGGGTGACAGAGTGAGACTCTGTCTTGGGAGAAAAAAAGTTAAACCTGGATCTCTTTCTCCTCTTTTTCTGGGACTCCAGTGACATATATTTAATTCTTTTGTTATAGCTGCATAGTTTCTTAAGGCTCTGTTCTTTTTTTTTTTTTTTCATAAGGCTTTGTTCTTTTTTTTTTTTTTTCAGTCTATTTTCTCTCTGTTCAGATTGGGTTATTAGAAATAACCCAATTCTATTGTTCTATTTTCAAGTTTATTGATTCTTTTCTTTTTGTTCTTCTGTTGAGCTTATTTATAAAGTTTTTCTTTTTTTTCTCTTTTGGCTATAGCATTTTTCAGTTCTAAAATTTCCATTTGGTTCTTTTTTAGAACATTCTTTTTTTTTGCTGAGACTTTCTGCTTCTTCATTTGTTTCAAGCATGATCATACTTGTTGAAGCATTTTTATGATGGCTGCTATAAAATCCTTATCAGATAACTACAACATCCATATTATCTCAGTATTTCATCTGCTCATGGTTTTTTCTCACTCAAGTTGACATTTTCCTGCTTCTTGGTATGGCAA
Source organism: Homo sapiens (assembly GCF_000001405.40). Lineage (NCBI taxonomy): Eukaryota > Metazoa > Chordata > Mammalia > Primates > Hominidae > Homo > Homo sapiens. Next base: position 25,867,306 of record NC_000012.12, on the reverse strand, counting down.
GTGACTTAATTGTATCCTAGATGTTTAGAGTATTATGGATGAGACTCTGGATCTTATTTAAATCTTCTGGCTTAGGAGATTTTTATCTGACACTGTTCTGGCAGGGGAAGTGGTTGGGAAGCTTCTTCCTTAATGACATGTGGTCATGCAAGTCTGGATTCCCCCCTCGGCCTCTGTTGCCACCCTGAAGGTAGGGCTTTCATAACTGACGAGTGGGAAGAGGAGTCAGGCTTCCTACTAGGCTACTGTGACATCACCCTGGCCAGAGCTAGAGGGTATGCCCCTCAGGCATTACTGCTCCCCACTTGGTCTCCACCAACACTGTGTGGGGAGGACTGCCTTGTTACCATTAAGTGGAAGTAGAAGTTCACTTAGCCTCCACTGACACCACCCCAATGGGGAGGTGAAAGGGAACCTCATTACCTTCAAGTGAGGATGAAAGTCTAGACTCCCCTGTGATCTCTCTTGACACTGCGAGGAAGGTGGATTGTCACTGTCAGTCAGTGATGAAAGTCTTGCCTCCGCTGGTCTAGAGCAGCGTGCCTTGTTACAGCTGGGCAAGATCTGTAATCCCCACTAATCCCCACTCAGACTTTGCTGACAGTGTTGGCGGTGGGGCTGCAAATTTTTCTGTGGAGTTTGGCTGGGGTTAGGGGAGGCTATTATATCAACATTTTCTGTCTTTCTAGGCTACCCTTTTCTTAGTTCTTTGGTTAGAGAGAACTGGCTCTTTTTGGGGCTTTTTTTTTTTTTTTTTTTTGGTCTGTCTCACTGGCACTTAGAAATTACTGCCTCTCCAGCAAAAGAAAACCAGGAAACTCATAGCCATGTCTTTCCTCAGGCCCCAAGCAAGCCTGCCTTCTTCTTTCCACCTTTGGAAGTCTTCTTATGTTTATTTTTTATATAATGCCTAGAGTTTTCATTGTACCTTTTTTTTTTTTTTTTTGAGACAGAGTCTTGCTCTGTTGTCTAAGCTGGAGGGCAGTGATCTCAGCTCATTGCAACCTCCACCTCCTGGGCTTAAGTGATCCTCCCACCTCAGCCTCCAAGTAGCTGGGACTACAGGCACGCACCACCACACTCAGCTGATTTTTAAATTTTTTGTAAAGATGAGGCCTCACTATATTACTCAGGCTGGTCTCGAACTCCCGTGCTCAAATAATCCTCCTACCCTGGCTTCTCAAAGTGCTGTGATTATAGGTGTGAGTTACCTTGTGTGGCCTTCATTGTACTTCTATTGTGTCACTTATTTATCTATTTTTGAAACAGGGTCTCACTCTATCACCCAGGCTGGAGTGCAGTGGTGTGATCTCGGCTCACTGAAGCCTTGACTTCCCAGGTTGAAGCCATTCTTCTGCCTCAGCCTCCTGAGTAGCCGGGACTACAGGGGTGTGCCAGCACACCTGGCTAATTTTTGTATTTTTTATAGCGACAGGGTTTTGCCATGTTGCCCAGGCTGGTCTTGAACTCCTGGGCTCAAGCCGTCCTCAGGCCTTGGCCTCCCAAAGTGTTGGGTTTACAGGCGTAGGCCACTGCGCCTGTACTACTGTGCCTATTTGTAAGCCATAATTCATAACAAGTGAATTTACAAGTTGATTCTGTTCTTTGGTATTAGTATATGTAATTATTCAATGAACATCTTTATAATGAACATCTTTATAACTAAAACCTTAGGATGCATTATTAGGAAAAAAAATACTGACCTGAAGTATGTGAACATATTTAAGACTTTTGACATATTTTGCCGAATTGCTCTTCAGAAGGGACACACCCACATGTGCTTTTGCTGATAATGTGCGTAAAAGTACTCATTACAAAAGATGCCCTAGCCTATTGGACTTTGAGTTTTCTCCTAATTTTATAGGTGCAGATTGGTATGAGAGTTAAATTTCTACCATGGTTTTGAAAGAGATGTAACTACCTTCATTAATATAAAATAATCCACCAAAGAAAAGACGTAACAAAAATAACATCATTGTTTTGAGTGCTGAAAAAGTGCCAGGCACTCTGCTGAACATTTAACATTTTATTCTCATAATAATTTATGAGCTGAGTATCATTATCTCCATTTTTATGAGACTTGGAGGGTGGAGGCAATTTGCCTAGGTCACATAATTAATAAGTGGCAGAATTGAAATTTAATTTAATCCATTTTCTCCAGTTCTAAAGCTTGCAACAATTCACTGTGGGCAGTGACGGTGAGCTGATTTGCCTAAATGATTAACAGGCTTATACGCTGTCATAAATAAAGGGCAGAATTAGAACATTCTCTTTCTCAGCATCAGCAGGTGGCATATAGGAAGAACCATTCAATCTACTGGTTCCAAATCCAATATTCAGCTATTAATAAATGGTGATGGAGAAAACCAATCAAGCATGCCAAATTTTTATCTTAATTACAGACTATTAAAAACTCTCAAATCAATATCTAGGTTAAAAGTCTGTGAATGATTTTTTTTTTTTTCAGGAACTGCATTTTAGAAATAATGATAAAATCTGGCAGAAAACAAGCTGAGTTCTATCAGACTGGAGTTCGGGTGGGGTTGGATGTGATGAATGCTTTATTACTCTAAGGGATAAAAAAAGATCTTTTGCTTTTTAAGCACTTTTACTCCTCTCCTTTAAAGATGAACCATGATTACCATTCACAGCTCCTGCTATGATGACAATGCTTTGAAATACTCAGAGGAATTAGCCAGCAAGATATTGCCTTTCCAATCTCATCTAATATAATAATTACAACTGGAATCTGAGCAGTGGGAATTATCATAATTGCAAGGAGTCAAATGGCTGAAAAAACAAGTTTTATTCCTTACTCCTAGACTGTCATTAGTGAATTCCTGTGGAGAGTCTGGGCAGTCTGAAGAATGTCATAAATTAGAGCAAGTGATCTTTATGCAAAGTGGAAAGGGGTGTGGACTGGGTGTGGTTAAAAAGAATATTCATCTATAGCTTTAAAGTTTTGTGCTAGAATTTGTCTGTACCTGTACAAAGATATATTAGACAGCCCTGCAAGTTCAACTGAGCTAATTTCCCACAGCTTATTAAGCAGACCCTAACTAGGGAGAGATGAATTATTTCCAGTCATTTTTCCATGGTTACCATTTGAACAGCCCAGCTTTAGCCTTTGTGTTATTGGTTAAAAGGGTGGTGTGTGGAAATGATGAAGCTTTGTTAGACATAAATCAGGTCGTAATGAAAACGCTAAAATGTAAATATGGAAATGAAAATATTGAAATAATGCCTGTTATTAGTTACAATAGGATTTTGAGAAAACACACAGCCTATTACATCGAAAAGATAAAGACCATCTTCTTAATCAGAGTTCCTGCTGCCAATGCCTATTTTTATTTCTAATTTTTATTAAGTAATAGACAGTGTGGTTTATTCAGAGAAAAGACGGTATCTCATTAAATAGGTATTTCATACAACCAAAAAAGAAAAACTATTTGATAACCAACCATGCCAACTGGCATGAGCATGTATCCATATGAGAGAGTGTTTGGGGGAAATCTCGTTGCCTACAGAATATTGAAAATTTTTTTTTCGTTTCTTTCTTTCTTTTTTTTTTTTTTTTTTTTTTTGAGACAGAGTCTCTCTCTGTGGGCCAGGCTGGAGTGCAGTGGCACAATCTCGGCTCACTGCAAACTCCACCTCCTGAGCTCAAGCAGTTCTCCTGCCTCAGCCTCCCAAGTAGATGGGATTACAGGTGTGTGCCACCACGCATGGCTAATTTTTGTATTTTTAGTAGAGACGGGGTTTCACCATGTTGGCCAGGCTGGTCTTGAAATCCTGACCTCAGATAATCTGCTCTCCTCGGCCTCCCAAAGTGCTGGGATTACAGGCATGAGTCACTGCGCCTGGACTGCAAATTTTTTTTATTGCTCATGCTCTGTCCCTCTGGAAATCGTTAAACATTTTTTCCAGTGGAGAAAGCTTGTTATCTCCATTTCTTCATGAATTATTGAAAAAATGAGATGACTAACACTGCGGGTGTCAGTTCCATGCTAGGATGACATACATGCAATCCATTGTGACCTCTAGGTAAAGGTTAACTCAACCCTGACAAAATTAGGAAATATAGTCAAAGTGGGAAAAATACAAAACAATTTGATTAAGCTTTGCTTTCTCTAAATAAATGAGATTTTATGCATAGGAGCTAGAGTGATTCACAGGCATCCATATTTGTTTGTTGTACTCAAAATTGTAATTAAAATATTTATTTTGGAAAAAACTGAAGAAATATTATATAGAAATAAAATGACTCACAACATATTCAATGGCAGACCATATCTGTCCATTGATCATAATACTTGTGTATGGTTTGGAGATAAATACACACACACACATATAATGGAAGATAAGAAAATTGGACATTATGCTTTGAGTTATATGTATTTTAACCATTTTTTTTGAGAATATAAAAATTGGTGGGTGTAGCAGGTTTGGAATTGGTACATTTGTTTTTCATATTATTGGGAAAATAGAGTAAGATATTGTGAGAAAATACTTATAACCTACACATACTACATTCAACACAAAAGAATATGTACAAATTAATAAGAAAAAACCTCATTGTAAAACAGGCAAAATATACTGTTGCATGAAAGAATGCCCAATCTCAATTGTAATCAGTGAAATACAAATTTAAACAATAATAAAATAATATGTTTCCCATTGAATTGGCAACAAAAAGGTATAATGCCCTTGTTAGTTGTGAGGTTATGGGAACATAAGTGCTACTGATGGAAGTATAAAACAATATTGCTTTTTAGAGAACAATTTGAGAGTATATTAAAATTTTAAATGTATATATCCTTTAACCTCACAATTGGACTTACAGAATTTATCCTGTAATATATTCATACACATGCACAAATATATATGTATATCAATGTTCCTTGCAGTCTTGTTCATGATACCAAAAAAGGCTATATCTGAATGTTCATTTTTAAGGCAATGATTATAAAAATTATGGTTTTATAGACTGTTATGAATTCATTAATCAGATAACTTTCTATTGGGGACCATATAATTTATTGTCCAAAAGAAGTTACTTTTAATAGTGAAAGATGGCACTATGAATAATTGGATAAACCTGAAAATACGATCACTGAACTCGGTATGCACTGATGTGGAAAACTGTTCAATGCACATTGTTAGGTAAAGAGAGTACTTTACCAGATATGTATGTAAAATTTTAATCTTCCAATACTAAAACTCTACAGGTGCATCTTTGTGTAAATGGATAGAAAGAGGTACACAAAATACATGGCAAACTGCTAACTTTTGTTATTGTGGGGAAGAGAGTGGAATTGGTGAGAAGGTTGAAGGTAAATTTGTTCTTTTAAACTCAATCTATGTCTGTAGTAATTGATTTTTTTAAACAATAAGCAATCATTTATGTATTACAAAATGAAGTAGAAATATAAACCTTCCAAAACTAAAGAGCGTGAAAAAAGTCTTTAGAAACATTACCCAGTAATTTGGTTTTGTTAATTGTGGTGATTGCTTTGGCTGACACGGTCATCTTCAAGTGAAGCCTCGAAGATGTTTAACTATAAAACTGAAGGCAATGGAATCACTCTCAGCAAAAACCTTTCTCTATAGTAATGAACAAAGAGCATTTTGTTGCTACCGGATATAATTGAAAGTTGCAGTTTTGAATAAGCACACATTCTCTGTTATGCTAAAGAATTTAATACGGCTTGATAGTCATTAAGGATCAGGTGAAGATTGGCTATAAATTAATTTTCTTAGAAAACATGCCCTGATTATAGTGCTTTATACAAAAGTCTGTGTTGATGGAAACAGTTCAGACTATATCTGACTTTGCCAGAGGCTTCCTGGTGGAAAAAACAATAACTGGCTGCAGGGTTCTTTCCATGGTAATGATTTTGTTTGTCAATCGGTGAGGTCTTGGAACACCATGTTTGCATGACTGATGGTCACACTGAAATAGCAATTTATTCACTGGGCAAATAGTCACTGAGTTTCTACCATGTGCCTGACACTGTTCTAGGTACTAGAGACACAGCAAAACATCAAAATCTTCTGCCATTGTAGGACTTGCTTTCTAGTTGTGGATAGAAAATAGACAAGAGAAGTAAAATAGTAAGTCTGTTAGATTGTGGTGAGTGTTAAGAAAAATATAAGCTGTGAAGAGAGTACTGAGAGTGGGAAGAATATTTTATTTTTTAGTAAAGTGATAAGGGAAGGAAAAGACCTGAATTGAGGGAGGTGAGGGGACAAGCCAGGAAGATAACTTGGGAAAACAAGAAGAGCAAGTGCTCAAAGTCCGAGCGAGCTTCCCCCGAGTCTTTGAGGTTCAGAAGGAGATGAGCGTGGCTGCCCTGAAATGAGTGACGGGGAAAGAGTAGAAGGAATTGAATTGAGGTCAGAGAGTTGGGAGTCTGCTCTCGGTCTTGTGGGTCATTGTAAAGACTGACTTTTACTCAGAGCAAGATGGGGAGAACGGAAGAATTTTGAGGAAGAGTGAGATGATTTGACTTACATTTTAGGAGGATCATTCTTCAAGCTCTTTACTCTACCAGCTGCTCTCATCCATTTAAGAAGTTGACTCACCAGGGATCAGACTGACCATTACATTATTTTAAAGCATGTACTTCCAGGTAGCAGTTGATAAAAGATACGTTTTAAAATGCACATAACATAGAGATCTTAATTTAGGATAACCACAAATGAAAATAACATTAGACAACATTTTCCTAGTCCATGGAACCAGAAAGCTAACAGGTTTATATTCACATGTCTTATATTAGAAGGAAAAATTCAGAAAAATTGGCATGTTGGATAGAAATGGAGAGAGATTAATTCTCTTAAATCCACCTCCTTGGTTCATGACATCATTTCTTCCCTGGAGGACTGAGGTAATCTCCTCCTAACTGGTTCAGACGCTTTGAACCAAACTTCCCTTCTGCCAATACCATAGTTAAGGTATTGGTTTTTTTCTAAAGCACTACAACAAGCTTCCTCTAACCTGTCTTTCTGCCTGCTTTCTTGCTTTGCCTTTGATATATTTTCAGTTGTGTTATCAGAGAACGTTTTCTTTTATAGAAATGCAGAGTGTTCAAGTTAACGTCAAACTCCTTAGGATGACGCAGAGGTGTAACGCTCTCACCTGGTCCTGCCCAACTTATCTAGTCTGCTCATCTCATTTCGCAATGTCTGTACCTATCTGTGAAGAACCACGTACAACTTCCTCAATGTGCTGTGGTTTCCCTTGATCTCATGCTGTTGCACATGCTACTTTCTTGGTTAATTTCTACCTGTCATCCGAGACTCAGTCCAGGTGCTACCACTTTTCAGAAGCCAGAGTTACCTGCCTTTCCTATATATAACCACAGCACATTTTGCAATTATTATAACTGCTGGTTTACTCCATTGGCTTATAAGTTATTTGAAGAGAGAATCTTAATATTATTCACCTTTGTATTTCCAAGACCTAACATATGGTAGATGATAAATAAATTATCCGTAGAGGAGATAAACAAAGTAACATAAAGAAAGTAAGTAGAGGAGACTGGTCTGTAATATAAACATCAACGCTGTCCTGGATTGTAAACCATAGACAGAAATGGAATAAAGATGCTAACAACTGACTGAAGTCCTATGAGGCAAAAGAAACTGGGTCAGCTCTCTCTCTTGCCTGTAATTGATCAGCTGCTTTTAAAAATATATATCTTGCAAGTATATTAAGCAGAACTTGCAAGTTATGGCTCTTTTACCATCATTGCCCCTGGTGTTTCAAATGAAGATTTTTACAACATATGCATTTGTTAGATCTGCATATTTATGGGTTTTTTCCTTAAAATTCCAAAACTTTTGAAGGTATCAGAGTAACCTCTTGATAGTTAGACAAGAATAAGAATTGCGCATCTAACTCATAACTGTTGTGACATTGATTTAAAGTCTTCCAGTCAGTTGTCCTGGGATTCCAGTGCAGGCTTGCAAAGGAGTCATAAAAGTGCTTCTTTTTGTGACAGTCAAAGTCTATGACAGTTAAATGGAGTTGGGCATAGGGATAACAAAATGCGTTCACTTAATTTAACAAATATTTGACCAGCTATAATGGTCAGGTGCTGACCTAGATCTTGGTGATATAATTTTAAATTAAAAAGTTCTCTGCCCCAGATCGTTTGTATTAGAATGTCTCCTCTTTCCATTCTGTAAATGAGTGTGATGGTAGAAATGATATAATCAAACTATTCAACAGGTTTAATTTGCTCTTGAAAATGACAGAGAAGTGGAAGAAATCTGAAAACTTAGCTTTCTGTCACACCCCTGACAATTTCCTGGACAGCCCAAACTGAACCAAAAAAAAACTTCACTCAGACTAGTTCCTCCCCTGAGGGTGCTTCCTCATGAAACAGAGACCTACTTATTTTCAACACAACATTTTACAATTCTGCTTTGCCTGAATTCCTTCTCCCATATATAGGTTTTGGTGTCATGTTGGAATTTCTAGACAGTCTACAAAATTTATTTAAAAATTTTTCTTGAATTCGGCCACTTTATAGTTGTGTTACAAAATTTAAAAAGAGAGTGATACTACTTCAGCTCATAGAGTGACAGATTGAGGACATATTAAACCTCTTCGTTTACGTTGGACTTAATGAGAAACTCAAGGCATTGAATAACAAATCACTTTTGCAATCAACTTGTAGGGTAAATTGAATAGTTTCTTAGTGGTAATAAGGAATCATATGTTTCACTGTGGCCATTATTCCTTTGGCATTTATAAATCTCTAGTGTAAGTATCCATCCACAGTAGCCAGTTGCTAGTTCACCACCATAGCAGTAACTGAAATTTGCAGACCATGTGTTAAATTAGTGAATGGGTCCAATGATTTGGACAATTCAGTTGGAGGTGTCTGAAGTGTCATATTGATTTTAGCCTTCTAATTTCCAGGGAGGATTTGGTGGGTGAGATATTGCCAAAAAAGGTTGAAAAGAATGATTCAGAACTAGGGTCATGAACAGCAAGTGAGCTGGAACTGGTATTCTTGACCCAAAGGACAACCTTAGATCACATTGTAATATATTTTTTTCTATTACTATTTTCTGTTAGGTTTTAAAGTTATTCCATTTCTATTACTAATGTTTTCTATTTCTATTACAATATATTTTCCCATTACTAGCCCGTTAAGACAGATCAATGGATTAAAAAAAAATTGCTGGCAGTTCTACCTCTTATTTGGAAGAATGTTTAAGATGTTTCACTTACCTCTCAAGAATCTCTCAATCCACAGAAAATGTCACTCCCATGACCTTAACAACTGTCCAAACTTACGTTTTTTTTGGCTGTCTCCCTTGGGCTCAGACCAATACTTCTCAGAGGGCACCTCTGCTCGAATAACCTACAGCTACTTCAACATTTATATGTGCAAAATTGATTTCATTATCAGCAATCCAACACGCAAACCTGTTCCATCTCCTGAATTCTTTATCTCAGGCTTTACCATCCATCATTCTACTCATAAACCCAAACTCAGAGTTATTCTTAAATCTTACCATTCTCTCATTTCTATATCCTAGTGATCAACAAATCTTATAATTTTTTGTTTTGTTTTTTTTGTTTGTTTGTTTTTTAGACAGGGTCTTGCTCTGTCGCCCAGGCTGGAGTGCAGTGGTGCAATCTCAGCTCACTGCAACCTCCACCTCCCGGGTTCAAGCAATTTTCCTGCCTCAGCCTTCTGAGTAGCTGGGATTACAGGCACATGCAACCATGCCTGGCTAATTTTTATATTTTTGGTAGAGACAGGGATTCACTATGTTGGCCATTCTGGTCTCGAACTCCTGACATCAAGCAATCCACCTGCCTTGGCCTCTCAAAGTGCTAGGATTACAGGTGTGAGCCACCATGCGCAACCAATCCTACAAATTCTAACTCTAAACTGCCTCCCAATTCTTTTTCTTTTCTTTTCTTTTTTTTTTTTTTTTTTTTTTTTTTGAGACGGAGTCTTGCTCTGTCTCCCAGAGTGGAGTGCAGTGGCGCGATCTCGGCTCACTGCAAGCCCCGCCTCCTGGGTTCACACCACTCTCCTGCCTCAGCCTCCTCTCCTGAGTAGCTGGGACTACAGGCACCCGCCACCACGCCCGGCTAATTTTTTGTACTTTTAGTAGAGATGGGGTTTCACCATGTTAGCCAGGATGGTCTCGATCTCCTGACCTCGTGATCTGCCCGTCTCGGCCTCCCAAAGTGCTGGGAATACAGGCGTGAGCCACCGCGCCCGGCTTCCCAATTCTTTTTCACCTCTTGATTGGTACTGATGTTCCCTTAGTTTAGATTTTATTTTCTTTTACTTTTTATAGACAGGGTCTTCTTCTGTCACCCAAGCTGTAGTGCAATGGCCCAATCCTAGCTCACTACAGCCTTGAACTCCTGGGCTCAAGTGATCCTCCCACCTCGACCTCCAAAGCACTGGGATTACAGATATGAGCCACCATGCCTTGCTTAGTCTAGACTTTACCTGCGTGTTCACACCTCCATGCTTTTGCAGAAAATCCTGTTTGTCTGCATGTACTTTTCCCCCTGACTGCCTGGTAGGCTTTTACTTATTTCTAAAATCCCACATTTTCTCTTTGTTTTGTTTTGTTTTGTTTTGTTTTGTTTTGTTTTTGAGACCGTCTTGCTCTGTCGCCCAGGCTGGAGTGTAGTGGCACGATCTCAGCTCACTGCAACCTCCACCTCCGGAGTTCAAGTGATTCTTGTGCCTCAGCCTCCCAAGTAGCTGGGATTACAGGCATGTGCCACCACGCCCGGCTAATTTTTGTATTTTTAGTAGAGACGGGTTTCACCATGTTGGCCAGGCTGGTCTGAAACTCCTGGCCTCAAGTGATCTGCCTGCCTCGGCCTCCCAAAGAGCTGGGATTACAGGCTGAACCACCGCGCTCAGTCCCACATTTTCTCCGCTGTAAGCCTTCTTATTTGCTTCCACTGCTGTGCTACCCAGAAGAGTTACGTGCTTCTTCCTCACTGCTCCCATATCTTTCGTAACATACTTTTCTGTGATGCTTATCAATTTAAATGATAGCCAGGATTGCCATACAGTAACAAATTACTCTAAAATTTAATAAATTAATCAATTAACTTTTAACCACGCATTCCTGGGTGCTAAATAAATGTTTGTTGGATAAATTAATGAATTGATTAACAAAAGTGGCAAATTAGCAAATTGATCATTCTTGAACAGAAGAAAGACACACAAAAGACTGGGGAAATGTCATTAGGGACTGTGCATTTCTAGGCAGGAAACTAGCGGCATAGAGGCCGTGTTTCCATTGTTTCTTTTTCACTGGAGTAGGATATCTGAAAGATAGAGAAACTTCTGGGAAGGGAACTACTGACAATGCAGTTAGTGTTGATGAAATGGGCTTAGATACCTGAACCATGACTTAATATCCTGGCTCTTGGCTGGGGTTACATGCATATTGCAAAAATAAGGAAGAACAAATGCGTTTTCTCAGAAGTTAGCTGGCCAGTTTGAGGGGGCTCACCACTGAAAATGTAGAGAAAGCAAAATAAGCTCCTGGATGAAGCCATGAGGCTGATTTCTTTGGGGGAGAACAGATAGGACACAGAATGAAAAATAAGACTGAAGGAGCTTCTCAGGGATTCACATGAGAGAATCATTAGAAGACACTGAAAATATTACTTAGAAATTCAAATATCAAGGCAAACATAAAGCACGTGGGTTGTAAATAAAATGAATACACATTGCAACGTGTATATAACTGAATAATCTAAGGGGAAATACCAGGATTTAGTGGACATGCTATCATGGAATAGTTTGTCTCACATAACAAATATATAAAGAATGATTAAAAATGTGATAGTAAGAAAGACATAACAGTACTATACGTCAAAAAGATACACCTTTAAGAAAATCCACAAAATATACACTAACCTGCTTTCAAATAAATAAAAGAGAGAGAAATGACGTTTAATTGACCTAAGAGAGGAAAGACACAATGTCGTCTTAATATATGTTACAAAAGGGGGACATGATCAAGATATGGTACTAATTAGGACATAATCTGGCTACCTGCTGGAGACTTAGTCAGGGAAACTCAGAGCATCTGACAAGTTTCAACCTGCTTGATGACAATTCTGTCCCAGAGAGTGAAGTCAAAACTCATCCTAGAAATGGCAGAAACTAGTATGCTAACACTCGGTATTTTTATGAAAAGGAAAATAGAAGATAATGAATTCGATTATGCATCTGATATGTTTTTATAGTCATTTAAAAATCTCCGTAAGGAGACCAGTCGCGGAGGCTAATGCCTGTAATCCCAGCACTTTGGGAGGCCGAGGTGGGCAGATTGCTTGAGGTTGAGAGTTCAAGACGAGCCTGGCCAACATGGCAAAACCCGTCTATACTAAAAAAAAAAAAAAAAAAAAAAAAAAAAAAAAAATTAGCCGGGCATGGTGGCAGGTGCCTGCAATCTCAGCTACTGAGGAGGCTGAGGCAGGAGAATCACTTGAACCCGGGAGGCAGAGGTTGCAGTGAGCTGAAATGGGCAACAGCTGTCTCAAAAAAAGAAAAAAGAAAAACTCCGTAAGGAACTTCAGCATGGAGGAGCTGGTGACACTGGTTGCCTCTGGGACAGGGAGGTGGATGGCTGGGGCCAGGGGTGTCAGAGACACTTCTCACTGTTTGTTTTACCTTAGAAATGTTGAACTATGCAATTGCATTGAATATCCAAAAAAAATTTAAAATAATCAAAGACAAAAAAAGGTAAGAGAAAATTCCAAAACAATATTTATGCTGGTAACAGGGGAGGGTCCTTTTAAGATATACGTAACATTTTGCACACAGTCTGAGCAACATAGCAAGACCTCATGTCTACCAAAATTTTAAAAATTAGCAGGGCATGGTGGTGCGAACCTGTAGTCCCAGCTACTTGGAAGGCTGAGGCGGGAGGATTGCTTGAACCCAGTTTGAGGCTGCAGTGAGCTATGATTTTACCACTGCACTCAGCCTGGGCAGCAGAGTGAAACCTTGTCTCATAAAACAAACAAACAAACAAAAAAACTGCACAAGCCTTTTAAATGATTTATATTGTTAAGTCTTTGCACAAGCCTTTATTAAATCATTCATTTTGTTAAAATGAAAACCTTAGACAAATTAAATTGAACAGAGTTTAATTGAGCAAAGAATGATTTGTAAATCGGGCAGTCACCAGAAGCACAGCAGATTCAGACAGACTCTTGTGCAGCCACATGGTGGAAGAAAATTTATGGACAGAAGAAGGGAAGTTATATCCGGAAAATGGAAGTGAGGTACAGAAACAGCCAGATTGATAACAGCTCAGCATTTGCCTTATTTGAACCTGGTTTGAACAGTTGGCCACCTTTGGCTGAAACTTGGTGATTGGCACAAAAGTAGGTTCTGGTCTGTTTACACATCCAGTTGGGTTACAGTTCACTGTGGACGAGAAACCTTTAGGCTGAACTTAGAATATGTAAGGAGGCAGCTTTAGGTGAAATTTTATTTAATAATATCATTTTACAATAATATAGTATGAGTATATATCTTAAGCAACTTGTCAGATTACCCAGAGCATTCTGTGCTGTCTGGGGAATATACGGATAGATACACTGAAGGCTCCCAATTGAGAGGGCTCCTTCTCCTGGTCCTCCTTGTCTCCCTCCACATGGAGTGTGTGCTTACCAAGAGTCAGTTCAGTTTGTACTCAAACCTGATTATGTTGGTTGTATTTGATCTTTCAAAGCACGTAGTTGAATTAAATATAATTAGGCTGATGAAATATGAAGTGTGGAGTGACAGAGAGTTGCTGTTTCTTGAAAACTTACTTTAATACTTTGGAAATACTATAAACATGAGATGCTAAAACAAGTGCTGTTAGAATAGATATGAGCAAGGCAACTGTATAAGACTCAGGAAAAATCACAGAAATCTAAATGGTTTTAGTATTCAGCCACTTCCACAGTGGTGGTACATTCTTTCTCTATTTTAAATAAACTAAAACTAGAAATTATTGATGGCATGTTATGGCTATGCAAGAAAGACCATGCAAAGTTCAATCATCAATCAAAGAAAAGGCCTTGACCCTACTTCTAAAATTTGGTGAGTAGTGAATGTATCTTTAAGGGTTTAAAGTTAAAAATTAAACATTTCAGCTATGCATGTGTTATGATTGTCCACTTTTTTTTTTACATTGAGAAACTTAAGGATGAGATTGTCCACTTTAATAGAGTTTTTTGTTTAACCAACTGACCACAGACCTTCCATTGTAAGATTCTTCAGAAAGGGAGGCTGTATCTTGTTTATCTTTGTAATCCCTGTGCATCATACAGCTCTTAGAACACAGTGCACAGTGGATGTGCAAGAAATGTTTATTGAATCATTGTTATGTCAATAGAGTACAGAGTAGCACTTTTTTTTTCCTCTGAGTTGTTATACTGGGCAGTCACTAGACTTTCCACCAAAACTTCAGAAGTGTAGAGTGAAAATGGCACATGGCAAATTGAATTCAGGAACTGAGTTAAGAGAATGGATATCCAAATATGTGGAAGAAGCTGGAAAATCTCATCTTTGGTCAATGTAAGGTCTAGAATGTAAAGAAAATCTAGAGTCAAAGCCATCAGAAAATGACAAAGAAGCAAGAAGAGAAAATTAACATGTTGTGAGTTCCAAGCAAAACTAAGTTCACTTGAAATTTTATGGCCATGCCCTGTTCAACATTTCTCTACTGAACTTAAAGAAGTAATATTCTGAGTGAGCTTTCAGCAGATGAAATTCTGGACACTGTGAAGCTAGATATAATTCTATAGGAGTTTTTTAGTAAAAGAAAAGTGAAAGGTTTCTTGGGAGAAAATAACAAAGCCATTTTAGTTTATGATAAACGGGGGGTGGGGAGCAACTTTACTTAGAAGCATATAATAGACCAGAATTGCCCTAAGTGTATTCCATGAAATACAAGATTGCAATATATTACATTCTCTGTATTGCCTGATATTTATTTTCTTTTTATTTGTTGTTTATTCTGTTTCCCCTTTTGAAGCAATCTCCGTGACAGAATTGGCTTTTCTTGCCTGTCTTGCTCACTGCCACAGGTCCACAGTCTTAAATAGTGCCAGACACATATCAAGGTCCTCATGAAGATTTATTAAATGAAGTTTCAATGAATACATGGAGAAGCAGCAACCTGGAGAGCTCCAGAACAGCCCTGGAGAGCAGGGACAAAGTTTCACAAAGAGGATCACGAATGAAAGCCACTGTGAAGCAGAGAGGGAATATCAATGACCCCTCCCTCCACCCTCACCACCACCAATGGGGTATTTTCATTTATACATTGAAAATAAAATATGCCTGTAATTCCAGCACTTTGGGAGGCTGAGGCATGAGGATCAGTTGAGCTTAGGAGTTTGAAAACAGCCTGGGTAACATGGCGAAACCCCGTCTCTACAAAAAATACAAAAATTAGCCGGGGATGGTGGCATTGGCCTGCAGTTACAGCTACTTGGGAAGCTGAGGTGGGAGGATCTCTTGAGCCCAGGAGGTGGAGGTTGCTGTGAGCAGTGATCACGCCACTGTACTCCAGCCTGGGTGACAGAATCAGACAGACCCTGTCTCAAAATAAATAAACAAATAAAAATAAAAATTAAAAAATTAAAAAAATTTTAAAAATACAGCTCACTTTTTGCCCATTATAAGGCACTGTGGTAGAGGTGGCAAGATTAAGGTATGGATACCTGAGAAACTGGTGGCTTTATTAGAAGCAGAACAGGCATCTCTCAAGGAAAGGTGAAAAATGCTCATTAATTACTTTAATAGAAATTTTTGTCTTCCTGGTTTATAGCAAAAAAAAAAAAAGATTCATTAGCTGGTGAACATAGTTTCAATAATTTTCAAATGCAATTTATAAGACCGTTTCATAGTAGATGTAGGAGTTACTATATCATTCCTCTCTAAATCACTCAAATGAAAAGACAGAATCATTATGCAGTCATTTAAGTATTTTTAACTAAAGAGATTATATTCATATCATAATCTTTCTTAAATGACTGCATTGTGAAACTAAAGGACAAAGGAAAGAGAAAAGAATATTTCATGTCTTTGCATTTATAATTCCGCAGAGAGCACTGGCTCTCAAATCTGCTACAGTCACCTGGGAACTTTAAAAATAAAGCAATGACAAGCCTCATCCCAGGCCAATTAACTCAGAATCTCTGGGGGTGGGGCCCTAGCATCAGCATTTTTTCAGTGTTCCCAGGGTGATTCTTATGGGCAGCTGGGTGAAGGACAATTAATCCAAGAGATGCTATGGAAGGAACAATAGGAAACCACCTTCACTAGCACCCTTTATGAGAGTCAATCTGAACTGCGGTGATAAGCTTGGAACTCAAATCATTTCTGAGGGCTCAAATCTGAATATTCTAAATATGATGTTTTATATGGAACTCTAACTTCTCACAATATTACACATTTTCTTCATTAGGGAATCAATTTACTAACCCAAAAGTTGGTCAAGGAAATAATCCCTTCAGAAAGCATAATGACTGACCATTAGAGACAGAATGTCATTACACATTAGTAATGACTACCCAGCATCTTTTTTTTTTTTTAATTTGAAACAGGGTCTCACTTTGTTGCCCAGGCTGGAGTGCAGTGGTTCTACGTTGGCTCACTGCCACCTCAATCTCCTGGGTTCAAGCAATCCTCCCACCTCAGTCTCCTGAGTAGCTGGGACCACAGGTGCGAGCCACTACACCTGCCTAATTTTTTGTTTTTGTTTTTATAGAGAGGAGATCTTGCTATGTTGCCCAGGGTGCTCTCGAACTCCTGGGCTCAAGCTATCTTTCCACCTGGGCCCCTCAAAGTGCTGGGATTACAGGCATGAGCCACCACACCTGGCCAGACCACTCAGGTTAAAAAAAAAAAAAAATCTTTCTGAAGTAAAGATTGTGACCCATTGAAATAGTTTGTCAAGGGAGGTTGTGAAAATTATTTCTCTACTGGCACTTAAAATTAAAGTCATGTTGTATCTTTTGAGTTGTTTAAATTGAAGTCTGCCTCGTGAAAGGAAGACGGACCAGACAATTTTGGGAAATTATTTTCAAACCAGAGGGTTTACTTTATTTTATTTTTTAATCTATGCTTACACTTTGCTGGAGGAATCTTGACATCTGTTTGGTGGTATCTTGCACGACAGCTCCATGCTCTGTTTTGAGAAAGATGGCCAGCTGACTAACGGGCCATCCAGGACGGACACAGGTGCCCTTTTCACCACTGTTGTGACTATGTGGCCATTTTCAGTAAAGGGACATTTGATTTCTTTATTCTGCTCCTTCCTTCCCTGTCTCACCTTTTCTAACACCACTCTCCATTAGTCCTCTGGGCTACTGTTTTCTCCTTACTCTGTATTGAATACTTACGTGCTAGGAACTCACAACATTCCTGCAAGATTGATACCATCTATTTTACAATCTCCAATTTGTGGATGAGAAAGTGGGGTGTGGAAATGGGAGAAAACTTTCCTAAGTCACTCAGCTGGCGAGTGGTAAAGCCACCCTGGGATCATAGGTTTGTCTGACCCAGAGTCCAGGCTCTCAAGCACTATATTTGCTCTTTCATGCTTCCACTGTGGGTAGAGTCCCAGGCCATACTCTGGGCCGCTGCCCACTACAGTCAGATCCTGCCTACCCAGTCTGTAAAATGGAGCATCTCTGCCCTTTCTTACTTCCCACTATAGGGAGCAGTCCCCCTGACCATGGGTACACACCCAGGATATGTGGCTTCTAGGGAAATCTCCCTAAAGGGGAGCACCCAGGAGAGGCTGGAAAATCAAAGCATACCTGGCTGCCCACAGCCTTTGATTTTGGTAGAAGGACCATTCCAATGGTTCATCTCTCTCAGCAACAATCATTCTTATTCCCCCTGGATAAGGGGTCAGAGTTAGGGTCACCTTCTGGCTATTCCAGTTAGAACTCCCTTCATGCAAAAAGGCTGAACTCCTCTGCCCAAATTTCTCCCATCAGAAGGGCCCAAGAGCCTTCTCCATATTCAGTAGTTCAGATCACCCCACACTTTTATAATCAAATATACATGCATGTGTATATATATATGTATTCACGCATATATATTTGCATTTATATACACATGCATATATATTTGATTATATATACACATGCACACAGACAGTATTTATTTATTTATTTTGTTTTATTATTTTTCTGAGACAGAGTCTTGCTCTCTGTCACCCAGGCTGGAATGCAGTGGCATGATCTTGGCTCACTGCAACCTCCACCTCCTGGGTTCAAGCAATTCTCATGCCTCAGACTCCCCAGTGACTGGGATTACAGGTGTGCACCACCACACCTGGGTAATTTTTATATATTTAGTAGAGATGGGGTTTCACCACGTTGCCCAGGCTAGTCTCGAACTCCTCAAGTGATCCTCCCGTGTTGGCCACCCAAAGTGCTGGGATTATAGGCATGACCACTGTGCCTGGCCATATATACAGTATTTAAAGGCAAGTGATGAATGTTACTTTTGCTTCCTTAAAAGTGTTACAATCCCATGAATAGAAAGTGGCTAGCATTTATCCAGCATAACAACTTTTTTGAATTAGAGCTATTGATTTATTGCATGCATTTACATTATTTACCCTCAAAAGCAAAAAAATCACCCACTCAGAACCTGACTGACTGTGAAGAGAAATAAGTGACATGTTCCTTAAAAAAAAGAGAGAAAGGAAAAAGATTATGTGACTTGTTCTTTATGACGACTAACCTGGTAAATTGGTCCCCTAATGGCCTAAAGGTGTCAAAAAATTTACAACATATAGTATAAATATTTCGAGGCTCAGAATATCTGGCTCTGTGAATCGCTTTACACTCCAATCTGTTCTCATTTGCATCTGAAATAATAGTGTTTACCTCAAAAGCAGTAGATCTTGTCTGAAGAGGCTCACGTATCAAGAGTTCTTTAAAGAACTTGTTAACTTAATGGTAAAAATATTTTTCATAAGTTATGAAGCTGCTCAATTATATACAATTAAAATGCTGAGGAAAGTATAATTATGGCTGTGAACGAGTGTACTAAATTTGTTTTGTTATTGACAATTTTGAGTATTAATTAAAGAAACTTAATTAAAAGGTCCAGTTACCCAAAATTAATTTTTTAAAAAGTTGTAAGCATCTTAGAATCTAGGTGCTGACTAATGTATTTCTATCTTGGACCTTATACAAGACTCTTTAGTTGATGATAATATGAAGATTTTATTAGAAGTAGGTAGATGCTATAAGTGAATTCCATAAAGAAGATCCTTGAAGAGAATATAATAGCAAATATAATGAACACTGTTTTATTTCCCCTATGAAGAAGTAGTAACAAAATAATTTTAAGATGAGTAGAAAATTTCATGGGCCTCAAATGTTAGAACTTTTGAAAGTGAACAAATGAATAATGTTTATTGATCTGTTTTTTGTTTGTTTGTTTGTTTGTTTGTTTTAGATGGGGTCTCGCTGTGTTGCCCAGGCAGGAGTGCAATGTTGTGATCACAGCTCACTGCAGCCTTAACCTCCCAGGCTCAAGCAATCCTCCCACTTCAGCCTCCCAAGTAGCTGAGACTACAGGCATGTGCCACCACACCCAGCTGATTTTTCATATTGTAGAGATGGGGTCTTGCCATGTTGCTCAGGCCGGTCTTGAACTCCTGGGCTCAAGACATCCTCCAGCTTCGGGCTCCCAGAGTGCTGGGATTACAGGTATGAGCCACTGTGCCCAGCCTGATTTGTTATCATGTTAAATTATAAAGTATATAATACAGAAGTAGAACAGTTGAAAACAATGTGTGAAATTTTAATAAAAGAAGTTTTTACCACAAAATGTATTCTATACTTGTTTTTAAAAATTTTTCTTCATGAGGCCGGGTGTGCTGGCTCATGCCTGTAATCCCAGCCCTTTGGGAAGCCAAGGCCAGCAGATCACTGGAGGTCGGGAGTTTGAGACCAGCCTGACCAACATGGAGAAACCCCATCTCTACTAAAAATACAAAATTAGCCGGGCGTGGTGGCACATGCCTGTAATCCCAGCTACTTGGGAGGCTGACGCAGGAGAATCCCTTGAACACAGGAGATGGAGTTTGCAGTGAGCCGAGATCGTGCCATTGCACTCCAGCCTGGGCAACAAGAGCAAAACTCCATCTCAAAAAAAAAAAAAAAGTTTCTTCACTGCATGTAAAGTACTATATTATGGAAAATATCAAGTCAATGCCATAAAATAAACATTTTGGACTCCACTGCATGAACAATAGCTGCATGAATAGATTGAATACTAAAATACGTTGTTGAGGAACTCAGGTTGATAGGGTGCTCTCAGGAGTTAGCACAGTGGCCAGCTGGTGTTTCGTCTGCTCGGAATCCCTTATCTTTAACCATAACACTCTTACTCCTTTTGGAGAACACCTCTCCACTCTGAGTGCATGTGGTTCCAGTCAGGCTGACTGTGGTGACTGTAATAGTTGATGCCAGTGATAGGGTACAAGATCCAGGCCTGGGCAAGGAGGACACAATATTTCTTGGCCCCTGGCATTGATTCAGATTTGGCTACATGACCTGAGTCAGGCCAGTTAGAATCCATCCCTGACTTTCTGGAGCTGTCAGGAAAGACATGCACTTTTTCAACAATGGGATTGCTGAATTCATAGGATCTACAGATGAATGAAGCTGACGGTAGCCATTCTAACTGTTACTCATAGAAGATATACCAAGAAGTGAATCCAACGTAAAGAAAGAAGAGTTTAGAGGTGAAGAGAGACAAACACCTGAGATGCGTGAACACTTGGATCCTGCTCTGCCAAAGCTAGTAATGCCTTGAATGTCCAGATATGTGGGCCTTAATTTTTGTTTTTGCTTAAACTAATGTGAAGTTGTGTTACTGTCCCTCTCAAATAAAATTACCTCATTAATACACCTAACTCAAATAGTGGTAGCAATAAGTAACTAATTTTTAATAGTAACAGAAAAATGTGCTAATTAGGTAGAAATTGTAAAACAAAGAAATGTATGCTTATCAGGGTTGGGCATGGGGCCCATGCCTGGAATCCCAGCACTTTGGGAGGCTGAGGCAGGAGGATCACTTCAGCCCTGGAGTTCAAGACTAGCCTGGGCCCCATCTCTACAAAAGAAGACAAAACTTAGCTGGGCATGGTGGTATGCACCTGTGGTCCCAACTACTTGGAAGGCTGAGGTGGGAGGATCGCCTGAGCTCAGGAAGTTGAGGCTGCGATGAGATACCATCGTGCCACTGCATTCCAGCCTGGGCAACAGAGTAAGATCTGAACTCAAAAAAAAATAATAATAATAATGCACATCAAAAAGCACGAGAAGCAGAATATATTTTTATTAGATCATTTCAAAATTCAGGTAGGATTATAGAATTTTAGTCCTGTAGAGATTATTTCTTTCAACCTTCTAATTTTAAATTTATAGTTAAGAGAACTGAGTTCCAGGAGGAAGCATCTAAAATATTTAATAAAGATTATTGGTAAATGCTTCCATGGGATCATAATAATGGAAATGAGCAATGACCTGCTGAAGGATCTTAAAAGATTTAAATTTCTCAAGGCCCAATAGTGAAATCATGAGCTTCAAGTCAGTGACAAGTTAAAAAAAAAAGAAAGCATCCGAATCAATGCCATTTTTCATCCAATTTAATCCAATCAAAAGAACCACAGGAATGAAATAGAATGAATCTAATTTAGAAATAGTTTATTCCTTTTCCTTAAAAGTGATGTCACCCTTCTTTCAACCAAGAAATGTAGAAAAAATCTACGAACAGACATGCACCGAAAAATATGAGCCAGTTTATTTAATATTAAAATATTTATTTAAACTGAAAGACAGGAGCAGCCTCTTCAGGAAAACCCCTCTGGGGTCCTATAAAAGTTCCATGCATTCTAAAGATTGGGGACCAACGTAGCCTGTTCTTTGGGCTTGTTGTTCGGTGGAAAGAATATTTTCTTTGATACTTTAAGTTTGAAGAACTGGTGTATATTTTAATGCCACATATGTAAACATACTTTTCAAATTTCCTTAGAAGTTTAGGCAGGAGTATAACTTTTTTGGGAGAGTGAGATAAAAGAAGATTCTTTTTAAAAGAGAAAATGCAGTCAACAATCAAGAATAGATGTTCTTCCGATAAAATATTCACTGGAACCTGGGAAATTTGATTGTAAATTTCCCTGTTGTCCTAATAACTGATACCTGTTTTAGCTGTGGTGGAAGGAGTGGCGATAGATCCTTCCACAATGAAAATAAAGCAGGATTTGCCTATTTTGTAAACAGAACATTTACATATTTAATTTTCTTCAGCTGAGATTTACTTGTATGTGTTTCTCTGTAAACTTGGGAATATTGATTTATTTTGTGAACACTGCTGGTTACAGACCAGTCCATCTCAACTTCACACTAGTCTATACCTAAATTACTCCCAATTGTTTTAGAGTTAAATTTATGTGACTGAAAGTCATGTGGTACAAACAAACAAGAGTAAAGGATTGTTACTGGATTGATGAGATAATTTGCTTTTTAAAAAAGTTGAATTATAAACTGTGGGCACTAGAAATTTTATTATTTAGGTGGCTTTAATTGCATGAAATTCTGAACACCTGTTTTCGAGGGACAGATATTTATTTAAAATTTTAACATGCATTTTCCACTCTGTCTTTGTATTTCCATGATTGTCTTTATCCAGTAATATGTTTTGCAAACTCTTTCCTTAGTGCAGGGATTGCAAAAACTGTCATGAATTAAATATGTCATCTATGAAGTATACCTAATCTATAAGCCAACATCATGTAATGCAGCTTAATCTTGATTTTCTTTGACAGTTGTAACAAAAATTGTTTTTTATTTTAAAAAATATTAATTTAGTTGTTTATTCTTCAAAGGAATAACAAACACCTGACTGAAATGAACCTTTGGTTAAAATTATGGATTAGCATCATCTTACCTTTAATTTCTAAGCAACTATCAGTATTTTCATGTTACCAAAGTCTATCAAGTCATTAGGAAAAATGACCAAACCCATTGTTTGTTATCATGGAGACCAAACAGCTGGCTGACTTAGATAAAGATTTCACTCTTCTGTAAACTGATCGTGTGACAAGCTGGAGTCACAACAGAGGATTTGGAGATGCTGAATTTGTCTTTAAACACTACACTTGGAAAAAAATAAAAACTAGATCATCTACATTTTGAAATACGCTTTTTATTTATTTCAGTCTTTCATTCATTTATAATCATGAATCTGAATAGTGGAATTATGGGTTGGGGTTTTTTTTTGGGCAGCTTTGAAAGGTTTTAAAAGAGAAAAGGAAACTATCAGCCCTATCTCTGAAAAACAAGGAAACACAATGGAAATATTTTACATCATATGGAGATAATACATAAATAGTAAAAGGACTGTGCTATTATAAGTCTAAAACACAGGGCACACTTCCTACTCTTTATCTTAAGATACAGACCCTTTGATGGAGAGTATTTGTAATGAAAATAAAGCTGAGCTAATTGTTAGCTTTAATTACTAAAGGTAACAGGATACAGCAAACAGGGTCTCCTGAAAAAAATGAGGTTAGTAAGTGTCTTTGAAATAACCATGTAAAGCTTAAAAACAGAAAAAAGAAAACACAGTAAGGAGTATGAACATTGCTTAGAAGGAAATACAAAGAGATTTGAATGAAAAAGATTGAAGTCACTCATATTCATGTAGAAAATTTCAGAATTAGCAGCTGTGTTGGTACATAGACCTGTGACTTGAGCTACTGTAAATCCTTGTCAAACAATTGAGCATTTTCTGTGTTTTTAAAGAGGTCATTAACATTTGCTCAGCTTATTGCATGTAATTATACAGAAACTGTGATCCGAAAGAGCTATTACTAATAAGCCCTCAGACTACAACATGAAAAAAATACAAATAGGAACAAGTATGACTATTTATACAATAAGAGTGCTGGCAGTATTTCCTCTGTTCAAAGAGTTAGAGAAGGAAGAAGATAAATGAAGAGCCTTTGAAGTGATGTGGAAGTGAACATATTGAAGGGAGCTCAAATATTAACATTTTGCTTACTAGAAGAGATCCCTGGGCTAAAGCAGGTCTTTACTGCTTTTGTAAGTCTCCATTGGTCCCTTGTGTACAGCCCTTGTCAAATGACTTGCTTCAGGTCATATCCCATCTTAAAAAAAAGTAAGGCTGGATGTGGTGGCTCACGCCTGTAATCCCAGCACTTTGGGAGGCTGAGGTGGGTGGATCATCTGAGGTCAGGAGTTCAAGACCAGCCTGGTCAACATGGTGAAACCCTGTCTCTACTAAAAATACAAAAGTTAGCCAGGCGTGGTCACGTGCACCTGTAATTTCATCTACTCAGGAGGCTGAGACAGGAGAATCACTTGAACCCGGGAAGTGGAGGTTGCAGTGAGGCGAGATTACACCACTGCACTCCAGCCTGGGAAACAGAGCTAGACTCTGTCTCAAAAATAAAAAATTAAAAAAATTAAAAAACCTAGGGATGAATAGGGTCAAAATGCAAATACTCCTTTACTTTTATGTGATGAAATTATTCTCAAACATTTTTCTATGTGCATGCAAACATGTCAGCGCTGGGACTAGGGTACTGTGAATGAGGACTCCAAGGTGTACAATTTAAGGAGGCACTGAGAGGTAGTGCCTTACTCTTTGTGCCCCAGGCACCTCTAGTCCTGGTCCTAAACATATGCAAATATACATACACATATTTATACAAATTATATAGAATATATTTAAAATCAAAATGAGATCACACTGTGCATGTGATCCATAACTTGGCTGAGTCACTCCACAATCCATGGCAAGCAACCCGCCTTGAGACAATATATACATCAATGTCACTCTTTTTTCCCCTTTCTTTTTTTTCCCACTCGGGCTTTTTGTTTGCTTTTTGAGACGGAGTCTCACTCTGTCACCCAGGCTGGAGTGCAATGGCGCGATCTCAGCTCACTAAAACCTCTGCCTTCCAGGTTCAAGCAATTCTCCCTGTCTCAGCCTCCCAAGTAGCTGGGATTACAGGTGCCTGCCATCATGCCCAGTTAATTTTTGTATTTTTAGTAGAGACGGGGTTTCACTATGTTGGCCAGGCTGGTCTTGAGCTCCTGACCTCAGGTGATCTGCCCTTCTCAGCCTCCCAAAGTGCTGAGATTACAAGCGTGAGTCACTGTGCCCAGCCTCCCCACTCAGTCTTGATATTTAATTTTTGGTTATATGAAACCATAGCTTTGCACATATTTTAAAATTCTATCCTCAGTGAACACCATGATGGAAGAGCTGTATAGGGCAAAATATGAGAGAAGGAAGGCAGAGCTTCCACGCCCTTGCCAAGTGCACCACTCTCCAGGTACCTTCATAAATTTAACTATACACAAGCTCCTTATTCTTTCAAATGGTTGCATGATACAATGTAATATGAATGTATTATCATTTATTAAATTCTCCCTCTGTTGATGGACACTTATGTCATTTCCAGTTTTGTGAGTACTGCTAACAGTGCTGCCATCTTGTACATATATTTATGTATGCTTGTGTATTTCAGAAGAGATTGTTGTGCATTCAACAAATATTCACATTTTAAAAGTAAACAGATACTGACAACTGTCTCTCCAACTGTAGCACTGTCAAATCAAACTTTCTGAGACAATGAAAATGCTTTCTATCTGTGTTGTTCCATATGGTAGCCACTAGCCACATGTGGCTGTTGAGCATTTCAAATGTTGCTAGTGAGACTGAGGAATTGAATTTTAATTTTACTTAATTTCAAATCTGCATTTTCAGTCAGTTTTTTGGCTGATAGCCATTGGTTAGGACCTTTATAAAAATATTGAATAATAGCTGTGAATAGGCAGATTTTTTTTCTGAATTTTAATCAAAATACTTCGAATGTCTCACCATATGTGTGACATTTCTTGTTGGTTACTGATACATTCTTTTTGTCAAAGTAACAGACACAGCTAGTGGGCTAACCTAACAGCCGTTCTGTGGCCTCCCACTGTAGATGATGGAAAGCTAGCTACTTACTTCCTCCATTAAAGGGTGGTCTACCCACGTCTTATGGGGGAGAGAGATTGTGAATCCTCTTAAGGGATAGGTATCAGAGCATGTGTGAGTGGAGACCTCATTGGCATTCTTCGTTCCCAACTTCCAGTCTTGATGCCTAGAGCTATGGCAATCCTTCTGATTGTAAGCAACCAATGTGTGAGAGTGAAGAGCAGACAGCTAAGCATGGTGAGAACACAACGCTAGAATGAGCCTCAGTCTTGGGTTATATTTTTGGCTCTCTGACCCAGTTCTGAGACTGTCTGCTTCCGAAATTCTTGTAAAATAAACACAAAATGTTTTTACAGCTTAAACCACTACTACTCATAGTTTTCTGTTTCTTTCCACCAGAAACTTTTTTTTTTTTCTTTTTTGGAGACAAGGTCTTGCTCCATTGCCAAGGCTGGAATGCAGTGGTGTAGCGGCGTGATCACGGCTCACTGCAGCCTCCATCTCCCAGGCTCAAGCAATCCTCCCACCTCAACCTCCTGAGTAGCTAGGACTACAGGCGCACACCGCAACCACAGCTGGCTATTTTTTTTTTTTTATTTTTAGTAGAGATGGAGTTTCACCATGTTGCCTATACTGGTCTCAAACTCCTGAGCTCAAGCGATCCTCCTCCTTGGTCTCCCAAAGTGCTGGGATTACAGTCATGAGCCACCAGAAACCTTCTTAACTGGTACAAGTTAAGAACACTTTTTTTTTCTATTCCTAGCTTTATAAGTATTTTTAAAACTAGAAATGAGTGTTATAATCAATCAAATGTCTTTCTGAAAATGACATTCAAATAACAGCAAATACTTAAATTGTGCCTAATATATGAAAGGCACTGTTCTAAAAATTTTTCATTTATGAACTAATGTAATCTTTACAGCAACTCTACAGGGTACATATTATTCTTTTCCATATTTTACAGATGAGGAAACTAAGACACAGAGAGGTTAGTTCAATTGCCCTAGTAAGTGACAAAGCCAGGATTTGGACCCAAACAGTTTGGTTCTAGAATCCTGGATCTTGCTGTATCTCTAGTATTGAAAATGACCCATGGACCACAATATGTATTTCTCAGTTCCATCATAATTTTATTTTTAGTTGTCTTTATTATTTGGTCAAATTAATGGCAAGTGAATATGAATTAGGTATTTTTTACTGTAAAAAGAGAGCACTAGTGAAATTCATTTGATCAAGCTTCATAGCAAACCTTGGCTATTCTTACTCAATTAATTTTCTTAGTTTGACTTCACAAATTCATTTCTTAGCCTTCTTTTTTTCTTTCTGAGACTCAAAAGAACAATATCCCTTTTTTATTCCTACTAAAGCTAGAATTGTAATGGATGAATCAAGGTAATTTTTCCCATTTCTTTGACTTGTCTTGATTTTGGCCACATTTTCTGCTTTTTCCTCCCTTCCTTCTTTGATGAAGGACAGTGATGCTTTTGTTCTATCGTCTAAGAAAGTAGCATAGAAGCAAACAAAAAAGAAAATGAGAACTTACTACTCCCACCCACTCCTGGGTTTTTATGCGTCATCTTGTTTGTCCTATGCAGTAGTGCATGACTCAACAAATATGGACAAGGTCTGAAAATTCTGTTGGCACTTCATAAATAATAAATGGTAATAACAGAGCAACCTGGCAAAAGCAGTTATATAAGCAAGATGTAAACCTAGATTATATACAATTCATGGTATAATGGGAATTACTTTTCAGCTTTCTAGAGGTTGGCAATAGAAAATCAAGTTGATACTTTATAATCTTTCAAGGCTCTTGTTCTATTTTTCTTCTTTCATATTCTTTAGGTATTGATTGGCATCTGGCAATGCCTTTGGAAATACAATGAATTCAAAATAACTAAACAGGAGTTTGTGCAAAAAATAATTGTTAGTGGCCTGACTACAGTCTATCAATGTAGGCTTGTTCTATTTACTACCACCTGGGAAGACATGGAATTTCTGTGTGTATATACAAATATAGTGATATTTAATTCATAGATTTATCATAACCATCATCATCATCACTACATTTATCATTATCAAAGTGATAATGGTAATATCACAAATTACCATAGTCATAATTTTCATGATTATGTGAGGTTTTTGCATATCCACCATTTGTTATAATTCATTTTCTAGTGATTAAAAAAATCATTGCTAGGTGTGTAATTAAATGTCAGTGAATCTATATAATTAATCTGTATTTTGTAATAAACACTACAATCTCAACCTCACATAAATCCATGAATTAAGAACTGTATCTTTGGCAAATATATATGAGAAAAGGTGCACAAATATTTTCTATAATGTAAATATGAAGTTTATTTAAGCAATACCAGTCAGAAGGGCAGAAAAATAAAAATGATGCAGGCAGAAGGATTGATAGCATTCACAGGGACAGAGGCAGGAGTATTTATAATGTTCACCGTCACAGAAGAAAATACAGAGTAAGATGGACCATGAAAATGAAAACATCAGAATAGAGTGAGGAGAAATTCAATAAAGACAAGAAGATTTAGAGACTTGAAAGGGAGGCTTGGAACTATTTATCGCTTTGCTATAGAAAGCAGTGGAACCAAATAAAGAATAAAATAAAAAATAAGGAGGTTGGAGAAGGAGATATTCTAGGGAATTTAGATAAGGAATTTGAGTCTGTTGGGAATGGGAGTGTTTGGAAATATACATACATCTCCTCTCCGTTCAATTTCACGCTTGCGGGAGCACAGATGGGAAACTAAAAAGAAAAAGAAAGGCAAGACCTTTAGTGGGGTTTCTCAGGGTGTTACCTCATGAGTATTGTTCTCGAAGGAAGATTGCTTTCTATGCTCTTTAGCTTTTATTTTACTTTACTCCATAATGGAATTTAGATAAATTCCCTGTGTAACATCTTCATAGACACAAGTTTTAGAAAAGCCCACTATTTCCCTTTCTCTATAGCATAGCTTTGTGGTGGACTATTGTCATGCACAGCCTTCTGTGTGAGGACGTCTTAACTCAACTCCTAAGAAGTCCTGGGCTTAAATCCTTCTTCTTCAAGCTACTAGCAGTGTCACTGAGAAGTCCTATAGGCTTCAGTTTCTTTACCTGTAAAATTGGGAAAACAACTGTACTTAACGCATAGGTTGTTGTGAGATATCAGATAAGCATAATGCATGGAACAGTGAATGTTCAACAGCTGATGTTATTTCTTTAATATGAACAATCTTATAACCATCAATATAGTCTTTACCTACCTGTTATTAATACTTTGCTTAATGGCTTAGCATTGTACTGATGGAAAGCTCGCTCTGCCTAAACAAGCGTCAAATTTATTCTGGGCATGATGGGGACTTTCACCTGATTTTGTTGGTTTACAAAGATAAAGAAATTTAGTGCCTATTTGTGATAATGTAAAAATTACTATGTATCAGAGAAAAAGGCATATCAAAGAAACCTATTTTTTAGAAATGCATAGAAACCAATCAATGTGACCTTGAGACTTTAGCAAGATGAAGTTTGAGACATCATGTGGTCATGAAGATGGAGGATGCAGTGAGGCAGGGCAGGCTAGGGTGGTGAATATACCTCTGGGACTCTTCTTGGCCTAACTTGATCCTGCTCTAATTGAAAACAGGAGCATAATCAAGAAAATGGCTCTTGTGATTTAAAAAAATAATGACTTTTACTATGTATATATTAATATACATATATGACCATATATTTACATAAATATTAAATATTTATAAAATATTAAATATATATACAACTTGATTAATTATTATAATGGAAAAACTCATGAAACCACTATCCGGACAAAGAAATAGAACAATGCCAGCACTCCAGAAACTGTTCATGTGTCCTCCTCAACAACAATTCCTTTTCCTGCCTTAAATACTGTTGTGACATCTATAGTAATTACTTCTTTAATAGTTTTTCATAAAGAAAGTTATGTGATATTTGTTAATTCTAAACTTTAAAAAAGTATTATGTAGTGTGATCCTGATTTGTGCATAATAGCAGAAGTGTGCTAAATTGTGGGTGTCAATTTTAATTTGTGGATGTCTTTACCTACCTTGGTTTTGCTTAATGCTATGTTAACTTAATAGAGAATGTTTTTCTATGCTGGGACCAGATTTATTTATATTAGTTTTGTTTAACTATGATTTGAGGTCATTTGTGATCTCTCACTCTTCTACTACTCCCAATTGAATGGAAGCTGATTTTGTGACTTCTGAGTACTTACCAGGTACCATACTGTAGTTGGCATTCTGATAAATATTCTTGCATAGTATATTATTTTAAATTCCTTTACTTTCAACCGTTCTGTATTTTGTATATGTTGGAAACAGAATATTGCTATTTTTAGTAGTATTTTAAAATATTTCTCTTAATAATTTTTCTATTTTAATTAGAAGATTTTGTACATTTATGTTTAATGTAATTGACACTATCCTTAGGTTTAAAACCACCATTTTAATATTTAGTTTATTCTTGTCTCACTTTGTTTATGTTTTTTTTTTCTCTTTTTTTTCTTTTCAGAAACGAGGTGTCACTGTGTTGCCCCTGGTGGTCTTGAACTCCTGGGCACAAGTGATTCACCTGCCTCAGCTTCCCAGAGTGTTGGGATTACATACAGGTGGGAGCTACTGTGCCCAGCCTGTTCATGTTCTTTTTCCTCTTCTTTCTTCTCTTTATTATCTATTCCGTTATTAGCTTGATGGCTATACACTCTTTTACTATTCTTTTATTTGGTGATTAATCTAGAAATTAAAACGTAGCCTTAATTTATTCCGATTCTATTTAAACAATATTTAAAAATATTTATTATTTAGTGCAGTCTGCTTATAGTGATTTTTCTTTTTTGGTTTGTCTGAAAATGTCTTTTTTTCATTTTTAAAGTACATGTTGCTGGTTATAGGTTGACAGCTATTTTATTTCAGTATTTGAATGATATTCTGTTGCCTTGTAGATTCCATTGTTGCAGTTGCTATTTCAAAGGCAATTTGTCTTTTTATTTCTCTGGCTGAGTTTAAGATTTTCTCTTTGTCTTTGAGTTTCAGTGGTTTTATTGTTGTGTACCTTTAGGGTTGTCCTTTTTATTTTTTTCTTGGAATTTTTTAGAGTTTCTTCAATCTTTATGTCTTTCATCAATTTTGGAAATTCTCAATCATTTTATCTTTAAATATTGCTTCTACTCTATTTTCTCTCTTCTCTCTAGGACTTCCGTAACAACAATTGGAGCTTCTCATGGTATCGTCTATGTCTCTTATTTACTCAATTTTCCATCCTTTTATGTGTCTGTCCTTCATCTGGATATTTTCTTTGGACTTATGTTCTAATTAGCTTTCTAAGTTTCTTATAAGCTGTGTAATCTCCATTAAGGTGATATTTTTCAGTTCCAGAATTTTCATTTACTTTTGTAGTTTCCAGCTCTCTGCCGAAGTCTCCAATCCTGTATCTTACTTCCTTGAACATTAGCCTGATTCTCCTGAACTCTGTTTTTATCATCTATTGTTTCTTTGGATTTGTGGTCATGTCATCTTGGCTCCTGATACATCTGGTTATTTATGAGTACATGCTAGCCATTGATTTGAAAATTTGAAGTCTAAGATGTTATCTTCTCTCAGGGAGGATTAACCTTGGCTACTGACAAGTGGCCAGAAGCAGTAGAGATAAAGGATTGAGATAAAGGATCACATTAATTCCACTTCAGAGATGATTTGAAGTTAGGCTTTTGTTTCTGCCAAGAATGGTCTACTTCTCATTTACTCCTTTTGGCTAGAGCCTTGGGGTTAAATGGAGATAATGATACCACCAATTTCATAGAGCAATAAACATTCATGTAAAGCACTTAAGCACCGTGCTTGTATATAGTCTATGCTTAAAACTGTTAGTTAATATTGTTAAGAATCAATAGAGGAAGGTTGGGGTTATGATTCTACTATGAATTTACTTAATTATTCTGGGTAAGTTGTGGACCTTCTCTAAGCCTCATTTCCTTCATTTGTAGAATGAGAGACTTAGATGAAATGACTTCTAAAGTCCCTCCAAGCTCTAAAATTCTATCACCATGCAAGTCTTAAATAGAATTGCAGACTCATTCTGCCTTCTTCTCCACCCAATCCACCAAGAACATTTGTTACAAAAATATGTTATGGGGAAAAATAGAACTTTCCTGGTAATTTATAGGGCTATATGCAGGGCAGTTTGGGTTGATAGCTTAGTGGAGTTATCACCCTTTCATTGTTCTTCAGGTCATCAAATTATTAAAACAATCACACACTGGTATGGCTGCTGTGCTTCTACTGTTTGGTTTGAAAGACATTCATTAACAGAGGTAGAAAGACCAACATATTTGTGAAAGGTTAAGGCCATGTTTCTCCCTAGTGTGAATTAACATTGTCTTTCACAACTGTCATACTTTTTTTAGTAATGAAAAAATGGAAATCTTACTTTAAAAAGATAATTTTTTAAATACTTAGACTTCTTTTTGCTCTCAAAACTAAAGTGATGCATAACTTTAATTATAAGAGAATTCCAAAATCATTCTTTAATTCTACCTTATCTTC